>NC_000019.10:27865874-28490874 GCF_000001405.40 Homo sapiens | reverse complement strand
TTTCTTTCTCTCTCTCTGTCTTATTGCCACAAAGACAACCAAACCAAGGGACTCTGTGAAAGTATCTTGTTGACTTATTAGCATCTTGTTTATTTTGTGACTTCTTACAGCAGCATGTCAGCTCCATAAAGACAAATACTTTGTGAGGCTTCCTGTTGTGTTTCCAGCACACCGTAGAGCACATGGAGGGCATCGGTGGAATGAAAGATGGCACGGGTCTGTTGAGCAGCCTTCCCCTGCCCCTCCCACACCATCCAGCCCCCACAGGCTGCCTGCCCTCCAGTCCCTGTTTTTGTTGTTGCTTCCCCACACTCCCCTCATCCAAGCCAGGGGTCTGAGGTCTCCCTCGCCCTCCACATCTAATTGGTAACCCAGCCCTGTTGATTCCTCCCAGAGAGGGCTGTTATGCACACACGCATTGCACGGCATTCTTTTGCTTTTCCATCATTCTCACCTCATCGGAGTTTCTTTCAAGCAACAGTGGAGCCCTCCTGGCCTGCTCTGCCCAGCGCTCATTTGTCACCGGCACAAGCTGGGGCTTAGCCTGGCCACTGAGCTGAGTCTAATTCCAGGGACTTGGAGTTGGGATCTGCTGGCTGGGCTCCAGTGAAGAGCCCTTTTTGTGGCAGCCCCAGGGCTGTTCTTTTACTCTGATGAGAGCTGAGTGACTGACAGATGAGAGGGCAGTGGCTGTGAAGAGGGAGAGAACTGTGGTGGGGCTGGAATTTGGATGTAAAGGGAGACGCTCTAGCGACTCAGAGAACTGAGCATCTCGATAAAGAAAATATCAAATACTCACGCACTGAGCTTCTTTGAAGCAACAGTGAGCTGTGAACACTAGCACATGAATGAAAGAATGTTCCAGTGATACACGATCAGAATTAACCCCACCGTAAGTCCCAGCCTTCCTGCCACAAAGGAAGAACCGCGCAGCCGAGGAAGCTGGAAAGGCCTGCCGGGAGAGAAAAGCCCTTTGGCTTGGAAACCGCAGCATTTCAACATGCCAGTGCCCAAGTAAACCCTGGCGGAGAAGAGAGCAGCTGGCGCAGAATCTAAGGTCCATTGCTTTCTGTCTCCTTGAGGAGAACCCCAGCTGAACATCTTTGGGGCATGAGGAGACAGAGGTCTCTAAAGTACAGTGAAGGAATGGCTTTGTTGTGATAAGAGTAAGGAAATGATTGTCCCAGACAAGTACATTGCCTCCATGTGCTCCACCTCTACATTCTCCTCGCCACAAGGGCCTCCTGGCTGGAAGAGGGACTGCTCTGTTAACTGAGGTGGGCCCGGGGCTGGACAAGTTGGAGCAGGTGCTGCGGCGCCCTGATTGGGGTTCTAGGCGAGCCTTTTGACCTCACTCTGCTGCAGGCTCACATGCTTGGGACCAGCCAGAAGTGCTGGGAGGGAAAAGGCGTGGCATCAGCCCTCAGCTGCTGGTGGATGGGGCTGGAAAACACAGACCCCAGCTCCCCCTGCTCCACAGGCTCCCAGGATTCTTCAGGGCTTGGACTCTAGGGGCCACAGTGGTGACCTGTGTGACAGCCTGCCCTCCGCTGGCTGCCTTCTGTCCCTGTCTCATTCCCACACTCTTCTACGATGAGGTGCTGGGCCACCTCCCAGCCAGTTGTTGCTCTCAGTCCCCTGTCTCTGTGTCTGCTCCTGGGGGAACCTGGCCTGAGACAGCCATGTATCACAAAATGCACTTTGAGCCTGCAGCAAAGAAAACATCTGCAAGCTCTGGGCCGAGAAATCTGGGGATGGAGGCTCCGAAGACAAAGCCCAATCTGGGGAGGATGAAAGTCAGGATAGTTTCGGGACAGATTTTATTTATGATGTATTTTTTTAAGACAGGGTCTCTTGCTCTGTTGCCCAGGCTGGAGTGCAGTGGCACAATCCTAGCTCACTGCAGCCTCAACCTCCTGGGGTCAAATGATCTTCCCACCTCAGCCTCCTACTCAGCCTCCTATTCATGTGTCACCACACCAAGCTAATTTTTATTTTTTATTTTTTTTGGTGGAAATGAGGTCTCACTATATTGCCCAGGTTGACCTTGAACTCCTGGACTCAAGCAATCCTCCTGCCTCAGCCTTCCAAAATGCTGGGAGAGGCATGAACCACTGCACCTGGCAAGATTTTACAAAGAAGGAAGGAAAGAAGAAAGAGAGAAAGAAAAGAAAGGGAAGGAAGAGAGGGAGGAGGAAGGATAGGAGGGAGGCAGGGAGGGAGGGAAACCTACTTAAGATGGAACATGGATTTGGCTACTGCCCGACGCATGGACTTTCAGAGCTTTTTTCCAGTTGTTGAAAGTAACATTTTTGCATGCTCTCTCTCCTTATTTTTCAGAAAACCATTGTATACTTAAGTGTTTAACTTTTTGTTTATTGGTCTCTTCGCCACCACATCCCATCTTTTCCCAGTGAAAACCACATCAAAAAAAAGGAAAGTGTGTTCTAACAATGGGTGGATACTGCCATGGCCTTTGGTGGGCCATGCCCTGTTTGGGGGGCTCTGAGGGGCTTTTCTGCTGTCCCTGGGGCACCAGGATTGAGACTTTCAGAAAGAAAAAAACCCGAAGTCTCTGAGAGGTATGAGAGTTTCAGGAAGTGAGGGCCGTGCTGCAGAGCAGCGCAAAAACTTTAATGAGCCGCTCCCGACACTTGCATTTGTTTTAGCAGGTTTCTCAACAAACAAGGCCAGAAGCCATATGCAGATCAGCTTCACAGGTGACTCCAGTCAGCAGAAGATGTGGCTGCAACTGTGGGGACTTAGAGGCATTTCTTGCAGGGATGCTGGCAGAGTCCGCAGCTGAGCCACTGTTCTATAATCCTGCAGCATCTGTCCCTGGAAGGGGCAGGGTTTTCTTGTTGGGACAGATAATAGGAGAGAGAGAAAGGGAAAACACATTTGTAAGCTTTCTGTTTGTACTCATTTCCCTTTAGGAATCTGGGGTCTCAGATTTTATTACCTTAAATGCAAGAACAGATTGCTTTCTTCTGAACCATCAAAAATAAGATGTAAAAGTAGAAAGGTCTTTTAGAGCTTAGTGCTGTAAAATATTCGAGTTTTTAAAGAGGGGCTGGTAATGTTGATTTTCATGTGAACTCACTCCATTTTAAAATGTTGGCTTCCTTCTTTTCTTCCTCCCTCCTTTTCTTCTTCTTTCTTTGCTTCCTTCTTTTCTTTCTTCAAAAACTGTCCAGGTAAAAACAATGTTTTAAAAAACAAAACAAGGCCGGGTGCAATGGCTCATGCCTGTAATCCCAACACTTTGGGAGGCCAAGGCGGGTGGATCACCTGAGGTCAGGAGTTCGAGACCAGCCTGGCCCAACATGGTGAAACCCTGTCTCTACTAAAAATACTAAAAATTAGCTGGGCGTGGTCATGTGTGCCTGTAATCCCAGCTACTCAGGAGGCTGAGGCAGGAGAATCGCTTGAACCCAGGAGGCAGAGGTTGCAGTGAACCAAGATTACTCCATTGCACTCCAGCCTAGGCAACGAGAGCAAAACCCAGTCTTAAAAAAAAAAAAAAAAAAAAAAAAAAAAAAGCCTATGGGCTAATTCAACAGCTGGGTAGTCAGTTTGTAACCTCTGACCTGTGGAATTATGTTGGAAAACTTTGGAACATTGTAAATGGAAAATGAGAACTGAGCTTTTGTGCAGTGCAGAGATAAAGATAAACTCTACCCATTCACAGGTGTTTCCTTGCCCATCACTGTGCCAGGCCCTGGGGACTCACAATGAGTGAGCAGAAAACAGTCCCTGCCAGCCACAGGCCTCTTCTCTAGTGGCAGATGTGGCTTAGGGTGTATTTGGTTAAGGCAACAACACACCATTTTAATTTGCTTTAAGCAAAAGTGAGAATGTATTGGAAAAAACCCATGATCCTGCTGCTTTTATTGAACCCATAAGCAGCCAGGCCTCATGAGAACCTGGAATCAGGGCCTGGAAATCAGGATAACTCTCTCTTCAACATTGATGGTTTCCTGGTTCCCCTTGCAATCTCTCTCTCTCTTTCTCTCAGCATCAGGTACCTGCACAGCATTGATCTAGCCCTTCCTAGAAAGAGTGGTTAATAACATAAACATCTCCTTACCTTCTTTCAGAGAGATTGCCTTCTCTTGAGAGGGGAGAGATGAAAAAGAAATAAATAAAGCCATCTGATGTCATGGTGCCTGTCAGGAGGGAGTCTGCAGTGTCTCTCGGGTATAAGAAAGGTCTGCAGTTGCAGATGGAGGACAGCAGAAAGCCTCTCTATGGAGCTGACACTTGGTCTGAGATCTGACAAGAAGGAGCGGGAGTGACACGGTCAGATTTATGTTCTAGACAGATGACCCTGGCAGCAGGAAAATAAGGGGTCTTTCTAGCCACAGAATCTGAGGAAACAAAGCTCCCACTAAGTCAACTTGCTAATAAGGAAAGGATTCGTAAAGGTTCGGCCATCAGGGTCACCTCATCATCTTCAGTCAGCCTGGGCTTATTTGCACCTTAAGCAATCAAAATCAGCTCTCATGTATGTAGTATTTTTAGAGTTTATAATGCATTTTTACCTTCAGTAATGTATTTATCCTCAAAGTTCTTATTCAAGGTGAGCAGGGCAGGAACTGTCACCATTTTACAGAAGAGGACACAGAGACCAAAAGAGACCATGTTGGCCGGGCGTGGTGGCTCACACCTGTAATCCCAGCACTTTGCAAGGCCGAGGCGGGTGGATCACGAGGTCAGGAGATCGAGACCATCCTGGCCAACACTGTGAAACCCCATCTCTACTAAAAGTACAAAAATTAGCCAGGTATGGTGGCATGTGCCTGTAGTCCCAGCTACTCAGGAGGCTACGGCAGGAGAATCTCTTGAACCTGGGAGGCGGAGGTTGCAGTGAGGAGCAGAGATCACACCACTGCACTCCATCCTGGTGACAGAGTGAGACTCCATCTCAAAAAAAAAAAAAAAAAAAAGAGAGACCGTGTTATTTACCCTAGCAGCTAGTGGGCTTAGGACCAACCTCCTCCCACTGGACTGTTAGAGCAGGTAGTTAGGCAGACAGGAGCAGGGCGGGAGAGCCCCCACCAGGAATGTCAGGCGACCAGCAGGTGAGGGTCAGGTGGTTGTTACACTGTCTCTCTCTAAAATAATAATTGATTGCAGGCAGTACCAAGAAAAGGCAGTCTCCCAATAGATAGAAAAACCTGAAACTGGTGATCAGCAGCTTCCCGATAAGATCTCAGGAGTTGGCAGGTGGGCTCAAGTATGTGCATTAAGAAGCAATATAGCATTTAACCGGTCGGTGACCAAACGACTCAAGTGAGCATGCGCACAGCCACAGCTCTGGTAAACACACCGTGCATGCGGCCCCTCCCAAGAGCTTAGGCCACTGGGCATGCGGACAGCTCACCCCAAAGGAAGAAGCAGAAGAGGAGAGATGCAGTTCCCTGGAAGCATGCCAACGTGTAAAACCTCAGTCAAAGGTCAAACTGTGCTCTTGAATCTTTCCAGTTGCCCACTTGGCCCTCTTCCAAGTGTATGTTACTTCCTTCCATTCCTGCTCTAAAACTTAAAAAAAAAAAAAATAGAGACAGTGTCTTGCTATGTTGTCCTAGCTGGTTTCAAACTCCTGATCTAAAGCAATCCTCCTGCCTTGGCCTTCCAAAGTACTGGGATTCCAGGTGTGAGCCACCGCACCTGGCCCCTGCCTTAAAACTTTTTAATAAACTTTGGCTCCTGCTATAAAACTTGCCTCAGTCTCTCCCTCTACCTTATGCCCCTTAGTCAAATTCTTCTAAGGAGGCAAGAATTGAGTTGTCTCAGATCATATGGATTCACTGCTGCTAACAGGACCACTCTATCAAGTGCACTTGGTCACGTTACTAAGGAAAGTGCCACCTACGTCTAGAATCAGGGTTTTCCCCTGCGAGGGTCTCCTGTGGACTGTGTGGGTAGGTGAGCCTTGCTGCTTTCGTTCTAATGAATCTCGGAGCTTAGCAATGAGACCCAGAAACCCTAACCCACCTCCCTTACCCAAAAACCCAGAAGTTTGTTCAAACCTTAAGAAAAACTCATTTATTTATTTATTTATTTATTTATTTCGAGACGGGGTTTCATTCTCATTGCCTAGGCTGGAGTGCAATGGCGTGATCTCAGCTCACCGCAATCTCCGCTTCCCAGGTTCAAGTGATTCTCCTGCCTCAACCTCCCGAGTAACTGGGATTATAGGCATGCGCCACCACGCCAGGCTAATTTTGTATTTTTAATAGAGATGGGGTTTCTCCATGTTGGTCAGGCTGGTCTCGAACTTTGACCTCAGGTGATCCGCCCACCTCAGCCTCCCAAAGTGCTGGGATTACAGGGGTGAGCCACCATGCTGGGCCAACTTGTTTTTAAAAAAGACCTTTGCCTTTCAGGGCAAGAGATTCTGGATCTCACTCTATCACTGTTATATGTTACGTGTCTGAAGTCCCACAAACGGCCTCCACACGCACTCATTTTCTTTACGTCCTTGTTGTGCACAAAATGTCACAGATAACATTTCTTCTTAACCAGAGCTATACCTTAGAATCACCAGGGAAACATCTTGAAAATTCAGATAACTGGACCCCTCTGCAGACCTGGTTTGTGGTGACTGCAGGCTTATGTCTTAGGACAAAGTGCTAGTTAAAACCCACGAATCTGCATATGCACCCCAAATCTGGATTTCCAAGGGTGTGTTTGGAAGCATACAAGATACATCGGATATTAAGGGCTATTTGAACAAAGGGTGTATGTTCAAATAGATTTTAGCTCTAGAAAGTCTTGCAGCAAAGAGACCTTCGCATTTGTGAAGCCCAGCTTGGGCTGGTGGGCCTTGTGAATCTGCTGGAAGGGTTACATCTGCTGCATTCAACACGGACGCATTATCGAACTTATCTGACCAGAATGTGAGCCTCTGAAGGATGCTGCCTGTCCCAGAATGCCTTTGGGGGTTGCTGTGTGAGAATTTGGTCCCTGTTGTTCTGCTGTGAGGAAGCTGCAGTGGAACTATGTCGACAGATGCTTTGGTTACAGCTGAGTTAGTTTAATACACAGTGTCCCTTGCTGTCATCTCTTCAGGTCCTAAATTCAGAGAGTGAGAATTTGGACGGTGAGTTCAGGCAACAAAAGCAAGCAACTTGCTTCAGTCTGTTTGGTTCCTGAGGGTTCAGAGAGTGGGAGGTTCACCTAAGGAGGGGTGTCCCTGGCACTGCTGGTTCCTGAGCTCTGACAGTCAGATTTTGGAGAGTGAGAAGTACCTGTAGTCAGAAGAGAAACTTGAATACAAAAGTGTTTGGGATGTTCCAAAGAGCAGTCTAGACCATCGGAAAGCTGCTAATAGGATAGTTTTCATTATTTCAGATGCCAGAAGGCTTGGTTATAAATAGAGGGTTGGGAGTAGAAGAATGAATAATGCAGACAGCCCTGAGATGCTAGCAGCCATCTTTCAGGTACTCTTATTTGGGAAATAGGCCTAAGACACACTGGAGTGAGAGAAAGAGGAGAGAGAAGAGGGCAGAGGGAAGAGAAAGGAGAAGGAGGGGAGAGAGGAAGCAGAGGGGATAGAGAGGACAAAAAGGAGAGAGAGGAAGACTCTCTTCGTCCCGCTTTTTAGTCTCCAGCTTAGACAAGGACACAACTGAAGGGACATCTGAGCACCCAGCAGGGTTGCAGAAAGCAGCCTCTGGATCAGTCACTAGACTTCACCATCAGGGGCGAACAGTTCTCACTCTGAAAAGCAGAAAACAGAGAGGTGGAGGTTGGGGTCCTTGGGCAGTGCTTGGAAGTCAAGGGGCTGGGAAAGAGACATCATAAACCCGGCACATCTCATGAAGGGGAAATTAGAGGCCCTGGTCCAAACAGCATCCTTCAATACTGTGGCCGAGGGTGCATTGGAGCCTCATGGGGGCTGTCTGTTGGGCTGGGATCTGTTGCCTGCCTGCCTGGAGAGAGGGGAAACTTCCACACAGGAGCATCCAGCAGTGAGCCTTCTTCCAGTTGAGGCTGACAGTGAGCAAATTGTCTGCCTCTCACTGTGTTTCTTGTGAACAAGTAGAGGCCACGCATCACATGTGTGAACAAACAGCCCTGCAGCTATACCCACAGGATAGTTCAGAGGTCGTGGGAGCCCTTGCCCCCTAAGTGTGTCAAAAATTACTGCTGGTTGTGTGTGTGATGATTTTTTTACACATTTTAATAGTTATATATTTACTTTAAAGTGAATTTAAATATATACAAAATATACATCTATGATTTTTTTTTTTTTTAGGATTTTTGCTCCCTCATTCAGCTAAATCCAGGTTCTTGTCTCATGACCAGAAAAAAATGAGTCACACAGACACATTGAAGGGTGAGGAGGGTGGAATTTATTAAGCAAAAGGAAAGCTCCCAGCAAAGACAGGGGCTCTCCAAGCAGGTTTTCCCTTCACAGTTGAATGCCAGGGCTGCTGCACAGGAGGTGAAGAGGCCCAGGCTCCTCCCCTGCATAAGACGTGAATTCCTGGTGGCTCCACCCATTCTCCTAGAACACAGGTGGGCATGCCCAGGCAAGCCATAGGTAGTATCGGAAAAGGCAACATTTGATTGGTTGAAAGGCATTATTCAGAAAGAATCAATCAGGAAAGGGCAGGCAAACGGAGGCAGAAGTTCTCCTTCTGGGTCACGGGTTTCATCCAAAACCAGCGGTCCCGTCTTTCAGTCCTTAGCCTGTTTTAGACTTGAAGGTGGGTTTCACTGGGGACCCTTCTCTATCTGTCTAGGCATTTGGCTGCCTCCTACCTCTATCACTATAACTTAATTTTTTTTCATAAAACTTATAACCTTTTTATTGAGCCAAATCTTTAGAAAGTAGTTTTACTTAAAGTCAAGTTAAAACTGTTTAAGGTAAATAATAGTAGAAGAGACACAAAGATAGGGATGCAATTTGGAAGGTGGATTGCAGGTGGCCGAAATGCCTAACAAGCCCCACTTCCTTGACTCAGCTGTGTGGCCTTGGGCAAATTATTTAACTTCTCTGTTTCAGTTACCAACCTTTGGAAACACTGGACTATCAGATATTGCATTCCTCCCAAGTGGTAGGCCATGTTATGTTTGGCAGTCCCCAGATGCACCTAGAACCCAGCCTGTCACTGAGGTTCCCCAGTAACAGGTTTGATTAGGGAGAGATGTGGGAGCAGAAAGGACTGACCTGGCTGTGTCCTCAACCCGCAGAGCTGCCTGGGGGAACACACTGCAGCTGGGCCTTCCTCTGCCACACACCTTTCTCTGCCCCCAACTTATACACAGCGTCTGAGTGAAGCTAGGGCCACTACACATGTATGTCCTTCCTCTCAGGCCGCTATCTGGGGACCTACCTTCCCTGCTTGCTGCTCTGTCGTGGCCCACAACTGTGCCTCTTATTTTTGTCTGAGAGTGACCCATCTCATCTCTATAAATAAAAAGGTGATAGAGAGTGGCAGGTTTGTAGACCACGGTGCCAGCCTGGTGTAGCCTCTGCGACTTTAGACATGGAACACAGCCAGCCAGCACTGCTACCAGCTGTGTCACATGAGGAAGTTACCCGTCCCACTAAGCATTGCTTTCCAGGAAACAGGAACCCAGAATGGACCTTCAACTAGCTGTGGATCAGTGTCTTCTTACATGGTCACCAGCACTGAACACAGAATTTTAAAATCTTGACTAATCTGATATTATCCTACTTACAATGTTTTATGTTAGTGTGGTTGATTATTTTCCTCATGTGCTTATCACTTTCATTTTCTTCTGCTTTGTGAATCATTTTTGTACTTTGACTCTCTCCCCTGCAATTGGTAATGTTAGAGTATTTCTGTTTGCTTTGTAATCATTTTTTTTCTTTTAGAAAAAAGTATTTAAAAAGTTCTTCTTGGCCAGGCATGGTGGCTCATGCCTATAATCCCAAAACTTTGAGAAGCCAAGGCAAAAGGATCACTTGACCCCAGGAGTTCAAGACCAACCTGGGCAACACAGTGAGATCCCATCTCTGAAAGATTTTTTTTAAAAATTAGCTGGGTAGGGTGGCCTGCGCCTGTAGTCCCAGCTACTTGGGAGGCTGAGGCAAGAGGATGGCTTGAGCAGGAGGTTGAGGCTGCAGTGAGCCATGATTGTGCCACTGCATTCCCACCTGGGTGACCCTGTCCCTAAGAAAAGTAAAATATGGGCCGAGTGTGGTGGCTTATCTGAAATCCCAGCACTCTGGGAGGCTGAGACTGGCAGATCATCTGAGGTCGGGAGTTCGAGACAAGCCTGCCCAACATGGTGAAACCCGGTCTCTACTAAAAATACAAAAATTAGCCAGGCATGGTGGCGCACACCTATAATCCCAGCTACTCAGGAGGCTGAGGCAGGAGAATCACTTGAGCCTGGGAGGCAGAGGCAGCAGTGAGCTGAGATTGCATCACTGCACTCCAGCCTGGGCAACAAGAGCAAAACTCCATCTCAAAAAAAAAAAAAAAAAGTAAAATATGTATCCACAAATTTAAATTATAAACAACTTAAAACAAGTTCTGCTTAACATGGCTTCTGGACATGTGCACAGATAGTAGCTGATTTATGTGCTTGTCTCTATTGGCTCTGTCATTGCTGAGTCTGTTTTTATTGAATAACTTTTATTGTAGTTATTTTAGTTATATTTCTCTTTTATATGCCTATGTAGTAGTTTTTCCTACTTTTTTACTTTTTATTTTTTGAGATGGAGTCTCACTCTGTCACCTAGGCTGGAGTGCAGTGGTACGATCTTGGCTCACTGCAACCTCCGCCTCCCCAGTTCAATTGATTCTCCTGCCTCAGCTTCATGAGTAGCTGGCATTACAGGCGCCTGCCACCACACCCAGCTCATTTTTTGTATTTTTAGTAGAGATGGGGTTTCACTATGTTAGCCAGCATTGTCTCAATCTCCTGACCTCATGATCTGCCCACCTCGGCCTCCCAAAGTGCTGGAATTACAGGTGTGAGCCACAGCACCCAGTCCTACATTTTATTATAAAAAAAAATTTAAGACATATACCTACCACCTTGATTCTGCAATTCACATTTTATGATGTTTGTCATTTTACATATCTACTACCTATGTATAGTAATTTCTGCATGAAACCCTGGATGTGGTGAATCTACATTGTTGATTGCTGGATTTAGTTGTCTTGCTTCAAAGGGTGTTTGACTTAGTCCAGGCAATCAAGTGCCTGAGCTTGAGCTCCCTGGGGATTACTTGGATTCCTCTGGGACTGGTGAAGCTACCCTGGCTTGCGTTTACAGCAGCCTTTTCCCCAGGCAAGCTTATTTCTGCCACTACTGCAGAATCCTTCTGGGCTCTTAACTGAATGCCTTGGATATTAACAAAGACTCTCCACCCCACCTGGTTGGAGCCTGAAGGTTCTGTAGCCCTGAGTGAGCTCTAGGAATGGTCAAACTTATAGTTCTCTGGTCACTCTATGCCTAGTTTTATGGAGTTTTTTTTTTTTTTTTTTTTTTTCCGCAAAAGTGAAATTTACTGTTCAGCAACAGACTTGAGGAATCCTTTCTTGGTGTATGTTTCTCCTTTCTGCTTCTCTGCCCTGCAAATTCCAGTAGCCTCAGCCTCCTTGAACTCTAATCTCTGATGACACACAAGGAATTCACTGAGAATTATTAAAGTCAAATATTAAACCCTACTTCAAAATTGTCACATATAATTATGCCTAGCAAACTACAACATCCCCTTCCTTTTTACTAAGGGTGTAATGGAGGCAGTTAGCCTGGCATGGTTCACCATTGTCTTCTGCTGTTTCGTTCAAGTATTGCCACTGTTCCTCTTGGTCTCACGCTATCTTTGTCTCACACGTTCTCAATTCTGAGACTCTTGTGTTAGGACACTACTTTTTCTCCTTTTAAAAAAATTTTTACAGTAAGAAATTGCAAAAAAAAGGAAATATACAGATCCCGGCTCTTCTTCTTAGTTGAAGGGCATGGTCAGAATTGATATCTGTAACTGCCCTAAGGCAGTGGTTCTTAACCTCGCTGCATTTCACAATCACTGGGGGAGCTTTTCAAAATCTCACCTCCACGTCACCTCTAAGACCAATTAAATCTGGATCTCTGGGCATCCTTTTTTTATGAAGCTCCCCGCAGTGATCCCAGTGCGCCGCCAACACTGAGATCCACTCCTCTACATTCACCTGGGGCTTGGTTTCCATCAGTGCCATGTCCAGAGATGCCCCACTGCCCTCCAGGGGAGTGTGTAAAAAGCAACTAGCTGGTCACTTAATCATTAATGCTCGTGGGAGGCTGCAGCTCAGCTCTGCTCTGTGACCAAATATCCTTTGCCTAGGCATGACTTTGAGTTCCATCCTGTGTTGATGAGATGGGGAAGGATTTCCTCAATCATTTTTGGTGGAAATAGTCATCCCTAAAAAGGGGTTTGCACTGTGCTTAAGAACTCTTGTTTAAGGCAGTCGACAACCTCGACAGCAGCTCAGTATGGTATTTTTGGCATTTTTAATTTTCTTCAAGTCTTATGGTAAGTGTATGAGGTAGGGACGGTTTCAGACATGGGACACAAGGATGCATAGTGTTGGAGAGCCATGCTCAAGGCCACACGCTGTTCTAAGGCCCAAAGCCAGTGTGCTCTCCCAGTGTTTTTGCTTCTGTTTCTTCCTCTTACTCCAGCTCTCTGTCTTCTACATTGGATGTCTTTTCTGGATGGACCATGAGCATGTCATGGATCCTGGAGAAAAAACTTGGAATATTGAAGGATAATTCTTCTATTCAGTCTAAGGATTTCCTTTACTTGGCAATCAGTTCTTACTCAGGGCTGTCCAATGGCACCCTGCATTTGATGGTCATACTAGGCCTGATGGGATTTAGGGAAAAACATCAATTAGGTTGGAGAAAAAAAGAGGACCCTATAAACATTAAGGGGAGGGATAAACATGCTCATGCCCGGCTGTGGGAGGGGGAATCCAGCCACGATGGGGGAGCTTGGTAGCATACGTTAAAATAACTGTGTGTGCTCCGTGAACTAGTGATTTCACTTGTAGATATCTGCTCTAGGAAGACACTCAGCAGTACCTTAGGGAGAAGGTGTGAACAGGGCTCTCCATCACAGCATTATGTGGAATCTGGAAAAACTGAAAACAAGCTAAATGTTTATTAACAGTGGAATAGATAATGATTTAATGCTGAATAAATAATGACAAAGTTACTGTGGAGTACTACATACAAGCTGACAAGAATAGACAGGCTGAGCAGTGTGGCTCACACCTATAATCTAGTGCTTTGAGAGGCCGAGGTGGGAGGATTGCTTGAGGCCAGGAGTTCGAGACCAGCCTGAGCAACATAGCGAGCTGAGACCCTGTCTCTACAAAAAATAATTTTAAAAAGTTAGCCAGGTGTGTTGGTGCTCGCCTGTAGTCCCAGCTACTCAGGAGGCTGAGGTGGAAGAATCGCTTGAGCCCAGCAGTTCAAAGCTGCAGTGAGCTATGATCACACCACTGCACTCCAGCTTGGGTGACAAAGCGAGATCCCATTTCTAAAAATTAAAAAAAAGCATATATATGTACTAATAAGACTTTCAAGATAGAATGTAATGTAGAGGAAGAAAAGCTTTTGAACCGAAATGACAATATAACTCATTTATATAAAACAAAACCAAGAAAAAAATTAAACAATACATGTGTATGTAAATGCATAGAAAATTCTGGAAGAGGCATGCACTAATTTGGTAAGAATGGTTATTTCTGAAACGGGTGGGGCCCTGGTCTGAAGAGTGGGTGGTCAAAGTGTGCTTTTACTGAGTGTTTGCTATTACTTTTTAAATGAATGCTTTAAGTTCCTGAACAATGATGGAGTACAGTTTCCTTTAGAAACAGGTGAAGCATCTAACCAAGGTGGACTTTTATTCTGTGCAGCCTGCCAGGGCTGTGGCATCGCCTCAAGAGTGAAATTCTTATGGGAGCTTCATGGAACCTATCTCATCCTCTCTCATTCCAGGCCCATCCTCCCTCTAATTTGGCTCAAGGGCCATCCAGCCGTACTAAATAGGATCAGGAACAATCTTGTAATTGTCTTGATTTTAGCAAAAGTCAAGTGTGATTCAGCAGGTGGAGGGCACTTGACTTTTCCAGAGTGCTATTCACAGGGGTTCTCAGTTCGCTGCCTGTGCCCTCAGGAGGATGAGCAGGGGCCATAACACCCCAAGGGTTTCGAGGAGCTATTTGCAGGCTGTGGGCTGGGGGAAACCAAGGCATGGCCAGGCCTCTGGTGGAACTCATGGCAGATCATGGAGAGTGGATCTCGGATTCTCATCCTGCCTTCTGGGCCATCGGCTTGTTCTTCCCTTCACCTGCATTGCCCTTGCAGCTGCTTTCTGCTTAGCTACTCAGTGTCTGGGGTTCTGGTCAGCGGGCTCGGTCATTGATTTGAAAAAAATATTTACACTTTTTGAGAGTAGAGGATCTTGGCTGTTTTGAGCACTGATGTATTTTAAACACTTGTTGTCATGCCTGGCACACCGTCAGTGCTCAGTAAATATTTGTTGAATGAAGGAAGGAAACATTTATCAAGTTTCTACTGTGCATTAGGACTATGCAATGGGGTGCAGTAATGGTCAGTACAGATGCGTTCCCCACCCTGGGGACTCAGTAGTGAGTGAGGGAGGGGGGCAACCAGCTCATCAAGGGTGGAAGGAGAAACACTCCCTAAGGAAGCCACACTTCTTATGGACACTGAAGGATGAGAAGAATCAGTTTTAAGACAAGCAGGGAAGAGAATTCCTGGCAAGTGGAACAGCAAGTGCAAGGGCCCTGAGGTAAGAGCCAGAAATAATAAAAATAGAAGTAAGCCCCATGGGAGGAGGGGGACAGATGCCAAAAGATGAACGTGGGGGATGGGCAGAGATGGCTCCTGCAGCCCTTGAGTCTTGGATTTTGGATTTTGATAACAAAGAATACTTGCCTGTCATATGGGAGACCCCAAATGTGTGTAATTGCTGTGTTTAATTTTACCACTCTCTTAGTCCACTTGGGCTGCTATTATGAAATCCCACAGACTGGGTGACCTACAAACCACAGACATTTATTTCTCGCAGTTCTGGAAGCTGGAAACTCCAAGGTCAAGGGGCCGGCAGATTTGGTGTCTGTGAGGGCTGCTTCCTGCTTCACAGATGGCGGCTTCTTGCTGTGTCCTCACGTGGCAGAACAGGACGAGGAAGCTCTCCCAGGGCCTTGTGTATAAGGGCACTGATCCCAATCATAAGGGCTCTGCCCCATGACCTCATCACCTCTCAAAGTTTCCACCTCTTGCTTCCATCACAGTGGGGATTAGGTTTCAACCTATGAATTTTGGGGAGACAGAAACATTCAGTCTACAGCAAGCATTTTTAGAAACGCTCCACTCTCGCCTAATTTATTTCAACCCATGGTGATGTCTCCAGTGTGATATTGTTGCATTCTCAATCATATTGTGTTGCTTGTCTGCCCAGCAGATTCTTCTCTAGTGACCTTTGTGCTCTGCCCCTCCATGTGACTTTGTTGAACCTGACCATTAGGCAGCTCCCTTCCCCTTCTGGGAAGGGTCCAGGATTCAGAAAGACCAACCAGAGTGCCATAGTCTTGCCCAGTGCTTAGTGTGTGCAGGAGGAGCAGGTGACCCAGAGAGCCAAGCAGAATTGATGTAGGGACTGATGGAGACACAAGAGAAAGAAGGGCTCTGTGTTTTCTCCCCCATCTCACTATCTTCCAGCCGGGGCCTGCCAGCGCTTCTTTTTGCTTCTCCTTCCTGGCTGCTTCCTTCTATGACAGCTTCAAGCCTAGGAAGCTTCTCTGAGGGAGCAGGGGGTGGGCGGCAGTGTCTTGGTGACATTGTTTGCATCCCTGGATCCAGCCATGCCTGAAGCATGAAGTCCATCCACTGGACGTATAGGAACACAATTTGTTGCTCTAATCTATTCTGTATATGTTAGTCTTGTCTCTCTAGATAGATAGGTGGGTGGCACATGATAGACAATGCCCACATCTAAGACCGTGTTGTTTATGTTTTTGTTTAGTTTTTGTGAGACAAGGTCTGTCATGCAGGCTGGAGTGCAGTGGCGTGATCATCGCTCACTGCAGCCTCGACCTCCCATGCTCAAACGATCCTCCTACCTCAGTCTCCTGAGTAGCTGGGACCAGAGGCACGTGCACCACCCCATCTGGCTGATTTTTGTATATTTTGTAGAGATGAGGTTTTGCCATGTTGTCCAGGCTTTAAAACTTTTTTTTCCGGCTGGGTGCGGTGGCTCACGCCTGTAATCCCAGCACTTTGGGAGGCCGAGGCAGGTGAATCACAAGGTCAGGAGATTGAGACCATCCTGGCTAACACGGTGTAACTCCATCTCTACTAAAAATACAAAAAATTATCCAGGCGTGGTGGCACACACCTGTAGTCCCAGCTATGAACCGGAGGCAGAGTTTCCAGTGAGCTGAGATCACGCCACTGCACTCCAGCCTGGGTGACAGAGTGAGACTCTGTCTCAAAAAAAAAATACTTTTTTTCCTCAGTTGCAGTGCCTAGTACACTGCCCAGCATACAGCAGGTGCTCAGTAAGTGCCAATCTAGTTACTACACACAGAAGCTAAGCTGCTAAGTTCACCAACAGTATGATGAATCATTTTAGTCCTGAGTTAATCAGTGTGTTGTAAGCAATTCAAACTATAGGCCCATATTTCAATATCAGTGAGACTCCATGAGCTAAAACTTGTTCCTTGGTTTGAGTGATTTGTTTGAAGGAGCATTTTTTCCACTCTCCAGGTAATAGGGTGAAAGTGGAGAAACAGAGATGGAATAAAGTTTTTGAGGGAAAGCAGACCATGGGACCTCCGCTTGGCACCATGCCACATGTCAGGTATTTTATTTTCCCAGCTCTTCCTGTCTTGGGGACACACTTGTGTTTCAGTCTCTTTAATCTATTGGATAGCATGTGTATTAGTCTATTTACATACTGCTATAAAGAAAAGAACTGCCTGAGACTGGGTAATTTATAAGGGAAAGAGGTTTAATTGACTTACAGTTCACCATGGCTGGGGAGGCCTCAGGAAACTTACAATCATGGTAGAAGGTGAAGGAGAAGCAGGCACCTTCTTCACAAGGTGGCAGGAAGAAGTGCCAAGCAAAGGGAGAAGAGCCCCTTATAAAAAAAAAAAAAGCCATAAGATCGCGTGAAAACTCACTCACCATCCTGAGAACAGCATGGGGGAAACTGCCCTCAGGATTCAATTATCTCCACCTGGCCCCACCCTTGACATGTGGGGATTATGAGAACTCAAGGTGAGATTTGGGTGTGGACACAGCTGAGCCATAGCAGCATGTGTTTTGGGGGCAGGTGAAATGGATCACACCATTTCCATTTAGTGATGTGCTCTGTGCCACGTGAGCTGTGCTGTGGGGCTCTCCCTCTCCCCTCGCTGTGGCCCGCCTGCAGCTCTGCCAGCGTCACTGGCTGTTGCTCCTCAGCCTTTTGTTTATTAGAAAATTCTGGGGATGATGATTTGATACATTTGCATATTAGCCTCCTTGATTACTGATGTTGATTTTTTTTTTTTGCGTTGTGCATGCAAATCAAATGGTTAACATAAATCTAAGCAAATATTTTTTCTATATCCTGGAAAGACACATTGAATGCAGTTGTGTGTGGGAAGTGTGTGGGAAGTTCAGGGGCAGTGGATTTTAAATCTCACCACCCTCACCAAGCCATCTGCTTATAGGTGAAAGCTAAGTCACCATTTCAAATGTCCCTTAAGGAAGCCGGTGGGGCTGGCCCAGGAAACCTGCCAAGCCAGCAGGGTCCAGGAAGTTGCTCCATCGCATGAGAGCCCTTCCTTCTCCTTCTGTGGACTGTGGGTACGAGTCACGTTAATCACACCCTCAGCTCTCAGCGTGCTCTCACTGGCCGATGGGGCAAGATCCCTCTCCCATTTTGTAGATTTCTCTTTCCCGTATTCTCATTGCACTTCCACACCCTCACCTCTTCCCTGCTTCTCATCTTGTGTTTGGTAATGTGCTGGAGAATGCATGCATCCTTGTAAACTAGGTAGAGCTGCTTCCGGCATGCATTTTTGATTTACACAAAAGCTGAGCTTGGGCTCTAAAGCCTGGCTACTCAAAGTGTGGTGTGTGCCCCAGCAGCCTCGCCTGGAGCTTGTTAGAAATGCAGAGTCCTAGGCCCTGCTTCTGATCTGTGGAAGCAGTCCCTGCATTTTAAGAGGGTCCCTTAGTGATTTCCTCTGTGATTCAAGCTGGAGAAGCTCCCACCTAGATCTTCTGTTTCTTCCTCTTTCTACTCGGTAATAGACGGTTCAGCTCTATCTGTGCTGCTCTGCGTGTAGCCTTCTGGTGCGTCTCATGGCTTCGTTTCTGTGATGTGCATCCACACTGCTTTCTTCTGCCTCCCCCTGTGATGGCACTTCTCTGGTGGCCATGATTATATTAACAGATTCTTGCCTGCTGCCAAGACAGGATTGTTAGCTCCAATTTGGAGCAATCAGATTCCTCCTCCAATGAGTTTGTGTCTTGGTATGAGCTGTGGCCTCCCAGCCTGAGGAAATATTTCTCTTGCTGGAGGGGAATAAAAGCATGAGAGCTGTGATGTGGGCCTAAGCTGGAAGAGTGGACAGGGAGAAGCCACAGGGGAGGGGCAGGGGTTAGTGTGACAATGTTCTCGTTACCTCCTGAGGTCCAGCAGCCAGCAGCTTCCCTGGTGTACTCTCCAGCCCCTAAAATGTACTCTTCCTTTTATTTTACCTTTTTGAATTTTTTTTATTGTGGTAATATATATGCAACACAAAATTTACCACTTTTACTATTTTAATGCATACAATCCAGTAGCTTTAAGTGCATTCACGTTGTCATGCAGCTGTCACCACCGTCCACTTCCAGAGCTTTTCCATCATTCCACACTGAAACTATGTCTCCCTTCCCCTTTTCTGAGGCCAGTTTGAGTAGGTTTTTAGTCTGTGTCTACCATGAACTCTAAATAAACTTTAGGAAGCAGGAATCCTTGGCCTGCCAGAAACTCATGAGTGATCTGAGGACAAGCCTGTGGGCCGGAAGTGACTTATCGATGAAGAAGGACCACGACTGCATCAGGAGTTCTCAACCTCAGTGCAGGGATGGGCTTCAGGCGGCACAGGACGTCTCCGAAATCAGATGGAGCACTGGGTTTAATAAGTGCTTATTTTGAGGGGAGAACCAACAGCTTTTATCAGCCTTTCAAAGGGTTTTAAAAGCTAAGAAATGTTACTAATTGATGAGTTTGATGATGACAATAAAATTGTGTTTTCTTTATTCCCACAACCACTCAGCCAAACTTCACAGCAAATATGTGGGCTTTTCCCACACTTTTTTTCAGTGGATCCCAACCGCATGTCCTACAAGTCAATTCTGCCACTATCTACTTGAAGTTAGGGCAGATCCCACAGGATGAGGGCTCAGTGCCACATGACTGCCCCACTTTGGACGAGAATTGCAGGTAGTAGGTTATCACCTACACTTTAGATCAACTGGCTTTAACTGGGGTTCCACAGTTTGCTAGCATGGCTCCCAAAACTCAAGGAAACACTTACATTTACCAGTTTATTATATTAATAATGGATATGGTGAAGAATGCAGATGAACAACCAGGTGGTGGGTCGCATACAGCCAAGGATGTGTGGAGGGCAGGGGGCTTCAGTGCCCCCTTCAAGGACCTTCCACACATACAGCAACCAGAAGCTTTCCAAACTGTCTTTTTGGATTTTTTGGAGGGCTTCATTACAAAAGCATAATTTGGGGGTTTTTTTGAGACAGTGTCTCACTCTGTGCCCCAGGCTGGAGTACAGTGGTGCAGTCATGGCTCACTGCAGCCTCAACCTTCTGGGCTCAAGCAGTTGATCCCTCTGCTCGGCCTTCCCAGTAGCTAGAACCACCACATCACCATATCTGGCTATTTAAAAATTTTTTTTGTAGAGACATGGGTCTCACTATGTTGTCCAGGCTGGTCTTGGACCCCTGAGCTCAAGGGATCCTGCCCTCCCCACTCAGCTTCCCAAAGTGCTAGAATTACAAGTGTGTGCCACTACATCCAGCCCAAAAGCCTGATTGACTAAATCAACTGGCCACTGGTGATCAACTCAACCTTCACCTCCTATCCTCTTCCCAGAAATCAAGGAGTGGGGCTGAAACTTCCAACCCCCTAATCACATGGTTGGTTCCCCTGCCAACCAGCCCCCATCCTGAGGCCACCCAGGAGCCCACCAAGAGTCACTTCATAAGAACCAAAGAGACTCCTGTTACCTAGGAAATTCCAAGGGATTTAGGAGCTCTGTGTTAGATAGTCAATGGCTCAGGAAATTACAAAGGTCTTAAGAGCTCTGTGCCAGAAGCAAGAGGCATGGGGTTAAAAAATATATGTATATATGTCTATTTCTTATTATATCACAGTGTCACAGATTATCTCTTCCTTTGTTAGGTAAAATGAGCCCTGGGGAGTCACAGCCACTTAAAACGCAGTCCGCGCTTTCAGTGAGTCTAGTTCTCAGAGGGGAAGGCTGTTAGTGGTGGGTGTGGAAGCTGGGAAATGAAGCCACTGGGGAAATAAGTTGGGGAAGGCTGCCTGGCAGTGGCTACCTTCAGGGTATGTCAGAAGAACCAATCTTGTTTTTAGTGAGTGCCCCAGGGAAACCTGCATGAGACTGGCAAGTTGTGTCCAGAGGACTTTCTCCAGCATGAGTACTGGGCCCATCTCCATCTGTTCTGCCTCCAGCACCCAGGACCGCTCTGAAGCTCTGTGAATTCAGCAGGCTGGGGATCCCCAGGCTGGGGCTTCCTGGGCCTGGAGTCACACATGCCTGCCTTTGAATTCTGCCTCCCCTCTTACGCTTGGAACCTCTGGAGGGTCACTTTACATCCCTGAGTCTCAAGTTCCTTATCGGCGGAATAGTGATAGCCAAGCAGCCTGCAATTAGACAGGGTTGTGAGTTTCAGAGAGGTTAACACGTGTGGGCACATCTTCAGTGGAAAAGTCAACGGAGGCCTGGCCCCTGAAGGTGTGCAAAGTCCACACCAGCGATGCACCATCCGAATGATCTTGAGCAAGATGCTTAAGCTTCCAGAGGCTCAGTTTTCTCATCTATAAAATGGGACTAATAATATTACCTATGTAACAGTGCTGCTCCAAAACGACATGAGGAACTCCATGTGTAACACTCAGTGTCTTACACATGGAACCTTCATGAAAACATGAGCTATCATGTGAGGCAATGCAGAGGTTGGGAAAATGAAGTGTTTTCCATAGTCTTTTTATTAGCAGACGTCACAAGCTTGTGGACAAATAAAAACTGTCTGTGGAGAGCTGACATGTTTTGTTTAGCTCAAAATATTGGGGAAAAAAAGTCCACTTGTCAACAGTGAAAAATGAGATTTCTCACGTTTAGAGAAGTCGTGAATTTCAATTTTAAAATATTTTGGAACAAAGTCAAAAGGTGTAACAGCCGTGGGCCGAAGCCAGGCAGTCGTGACTTAGAGGTGTGTGCGCTCCGCCTCCACCCAGCCGGCACTTCCGCAGCCTCCACTCAGCTCACTTTCCTGTGCGTGTTCCTGGCCTGGCCCCGTGGGCTTTGTGGTTTATGACTCTGTCTTAAAGGACTGTGTCCAGTGTAGATCTGGGATATAAAAAGGTTTGAATGAGCCTACAGCAAGCTGAGGCTAAAAGGATCAAGACTTTATAATGGAATCTAATATTTTAAAACAAGCTATTCTTATTTTCTTAGCTATAAAAGCATTTGATCAGCAGACTTGCCTTGCCTCCAGCCAGAGCAGCTCTAGCAATAGCTCAGCTGTCTGTGTTCCAGGAGCCCTGACTGCCTCCGCTGCTGCCACCAGCTCTGCAGACCAAGAGCCCCCACGTGTGGTGCTAAGTGACAGGAGGAACGGTGCACCTGGGCATGGCTGGGTCAGGTCCCCTGCAGCCCGGCTTTTCCTGTGGAGCCACGTGGTCTGCCAGTGTGGGGAGTCAGTGCAGACTTTGCCCAGGAGAGGCTGAGACAGCCAGTGCCTCCTGACCCTCCTTGGCTGACTGTGGCTCACAGCTCCTTGTGGCCTCTCTGGTGAGGTCCTAAGTGACTGAGCAGTCAGCTATGTTTTGTTGTGAGACTGTGACCGGCTTGGAATTGCACTGCTCAGTATTTGTTTTTGCTTTTTCTCTGCCCCTCTTTCTTCCTCATTCCTGCTTCTTTCTTTGGGATTGCACCTCCAACAAAGCTTTAGCCTGTAAGCTTTTGTCGTAGGCTCAGCTTTTTAGGGCAACTGGAATAAAGTGTACATGTTCATTGCAGACAGTCTGCAAAATGCTGAAAAAATAAAGACCGTAAAATAAATCACTCATAATCCTAACATCCAGTGATAGTCAAATCATTGTCACTGTGAGTCTTTCTCCTCCTTCTCCCCTCCTTCTCCCCTCCTTCTCTTCATCTTCCTCCTCCTCCTCTTCCTTTTTCTCTCTCCTCATTTAAACAGGTGAGATTAGGAGAATTAAGACTGAGATAAAATAGCTTGAAAAGACATGGCTTAGAGAGGATTTTATGCTTGTCTTGCTATAAAGAAGAAGGTTTTATAGTAAAGATGCTGAATAAAAGGACAATATATTAAATAACAAATTCAGAAAGAGAGGTTAGGTGCGTAAAAGAAGTTGAGACTGCCAGAAGCGTTCTGCACTGAAAGGAATTCCTAGGAAAGAAGGCTGTGGCATCCCCACTGAATGAATAAAGTATGGGGTTTCAGGGACAGGAAAAACAGAGAAAATCAAAGAAAGAGAGAGTACAGAGCTGCTCAGGGCAGCACCTTTTCTGGCAGAAGAAAAGCAGCCACAGAAAGCTGGCTCAAAAGGCAAGCACTTGATGGAAAAGAAGAGACAAAAATCAGAGAAGGAGAAGTAATGCAAATTGAGTTTATATATTTTTATTTTTATTTTTTTGAGATGGAGTCTCTCTCTGTCACCCAGGCTGGAGTGCAATAGCACAACCTCATCTCACTGCATCCTCCACCTCCCAGGTTCAAGCGATTCTTCCTGCCTCAGCCTCCCAAGTAGCTGGGACTACAGGCATGAGCCATCATGCCTGGTTAATCTTTGTATTTTTAGTAGAGACGAGGTTTCACCATGTTGGCCAGGCTGGTCTCAAACTCCTGACCTCAGGTGATCCACCTGCCTCAGCCTCTCAAAGTGCTGGGATTAGAGGTGTGAGCCACTGTGCCTGGCCATTTGTTGTTTATAAAAAAATTCATATATAATTAATCGTACTTTGAATTTTCATAAGAGGTTGTTTAGCAATGGGGAAAACAAATTTTAAATACATATGTGTCCTATGTAAATACATTTATGATAAGACACCTGTGAGTGTCAAAGGATGCCCTAGGTCTGTGGACATGGAGGCTCTATAAGGCGAATATAATAACAGCAGTACAGGCGCCCCTAGGCTGAGTGCTTCCTCACTGGTATTGTTTGCTAATTGTTTCTGGAGGTGACTAAGGATGGATGGCAATAAAAGTTTGGGGGAATGTATTTTTGATTGACCCCAAAATGGTTTTGCTGTTAAATGAGGTGAGCATAATGTAGGGTTTATTCTCCTCAGGAGGACTCTATAGATTTTCATATCCCATTTACATCAATAGCAGGATAATTTATCTTGATTACAGGGAATACTGAGGGAAGTAATTGTCATGTGCTGCTTATTATAGTGCTTCCAAATAAATCCCAAACTCCACGATATAGAGGTTTTAAAACCAGCCACAGGGCGTGCACGATGGCATTGGTTTCAATAATCAATAGTAAATGATCCATGAATCAGAGATGCTTTCTTAGAGTGATCATAATGGCTTCTATTCCTTTCCTTTCCAGCTCATTAACGATCAGCTTTTAAAAACATGTCCAACCTGGGTGGCACTTTCATAGGGAGGAGCTGCCGCCTGTGTGTCAGAGCCCGGAGTACTGGGTGACCGCAGGCCAGATGCACAGCCAGGAACTCCGCCCAAATCAATGGCCTCCTGTACATTTTAGGTAACACCTCCTAACCTGTGTTTTGGTCTTTTGTTTTGTCAGGATAGCCACTGAGCAAGCCTGTAAGGCTATTGGTCTGCCCATTCTGGTTTCTTCACCAATGAGAAAACTGGGACCTGGGGAGTTTGCAGAAGCCATCCAAGGGCACCTGCTTCTCACAGCACAGCAGCTTCCTGCAGCCCTCCCTCCTGTCTTGTTTCTCCCTTAATTGAGAGGAGAGGCCAGAACCAGATGCAGGCAGTTCCAACAGTAATGAATTGCTCTAAGGTGTGGATCCAAGAACCGGTGACAAGGTCAGGAAATTCCATCCCGGGACACTGACCCAACTAAGAGACTGTGCATGATGGCTAAGTTCAGAGCTCTGAGGAGATGGTAAAACTCATTTGCAACGAAACAAGATATTTTCCAACTCTGCAGCCAGGTGAGTAGGGTGTTTGCTTTATTGGAAATTGGTTTCTGAAATATTTGGCGGAGGAGGCTGTGAAAGGTGTTGGCAGATGTCAAACAGCACCCCCTGGTGGAATGCAGTGGCCCTGAGTCTTGGTCTGGCAGCCTTTTTTTTTTTTCAATTGTGTAAATTTAAGATGCACAACAAGATGTTTTGATATACATATTTATAGTGAAGTGATTATTTACAGATGACCAATTTAACATATCCATCTCCTTCTATAGTTTCCTTGAGTGTGTACACACTAACAGCACCTAAAATCAACTCTTTCAGTAAATTTTCAATATACTCTACAATATTAGTAAGTGTAGTCCTCTTGCTGTACATTAGATCCCCAGACTTATTCATCCTACATAACTGCAAGTTTGCACTCTTTAACCTACATCTCCCCACCATTTCCTTGCCTTCCCTACCCCTGGGAGCCACTTTTCTTCTATTCTGTTTCTTCCTTCTTCCTTCATTCTTGTTTCTTCCTTCTTCCTTCTTCTCTCCTTCTCCTTCTTGTTCTTCTTCTTCTACTACTTCTTCCTCTTCTTTTTTTCTTCCTCCTCTTCTTCCTCCTCCTCCTCTTCTTCTTCTTCTTTTTCAGACTCCACACCTCAGTCGACTCCACATCTCAATGAGATCATGCAGTATTTCCTGTGCCTGACTTACCTCACTTAGCATAATGTCCTCACCCAGTCTGGCATCAGGCTGCAGCCAGCTCTGCCAGCAGGGCCAGGGGCCTAGATGGACAGCTGGTCAGGGAAGCCTGCTGGATGCCCCCTTCCCCTCAGCTGCACCTGGGCCCCAGGGGCTCTGGCCTCTCCTGGGGGATCCCATCTCATTCAACCCATGAGCAGTGGAGGAGGTGGTGCAGTGAGCCAGGAGAGTGTTCCAGTCATTTTGACTCATAACTTACACATTCTTGTCCAGCACCTCCTGTGCCTGCCCTGCATCCTCTCAGCCCCACCTCTGACTCCAGCCACAGCTCAGACACGTGCTCTGTGGGCTTTCGCCTGCTTCCCATGGACAGTGGCTCACCCCAAAATACGCTTTCTCTGAGGGCTTTGGAGAGACAGGGGGATCCCATCATGAGGAGTGCTGGAAGAGGTCTTTGTGCAGCCCCAGTGCTCCTGCTTGGTGGCCCCTCAACCCTCCCACTGTTCCTCCACTCTCCCATGTTAGGGCCCCTTCTCTTTGGGCCCCCATTCAAATCTTCATATATATATATATATATATATTTATATTTATATATATTTATATTTATATATTTATATATATATATATATATTTTTTTAATTCATCAGGGCTCTTGGCTGTTACTTCCCTCTGGCCTGGCCAGAGACTCACTTATGTGATCTCATGAAGATTGGCCCATCATGCTCAGCCACCTTCCGGCAGCCACGAATGGGGAGACACTTTGACATTCCATTTGCCCGTTTCGTTGCTCCTCTCCTGACTTGGGAGGGAAAGAAAGCAGTTTAGACATATGCTTTGGTGTGTGATATGAATTATGCCACTTTCTCCCTTCACTCTGTAACTTTAGAAATGTTTCAACAGTCATTTATATTTGTGTTAAAGCTCACTGAGTTTCACTTTCCTCAACTGAAATTTACCAAGTGCCTGGGCTTTCCCAGGCCTCGTGCTCCAACAAGTCATAATAAAGTAAATTGGCAGCTACCAGATAGTGCTGCAGTGCTGACGAGCCAGTGCGCAAAACGCTTCAGAAGCACAGAGGAGGGAGGGAGGGTCGGGCTGGGGGCACCAGCTTCACCCTGGGAAGTCACCCCCCAGCCCTGGCCCTCCCCATCCCAGGCAGGCTCCACAGGAATTAGTGTCACCTCATTCCCCCTCCCTGCTGTCATTGTCTTTTCTGGAAGAAGAGGCTGTGAGGTCCTTGCCAAGCTCAGCAGGTTGGCAAGGGACCCCGTCATTCCTTCTTTGTCATTCCCCTGATGATGGGGTTCTATTTCCCAGGGCAGGTGCTGGGGAGGCAGGTGGAGCAGAGAGAGAGGCTCATTTCCACTGAGGAGAGAATGCCTTCCAAAGGTCCCTGCCTTTGGATTCAGTTTGCTGCTCTTCTGCTTGGGAACCAGCTCTACTGTGGGCAAGGCAGGGATTCTGCATGAGGAAGAGGGTGCTTACCCCCCCACCCCATAGACACTGCTGAGGGCTGCCAGGAGGAGGCAAGCCAAGGCCCTTCCAGCTCTGCCTTTGAGGCCCGTGCCATGCTGAGACCCTCTCCAGGCACAGGGGCCAAAGCACAGGGCTAGGACTAGGATGTGCTAGGCACATCTAGAGACAGGGTGTGGTTCTCCACTCTCCGGGCCTGTTTTCCCACCTTAAAAATAGGGCAGAGAGAAGCCTTGACTATCAGATTTGTGGGTTCCCACCCAGTTCCTCATGCTTCGGGGCTCTGTGGCAGGTTAGAAGTGAAGGATTGTGGAATAAATGCAGAGGAAAAACACAGAAGTGAATAGAGATGAGAGGAAGTTGGCGAGGGGAAGAGAGAGGGGGAAAAGAGGCAGAGAAAAAAATCAAAGAGGAGAGAAAGTGGGAATGAGAGAGGAGAGAGAGAGTAAATGAACAAGAGAAGGAGGGAGAATATGAGTAAGTAAATAACAAGGACAGAGTACTGTCTTCCCTCTGGCTAGACTGCGCCCTGGTCTCCATGGTGATGGGATGCAGAGGGTTGGGGAAGGCTGCTCTCACCCCTCCTGGGGTGAAGCAGACCAGGTCACAGCAGCTGGGCAGGGCCTGACTTGGTGGCCTTCCCTGTGCTGTGCCTGCCTTTGGCTGGTGGCAGGGTGGGATGCACTCTGAGAAGATGCCTCTAACCATCGTTGTGGACATGACTGACACCCATCCCAGGTGGCGCAAGGATTGCCTCCTTGGTCTTCCAGAGCCCCTGGCACTGCCCCATTCATAGTTCAGCTCATTCTGGCCCCAGATTGCCTTCTCCTCCAGACTGCAAGCTCCTCCAGGGAGCTTTAGCTGGGGGTCCTTAGTTCTGTTGTACCATAGATGCCTTTGGGCAAAGCCAGTGGACCCCGTTTCTGAACAATTTTTTAAATGCATGTAGTAAAATACACAGAATTAACAAAATCAATTATATTGAAATATACTTATTAACATTAAAATGTAATATAATAACAGATTTGCTTTTCTAGTAATACATTATAGCAGCAGGTCTGATAAGCATCATAATTCCAACGTTGTGATCAGTATAAATGACACAGCATGATATCTGCAAAAACCGTGCTGTGAAATGGAGGCCTCTATGGCTTATATTGATGACAAGGTCCCAGGTACTAATAATACTATTAGGGACATGCTCAATTTCAGCTCGAGGTTGGTGAACACAAAAGAATAACTTTTGGCCAGGCACAGTAATCCCAGCACTTTGGAAGGCCGAGGCGGGCAGATCACAAGGTCAGGAGATTGAGACCATCCTGGCTCACATGGTGAAACCCCGTCTCTACTAAAAATACAAAAAAATTAGCCAGGCGTGGAGGCAGATGCCTGTAGTCCCAGCTACTCAGGAGGCTGAGGCAGGAGAATGGCATGAATCCGGGAGGCGGAGCTTGTAGTGAGCCGAGATCACGCCACTGCACTCCAGCCTGGGCAACAGAGAGAGACTCTGTCTCAAAACAAAAAAACAAAACAAAACAAAAAAAAAACAGAAAGAATCACTTTTTATCCACCTTCACAGACTCACCGAATTCTATTTGTGGACCCCTTGGTGGGGTCTTTGGACCCCAAGGAAAGCCCCTACTCATTCCCTATGCCTTCCCACCCCATCTTTCATCTCTCTTTCCCTTGTTACTCTGCCCAGTCCCCTGGCCTTCTGGCAGTGTCACTTTGTGTGTTTCTTTTTGTCCTGTTTTGTTTTGTTTTTGCAGAAAGAGTTTCACTCTTGTTGCCCAGGCTGGAGTGCAGTGGCGTGATCTCAGCTCACTGCAACCTCCGCCTCCCGGGTTCAAGCGTTTCTTGTGCCTCAGCCTCCTGAGTAGCTGGATTACGGGCACGCACCACTACGCCCAGCACATTTTTGTATTTTTAGTAGAGACAGGGTTTCACCATGTTGGCCAGGCTGGTCTCAAACTCCTGACCTCAGGTGATCCACCCGCCTTGGCCTCCCAAAGTGTAGGGATGGCAGTGCCACTTTGAATGCGTTCAGTGCTTCCTAAGTCAGGGTCTTCTCCCCTGGTTGCCCCTGCTGCCTAGAATGTTCTTTCAGCCCCTGGACCTGGTCCCTCACTCCTCACCTCAGCTCACCTCCTCAGAGCAGGCTCCACAAAGGTACCAGGCTAGATTTGGTGTTTCCTGTTTTTCTTGCTACAAAACTCAGTGTATTGCTTCTCTAGTACTTATTCAATTTATAATTGATCTTCAAACAAATAAACACAAAATAAACATATGTCCACCCGTGAAGACTGTGCTTTATGAAAGGATGGTGACCACATCTGTTTGGCCCTTTGCCTTAAATTCAGCTAGCAATATCTGTTACCTAGTAGAGACAGTACACGCCTGAAGAAGTGATGAATGAATGGATTTAAAAGGTTTAGACACTGTCCAGCTTGTCTTTGCACTTTTAGTGCTTAGCCCCATGTCTGGCACATTGTAGGTGCTCACTTAGTGATAGCCAAATGAATTAAAGGCTGGCTGGCTGGATAGAAGGTTGGGGGGCTGGGGTGGAGGCCTCACAGATGTGACCCTGGATCCTAAACCTTACTGAGATACTGCCCAGCCCATGGACTGCCTCCCAGGGTCCAGCTGTGTGATTATCTCAACCTTCCTTTATTTTTTATTCCATCTCCCTCTTTCTAGTTTCTGATTTGAAAGTGGCTGATTTGGGGAATGAGTTCTGAGCACTCTGTGGGTTATTACTGTAGAAACCATCCTCCTGGCTGTCTCACCATCAGCGCCACCTCTCCGTGGGTCTGGAGTCTTGAGGAGCCAGGACTGGACTGGGATGTAAGGTTGGGTCTTCCGAGCTGTAGATGGGAGCAGGAAGATGTATCTCCATTCACGATCTCAGTACAAGGCTCAGCTATCTCCCGGCAACTCGCCCATCATCTGTTTCTGAGTTCTTCTGACATACAGGTACTCATGCCTTTGATACTTCTTTACCTCTATTCAGTGATGAGCCATTTAACCACGCAGCCATCTCTGGACCATGAGACAGGAAGGCTGGGTCAGGGTGGTGGGGGCAGGGGAGTGCTGGGAACCGAGGAGAGGGCGGAAGAAAAACAGGGAGGAGGCCCGTTCATCCCTGACCCACAGCATCCTCCTGCCCAGAGCAGGAATTTGTTCTGCTTTTTTTTTTCTTAGCAACATTCACCTGATTGAGTCCTGACCTTTCCCTGCCAAAAAGAAAGCCACGCTAGCGAAATTAAGGGAGAAATCTAATATTCATGAGGTGCTGATTACCCACAAATAAGATAGTGTTTTAGAGTAGATGGTGTCAGAATTGCAAAAGCTTTTGATCAATATGTATGTTTATGGGCCCAAACAGAAGTGGAATACAGTCTAGGTGCTGAATAATTCCTCATGAGGATGGAGACAGAGCCTTCCACAGCCTGTTCATCATCAGGTGTGGGGCTTGGGTGAGGTGTGATTATCTAGCGTAATTACACGTGCCATGCAACATTCATGAAACCCAGCAGACATCTTTGTCTGTGCAGGACAGGAAAGGGCTTCACTCTAAAGCACAGCAAACTTCCAAATTACTATTTAGTCTTTTGTACTTCAAGCTTCAGACATTTTTCATAGGTGCTAAGTAAGGTATTCAGAGAGCCTGCTTAGGACTGGTTAGGTACCAGTTAGAATTAAAAGTTTCTCTCCCCAACAGCAGATGAACCAGATATTGTTAATAAAACATTGCAAGCTACAAATCAGTTACCACTGACACTTAGCTTGCATTTTGTTTTCCTTCCTTTTCAAGGTTCTTTGGAGGCGGCATCAAGAAAATACATTTGGACAAATCCTTCATCTCAAATATTTTCCCCTCATGAAACCAAAGGCATTGCTCCAAAGTCATTTCCATTAATTAGACATGCATCTTGTATGACTGAAGGAGAATCTAGTCCACAAACTCTGGGTTAATTTTCTCTTCTGACATCTGTGTGTAGTGTTTCTCTGAGGAGCTGAATTATCTGCTCTCCAGTGCCTTCCTCTCGGTGTTTTTTGGCCAGGAGCAAGGAGACAGGCAGCTGCATTCTGGGAGCAGCAAGCAATTCTGAGAACTGGAGCTGCTTAGGTTCTTTCACTTCTGCTTCAAAGGAATACGTTGAGTTTGCAGAGAATGAAGGAGAGAAAGACTCCAAGTTCCAAGCAGGGTCTTGGGGTAGTCTCTGAGCATCCCAATGTACTTACTTCCTCCCCACAGCTTCCTCACTGGGCTCCCAGCCACCAGTATTTGTCTCTTTAATCCCCCAACACAGAGCTACTAGATGGATTTCTTTCTTTCTTTTTTGTTTCTTTCTTTCGATCGATTTCTCTTTCTTTCTTTCTTTCTCTTTCCTTCTTTCTTTTCTTTCCTTTTCTTTTCTTTCTTTCTTTTTCTTTCTTTTACATCTTCCTTCCTTCCTTGCTTCCTTTCTCTCTCTTTTTCTTTCTTTTATGGTTTTTTTTTTGTTGTTGTTGTTGTTGTTTTTAGACAGTCTTGCTCTGTCACCCAGGCTGGAGTGCAGTGGTGCAATCTCGGCTCACTGAAGTCTCAACCTCCTAGGCTCAAACAGTCCTCCAACTTCAGCCTCCCAAGTAGCTGAGACTACAGATCAGCAATCTGGCTAATTAAAAAAAAATTTTTTTTAGAGATGGGGTCTTACTATGTTGCCCAGTCTGGTCTTGAACTCCTAGCCTCAAACAGTCATCCTCCCTTAGCCTCCTAAAGTGCCGTGATTATAGGCGTGAGCCACCATGCCCAGCTGGATTTTTTCTTTTAACTGTAGTTTTATCATGTTCTTTTTGCTTAAAATAAACTTTTCTGAAGTAAATTCTGGACTCTGCAAGGTCTTTGTTCTATTTGTTATGGTGTTTGGGCAAGCCCTCTGTTTTCCTGTCCAGAGCAGGCCTGGGACCTTTGCCTTCGGTGGCTTTCCTGGGATCCCCCACTACCCAGAAGAGCAGGGCTATTGCCTCTGCTCGTCCCCAGATCCCAACCCTCCATGGGCCTGCCCTGGATCCTTGCTGTTGGAGGGGAGGCACAACTTCACCTCTACCCTCATAGGGATTTTTGGCTGCACCTGCGAGTTACATTGACATAAGACAGATGAACGAAAGGAAAACATACACATTTATTTCACACAAGTTTTATGTGACACGGGGGCCTTATTAAGGAAATGAAGACCCAAAAAGGCAGTTACAGTAAACACATAGTGAATTGGACAAAGGGTAGTGCATTATGAAAATGTGACAAGGCAAAGGGGCTTGGGCTAACATGGTTAGTTGGGTGGAGAAGTGGCCAGGAAGATAAGGGTGAGTCTAACAAGGTTTGTATGTGCAGATTTTTCTTGGTCTCAATTCCCCATCCTTGATGGGAGTGGGACTTTGCTTCTGGTACAGAGTGCCTTCTTCACATGGGAATTATTTTTTGCTTTTAAGAAACAGATCAGAGTGGTCTTCTTTCATCTGCTGTTTTCTTATCCGTTTTTAACTCAAAATAGTCAATATTCTACAGCAGCAGATCTGGGGGCAACATGTTCTGAACTCCCTTATTTCTGAATGTCACTGTCTTCCAGTCACAGACCACCAGGAACACACCTGCAGTTGGCCAGCTGGGTTTATTACTTGATATGGTGAAGAAGGATGCTCTCCACAGAAAAGTAGTGGGGCATCTCAGGAAGAAGATATTGATGAAAGCTTTAGAGTCTGGGCTTTGGTTGGGTAATGTTGAGGAGGGTGTAAGAAGGTGACGTTTGCCATGGATTGGGTACTGACAGAAAGCGAGAAGGATGTTGTAGTTTGGTATCTTGATAAATGTTACAGACAGGAAGGGCAGACTAGAGCGAGGACAAGGCTGTAATTGGTAAAGAAGTAGCAGTCACTCATTTTTTACCAAGAGTGGTGGTTTTTAGGAGGGCTGCACAGTGATTTTGTTTTTGTCTAGTGACCTCACTTGATGTAGGTGTTCTGTGAGATCAGGTATGTCTAGCATAAAGAACATGGTCTCGCTGTCAGTGTCAGACCAGTTTCCAGATGTCAGGGGCCCATGCCTTCCCTTAGGACTCTCCACCCTCAGCCTGATCCATGTCTACACCTTGTAGTGCCAACCCTGAGGCTCTTCCTATTTATTTATTTATTTATTTGTTGAGACAAGGCTGCTCTGTCACGCAGACTGGAGTGCAATGGCATCATTGTAGCCAGGTGTGGTGGTGCACACCTGTAAACCCAGCTATTTTGGAGACTGAGGCATGAGAATAGCTTGAACCCGGAAGGCAGATGTTGCAGTCGGCCAAGATTGCACCACTGTACTCTGGCCTCAGCAACAAAGTGAGACCCAGTCAAAAAAAAAAAAAAAAGAGAGAAAGAAGAAAGAGAGAGAGAAAGACAGAAAGAAGGAAGGAAGGAAGGAGAGAAAGAAAGAAAGAAGAGAAAAATTTAAAAAAGAAAATGGATGGGAAACACTTCCAAACTGTAAGGGCTGTAGGAGTGAGGGCACCACTTTTCTGAATGGCACTTGGCTGTTGGGAGGCAGCACAGTAAACACTGTCCCTCACTATGCTGTCATCACTGGGGTGAGGACTCTTCTCCATTCAGCCCTCCTGATCCACTTTCCACTCTTCATTCTGCTGGGGTGCCAGGAAGCTGACCTGTAAGGATTTCAACAATGGACCCCTCTGCCCTCTGGCTTCTGGTTGGTGTTGGTTAATGGAAATATTAATAGGAGATTGCAGGGAGGAAGGAAAAGGGGTCAGGGTATTTACCACCAAGCTTCTTCTCTGCCTGTGTCCTATGGGGCACCTTCTCTCACAGCTCTCACTCCAGGTTCTAGTAAACGCTCCCTCTCCTTTTCCTTGCTTTAACCCTGCACACATGATTCAGACAGTCCCTTTGTTAAATTTTCCTTGAGAACGCCACTTGAGTGACGTCTATTTCCAGTGTATTTCTAGCATGCATCCATGCTAAATGATACCATTAGGTTTTCACATTCACTCAGGAAAGAGAAGCCACTGACTCAGATCACACAACCCAAAAGCAGTGACGCTGGGATTTGAGGCTCCTGGTTCACAGTTTCATGTCAGTTTTTCGACCCTCTCATTCAGAGTGGGGCTAGTTTAGCAATCAGCTCAAGTGACTTCTTGTATTCTAGATGAGTGTTTTCCAAACTGTGGAGCCATGAAATTGATTTAGAGGGTCATGACTCAGTATTACAAGAAAACCAAATAGAAACGGTTAGAATGCAACCCACATAGTAAAGGCAAGTATTGTTTCACTGAACTTTGGCTTCATCTGTATGTATGTGTGTGTGTGGTATCTGTATAGAGTTGCAGTGTAAAATCTATACCTTACTCTGGGCCACAGTCCAAAAGATTCTGAAAGCCTTTGTTCTTTTGCTTTTCTTTTTAGAGAAAGGGTCTTGCTCCAGGCTGGGGCAAGGGTCATCCAGGCAGGAGTGCAGTGGTTCAATCACAGACAACTGCATCCTCAACCTTCTGGGCTCAAGTGATCCCCCCACCTCAGCCCTCATGGGTAGCTGGGACTAAAGGCGTGTGCAACCATGCCTTGCTAATTTTAACAAAAAATTTTTGTAGAGATGGGGTCTTACTATGTTACTCAGGCTGGTCTTAAACTCCTGGCCTCAAGCAATCCTCCCACCTGGGCCTCCCAAAGTGCTAGGATCACAGGCATGAGCCACCTGCTGGGCTGAAAGCCTTTGTTCTGTAGAGAGCAGCAGAGCCCTCTGAGACGTGAATGAGTGAGCCAGCTCCAGCGTGGGTGGGGGCAGACCCTCTCCTGCTTTAGCACGCACTGTGATCCTCTAATAATGAGTGCATCCTGCAGGCCTCCCAAACACCTGGGGCCAGAGAACGCTCTTAGTCTAAAACACACAGCCCCACTCTTCTGAGAAATGCACTTTGGGAAATACTGCTTCTGGGAGAGGTGAATTGCACAGGAGAGCCAGCACCTGCTCTTTGGACGCCCCTGTACTGATGTAGGCCACCCAGGCTTGGGGCAGATGGGCAGGAACAGAAGGAGGGGTGCCGGCCTATGGATTCCAATCTATGCAATTAGTTCCCTAGGCATCAAGGCTGCCTTCCAAAATTTTGGAATTCCATGTGATAATCCAGGGGTTTAATCATTTTTGTATCTTCACACCAGCATAGTAGCTTCACTCTCAGCAAACATCTGCTGAATGCACAAATGACTCCTGTGCACTGTTCCTGCCCCTCCAGGGAGCCAGTGACCATAATGAAAAGAGAATGGGCTTTGGAGTCAGAACCACATCCAGTTTGTGACTTTGGAATATGTTACTTATTCTGAGCTATATCTCCTTCTTAGGCGAATGCAGATGGTAATACATTCCTTAGCATTGTTGTGGGTATTAAATAAGGTAATATACAAAGGCCAAGCTGAGTTCCTGATAGTTGATGCCTTGGCAATGTTATTTTTTTTTCTCTCCCTTAAAGTCCTTCTCTTGCTTAAATTTGTTCTATAGCTTTATCAACTGTTTATTGTCTGTTATCTGCTTGCTTTCCTCCAGGGAAAGGGAGATCGCTACCTTGTCTATCAGCTCTTTCTAGTTTGGGACTAAAGACTGTCTCCTTCTACTGCATTCACTATGTCTGGTTTTATTCACCTAGGCCTCCTACTGCTCCTTAAGGAGACTAAATATTGAGAAAGGAAGAAGAAAAGTAGGGGGTGAAGAATTGGTTTTTTTCAGACCGCCAACATTCCCCTCCAATCAGCCTGGCCTGTTGACTTCTGTCTGGGTCTGCTCCTGCATATTTTCCAGCTCCTTCTTCATTCCTCAGTGCCAACATGCAGAGAGAGCTGGCACCATTGTAGACCAGAGACTTCTCTTGGCACTTTGCAAGCATTGTATGGCCCATTTGTGGTAATAATGTAAAATTTATCTATCTGAGAAATGTGGAACTTTCTTGAGGACAATAGTTAACAGTGACGATCGTTATGTTCATATTTAATTTCTGAGAGAGTAAAAAAAAATCATTAAATGTTTGGTGAGCATTAAGGGGGCTTCAGGCCCATAAGAAATTTGAAGAAATGTAGTGTATGGTTTTATGGGAATAAGTGAATGACTGAATGGACCCATAGCTGGGAAGAGGCATGAGGTGGGACAAACAGGTTGCATGTGGCCATCCCTGGGTTCCACCTCCTGTTACTCTTCCTCTAGTGGTTCCCAAGACTCAGGGTTGAGTCCAAGCATGCAGCCTTCCACAGAGGGGCCATCGTCAGGCATGAAGCCAAGGCAAGCAACTTTGCTTGCTCACTTCAAGGAAGGTCTGCAGATGTGGCCTCAGCCCAGGGCCCTCTGGAAATGCAAAGTTGTTCCATCTCTCATCTCTATAAAGCATCCACAAGGCCCTTTTCAATACCTGGGTTCCCATGTCCCTGGTAGAAACTTGCACTGTAGACGGGCAGGTCTCTAAGGCCCATACTCTGGTCCTGTGTGTTGCTTTTATTCTGTGCCTGGTGAGCAGTGATGGCTGAGTAAATGTTTGTTGAAGGACTGATTGACCCAGTGAACAGATAAGTGAGAGGAAAAAAATAGATGTGCAAGCTCCAGGTTGTACAGGGGTCTGAGTCACTGTAGATTCTGGGGTCCCTGGGGAGGTCCGGCTGGGTGGTGCTATTCCCCGGAATCCTGAGCCTTAGGGTTCAGCTCAGCCCCTATCAGAACAGGACAGAGCTCCTGGACAATCAGTTGTGCAAAAGGCTGAGGGACCTCCTGGTGATGTCTCCCTTTCAGCCAGAGGGAATGTTACTCCTCTAATGACCTAAGGACTTAGAAAGATCTGTGTGAAAATGCTTAGTCTGCATGGGACAGGAATTCTGGGCTTGACTGAGAGCAGCGGTAACTTCTTCCAGTTCGTTCTGGTTGCTGGAGTTTGAATATTTGACCCTGCAAACCTCATGTTGAAATTCGATCCTCAGTGTTAGAGGTGGGACCTAATGGAAGGTGTTTGAGTCATGGGGTGGATACCTCATGAGTGGTTTGGTGATGTCCTGCAATAATGAGTGACTTCTCACAGTATTAGCTCCCCCTAGAACTGTTGTTAAAAAGTCTGCTTCAGTGATCTGTCATCCATACCCCAAACCTCAGCATCATGCAAATATCCATATTAAAAAACATACACTTGTACCCCCTAAGTCTAAAATAAAAGTTGAAATTATTTTTAATTAATAAATGTAGAGGATTAAAAAAAAAAGCCTGATGCCTCCCTCTTCTCTCTTGCTTCCTTTCTCACCATGTGATTTCTGCGTACACCAGCTCCTCTTCCCCTCAGGCTGTGAGTGGATGCAGCCTGAGTCCTCCCCAGAAGCAGATCCTGGCGCCATGCTTTCTGTACAGCCTGCAAAACTGTGAGCTAAATCAACCTCTTTTCTTTATAAATTACCCAGTCTCAGGTATTCCTTTATAGCAGCACGCACGGACTGAGATACCAGTGAAGCTTTGCCTCATCTTTGAGTGTAGGATTGGCCATGCATTGTCTTGTGAGTTTCCTTCTTGTTCCTCCTGCCAGCTGTGATCTGACTCGCTATGCTCTGTAATCCGGTCTCGCTCATGAACCTATCTGCCCCTTGCTAGCAGAGACCGTTTCTACATTTTCACGCCAGAGCCAACGTGTCTCTTACATGGTTGGCGTCCACTCTATGCTTGCCAAATGAATAGGATATTTAAAGGCAAATGATGTTTCAATCATTTTGACTGGAAGAGCTGTCACCAGGAGAGGGTGGTGACTGCAAGTTGTCTAGGTCCTTGGTGTTTTGAACAAAGAATTAAAACGCCCAGCAAAGCAAAGAAAGAATGAAGCAACAAAAGGACAAAAGCAGGGATTTATTGAAAACAAAAGTACACTCCGCTGTGTGGGAGCAGACCCAAGCAGGGGCTCAAGGGCTCGGATACAGAATCTTCTTGGGTCCAAATACCCCCTAGAAGTTTCCTATTGGCCACTTTATGTTCACCTCATGTCTCAGATTGGATGCGGACAGCATGAACCACAGGCTGAAGTGAAGTTACAAAGGTCACACTCCTGTGCAAACATCTGATTGGTTGCACAAAGCAACCAATCAGAGGCTAGGATGAAATTACAAAGTTCTACTTCCATGCAAACGAAGACTCGGCCTGCAGTCAGTCTGATTGGTTGTGGAGTGAAGTTACAAAGTTGCAAATGAATATTTAACCCGCAATCAGTCTGATTTGTTGTTAGAACAGCCAGTTTCCCATCTGTCCTGCAGAAAACGTCAAAGGGAGTAGCCTCTGGTACTTTTGTTACTTAGGCATGGAAAGTTAGGGTTTTCCTTTCAAATTAGTTCTAGGAAGTCAGGTGTGAAACAACCTTAGGTTCCCTGCCTCCAGACCCTATTCTCCTGCCTCATCTCCCCGCTGAGAGAAATGATCCCCATAGGTCTTCATGGGAGGCAGAGGCACTGAAGGTCTTTCTTCTCTAACTGCTTCATGCTGACTTGGGGCATAGTCCCTACCTGTTGGAGATCATGGAACTCTCACCTTACTCTGTCTAGTGGAGGCAGGGTGGCTTCCTGATGGCCAGGGGTGGTGCCTTCACCTGGAACTGGCTGAAACCTTGTTGCACAGTCATCTGAAGCTCAATGGTCTCTATGCTAGAGGAAATGGATTCGGTTAAAAGATTTAATGGGCAGCCGGGCGCAGTGGCTCATGCCTGTAATCCCAGCACTTTGGGAGGCTGAGGCAAGTGGATCACTTGAGGTCAGGAGTTTGAGACCAGCCTGACTAACATGGTGAAACCCTATCTCTACTAAAATTACAAAAATTAGCTGGGCATGGTGGTGGGCACCTATAATTCCAGCTACTCAGGAGGCTGAGGCAGGAGAATCACTTGAACCCAGGAGGTGGAGATTGCACCATTGCACTCCAGCCTGGGCAACAGAGTGAGACTCCATCTCAAAAAAAAAAAAAAAAGATTTAATGGGAACTTCAGGAGGTTGATACCTATTTTGTCAGAAATGTTTGTCATAGAGATTTGCAGGAGAAAAAACAAAACCTGGTCTGTTTTAGAATCTATGTGTTTCCTTAAAGTCAGCATGAGTGACTCCATTTTTGTTCAGTTTGGTTTGTTGTGGCCTAGTGCATGAGCTTAGTCCAAAACAATGGCCTCCCAGAATTTTGTTTAAAAATTTCCCCATTTTTCACTTAGGTGAGAGCATGACCAAAATTTAGGGCCTTAGCATCACTCTCAGTTACCATGATTTTGAGTTTCCAATCTCAGCACATCATTTATAGGTTATGGTGTCCTCATGGTTGCACATTTCTTTCAGTTCCTGTTATTCCAGTTGAAGAGAGACTGTATGACATTCTGGAGATGGCCAAATGCAAGCATTAAAAACCTTTGAGAGAATACAATGCACCAGGGAGACTATTATTATGACTATTGGGAGGATAGTACCAAGAGTTTGGAGTATGCTCCTTACCCAAGGTTCCCATAAACCAAACCTCCTAACATCAAATAGATCAAAGAATGAGCTGGATAAAGAATTTACTTACCTAACTAAGTGATCTCTTCATTAATTCTCTACCACTGAATTTCTATAATCTTCATTTGATGTATTTCTCCATAGGCCATAAGTGCCAGCAGCTGCATAGGTACTTTTTGTTTAGCCAATTATATTATTTAGCATAACGTTCACAAGAGAATTTAAAGTCTGTTGTGTAACTGTAGCCTTTACAGTAGAATTTGCTATAGAACCTATCATGAGGGTTACATTTCTTATCTTTGCTTCTTTACTTTAAACCATGGAAAAAAGACCTAACAAAGGATGCCCTTTTAGAAAAGTGAAGGCCTTCTGGCAATGTTCTCTTTAACCCATGATGTGGGTTAAGAGGAGTAAACCAATGTTTTGTTTTTGACTGATTATGAGGCAGTGCATGTATGATTAAAGTTTCTTACCTACATTGGGCCTTCATATTTTATCTATTAAAGTACAAGGTTACCCATGTATAAGGCTGGCTGCAAAATCCTTCACAAATAAAAGTACACCCCATAAGAAAAAAAAATTCAAAGATAAGAATTTCATGATAGTAGAAGTCTTAATCTGTGAATTTGAAAAAGCTGTTCACATCAAAGATGCCATCTTCTTCTTGGGAGAAATTTCCCTGGTTAGGTTTACCTCTAGGGTTCCAATGGGTGCACAGCTCCAAAAGTGTGGAGGGACCCTTCTCAATTGTGAGACTATGAACTCAAAGTCCAAGGTCCTGAAGTTTTGTTGTAGTGTGGATGGCAAGAACAGTCCTTCTTTGCTGTTTCTAGAAGATGTAAGCCATAAAAAGCTTTTTTACCCGGTAAAAATACACTGTAGCATAATAATCTACTGTTACAACATCACCCCTCTTGCATGGGAAAGCTTTTATACAACTAGAAAACATGCACTGAAAATAACAATTGAATGAAACCCCTTTATAAAATGTCTAAATGGCCCATCAGGTGACCAAATGTACCTGAAGCTTTAATTGTTTTCCCAGTAATATGGGATTAAGCACTGGTTATAAATTATTTTAAACAATTTGTAAGTCATTGCACCAATGTATTTAATTTGGATTATTTTATCTTTTCCGTGATGAGTCATGGAATGCATAACTTTTAGAAACAAAAGCTTTAAGGATTCACGAAGGACAAGGTGGACATCCTGGTTTTCATGAGTCCATGTTTAATTAACATTAGACTTATATCCTCTTTGATACCAGTTTATTTTCCAAATTAGGTACGTAGCACTGACAAGTTATTTCTATGATTTATAATAACTTAACATAATAACCATAATTATCATTGATAGCATATACTTAGACATTAGAATTTTAGAAATCCCATATATTTTTTTGGAACATACATTAGTATTATTCACAAAAATACAACCTAAAGAAGATTGAACATCATTTTGGCAATCCCATGTGCGTAAACAAGTCAAATAATCCTGTATACCTTCTTTCTGGATGTTTTCAGGGGCCCTCTGATTCATCCAAAAAGCCGGGCATTAGGAAAGACAATTTTAAAACTAAAGTTTGCTTTTGGAATTCCAGATTACCATAAATTATTTATTTTGCCAAAATGATGACTGAGAAATTTTAAAGAAGTAAAAATCTTTTGTAACCTTTTACAAAACAAAAAACAAAAAAAAACTGAAAAAACACTTTCTACTGTTTTTACACACCTTGCATGTAAAACTATTTCTAGTAGTCTTAACCGCATGTTACAGTGGTGACTTTAAGCAATTTTAACTTTAATGTAAAACCTCTTAAGTTATGTTCTGATAACCTTTGACTGTTTCCAGCATAGCTAGGGTGTGGCCAACTCCACATGTCCCCAGGCCTTAACTAGCTGGAAAGCAGGCAAGTTAAATAATTTTCAAAAGCCAAAGAAGCAGTTTATGACCTTAAAGCGTTTAGCAAACCTAGTATTCAAACGTAATTTAGACCACGTTTACATTTTGAAGACAATTGTATTTCACCAATAATTTTTAAAACTGTCTTTATTTCCCAAAGAATACTCAAGTCAAATGAACTAAGAAAGTTCGCATTATATTTTCACTTTTCTGACAAAATGTTTGATTTAAGCTTTTATTATTATTAAACCAATTAATTTAGAACTTTACACAGGAGATATATAGTGACTTCTACTTTATATTTAACCAGTTTGCACAGAAAGAAAGAGGCCAGAGACTGACTGGTAAGAAATTCTTACCCTTTTGCCGGCGTGCCAGGTTTCTGGGTTCTCTCTCCCTGAGCAACCCTGGCAACCCTGCTTGACTGTATGCAAATGAATACATTGCAATGAATTAGACTGTTTACATATACTTTACAGATTTTGGAGAAATTAGAGAGAGAGAAATATGACTCAAATTCTATTTGTGAGAGTATACTCAACACACTTAAACTATCAGGAACCCTAAAATTCAAAAAGTTAGTTAAAGGATAAAAAGCTGGCATGGGCCGGGCGCGGTGGCTCACGCCTGTAATCCCAGCACTTTGGGAAGCTGAGGCGGGCAGATCACGAGGTCAAGAGATCGAGACCACCCTGGCCAACATGGTGAAACCCTGTCTCTACTAAAAATACAAAAATTAGCTGGGCATGGTGGCGCACGCCTGTAATCCCAGCTACTCAGGAGGCTGAGGTGGGAGAATCGCTTGAACCTGGCAAGTGAAGGTTGCAGTGAGCCGAGATTGCACCACTGCACTACTCCAGCCTGGTGACAGAGCGAGACTCCATCTCAAAAAAAAAAACAAAAAAAAAAAGCTGGTGTGCTCCGTTAATTTCTGCAGGCCCAACAAAGGTAGCTTAGGAATTCCAGATAAATGAAATGAATGAGGACTTGCAAGAAGTGCATAGGATCACAAAACTAAATAAAACCTTCCACTAGGAACTGGAAAACATCATTTATTTATATATATGGATACAAGCAAAGCCACAGGAGAATAAACAGCAAAGAAATGAAAACTAGAAGCCAAAACAAATAAGCAGGAAACCAGGTGTAAATTTTTATACTCAGTTTACCCTGGAGGCTGCAGTGTTATCCCGGGCCCTAAAAAACCCACATAATGAATATTTTATTCCCCATACACAATTCAATATCCTTAAGTTTACCAATATCACATTCTGTGCAATCAAGAAATCCACTTAAGGCACATGACCAATAAGTACTCTAGCACTATCCATGCAAAACAGTAAACAGTGTGAAACAACGCAAACATGTATGTGAAATTTGGCTCCACACTAAATTTAGTTTCATGCTTAACTATATTATAAAAAAGAATTATCAAACTGCCAATGCATTTTTACAATACTTCTTATTTTACTTTAATTAATACTAAGGGCTTTAACTATGAAAGTGTTAATTAGCCAAATGTCTCCAAGGTTTCCAGGTTTGAAAGAACATTTTATTATTTAACTTTTTCCACACTTTTCTCCCCTACTTAATGAGTCCTTACTACATTGTTTCATAAATAACTTTTTCAAATCTGTAATTTGAACTAACTTTTAGATAACTTCTGGATTAGACAAAATTATTATTCTTTTTTTTCTAATAAAATAACCCTTTCCGGCACATTTTGTGTACAGAATTACATGTTAACTAGAATTTTATCCTTAGTAACCTAAAACTTTAGTGAAACTCCAAAAAGCAAGAAATCCTGAACCATCAGATATGGGCATTTATAGATAAGAACTATCAGATATGGGCATTTTCAGATAAGAAAAATAGATGGAATTATGAATTCCATAATTTTTGAAACATATTTCCTCATATTACAACACTTTCTCAATTGGAAATGGCCCAGATATCAAATGGGTGTTAAAAATAGCTCTAAGATTTTAATTTACACAAAAAGTTTACCTAAAACATTTATCCCACTCACTGTACTTAATTTTGACTTTTAACAAAGGAGACATGTAACATCAAATAACATATGTAAAACAAACATTGATTTGGTCCCAGAAGGCGGGACAACTCGAGGCGAGGAGGCTGGGGGCTTTCCAATCACAGGTGGGAGACAGAGGGTTGCATTCTTTTGAGTTTCTTATTAGCCTTTCCAAAGGAAGCAATTAGTTATGTATTTATCTCAGTGAGACTTTGAATAGAATGGGAGGCAGATTTGCCCTAAGCAGCTTCCAGCTTGAATTAACACTGACATTTTAAAATATCTAGCACAGAAAAACATAAAATTCAGCCAAAATGTATGTTGACAATTCTGAAAACATTTCTATTTTTATTCCACCAATAATTTTAAAGCTAGCTCGTTTAGTAAAGTTATACTTTAAGTCACATGAACTTGAAAATTGCTTAGACTTACTCAGTTTTCATGAGCGCTCTTTCACTTATAAGCCAATTTTGTAGACACAATATACAACAATAAGTGTACATTTGTTGTATAAACACATCTAGACATGTATACACACACATAAACAAAGATCCAACAGCTCGGAACCTTAGCCATGAGATAGCAGTACAAGCTTGCCGGTTTTACTTTGCCCCAATAGATAATCCAAGGAAGGCTGTGAACCAAAATTTTGGATAAAGCAGTCTCCTTGGCAGTTTGAATTTTAAAGGCTAAACCTCCCCAGACTCCAAGGAGCACTGGGGCCAAACAGTACCAAAGCAAGGCATCACACGTTAACCAGGCCCCTGCTTAGAACGGCAGCACAAAAGCCTGTGATAAGTCTCCAATGAATGGAGGTACACCAGGGTCCTTAATCTTGCACCAAATTGGATAAAACGACATGGACGCACGTGGAGTGGTTTTAAGGAGTGGAGTGTTTAATAGGCAAGAAAGAAGGAAGAAAACAGCCTCCCTGTACAGAGACAGAGGGAGAGGGGATTCGAACAAAGAGAAAACCCGTGTGGTGGGAAAAGTGGCTGCTTATATGAGGAGGCTGGAGGAGGTGGTGCCTGATTTGCATAGGGCTCAGGGGATTGGTTTGACCAGGCATATCACTCACGTGGCCCGCAAAAACCTGGCCCTCCCACCCTAACCTTTTAATATGCGAATACAGGGCGCCATGGTGTCCTACACACCTGTGGATATGTGGGGGTGGCCATGTTTCCAGGCCCAAGTCGGGGCAATGGCAAGAAGACAGCGGGAATCACCATGTTTGGGTGGACCCAGTTTCTAATGGCCGGGATTTGGATATCAAAGCTTGTCGGCGGGATCTAAGAGCCGGGCCTTTCCTGCTAGACAAGAAAGGTTTCTGGAGCTGCTTTAAAAGAAAAACTTCCCAAGGACCCCTTTTCCTCTCTATCTGCCTAAAATAACTTCTTAATAACTCCTATAAGACCTGTATTTATGCAATACCATCCCACTTTTCCATTAGACAGTAAACTTCAGATTCTAGACACTTTTCGGTCCAAGCAGCATTTCAACTCCGAGAGGAAATTCTAAGGAGGACTTAATACTAGACCTCTGAACCTCTGCCAAGGGCATCCCCTTTGGAGAGTTTGAGGTCCGTAGAACCCAAAGAACGTCCTCCTGCGGGGTCCAATCTTAAGAGTTCCAGACGTCTCTGGCCTTAGGAGGGGGCGCCACATGCAGGTTTTCCTCTCCAGAGCATACTGTGAGCTTTATAAAAAATAATCATGATCTGTAATAAGAACTGGATGCTGGGTGGGCCGTTTTGTTCCTTAGCCAGTTGAGTACGATTAGGGAAGAATTTAGCATAAGAAAAGAAGGAGTTTAAGTCACCTGAAACGTGTGTGAATTTGCCCTGGACGAGCTGCCGCTGCCAACTGCGTCACATGCAGTTGTGAAAGGATAACTGGAAAGGATAGTAAAGTGTCTTTCCCCCTTCCAGGCAGGGCAGCCATCCCTGTTCACTCCCTGGACTTCAGAGATCACTGGAGAGCGGCCCTGGCCAGTTCCTCTCAATTACCAAGGAGCCACTAGGAAACAGCTGCTGAAAGACTGAAAAAGGAGGAAAGGAAAATAACTCAGAAAAAGGGAAAAAGGAACAGGACTCAGAAAAATGAAAACAAGAAAAGGACTCAGGTCCCTCACCCGAACTGGGCGGCGGCAGTAAGGCGCTTCCATGTGGAAACCTTTCAGTTTCACCAGAGTGGCGCTGGCCAGAAAGTTGCAGTTGTCTCCATGCTTAGGCACTGTCCACAGAGGGTCCCGAGTTGAAAAGGAAAAGAGAGAAAGATTTAAAAGGGGAAAGGAGAAAAATAAATCCCAAACTTTGGGCCTACCTTTCCTCCTGGCTGGCTTGCCAAGATACGTCACCGGTAGAGGGTCATAACTGCAAGCTGTCCAGGTTCTTGGTGTTTTGAACGAAGAACTGGACAAAATGCCCAGCAAAGTAAAGAAAGAATGAAGCAACAAAAGAACGAAAGCAGGGATTTATTGAAAATGAAAGTACACTCCACAGTGTGGGAGTGGACTGAGCCGCAGTGGCTCAAGAGCCCAGATACAGAATCTTCTTGGGTCTAGATACCCCCTAGAAGTTTCCCATTGGCCACTTCTTGCTCATCTCAGGTAAGTGAAGTGGTAGCCCACAATCAATCTGATTGGTTGCAGAAAGCAGCCAACCAGAGGCTGAAGAGAAGTTACAAAGGTCACCCTCCTGTGCAAACATCTGATTGGTTCCTAAAGGAGCAGTCACAGGCTAGGATGAAGCTACAAAGTTATACTTCTATGCAAATGAAGACTCGGCCTGCAATCAGTCTGATGGGTTGTGGACAGTAACCTTTCAGAGGCTGGAGAGAAGTTGCAAAGTTGCAAACGAAGACTTGACCGGTAATCAGTCTGATTTGTTGCAGAACAGCCAATTTCCCATTTGCCCTGGAGAAAAGGTCAAAGGGAGTAGCCTGTGGTCCTTTTGTTACTTAGGCATGGAAGGTTAAGGTTTTCCTTTCAACTTAGTTCTAAGAAGTCAGCCTGAAGCAGCCTTAGGTTCCCTGCCTCCAGACCTTATTCTCTGCCACAGAGCCAGGGCTGGAAATCTTGCAGTCTTTTTCTGTGTTTATCATCCAAGGATGAGAAGAGAGAACACAATGGAATCTACCGATAGCAAATCAAATGTCACTGTGTCTGTGCTGATGGCAGGCTGTTTCTCATTTGCCCAAATTATCAACCCCATCGTGCTATGCTCATGTTAGATTGTTTGGGAAAACAGACGACATATGTTAGAATGCTAAATAAGCTGAAACTGTGCCAGGATGGAGACAGAAGGTGTTTATTTTTAAGTGGAGCGTGGCACTCCAGAGTGACTTACTGTGGCAGGAAGGAGGACACTGAGGGGAAGGCAGCATGGCTGCAGCAAGAGGCTGAGAGTTAAAGCAAATGACTGTTCCCAAACAGAAATGAGTGGCATCTGACCCCTCAGTTAGCTGGAGGGAGACTCAATAGATTTGGTTAGACAAGGCTTAGCTTCCAGGTGGTTTTAGCTTTTCTCTTGAGCCTCTGATTCCCACCTGAGTGCACATGGTCAACAAACTTTTATTGTAGCACCAGGAATACGGCAACCAAGAGCTGGCGCATTGCTCTGCACTGACGCCCTTCTTTGACTTCCTGGGGCTTTCTAGGGTTTTTTTTTTTTTTTTTTTGAGACGGAGTTTCGCTCTTGTTGCCCAGGCTGGAGTGCAATGGCGCAATCTCAGCTCACCGCAACCTCCGCCTCCCTGGTTCAAGCGATTCTTCTACCTCAGCCTCCGAAGTAGCTGAGATTACAGGCGTGTGCCACCACGCCCAGCTAATTTTGTATTTTTAGTAGAGACGGGGTTTCTCCATGCTGGCCAGGCTGGTCTCGAATTCCCGATCTCAGGTGATCCTCCCGCCTCAGCCTCACAAAGTGCTGGGATTACAGGTGTGAGCCACCATGCCCAGCCGCAGGATTTGGTGTTTATCTTAACACAGTTGATAGGCCCTGTGGGTCCTCACTGTGCTCATCCTCCAACCTTGCTTGGTGCTGCCTGACCCCTTACTCACCAGGCTGCTGCCAAGTGCCTTTCCTGTCTCTCTTTCTTTGCTGATATTTACTCCTTCTCAGAAAGTAACTCCGTGGCTCTCAGCCCCTGCTGAGTGTTAGAATCATCTGAGGAGCTTAAAAAAAACAATACCCAAGCTCCCCCGTAGTCAGTAAAATCAGACCCTGTAGGGATGTGTAACTGCACCAGACCGGTCTGGCTCAGCTTCCACGTAACAAGGTTGTGAGTTGTTGTTCAGTTGCCATGGACCTGCAGGTCGAAGGTCACATTGCTGGAGCATGCCCAGATGAGCCAAGTGCGCGACGATGGGCAGCCCCAAGTGCTCGAACTGAGGAGTGAGACCAAATTTAAAAGTGGATGCCACATGGCAGGATCCAGGATTCAAGCACATCAAACCCTGGCATTGTCCTGCGGCAGGATCAGTGAGATTATGCCTCCCAGCATCACCTCATTGCAAGATCCAAGCAGATCACACCTTATTACCCTGTGCTTATAAAACCCCACTCAGCCCCCAGCTCAGGGAGACAGATTTGAGGGTTTCCTCCTGTCTCGTTGCCAGTTGACCGGCAATAATTTTTTTTTGTTTTTCTGCAAAAATCCAGTGTGTCAATTTTTTGGCTTTCCATTGCACACAGGCAAAGTGACTCCATTTGGTTAGATAACAATGGGATGAGCACAGATGACGCTGAGGCACCCTCAGGACATTACAGTACAGGTTGTTCAAAACTCCTTAAGTGACCTCTTGGATCTGCCAGAAAACGTGGACTGTAGAGAGGGCAGGATTCCTCAGGAGGCACTCACCCCTCCACACTGTGGGCTCACTCCACTAAGTGCCTTCCCAGACTGACTGCCCTGTCTCTGCCCTAAATCTGGGAAGATCACAATGCAATGTTCTCTCTGTTTAGCATTCAGAGAAGAGAAAAGTGTGTGGATCAGACATCGCAGGAGGCAGGCCTCCATGCAAGAAAAAGGTCTGATGTCTTGTTTGGTGCATTGAGAAGGCAGGAGAAGCAGATGTAGGTACCAAAGCATTAACGTTTTTCAGGAAAGTATGGCAGAGCAGGTGGCAATGTTGGGAACACTGACCTGTTTGGAAATGCCACAGTGGATGGAACATGCACTCTAATTTTACTTCCTCAAAAGTTCATTCCGTTTTTATGGAAACCCCACTTCTCATTAAAATTACCAGTTTATAATTACAATCTTCTGTCAAGCACATCCAAGAAATGACCTTTCTTCATTTGAAATACTATAAAAATTAAGCTTTCCTAGGCTGTGGGCTGAACTCCTGGGACAGGCTTTTTAAAAAAAGTACTAAATATTACTTTCAAAGTTCTCTAATTGCCTAAATTAATAATGGCATTTTTTTTGCTTCCTGTAACCGACAAATGAATTTGAATCTCTCTCTAAAGAATTGAAACTTCAGCTATCTCATTCTCATTATTTTTTGCATGCATTACAGAATGTGAAAGGATCTGCAAGGTCACTTCCTCCACCTAGTCCAATGGCCCTCAACTCTACCCCTTCCTTCCAGCCTCTAGTTTCAAGGGTTTGGTTGGGAAAAGGAAATAAACAGAAAGTTCACAGACTTTTCCATACTCACTTTAGCCACAAACCCCCACAGACCAGCTATGGTTTATTACATTCGACTTCTGGTTTTATTACAGAAAGAAATAACTCTTCTTAGGGAAATTCCAAACAGACCAATGGAAATGTGAGCACTTTACATTTATTGTCAAATGGGCTACTCAGCCTCACCATACTTTTTAAAAAATATCTGGCTCTCTTTTGAGTGTGCATGTCATGACCGGCCAGACTGTAGCTAACACACAAAAATATTGCCTTAAAAAAAGCAAAAGTACAAAACACACAATGACAACAATAACAACAAAACACGGTCTTCAGTCTTTTCAGAGAAAGGCTTAGTAAAGAGGCTGACAACATTGATATGTCTGAGATGTTCACGTTAAAGGAAACATAGTATAGCTATTGACTTTGAAATGTGTAGCTATTTGCTTAATTCAGAGATGGAATCTTTGCTAAAATGGGCAGTTAGGCTGATGAAAGAAATTGACTTGTACCACTTAATGAACAATTTCATCTTTTTAATATAGAAATAACTGTTGCTATGAACAGCCTTTTTATTCATTTGAGAACACCATAACCAAAAAATCTTTCAAATGATCATTACACAATGAATGTCCTGAGGCTTTAAAAAATATTTACTTTGAAATTATAAGCTCAAAATGATTCACCAATGCAAAAAAAGAAAAGCGGTAAAATGCTGGGCTGTAAGCTCTGTAAATTTTTTCCTGCTGAAAATAATTAGATAGGTTTTTTCTTCTTTTTTCTAGACAATAGTGCCTAAAGAGATTTAATGATCTTGTTGCTTATGGATATAGGGCATAAATATATTTCTTATCTTAAATTTGATGTTAGAGTTATAAGATTATAGAAAATGATATAATGTGATTAGGAGAAGTATAGTTTCAATAAATTTTACCAAATTAAGTATCACCTAAAATTCTCTAAAAATCAGCATTAGTTTTTGAATCTACGTTTTGGGTTGGTGGGAAAAAATATTTGCAATAGGCCACACTCACCAGGCTCCTCATCTACATATGGGGGAGATTAACGGGGTGACTACAGTCAACAATACTGTACATTGTAAGAGAACTAAAAGAGCATAATTGGAGAGTGTGTAACACAAATAAATGATGATAGAGATATTTACCATGTGCCGTCTATATATTTCTCAGCCTCCTTGCACTTGGGGGGGCTCTATGACTAGTTATGACCGATGGGCTATAAGCAGAAGTGCCAAAGCATTTAGGAAGTGATCCACAAGTCCCAAATTTTGTGCTTTCTTGCTGTGGTGACCTGGAAGCCAATTTTTGATATGGTGGCACCACAAGTGTGGAGGTGCCTGGGTCCTTGAGGCACTGCATGGAGGATGACTGCCCTGCAGAATTGTTTGTCCAGGATCATAATATGCATTAGCAAGAAATCAACTTTTAGATTTTTTAAGCCACTGAGATTTCAGCGTTAATATGTTGCTGTCGAATAGCCTAGGCTATTCTAAGTAATAATCTCATCATAGGGGATTTGAGAGGAGCTGATGGTGCCCAAAGTCCCCTTTGTATAGTACTTTGTAGTTTTCTATTGTTAAAAAAAAAAAAAAAGATTGCTTTCAAAGTCAGGCAAAATGTCCCCTTAATGATTCCCGAGGAGACTCCAAATGGCTAATTCTAGGAGAACCAGTCCAGCATGTGTTTCTTTTAATGACAGGTTTTCATGTATCCACCAGCCTTGACTAAGGAAGTTATTCACTTTGCAGAGTGGCAGCCTGCAGCCCTGTGGTGGGAAACAACCTTGAGCACCAGAGGTCACCCTTTAGGGAACATTAGTAGATTTGCAGCAAAAGGTCCTGGTCTATTGGTCATTGCCAGTACACTCCCTAAGGTGATCAGAGTTTCAGAGCCAGAGACCAAGGGTGAGGTTCCAGGGCGGATGACCTGCTGTCTTGGAGAGGTTATGTGTGTGCTGTTCCAACCAAAGTCCCATTTCACCAAAGCTGTTCTCAGAATCAATTATTTTTTTTTCCCCACGTGTAAAGAATTGTGTTTAATATCCTCCCTAGTGATGAACAGAAAAGCTGGCTGACTTCATCTCTGGGGAGCGAAAGATAATAAACCTGCCTTCCCTTTGAATTCACATGGGTTTGGTTCAAGTCCTGTGTGTGTGTTCTTGTCAGTCTTTCTTCCAATTGAGGGGCTCCCAAGAGAGTCTGACCCCAGCCATTAATAACTATGAGAAAAAGTAAAGCTTAGATTTCATAGGTTATTTTACAATTTGATACCACACTTAGCCCATAATTTAATATACTGCTATCGTTAACACATAGATAAAGCTTTCTAGAACCAAAGGGCCTTTGATGGAAGTAAATCAGTTGCTAGAACTACCAAGTTACATGCTTTTTCATTTTCTGCCTTCTAATTTGTGGTCAAACTTAGGAAAGTTTAGTGAACGAATGTATAATGGTGAAGAGTGTAAGTCCTGGACTCTGCATGACAATGATTCAAATCCAAGCTTCCCTGTCTGCTGTGTGATCCTGGAAAATTACTCAGCCTCTTTAAGTCTCCTCTCCCTAACTGTAAAGGGGCTAAAAGGAGATCGTTTCTCAGAGATAGGTTATTTAGAGATCACCTTTATAATATACTCAGACCTGTGCCTTGAATATGTGTGTTGGCAGCTGCTTTTATCATTATTGTTATGTTGGAAAGAAAGAATACAGAATGGGCTGTCCTGTGCCATTGCAGGGTGTTTACCAGCATCCCTGGCCTCTACGCATGAGATGCCAGCAGCACCCTTCCCTCAGCAGTGACAACCTAGAATGTCTCCAGGCATGGCCGACTGTCCCCAGGGGTGTAGACCTGGGTAATGCCATATGAATGTACTGGGTGGCCTGGATTTGGGTTTTTTTACATGTTTAGTTTTTTCATATGCACACACATAACACATCTGCCACTGGAAGCTACTGGGGACAGGCATTGCTGTATCAAAGATTGCAGGCAGTCAATTTTACCGAGGATTTTTGTAATGATCCCTGAGAGTTACTGAGTTCCCAGCAAGGCTTCAGCACCTGCTGGACATTTCTTACACAGATACAGGTATTAGTGGCTTTTTTGTTTTTTAAGAAAAACCAATTTCAAAAACAGGAAAGTGAAGACTCAGAGATGATATGCAGTTTTTTAAATTTTTTATTTTATTTTACTTTAAGTTCTGGGATACATGTGCAGAACATGCAGATTTGTTACATAAGTATACATGTGCCATGGTGGTTTGCTGCCCCTATCAACCTGTTATCTAGGTTTTAAGCCTCGCATGCATTAGGTATTTGTCCTAATGCTCTTCCTCCCCTTGCCCCCCACCCCCAACAGGCCCTGGTGTGTGATGCCCCCCTCCCTGTGTCCATGTGTTCTCATTGTTCAGCTCCCACTTATGAGTGAGAACGTGCGGTGTTTGGTTTTCTCTGTTAGTTTGCTGAGAATGATGGCTTACAGCTTCACCAATGTCCCTGCAAAGGACATGAACTCATATTTTTATGGCTATATAGTATTCCATGGTGTATATGTGCCACATTTTCTTTATCCAGTCTATCATTGATGGGCATTTGGGTTGGTTCTAAGTCTTTGCTATTGTAAATAGTGCTGCTATAAACATACATGTGCATGTGTCTTTATAGTAGAATGTTTATATAGTAGCATGATTTATAATCCTTTGGGTATATATACCCAGTAATGGGATTTCTGGGTCAAATGGTATTTCTGGTTCTAGATCCTTGAGGAATCATCTCACACCAGTTAGAATAGTGATTATTAAAAAGTCAGGAATCAATAGCTGCTAGTGAGGCTGTGGAGAAATAGGAACGCTTTTGCACTGTTGGTGGGAGTGTTCAACCATTGTGGATGATATGCAGTTTTATTGACATAAACCGGGACTTGCACCTGTGTCTGTCTGGTCCTATGAGCCTGCACTCATTTTAATGGTTTGGTTAAGCATTTAGATTCAGAGCTGGACTGCCCAGGTTCAACTCTTGGCAGATCATCTCTGTAACCTTACATAGGCTATTTAGCTTCCCTGCAAGCCTGTGAAGTAGCTAATATTATTAGCTTGACTTTACCTATAAGGAAATTGAGACATTGAGAAACTAAGTGAATTAGTGCTTATAAAATGCTTGGAACATTGCCTGGCATATAGTAAGTGCTATATAAGTGTTTGCTTTTTTAAACAATGCCTCTCCCTTCCTGCTTCTGTGAGTACCTGGTAGAGTCACAAAGGAAATGAAAGCTCTGATTTCTGGCTCCTTGGAGCGTCTCGTGCCCCTGGCAGGAGACTGGCCTATGAAGGTGGCCGTGAAGCTGGTGTTTGCTCCGCCCAACCCCTCCCACCCAGGACCACTCCTCAGCATCTGTGTTCTTCAGCAACTAATACCATACCTGTGTCTCTCCTCAGTGACCCACCTTTGGGCTTTGTTCACAGGTGCAGAAAGCTGGAAGTGATGCTCCAGGGAGTTTATGTCTCCCCATCTTGACCCACACCAATACCTGAGGCTCGTTGCTTTGATTCAAGTCCGGACAAGCTCTAAGGTTCAGCTCACACTGGGAGTCACGCTGCAGGTGCAAGCAAGAATGGGGCTTGAATCACACCCCTACTTGATTTCTCCGTCTCCCTCCTCCTTCCTACTTCTCCCAGGAGCACCATAGAAAATTCCTGGTACACTTATATTGCTTTTGGGGAGCCCAGTCTTACCCAGGCCCAGAGTCAGAGGGGACAGTGAGCAGGGGCCATGCCTCTACTCTGCGGTTCACACACACTTATGTGCTGGGGCTGCTCTCTAGACAAATGTTTGATAAATAGGACCTAACTTGAAGCCAAGAATGCTCTGGAATAGAGGGTGTGGATCTTGGTGCCTGGGGCCTCTAGAGGACGGAGGCCATTCTGGACCAGGTTGGCCAGGGATGGTGCCCAGGAGGTCGGGAGATTGGAGGGGCTGGGTCTGAAGGCTGTGTGGGTTTGGTACTAGGTGAAAGCCACTTGAATGATCTCCTTTCTACTGACTGCAGGAGCTCCTGGGAGTCTGTGAACGGTGGTGATGCAGAAAAGCAAAGCGTGTATATCTGTTTTAGTCCTCCCTCAGATCTGCTGAGGACACCTTGAGCCTGAAGTGAAATCACAGTGGCTCTCAGGAAGAAGGGTGACTGTCTGGTGTGCAGTTGTGCTGCCACGGCAAAGGGAACTTTAAAACATAGAACTGCCATGTAGAAGCTCAGGAAATATCCATGGTGAGGATCCAGGTTAACAAAAATACCTTCTACTGACCTGCTCTCAGACAGATCAAAGAAAAAGCTTCTTCCGGAAATGACCAAATCCATTTTCTTACAGGTCTGTCATCTCTTTTGGTCATAGAATCAAAAAAAATGGAAGACGAGAAAAGGCAGTGAAGACTGACAGCCTGTTGGTTGCTATTCCAGTCGTGTCTGCTCCATACGCGCCCTCCATCTCATCCCACCCAGTCAGTATATTTTCACCAGGCAGTGTTGCAGAAATGTCTGTGGACTCCAGTTCTATTGCAGTCAGGCAGCATTTACAGGTTTGACTTTCAACTGACCATGGCAGGAAGTCTAGAGGCAATTATAGCCAACACCTGCTCTATGTGCGTGCCGGGCAGGTGGTGGCTGATTCCTTGCCTCCAATCCATGATGTGTTTCCTATCAGCTCAGAATAATAACAGTGACACCTCTGCTTCTTCTCTGTCTGGGGGAGCTCAAGGCACTTTACTCTGAAAACCCTCAAATTACTGGCATTTCTTTTAGTGAAGATATCAAATTAATGACTGAAAAAAATGTAGAAGATGGTTATTGGTGATGTTAAAAGACAAGTTTAACCCACTTCCACACAACATGTCTTACAAGCGTAAAGTATTTGAGTAGAGAAAACTATGAATCTAAAATTGAACAAGATGTGAATTTAGACAGACAGCGTTTGTGGTCACAGATGTGCCGAGATGAAGACTGGAGGAAGGGCACAGTTTCTGTAGCAGTGACTTCCACCCAGGGTGTGTCTTGCTATTGTGTGAAATGATTTTTGACACTGGACAAATCTCTACTTCCACTTACAATGTTTTGCCAGCTAGCTGAGGCATTCTGGGAGGGTGAGGAGCCTGGGCTTGGGCTGACCTCAGGAAATCCTGTGTAAAGGGCTTTTGCACACTCAGAAGCAGGCCAGGTTCACCGCTGTTATGTGCAATATTCACTCCTGGCTCTTGCTTCTGAGCCTTGGCAAACCTGAGTCCTAAGAGGCCAATGAAAAGGAAAACACGTTAAGGAGCCAGGGCGCTTCTTGGATATCAGCCTGAATAGTTCTGTTTCATCTGGACCCCAATTTTACTCTCCTGCTGTTTTACACGGAACTAAAAAGAGCTTTACAGAGGACCAGATAGACTGCAGGTCCCTAGGCAGTCAGGGGCCAGGCAAGGCATAGGAGGGTGTCAGGCCTCTGAGCTCAAACTAGGCCATCATATCCCCTGTGACCTGCACGTACACATCCAGATGGCTGGTTCCTGCCTTAACTGATGGCATTGTCTTGTGAAATTCCTTCTCCTGGCTCATCCTGGCTCAAGAGCTCCCCTACTGAGCACGTTGTGACCCCCACTCCTGCCTGCCAGAGAACAACCCCCCTTTGACTGTAATTTTCCTTTACCTACCCAAATCCTATAAAATGGCCCCACCCCTATCTCCCTTCACTAACTCTCTTTTCGGACTCAGCCTGCCTGCACCCAGGTGAAATAAACAGCCTTGTTGCTCACACAAAGCCTGTTTGGTGGTCTCTTCACAGGGACTCGCATGAAATTTGGTGCTGTGGCTCGGATAGGGGGACCTCCCTCGGGAGATCAATCCCCTGTCCTCCTGCTCTTTGCTCCATGAGAAAGATCCACCTACGACCTCAGGTCCTCAGACCAAGCAGCCCAAGAAACATCTCACCAATTTCAAATCTGGAAAGCAGCCTCTTTTTACTCTCTTCTCCAACCTCCCTCAATATCCCTCAACCTCTTTCTCTTTTCAATCTTGGTGCCACACTTCAATCTCTCCCTTCTCTTAATTTCAATTCGTTTCATTTTCTGGTAGAGACAAAGGAGACACGTTTTATCTGTGGACCCAAAACTCCGGCGCCGGTCACGGCCTGGGAAGGCAGCCTTCCCTTGGTGTTAATCATTGCAGGGATGCCTCTCTGATTATTCACCCACGTTTCAGAGGTGTCGGACCACACAGGGACGCCTGCCTTGGTCCTTCACCCTTAGTGGCAAGTCCTGCTTTTCTGGGGGAGGGGCAAGAACCCCAACCCCTTCTCTCCATGTCTCTACCTCTTCTCTGCTTTTCTGGGGGAGGGGCAAGAACCCCTCAACCCCTTCTCCTTCACCCTTAATGGCAAGTCCCACTTTTCTGGGGGAGGGGCAAGAACCCCTCAACATCTTGTCCTTCACTGTTAGCAGCAAGTCTCACTTTTCTGGGGGAGGGGCAAGAACCCCTCAAACCCTTGTCCTTCACCGTCAGCAGCAAGTCCCGCTTTTCTGGGAGAGGGGCAAGAACCTCTCAACCCCTTCTCCTTCACCCTTAGAGGCAAGTCCCGCTTTTCTGGGGGAGAGGCAAGAACCCCTTATTTCCACAGCCCGACCTCTTATCTCTGTGCCCTGATCCCTTATTTCTGTGCCCTGACCTCTTATCTCTGCACCCCAACCCCTTATTTCTGCACCCCCACCTCTTTCCCACTTTTCTGGAGGGTAAGAACCCCCGAACCCCTTCCCTCCATGTCTCTACTCTCTCTTTTCTCTAGCCTTGCTTCCTTCACTATGGGCAACCTTCCACCCTCCATTCCTCCTTCTTCTCCCTTAGCCTGTGTTCTCAAGAACTTAAAACCTCTTCAACTCACACCTGACCTAAAACCTAAATGCCTTATTTTCTTCTGCAATGCCGCTTGATCCCAATACAAACTTGGCAGTAGTTCCGAATAGCCGGAAAACAGCACTTTCAATTTTTCCATCCTACAAGATCTAAATAATTCTTGTCGTAAAATAGGCAAACAGTCTGAGGTGCTGACGTCCAGGCATTCTTTTACACATTGGTCCCTCCCTAGTCTCTGTTCCCAATGCAACTCGTCCCAAATCTTCCTTCTTTCCCTCCCACCTGTCCCCTCAGTCCCAACCCCAAGTGTCGCTGAGTCTTTCTAATCTTCCTTTTCTACAGACCCATCTGACCTCTCCCCTCCTCTCCAGGCTGAGCTAGGTCCCAATTCCTCCTCAGCTTCCGCTCCTCCACCCTGTAATCCTTTTATCACCTCGCCTCCTCACACCCAGTCCGGCTTACAGTTTCGTTCCTTGACTAGCCCTCCCCCACCTGCCCAGCAATTTACTCTTAAAAAGGTGGATGGAGCTAAAAGCATAGTCAAGGTTAATGCTCCTTTTTCTTTATCCCAAATCAGACAGCGTTTAGGCTCTTTTTCATCAAATATAAAAATCCAGCCCAGTTCATGGCTCGTTTGGCAGCAACCCTGAAATGCTTTACAGCCCTAGACCCTAAAAGGTCAAAAGGCCATCTTATTCTCAATATACATTTTATTACCCAATCTGCTCCCGACATTAAATAAAACTTCAAAGATTAAATTCCAGCCCTCAAACCCCACAACAGGATTTAATTAACCTTGCCTTCAAGGTGTACAATAATAGAGTAGAGGCAGCCAAGTAGTAACATATTTCTGAGTTGCAATTCCTTGTCTCCACCATGAGACAAACCCCAGCCACATCTCCAGCACACAAGAATTTCCAAATGCCTAAACCGCAGTGGCCAGGCATTCCTCCAGCACCACCTCCCCCAGAAGCTTGCTACAAGTGCCAGAAATCTGGCCACCAGGCCAAGGAATGCCCGCAGCCCGGGATTCCTCCTAAGCCATGTCCCATCTGTGGGGGACCCCACTGGAAATCGGACTGTTCAACTCACCTGGCAGCCACTCCCAGAGCCCCTGGAACTCTGGCCCAAGGCTGTCTGACTGACTTCTTCCCAGATCTTCTCGGCTTAGTGGCTGAAGACTGACATGCCCGATCGCCTCAGAAGCCCGATAGACCATCATGGATGCCGAGCTTTAGGTAACTCTCACAGTGGAGGGTAAGTCCGTCCCCTTCTTAATCAATATGGAGGCTACCCACTCCACGTTACCTTCTTTTCAAGGGCCTGTTTCCATTGTCTCCGTAACTGTTGTGGGTATTGACAGCCAGGCTTCTAAACCTCTTAAACTCCCCAACTCTGGTGCCAACTTAGACAGTACTCTTTTAAGCACTCCTTTTTAGTTATCCCCACCTGCCCAGTTCCCTTATTAGGCCCAGACACTTTAAATTATCTGCTTCCCTGACTATTCCTAGGCTACAGCCACACCTCATTGCCACCCTTCTTCCCAATCCAAAGCCTCTTTTGCGTCTTCCTCTTGTATCCCCCCACCTTAACTCACAAGTATAGGATACCTCTACTCCCTCCTTGGTGACCGATCATGCACCCCTTACCATCTCATTAAAACCTAATCACCCTTATCTCCCTTCGCTGAAAGCCTATAAACTCTCCTTACAATTTCCCCATTTTACCTGTCCAAAAACCAGACAAGCCTTACAAGTTAGTTCAGGATCTGCGCCTTGTCAACCAAGTTGTTTTGCCTATCCACTCTTTGGTGCCAAACCCATATACTCCCGTATCCTCAATACCTCCCTCTACAATCCATTATTCTGTTCTGGATCTCAAACATGCTTTCTTTACTATTCCTTTGCACCCTTCATACCCAGCCTCTCTTCGCTTTCACTTGGACTGACCCTGACACCCATTAGGCTCAGCAAATTACCTAGGCTGTACTGCTGCAAGACTTCACAGACAGCCCCCATTACTTCAGTCAAGCCCAAATTTCATCCTCATCTGTTACCTATCTTGGCATAGTTCCCATAAAAACACATGACATGGTCTCCCTGCTGATCATGTCATCCCTACTATCTTCTGTCTAGTCAAACTCCTATTCACCATTCTCAACTACTCATACATGCCCTGCTCTTGTTTACACTGCCGGTTTACACTGTTTCTCCAAGCCATCACAGCTGATATTTCCTGGTGCTATCCCCAAACTGCCACTCTTAACTCTTGAAGTAAATAAATAATCTTTGCTGGTAGGACTATGCTGAATCTCCTTAGGCAGTCTCTAATTAGATGTCCTGGGTCCTCCCAATTCTTAGACCTTTAATACCTGTTTTTCTCCTTCTCTTATTCCGTTTAGTTTTTCAATTCATACAAAACTGTATCCAGGCCATCACCAATCATTCTAAATGACAAATGTTTCTTCTAACAGTCCCACAATATCACCCCTTACCACAAAATCTTCCTTCAACTTAATCTCTCCCACTCTAGGTTCCCACGCCGCCCCTAATCCCACTCAAAGCAGCCCTGAGAAACATCGCCCATTATCTCTCCATACCATCCCCAAAAATTTTCGCCACTCCAACACTTTACCACTATTTCATTTTATTTTTCTTATTAATATAAGAAGACACGACTTGACAGAGGGGAGAAGCGGCACACAGAGGCTCATGTCTGGGAGGGTAACGCATGTTTCTGAGGCTGGCTCAGCTGCGCAGTGGTGCTGTTAAGAGCCAGGGCTGGGAGGCACCATTGTGGTTTCCCATTGGCCAGGAATCACATGACTCTTGGACCCGGAATTTATGTTCCACGTGTCCCTGACTCTCAAAGTAAAAGTCAGGCTAAAAGTCTTTAAAAATAAAGGAGAAACTTGGTTTGCAAATCCACTCTCTGATTCAGGCATTTCAAAGGAATTCCTGCCCAGACATTTCAATACTCAAAGCACGGCAGGGAAAGTGAGAGATGCCATGTTCCTCCTTGGCCTCTTTTCTGGCTTTCATGGATTTCCAAGGGGCCACCCTGAGCAATGCCATCTAGGTCAAGTTTAAAGATGGGCTAGTTCTGAGGAGACGTGCTGTGTTTCCTTTCTTTGTAGGAAGGCTTGGCTTCTTACTCTGTGACAAAACACGGGGCACCAGGAGCCCTGAGCCTGCATTTTTTCCTGTGGCCTTTGCTTTTCTCTGGAGATGCACCTCTCACTGCACTCACTGTGGGCACTGAACTGTGAGTTCAGCTCAGTCCCTGAGACTGTTTTCCTTGCTAGCAAGAAACATCTTCACATTTCCTTAGAACCCTTCTGTGTCCTGGGGTCTCATTTTCCATTTTTCCAGCCTCAGTTCTCCTACTTGTGATGGCTGGCAAACGCTGATGCCTATGGGGCCAGCAGGTTCGTAACTGAGGATAGTGAAGGGTAGCAGGGAGTGGTGGGAACTGGGCCACCTGGTGAGTGCACACACTGCCTAAATGGGATCAGTCTGTTTCAATGCTGCCATTCAGGACTGTAGGCCAGTCTTGCAAGAAATCTACAGTTTTATGCAAAATCATTCAATTACCCATGAAATGAATTCAAGACCACCTATAATGAATTCCAGTGGCTCACACCTGTAATCCCAGGAGTTCAAGACCAGCCTGGGCAACATAGGAAGACCCAGGGTGGTCTTGAGCTCCTGACGGGAAGCAATCCTCCCTCCTCAGCTTTCCAAAGGGCTTTTGTTGGTAATAAAACCATATATATATAGATATATTAGCTGGGTGTGGTGCAGTGCCCCTGTGGTCCCGGCTACTTGGCAGGCTGAGGTGGGATTATGGCTTGAGCCAGGGAGGTTGAGGTTGCAGTGAGCTGTAATTGCACCATTGCACTACAGACTGGGCAACTGAGTGAGACCCCATCTTTAGGGAAAATATTTAACATCATGACAAAGGCACAGTTAGCCAAAGTACACATTTGTCAGATGCTCAGTTTTTAATTTCTGCTTTGCAAATTGGAGCAATTGGAGGGTGTTTTAAAAAGGCAGGACATGATCCAAATGGCCATGGACAAGATGAGCTATCAGTAGGGGGACTGGCTATGAAGCAGCCTCTGCATCATTCCAGGGACGAGATGGTGAGGGCCAGAAAATAATGACAAAGAAGACCTGGATTTTAGAAATATTTCTGAAATAGATTTCTTAGTCCTGTCAAAGATGAACAAAGATGAACGCTAAAGTGGTAAGGACAGATTTTAATCAGTAACAACTATTGCAGCTGGGAAAAGAGCCCAGCAGAAATTGAACTTAACTTTGATTTGTGGAGGTCACTGGGCATTTTAAAGTGAGAATGGGCCAGGCTCAGTGCCTCACACCTGTAATCACAGCACTTTGGGAGTGAAGTGGGAGGATTGCTTGAAGCCAGGAGGTAAAGACCAGCCTGGGCAACAGAACAAGACCTTGTTTCAACAAAAAATTTTAAAAAATAGCTGTGTGTGGTGGCACCCACCTGCAGTCCCAGTTACTTGGGAGGCTGAGGTGGGTGTATTGCCTGATCCCAGGAATTCAAGGCTATAGTGAGTTATGACTGCACCATTGCACTCCAACCTGAGCAACAGAGCAAGACTCTGTCTGAGAAAAGGATAACATGAGAGAATGATGGGTTAGGGAGGGAAGGAGCAGGGGCTTGGCAGAGTTAGGGAAGTGAAACACTACAAAAGCAGGAAGTGGGGTGGTCCATGTGAAACCCACCTGGGTTTACTAATGTGTTCCTGTTGAAGTTAGACTCCCACCCCCACAGAGGCTGGGAGGCAGAGACCCTGTCTTCAGGTGTTGGCTGAAAGAAATGGTAACTTATTTTAGCAGCCTTGAGCTTTCTCATGCGGGCACATGAAGAGGACTAGTGTCATCTTAGGGAATGCGGCCTCGCACCATTGGAAACAATGTGAGTGTTTGTTCAAGTCTCTATAGGTCAAGGCTGAAGCCCACCTGGAAAGGTCTCAGAGGAACCTGGAGGAAGTGTGGCCATGGCGGGGTGGAGGGGGAGGATCCTGACAGTCCTTAGAAAACTACTGAGTTTTTTGGTGGGAAAGAGCAACAGGTTGGGAACGACCCTGATGTGCGGTCCTGTCCTGACCGTTGGCTCATGCTTTCTCCCAGGGCCCTGACCCTTGCCTGTGGTCAGGCCTGCTGCCCCCTCCCTCACGCTGGTTCCCATAGCCTTCCTGGTTCCTATCATGCATTGCTGCTGTCACTCTGGAAGCAGCCACCAGCTCATGCACTTCTTTTAAAGGGAAGAAAATGGCTCTCTGCAACCGAGAGCAAGTAGTTTCAGGATGATGGATCTGTGATACTATGGAAAGCAAATCTGTTATCTTCCATGGTGCACAAAACATGCTGTCACAGTGATGACTCATAATAACCCTTCAGTTTCCTAAATTGCTTTACTGCTGCTTTTTTAATTAAGACCCATTAACTTGTCATATATTGATAAAGGCATGACCCTGAAATAGGTGGATAAATTAGGACTCCCATTCATTCTGTGCTTTTATATGAACGTGTTAATTATTTTTGTCATTAGGAAGAGTGATGGAAGGATGGAGAAGCACAAAACACATTTTGACAATGTGCTGGTGTTTGCAGCTGGAAACTTGGCGCATGTCAGATCCCATCCTTCACCCTTTCACAGTTAGCACCAAGCGGCCAACCTAGAATTTCTTGTGCTAATAGTTCCCATCACAGAGGCTACTAGATGGCACAGAGGACCTACTATTTTGTTTTAGCAGTTGCATACTGGTATTTATAGGAAAACAGATCTGGTGTTCAAATGGAGCTTTGTTTAAATGCATAGTTGGCTCACACACTAATTTTCTACATAAAATAATTATTGGGCTAGGTGCAATGGCAATGTAGCCAGGGGTCTGAGCCTTCACGTGATGATGAATGCAAGTGTAGACAATGTCATACTGGAGCCCGGCTGGAAGCACCCTTTTCTTCACCAGCTGGCACCCAGGGTCCCTCCCCATGTGATGCCCTCCAGGAACCCTGGGGAGGGCAGTGTCCACACATTTAATCATGACTGCCCTGGGGTCCCCTCTCACGGCCTCCCTCTCTCGTCTGTCTTTGGTGTGTGGTGGTGAGGGCCGGGATTTCTCTCTGGTTTTAAGCGCCTCGTGAGGGATGTGGACATTCGGTGCCCTGAGGCTCAGAGGATGGGGAGGCAGGGTCCTGCCTGTCCCAGTGAGGAGGGCATGGCCTGGAGGCTTTCCCAGAAGTGGGGGTCCTGAAGAGAAGGAGCCATGTGACCCTCCTCAAAACCCAACACCAAGTAGAACTCCACACTAGGCAGATTTGTCTGTAACTGTTTTATTTGTGGCATGAATTAGTTCTGTTTGGAAGTTGAGGACCTTGATGTATAAAATCTCCCAGCTCTGCTGTGAAGGCCTTTGTGGATTTCCTGAGTCCTGCATGTGTCTGAGAGAGGGAGGGAGAGGGGACGCCTGTTTCTGCCCTGGAGAACGTGGCTGTGGGTGTACGTGTGTCTGTGTCTCTGAGCAAGGGTGGCTGCTCTATGAACCCACGCTGAGTGTGTGTGACTGTGCTGCATGTGTGAGTCTGTGTGAGGGTGTGTGGCTCTGCATGTTGGAGAATGGGTGTGTCCGTGTGTGTGGGAATGTTTGTGGTGCTGTGCGAGTGTCTCCAGGTGGGAGTATGAGGATGGGTGTCCTTGTTTGCTGGAGAGCACTGGTGGAGGGTGTGTGTTTAAACTCCAGCTGGAATCACAGCCCCTGCTGCCAGGCAGTGTCCCGGAGCTGCCCAGCCTGTGGGACAGATGCCGAGAGCTGATGAGTAGTGCATAAACCAACAGTAGCTGAGTTCCGGCCTCCACGAGGCTTGGGGATGGGATGGAAAACTGAGCCTTCGGCTCAGAGGATACCAGGATTTTAGTGCTTTTTTAGGAATATAAAGGCATGGAGGACAGGGAACTCAGAGAAGGGTAATCCCTTAGGGTCCCCTCACGTCCACTGTGGGACTCTATAGCCTCAGCTTCACCATCCCCAAATCTCCAGTCCTTCTATTGCTTAGGGGCCTCCTTGATTTGTTCATTAGATCTCCAGGCACCTGGTGAGAGGCTCTTGGCCCTGGGGTGTCAATTCTGGCTCAAAGTCAAACTCAGCCCTACAGTTCCCATCCCCTTTCAGGCTCTGGTGCTCTGACTCACTGATGACAGCAGGCGGGAAGCATCTTTGAGCCTGCCCTCCTCCCCTCTTACCCTCCCCACCTCCTTCCTTCCCCAACTCCTCCCCTCGCACCCTCCCCCCTCCCCCCTGCCCCTTTCCACTCTCCTCCCCTCCTCCCCTTCTACCCTCCACCCCTCCCACCCTCCTGTCCTTAGGCCCCTCAGCTGGACTGGAGGTGGGGCCTTGCGAGGCTCTTCAGTGTCTTCCCTACACTGCCTCCTCACTGGAGGCGAGAAGCTCTGCTTGACTGCCTCCCACACTGGCCCCATTCCTTGCTTCCCTTTTGGTCAATCACTGTGGTGGTGGGGGGTGGGGGGTGAGGGGTGTGAGTGTAGAGGAGGGCCTGGGAGGGGGATTTAGGAGTTTGTCAGAGGTGGAAAGATAACCTCATGGTATTAGCTTGCTAGGGCTGTAATAACAAAGTGTCACAAACTAAACGGCTTCAACATGAGAAATCTATCATCTTGTGTCCTGAAAACCAGAAGTCAAAAATCAAGGTGTTGGGAGGGCCGTGGCCAATCTGAACTCTGCAGGGAACGCTTCCTGGCCTCCTCCTGGCTTCTTCCAGTTTGCAGGGAATCTGTGCTGTTCCTTGGCTGGCAGCTGCAGGGCTCCAGTTTCTGCCGTCTTTATCTCATGGCTGTCCTTCCTGTGCCTCCAACTTCACGTGGCCATCTTCTTTTTGCTTGTTTGTTTTTGAGACAGAGTCTTGCTCTGTTGCCTAGGCTAGGGTGCAGTGGCACGATCTCAGCTCACTGCAACTTCTGCCTCCTCTCAAGTGATTCTCCCACCTCAGCCTCCCTGGTCACTGGACCTACAGGTGCATGCCACTATGCCCAGCTAATGTTTGTATTTTTGGTAGGGACAGGGTCTCACCATATTGCCTAGGCTAGTCTTGAACTCCTGAGCTTAAGCAATCTGCCTGCCTCGGCTTCCCTAAGTGCTGGGATTACAGACATGAGCCCCCATGCCCGGCACAAGGTCATCTTCTTATAAGAACCCCAGTCATTTTGGATTAGGGCCCACCTTATTCTAGTCTGACCTCATCCTAACTAGTTACATCTGCAATGACCCTGTTCCCAACCAAAGGTGCACTCTGTGGCCCTAGGAGCTGAAATCTCTACCGCAGGCAGATGTCCTTATACTGTGCTTTGCTGTATTGGGTTTCACAGGTACTGTGTTTTTTACAAGTTATGGCAACCCCACATTGAGCAAGTCTTATCGGTGCCATTTCTCCAAAAGCATATGCTTACTTTCTTCCTCTGTGTCAGAATTTTAGCAGTATTTTTTTTGTTAAGGTAAGTACACTTTTTAGACCTAATGGCATTGCACATTTAATAGACTACGGTATAGTGTAAACATGACTTTTCTATGAACTGGGAAACCAAAAAGTTTGCGTGACTCACTCTATTTTGATGGTCTGGAACTAAACTCGCAATATCACTGAGGTATGCACATATCTTTTGGGGAGGACACAATTCAGCCTGTAATCATCTCACAGTCATCCCGTTATTTACCCAGGATCCATGTTTTCAGATAAATCTCCAACCCCTCTCGCGTTTCCAGTTCTTTCTCTCACCCTGTTTATTACCACAATTAATCACCAGCAGCACAACCTCACCTTCGCCGACCTCTCCACAGGAAAGAAAATAAAATATTGAGGAGCAGCAAAGGAGTGAGACTGTGTATTCATGGCAGCAGTCCAAGTCTGCTCGGATTATCTGCACCCCCAAGAGGCAGTGTAAGAGCTGATTTTAAGGAGGTGATGAGAAAACAACAACAACAAAACAACTAAAAGTCACTCGAGATTTTGAAAAGAGCTATTCTGCCCTTTTATGCCAGGGAAAGCTCAGATTCCAAACTTTTATTTCCCTTTCTGGAGCTGAGCTGTCTAATTTTTAAAGGTGCTGCTAATCAGCTTTCTTACATTTCATTTCCTGTCATCCCCACTAGATTAATGGTTCCTGCTTCTGACGCTGGAAGCCACAATGTGCTCCTTTAAATTCTTAGTGATGAAGTATTTGCATTTCTTTCTTTTTCTGAGGAAGCTTAGGTGCGCATATAAAATATAGAATTTCAGTCTCCCAGTATTGGCACTACGGTACGTGTGTGTGTGAGTGTTGTGTTAGGATGTGTGTGTAGACCACCATCAGAGATCCCACCTGAGAGGGCCTCAGAGACCAAGAATTCAGGGCATCCCCATCTGCAAATCAGAATCTGCATTTTAACAAGATCCCCAGTGACTCACGTGTGTGTACAGCTTAACAAGCTCCACTCTAAGCAACTTAAAATCCTTAAAAGAGAAGTCTTAAAGTATCTCTGAGTAAAAGAGGGGTAAAATTTGCAACTCAGGAAGTTGTCTATAATGTGCTATTTCAACAAATGATTTCTATTTATTCTTTCTGTAAAAGAAAAAATATGCGTGGGGTCTGTAGTCAGACAGCCTGGCCACACCATTCAGTAGCTGTGCAGCTTTGGGGAAAGGGCTCAGTGTCTGTGAGCTTCAGTTTTTCATGTGTAAAACAGGTACAGTAATAGCTCCCATCACTGGGTTATTGAGAATTAAAAAAAAAATGCATGTAAAATGGCTGAGCAGAGTGCCTGGCAAAGACTAAGCACTCAGTCAATGTTAGCTATTAAGCCTGTCTTGCAATTATTTTTCTCATGGGATTCTTTTCCTCAAGCCTGGTGTGTGTGTGTGTGTGTGTGCGTGTGCATGTGTGTATGTGTGTGTGTGAATGAATGTTACTCTCAGCTTGCTCTATCTTCCTTGGTCTCCAGATCTAAAAGCTGGGCGCTAACTTTCCAAAGTCACTAAGGAATCTGGGCCACCCAGGGTTGGTCTTTGTCTTCCAAAGGTTGAGTCTGGAATTGCAGGAAGTCATCTGTTTCCATGGAGAGGAAGAGGTGTTGCTGGCAGCCGGAAGACGTAGGTTCTAGTCTTGCAGGATCCCAGACGCTAGGTTCCAGTACTCAAGTACTCAATGCGCAGTTAGCCAAACACTGACACACCAGTGCTTAGGAGGAGAGAAAGGTTTATTTGATTCAACCAAAGTGTGAGATTGGGAGAGGCAAACTCCAATCTGACTTGTCTTTGAACACAACTGGGGCTTTGATGTGTAAGGGAGGTATGCAGGAGGTGAGATTCCTGGTGACCGAAGCTGTTCGTGTCCCTCAGTCAATCAAACTTCCAGATACCATTAAGGAGGTCTGCATGACCTAAGGATCATTGTTCTTCTAAAGAAAATCAAAGATTACTCTTGCGACCAGCACCCAGGAGTCCAGCTATGCAGTTAATCAATTATGAGTGACTGCCCTCTATTAAAATGAGTACGTGCAAGTAATCTGTGGAGGGAGAAAAGGACAAAGAGTAAGGAAGATAAGTAAAATAAACAATTTTTATGATACAGATCTGCTCCTAGTCTTAGCACCACCATTCTGGTCTTAGCCTCAGAAAAAAAGAGAAAACTTCTCTTGACCCTAGTTGCTTCTGCCCAGTTCCTGGGATTCACTGTGATGGGATAGCCTGGGTCACATGCCCTCCCCTTCAGTATGCAGATGGCCAGGCTCCTTTTTGGAATGTGGGCTGGATCCCTTCTAAAGAGCATGGTGGAGGGAAGTAGAGAGACAGCTACTAAGAAATTCCTCCCTTCAGGGAGAAACGCGAATGGATGCGAGGTGGTGCAAAATCCACAAAGGAGCTCCAGGGGACGTGGCAGGATCCCTCTGCTATGACTGTGCTGCATAAGAGTCTGAGCCCACGCCAACCTAGAGTGTGAGTGCCCCATCCTACCACGTGTAGTGTGCTTTCTTTTCTTTCCTTTTTATCTCTCTCTCTTTCTCTTTCTTTCTGTCTCTCTCTTTTTCTATCTTTCCCTCTCTCTCTCTCTTTGGTGCTCTCTCTCTTTCTTTCAACAGGGTCTTATTCTGTTGCCAAGGCTGAAGTGCAGTGCTGCAGTTATAACTCACTGCAGCCTTGAACTCCCAGGCTCAAATAATTCTCTTGTTTCAGCCTTCTGAGTAGCTAGGACTACAGGTGCATGCCACCTGTAGCATGCCTGGCTAATATTTTTAATTTTTTGTAGAGATGGGGGTCTTGCAACATGGCCCAGGTTGGTCTCAAACTCCTGGCCTCAAGCTATCCTCCTGCCTCAGACTCCCAAAGTGCTAGTATTAAAGGCAAAAGCCACCATGCCTAGCTAGCTTGTTTTCTTTTGAATGGCCTGGGAACCTGGTTCTCTGTATTTGAGCCACAATTGAGGCAGGAGAATAGGGGCTGTAGACAGGGAACCTAAGGCCGATTTATGCTGACTTTTTAGAACTAAATCAAATGATTCTGAAACAGAAAAGGGGACATTAGGTTAAAAACTAAGGAAATTGGAAAAAAATGTAGACTTCAGTTAATAATAATATATCAATATAGGTTTACTAATTGTAACAAATGTGCCATTTTAACATAAGATATTAACAGTGTGAGATACTGGGTGTGGAGTATGTGGGAACTCTTCACTAGTTCTGTAATTTTCTGTAAATCTAAAATTGATCTAAAAAAAGCTTATTAAAAAGCAAAAAATATATGTATCAAAAGGAAAACCCCAACTTTCCACACCTAAGTAACAAAAGAACCAGAGGTTACTCCCTTTTCACCTCCCCTCCTCCCCCGTCACCACGCGGACTTACTTTCTTCATGGCAGATGGAAAATTAAAAGTACCTTTGACTGGTTGCTTTCCACAACCAACCAGACGTTTGCATAGAGTCTAATCTTTGTAACTTCACTTCAGCTTCTTGGTTGCTTTCCACAACCAATCAGATGTTTACATAGAACGTGACCTTTGTAACTTCACTTCAGCCTCTGATTGGTTGTTTTCCACAACCAATCACACTAATGACAGACTACTACTTTATTTGCATGGGGTGTACACCAAGTGGACAAAGAAAAACCTCTAGAGGGTATTTGGACCCCAGAAGATCCTGTAACCAAGGCCACTGAGCCGCTGCTTAGACCCGCTCCCACCCTGTGGAGTGTGCTTTCATTTTCAATAGATCTCTGCTTTTGTTGCCTCATTATTTCCTCGCTTTGCTGTGCGTTTTGTCCAATTCTTTGTTCAAAATGCCAAGAACCTGGCAGTCAAGACCCTCCACCGGTATCTCAGTGAGGAGGCATCCTCTGTATGACATGTGACAACCAGAGGTGATTCCCTTATCAATCCAGGGTAGGAGGTGGGGGGACATGTTGATCCCCATTCCTGTTTCACAGGAGCCCCCATAAGGTGGCTGGAGAACCCTGATGTCTTCCTCAGTCCTCCTGCCTGATTCATCTGCCCCAGGTCAAACACAGAAACTTCTGTCCTGGTGACAGAAGAACTTTATAGAAACTTCATGGAAAAGGTTGGGCTGAACTCAGAATAAAGATGTGGCTGGAGGGACAGGAGCTATAACTGCTCCGTAGACCCCACGCCCACCGTGGGCCTCTCTGTCACATGGTGGGGCCCCTGCCGCAGCAGTGATCACCCCAGCCCTGAAAATGCTGCTTTTGGAGGAAGGTTTCCGTTGAGATCAGCGTCAGGAGTGGAAAGCTTCCGAGGTAGCTGGGGGCTGCTGGCGGAATTTCACCCACAGAAGAGTGTCATTTGGCGGCACAAACTGAGAGAGAGCTCAAGTGCCCTTTGGTGGGGCTGCATCCTCCATGGAAGGCATTCAGTGTTGCAGACCTTTATGTTCCCCGCTTCCTGCATTTATAGACAAGGAAATGAAGGTCCACAGAGGGTCAGGTCACACAGGCAGCTGGGGAGAGTGTGGGAATGGGACCGGGTCCTCAGGCTCTGAGTCCAGTCCTCTTTCCTCCACCTCCAGGCTGCGAGGTTGTGCTCACACGGCTGCCACATCACAGCCCCTGTAGCGATGCCTACAGCTCAGTAGAGAGGGTGTAGTGACAACAGGTGCAAAGGAAATGACACAGTGGGATTGTAAGGGCCTTGGGTAAGAGGGACGAGGCTGTGGCTGGCACCGGGAGCCTGAAACCCCTCTCCACTTGGCCACTTGCACAAGACTGGTCCAGCCACAGCCTCAGGCTCTGTCCTCACAACTGCCATGATTTAATCTGTGGCCTTTGTGGCTTACAGGGTGCATTACGGAGCACTGAGTAATTTATGTGTTCATGAAACATGGGTTCTGCTCATCCCTGGAGGGCTCCAAAGGTGGCAGGAAGATGGATGACTGGCTTAGAGACCCACAAAGCTCTGCAGAATCTCACCTCTGCTCTTGTGAGCTATTCTCAGAAACTAGCAGGGACTCAGCAGCTGCTCCACCTGGAATCCATGCTGCCCCAGCCTGGGCTGATTCGGGTGCAGCAACACAGGGATCAGAGGATATGGGGCCCTTGAGTGCAGAAAGAGGCCTCAGGTTATTTAGAGAAGCAGTTCAGGCAGTCAGGGCCCTGAGCAAAACCATCCCGGCCTCCCGGTGCTGCCCACCTCTCCCTCTTGGCTGCCAGAAGGAGACAAGGTGAGTGAAACTGCCCACCCCCCCTCATTTTACTTCATCAGTTTCCCCTTTGGGTATCATTACTGCATCAATCTCAGTCAGTCAGACAAAGCCACCACCTCGTGGAGATCCTAGTCTGTCTTGTTCACTTCTTATCTGACTCCTATATGTCACCACTGCCTGCTGGCTGGGCGTGGCGGCTCACACCTGTAATCACAGCACTTTTGGAGGCTGAGGTGAGAGGATTACTTGAGGACAGGAGGTCAAGACCAGCCTGGGCAACATAGCCAAACCTCATATCTTTTTTTTTAATTTTTTTTTTATAAGTTTAAACTAGCCAGGCATGATTGTACACACCTGTAATTCCAGCTACTCGGGAGGCTAAGGCAGGAGGATCGCTTGAGCACAGGAGGTTGAGGCTGCATTGAGCTATGATTGCACTATTGCACCCTAGCCTGGGCAACAGAGTGATACCCTGTCTCTAAAAAAATTAAAATATAAAAAATATAAAACTATCTGGCATTCAGTAGATGCTTATGTTACACCCACGCTCCAGAGAAGAAACATTTTTTTTCAGAGGGTAGATTCTGACTGAGCCTAGGACTGTGGGTCAGGTGTTCTCACGGTATGCATGCTTCATAAAATGATTTCCTTCCAGGATTCTAAAGACCATTTCCACATGGAGAAGCTGCCAGAACAAGCACTGCTACCCTTGGAGGCCATTGACATTGTGAGGTCGCTGGGACTGAAAGGAGGTTGACCAGAAGTTCTGTTTGGCAATGCAAAGCCAGGAGGAAAAGTTAATGGAGTTTGTCCCCCGGGTCCCAAGAAAGCTGACCCAGGACGATGAAGCTAGAATTTGTGTTCTAGGAGGTGCTGCTTCTTCCAGGAAAGTCTACTCAAAGCACACACTGTGAGCTGCTGCATGTCTCTTGAGCTAGTTCACTGCAGTTTTCATGATGAAAGTGATCTGTTTCAGTAAACTTTCTGTTATTTGAGAGCATGGGAAAAATATTTGCTGTGATTTCCCAATTCCCCATTTTTTCTGATTCTTTGTTGCAGTTTCCACAACTTTGTTATCAGGCTGTGACAGAGGTTTGTGAACTGATGAAAGCTCCAGAGCCTCCCAGGCCCTCTGAGTCTGATGCCTGCACTCCACAATCAGGCCTCAAGCTCAGGGCGCCTGCCACCAACCCACGCTGGGCTTCAGGGGCAGGCAGCACTTGAATGGGGTTTGGTTATTGTCTTTCTTTATTTTCTCTTATTTTAAGCCTTAAAAAAAAAAAGATAAGGTCTTGCTCTATTGCCCAGGCTGGAGAGAAATGGTGTGATCATAGCTCACTGCAGCTTTGAATTCCTGGGTTCAACCGATCCTCCCACCTAAGCCTCCCGAGTAACCAGGACTGCAAGTATGCACCACCACACCCAGTTAATTAAATTTGTGTGTGTGTGTGTGTGTAGAGGTGGGTTCTTGCTTTGTTGCCCAGGCTGGTCTTGAACTCTTGAGTTCAGACAATCCTGCCACCTCAACCTCACAAAGTGCTGGAATTACAGGCGTGAGCCACTGCACTCAGCCTCCTTAAGCCATTTGCTTAAGTGGCTTTATTGCAAAACAATATCAGAATAACAAAGAAATATAAGGTCAAACTTTCCCTGTTCCCATCTAGTCCAATAAGCATTGCTGCTCTTGCCAGGGATTCTCGCCCATCTCCATGTGCCAGTGCAATCCATACTGGTTGTTCTCCTTGGCTACCCCACATCTGAGTCTCTGCCTTGTCTGCATTCTTCCCCACTTTATGAAGAGATGAGTCAGTGCCTGATTTTTTCTGCCTCTCTTGTCACTAGGGCACAGCCATGTGCATGGGCCCTGTCACTCAGAAGCCCCCATCCACCAACAACATGGCTCTGGGGGCCTCCTCTCTCTGGAAGAATTGGCAGTTTTAGCAAGAAAGGTTTTCAGAGGCAGCAATGATGGTGGAGATGTCCAGGGCCAGTGGCAGGTCAAACCATTCTCTGTGTCATTTGGGGCAGTGTTTATGCTGTCCCTCATTTTGGTTCCCTAAGCCTCCGAACATGTACGTGAATTTCCGAATATTCTCAATTAAATTGTTTTTCTGTTGAAATTGGCCTGGTTGCTTTCAACTATGACAAACCTAGCTATATAAGTATTATTTTGTAGTGTTGGGATTGATAGAACTTTATGTTCTACACATTAGCAGAATACCATGTGTATTTTTCCATTTGACATAATCTTTTATCTTTCCATTGATAAGTATTATTACTATTTAGTGATATATTATTTGAGTTCTCTTGCCCCTTTTGGGTAGCCCATGTTAACAGTAATACCCAGCTGCTACACTGAGAGCCTCTGAGACTTACTGGCTTCAGGGGAGACAGCACATTATCAGCTGTGGTGGCCATGGCCGAGACTCCTTTTGCCTGAGAAAAGCAGAGGAAAATGTAGAAGGGACTTCGTCTTGCATCTGAGACACCAGCACAGCCACAGGGTGGTAGAGCACCAAGGGGGCTTTTGGAATCTTTGATTCTGGGATGTGGCTCTTGGAAGGCATTTCTGGACTTGCCCTGGGCCAGGGGGAGCCCACTGTCTTAAAGGGTGAGTCCCAGGCCAGGCAGCATTTGCCACAGTCGACTGAAGAGCCCTGGGGGCCTTCAAGGGACATAGAAGGTAATCTGAAAGTACTCCGCATAGGCCTGTGGGGTGGTGGCCATGGGGCAAGGCTGCCCTGCCTCTGGAAAGGGTAGGAGAGAGTGAGAAAGACTGCATCCTGTTGTCCGAGTGCCAGCTCAGCCACAGTACAATAGAACACCAGCTAGGCTCCCAGCCAGCACCTCTGGACCAGCCTGGAAACTGGGGGTAACTCATCGCCCTGAAGGGAAGGACAAAGGCCTGGCTGGCTTTGCCGTCTGCTGATTGTTGAGCCCTAGGCGGGGAGCGGTTACAGTCGGCCTTGGGTGAGACTCAGAGCTGCACTGGCTTCAGGTCTGACTCAGCACAGTCACAGTGATGGTGGCCACAGGGGTGCTTATGTCACTCTATCCCAGCTTTAGGTGGCTCAGAACAGACACACTCCATTTCTTTGGGAGAAAGTAAGAAAGAGAACAAGAGTCTCTCTGATAATCCAGAGAGTTCTCCCAGATCTTGTCCAAGATCATCAAGGCAATACCACTGAGTCTGCAAAAACTGCAGTGTTACTGGGCTTGGGGTGCCCCCTAAAACAGATACAACTTAGATCACAACACCCATGGCCTTTTAAATATGTGAAAAGCCTTCCCAAGAAGGACGGGTACAAACAAGCCCAGATAGCAAAGGCTACAATAAATACCTAACTCTTCAATTCCAGACACAAATGGACACCTACAAGTATCAAGACATTCCAGGAAAAAAATGACCTCACCAAATGAACTAAATAAAGCATCAGGGACCCATCCTGAAGAAACAGATACGTGACCTTTTAGACAGAGAATACAAAATAGCCACTCTGAGGAAACTCAAAGAAATTCAAGATAACACAGAGAAGGAATTCAGAATTCTATCAGATAAATTTAACAAAGAGATTGAAATCATTCAAAATGATCAAACAGATACTGTGGAGATAAAAAATGGAATTGGCATACTAAAGAATGCATCAGAGTCTTAATAATAGAATTAATCAAGTAGAAGAAAGAATTAGCTTGAAGACAGGCTATTTCAAAATACACAGTTAGAGGACTCAAAAGAAAATAGAATAAAAAATAATGAAGCATGTCAAAGAATCTAGAAAATAGCCTCAAAAGGACAAATCTAAGAGTTATTGGCCTTAAAGGGGAGACAAAGAAAGAGATAAGGGTAGAATGTTTATTCAAAGGGATAATAACAGAGACTTTTCGAAACCCGGATAATAATATCAATATCCAAGTACAAGAAAACAGAACACCAAGCAGATTAAATCCAAAGAAGACTGCCTCAAGGCATTTAATAATCAAATTCTAAAGATCAAGGGTAAAGAAAGGATCCTAAAAGTAACAAGGGAGAAGAAACAGATAACATACAATGGATCTCCAGTATGTCTTGCAGTGGACTTTTCAGTGGAAACCTTAAAGTCCAGGAGAGAGTGGCACAACACATTTAAAGTGCTGAAAGAAAGAAACTTTTACCCTAGAATAGTATATCCAGCAAAAATATTCTTCTAACATGAAGAAAAAATAAAGACTTTCCCAGGCAAACAAAAGCTGAGGGATTTTATCAGCACTAGACCTGTCTTATGAGAAATGCCAAAGGGAGTACTTCAATCAGAAAGAAAAGGATGTTAGTAAGTAATCATGCGAAAGTACAAAATTCATGGGTAATAGTAAGCACACAGAAAAACACAGAATTTTATATCCCTGTAACTGTGATGTGTAAACTACTATTATTCTAAGTAGAAAAACTAAATGATGAACCAATCAAAAATAATAACTATAACAATTTTTCAAGCCATAGACAGTACTATAAGATATAAATAGAAACAACAAAAAGTTTAAAATCAGGACAAAGTTAAGACGTAGAGTTTTTATTAGTTTCCTTTTTTTTTGCTTCTTTGTTTCTTTGTTTATGCAAACAATGTTAAGTTGTTATCAGCTTAAAGTAACAGGTCATAAAGAAGCCAGTCATGGTGTCTCACACTTGTAATGCCAGCACTTTGAGAGTCCAAGGTGGGTGGATCACTTGAGGTCAGAAGTTTGAGACCAGCCTGGCCAATATGGCGAAACCCCATCGCTACTAAAAATACAAAAATTAGCCAGGTATGGTGGCACATGCCTGTAATCCCAGCTACTCAGGAGGCTGAGGCATGAGAACCCAGAATGTGGAGGTTGAAGTAAGCCAAGATCACACCACTGTACTCCAGCTTGGATGACAGAGCAAGACTCTGTTTCAGAAGGAAAAAAAAAAGTCATAAGATAGTATTTGCAAGCCTCATAGTGACCTCAAACCATAAAAACATACAATGAATACACAAAAAGTAAAAAGCTAGAAACTAAATCATATTACTAGAGAAAAATCACTTTCACTAAAGGAAGGAAAGAAAGAAGGCAGAGAACATCACAGAACAACTAGAAAACAAGTTAACACAATGGCGGGAGTAAGTTCTTACTTATCAATATTAACATTGATTGTAAATAAGAACACCAATAAAATGAAAGATTACATCAAGTTAAAAAGTTAAAAAGCTTCTGCACAGCAAAGGAAACAGTCAATAAAGTGGTAACCCCGCAGAGTGGGCAAAAAATATTTGCAAACTACCCATGTGACAAGGGATTAATAACCAGAATATATAAGGAGCTCAAACAACTCTAGAGAAAAACAAATCTAATAATCTGATCAAAAAATAGGCAAGATATTTGAATAGACATTTCTCAAAAAAGACATACAAATGGCAAACAGTCATATGAAAAGGTGCTCAACATCATTGATCATCAGAACAATGCAAATAAAAACTACAATGAAATGTCATCTCATCCCTGTTAAAATCGATTGTATCCAAAAGACAGGCAAAAACAAATGCTGGTGAAATGTGGAGAAAAGGGAACCCTCATACACTGTTGGTGGGAATGTAAGTTAGCCCAACCACTATGAATAGTGGTTTGAAGGTTCCTCAAAAAGCTAAATATGGAGCTACCATATGGTTCAGCCATCCCACTGCTGGGTATAGACCCAAAAGAAAGGAAATCAGTATATTGAAGAGATGTCTGCACTCCCGTGTTTGTTTCAGCACTGTTCACAGTAGCAAAGATTTTGAAACAACCCAAGTGTCCCTCAATAGATGAATAGATAAACGAAATGTGGTGCTTTTACACAATGGAGTACTGTTCAGCCATAAAAATGAATGAGATCCTGTTCTTTACAACAACATGGGTGGAAATGAAGATCATTATATTAAGTGATATAAGCCAGACACAGAAAGACAAACATTACATCTTCTCATGTACTTATGGGATCTGAAGATCAAAATAATTGAACTCCATGGACATAGAGAGTAGAAGAATGGTTACCATAGGCTGGGATTAGTAGTGGGACAGGTGGGGCAGGGGGCAGGTTAGGACAGGTAATAGGTACAAAAATAATAGGAAGAATGAATAAGACCTACTATTTGTTAGCATAAAATGGTACTTGTAATCAATTACACTTAATTATATGTTTTAAAATAACTCAAAGAGTATAATTGGATTCTTTGTAACACAAAGAATAAATGTTTGAGGAGATGGATACCCTATTCAGCATGATGTGTTATTATGCATTGCAGGCCTGTATCAAAGCATTTCAAGTACGCTATAGATATATACACCTACTATGTACTCACAAAAATTAACAAATTAAAAAATTAAAGAAAACAGAGTGAGAATGGGATGGTGAGCAGGTGGTATAAGGTATATGATATTGGTGTTCAGACTGTTATCCAAAACCCTAAGAATAGGCCAGGTGCGGTGGCTCACACCTGTAATCCCAGCACTTTGCGAGGCTGAGGCGGGTAGATCATGTGGTGAGGAGTTCAAGACCAGCCTGGCCAAGATGGTAAAACCCTGTCTCTAGTAAAAATACAAAAATTAGCCAGGCATGGTGGTGGGCGCCTGTAATCCCAGCTACTTAGGAGGCTGAGGCAGAGAATTGCTTGAACCCAGGAGGCAGAGGTTGCAGTGAGCTGAGATCATGCCACTGCACTCCAGCCTGGGCAACAGAGCGAGACTCTGTCTCAAAAAAAAAAGGCAAAAAAAACAAAAAAATAAAAAACCCAACCCGTCCTCCCCCCCCCCCCCCCCGCAAAACCCTAAGAATAAAGTTCAGTCATTTTTTTTGCAAATACTACTTGGGACCAACATGGTGCCTGCTACACACGAGGCATTTGATTAATCTGTGTTAAGCGAATAAAAGAATCTAGCTAAAGTCATTATAGCTAACATCATCATACCTAATGTTGATTCTAAGAAGACTAATATTATATATTGAAATCTACAGTAATCAGATGTGTTAGTAGGAAATAATATTATTAACATAATCCAGGAGCATGAATTTAATTCTCCCACTAATATACTCTTCAATCAATAGAGTGCGTCCTCTTTATGGCTGTGTCCCTACTGTATGGAATGCTTGAAATAAAAGGCAGTAGTTTAAGGAGTCTCACTCTGCAGCTCTCTTCTTTAAATATAGACAGTTTATCTGCCATGGTGGGGGTCTTCTGGAAGTTCTCTCGCCTACAAAGCAGGCAGTCATCATTTTAATATTTATTCATCACCATTTAGATGGCAGGATTTATGTTAAGAAATCGGGTGAACAAAACAGACGTGGTCTTTGCCTTGCAGAGTTTACAATCTGATGGGGGAGATGGGAATTAAAAAGCCAAATCCTTAACATGAGATATGACTCTAACTGTTTCAAGGACTAAGAAGAGAGAATGAAAGAAGAGGCCAATTTTTGATCAGGGGATGAGGCAAGACCTCTCCGAATATGTTGCTTTTAGGGAGACTGTCCCTGACATTTGAATCAGAATGAATGAATGGTTTTGACCATGTTGACTGTGTTATAAAGAAATCATCCCAAAGATGCTTTGCATCTAGTAAAACGCTCAATACATATTAGCAATGACTGTGATACACACTTTTACGGTCATCTTCTCATGGCCTTATCAACATGCTGTAGGCCCATGAGTAGACTTACTGGGTATGGCTTTCCCAAGGTACAGATTTATAAATGAATTGGCTGAGACTTGAACGTAATTTTCCTTATGGCTACATCGGTGCTTATTTCTCCAAAGCTATTTTGGAATGGAGCATGCAGTTATTGGGGTCTATGCATTATCTTCATGAGCATGTAAGTTGCTTGGGGGAACTCTTCCCACAGCTCTGTTAAAGCAGTCAAGCCCTTGTGCCAAGCTCGGGGGCGCTTCATGTGCACCTTGCTAAATTCAAGGACAGTTGGGCCATTCAGGAAGCACATGGAGTTGGGTGTGACATGCCTCTTTCTTCTCCCTTCTGACTCTGTCATTTCTTAAAGACTCTCATGAAACTAATGACAAGATGAGGCAAGAAATCACATTACACTTTATAAGGGGCTAATTAGGTAGATATGTTAAAAAGTGTTCCCCGTGGTGCTGTTTCACGGTTGCGCTGTTGGTAATCAGCACTTGCCTTCAGAATGTCAGGATATGAAAAGCGGAGTGGCTTGCCTTGCTGGGTTCTGCTGCGCAGATGAAATGAGTGAAGTGGAGTCTTGGGAATGTGCTCCTCTAGCAGAGTGCGAGTCCTTTGAAGGGATACTTTCGTCTGGTAGTGTATATACTTTGGTCCTGGCTGATCCTTTGAGCATTCAAGCAGATGTACAAGCTCTTCAAGAGATCCCTCCAGCCTCCAGTATAGAGTTTCCTTGGCTTAAATAAGATGTTTATGGGCTGGTGCTAGGGGGTGGTGGGGAGTCCAGGTGAAAAGCTTTTGGAGGTTGAGGTGGGCTTCTCAGCTGACTCTGAATTAGCACATCCATCCATGAACAGCAGGCCCCTAGACAGATATTGGTCATGCTGAGATTCAAAGTGGGGAGACGCACTTTTCCCAAAAAGAAAAACCTGTCGCACCATTTGCCTTCAGTGTGCTTCAGGCTGAAAACCTAAACAGCCATGCTATCAGTTCTGGGTGAGCAGACTATACCAGGGGAAGAATGGAAATGAGAGTGAGGAAGTTCCTGGAGCACATCTGGGTTGAGGACACACAGGGAGAATGATCAGAACCATCCCTGGCTCATCTTTGGGGCCTGTTAGGGTTCCTACCCTGCAAACAACAGTGTCTGAATAATCTATGTTAAAAGGGATTTATGGGACATATAATGTGGGCTGAAGAAACGGGTTTGGGAAGCTCAAGATGCCCAAGGATGGGAAATCTTCGTCCCCTCCATGTGGCTGGCAACATGTGGCCACTGCTGCCACTGCAGAGGACAACTCGAGTGATTCTGGATTCTAAGTACTCAAAGTCCTGGAGGAACCATCTGGGTAGGGGGCTTGGGCCACAGACCCATTCCCAAAGAGTAAGGAGTCCCCTTTTACTCTCTTCAGTGAGAGACAAGATGCTGGGGAGGTTTGCCTCAAGGACATGACATGAAAAGAGTAGGTCACCAAATGAAATCCAGCTGCTTTTAGAAGGGGAAATGAACACTAGGCAGCCAGAAAGTGACAAAGGACAAGTATGCCTGGGTGGGTGCAGAGTCTTGGGCCTCAGGGACCCTGGCACTGAGTGGGAACCTGGTCTGTGCTCGGATCTCCTGCTGAAACTCAGCCAGCTCTCTGCTCAGCCAGGCACTCCTGTGCTGTCCAATAGAGTGGCCGCTACCCACATGTGCTGATTTAAATGTAAATAAATTAAAAGTGTATAGAATTAAATGTCCAGTTCCTCAGTTGCACCTGCCACATTCAAGTGCTCACGGGTCTTACATGGCTAGTGGCTGCCACATGGGCTGATATGGATAAAAATATTTCTGCCATTTTAAAGTGTTTTATGAGATAGCTGTAGAGGTTCAATAGCCAACCAGGCCTTTCTCCTTATCTCCGTCTTATAGGACATCAATTCCAAGGACGTTTTACCCTATGTTTGTCTATGGAAAGAGATTGGGCATCAGATGTGGAAATGAGAAATTATATTTACATATTTTGCCTTTTTCTGTTTTTGTTGGTGGGTGATATGACAACATGGGTAAATGCAGAAATCACAATATAATATATGCTGCGATTATAATTAAATTAAGTCAGATTAACTGTGAACAGGGAATGAGATAGAAGACGTACAAAAAGAAAAGGATGCATTGACTGGGTTTGTATGACAGTGGAGGTTTTCTTTTCATTTGATTTTTACTATTGCTAATAAAATGATTGGGTCTCAAATATGCTTTTGCTTAAAGAAGAGTTGGTTATTTGGGCATAAATGAGATTTTTAGTGTCTTTTGTAGATAACAATGACCCTTCATCTCATTTTTTAGGGTCATAATTTAAAAGATTTCCATGAGCTCATTTGCTCCTCAAATACTCTTGTATAATTCAATACAGGGCTGAGATTTTAATACTAAGGCCCTTTCTAGAACTAAATAAGATACACATTTTTAAAAATGATTTTCAATTCAAATGCAAGGAAACTGAGGCTGAGGATGGCCGAATGACCTGCTCTCTGAAGTCAGTCACACAACTAGTGAGGAGTGAGGCTGGAATGGGAACTTCCCACTTCTGGCTTCTAATTTGGTGCTTAATCCTGTTGTTGTCCACTATAATGTCCTGCTCTTCATTACGGTAGATTCTCTCTGTGTGTTCAGGTTTTCTGCGCCCCCATCTTAACGTGTTGGGTTGCTGAGTAGCATCACACTATGGAGCTGAGCTATGGAGGTGATAGGCGTAATGCAAGCTGACCCCAGAGCGTCAGAGCTGTCAGTTTAAGTGCAGGACTGACAGGGCAGGATCACAGGTGCTTGGTCTGGGAGGCAGAAGCCTTGAGGGTGGAGAGGAACTGGGTCTGCTGGACAGAGCCTTTCTTTACCTCGGCCTGTCTGATGGGGCTGATACCTCCTGCTGGAAACTCTCACAAGGTTGTTGTGGGGTAAAAATGGATAATGCCAGGTAAGCCCTTCAGCAAAGCTGAAAGTGCAAGGTACAAACACAAAGCATGATTTTTTTAAGGAACACTGGGGGAGGAGGGGAAAGTATTCCTGTGAACTTATGCCCCATTCCTGGAAATAAAATACAAAATACTCTTCTGGGGATGGTGACTGAGAAATGGCACTGTGTGGATACCAGCTTCATTTGCTAATTTGTTCAATATAACATGCAGCCGGTAACCTCAGCCCATGTCTTGACGGTATGTGGCTGGAAGGCAAGGGGACTGCTGCATGCAGGCTGCACACAGGAAGATGTGTAAGCGTGCAAACACACACGCACACACACACGTACACAACACACACAGTGGGCTCACTTGTCAGGCTAGCAGCACTAGAAAAGGTCTTTTAAAAGGGAATCCATTTAAAATGGAACAATATTTCATAATAAGTTTAATAAAAAAGATTTGATTAAACACTTGTGGGAGGGAGGGCCTCAGGAAGAATAGCTAATAGATGCTGGGCTTAATACCTAGGGATGGGGTGATCTGTGTAGCAAACCACCATGGCACACATTTGCCTATGTAACAAACCTGCACGTCCTGCACATGTGTCCCTGAACTTCAAATATAAGTTGAAAAAAAACACTTGTTTATTTTATCTTATGTTTAAAACAATCTTTGTTTTAGTTGCAATCATGTACTACAGAACAAATCAATTTTTCTGAAAGTCTTATTAACAACTGCCTAACTCGTAACTACAGTCCTAGGAGGATCTCCTCAGCCAAATGTTTGAAGACTTTTCCATTTTTTCCAAGAGCTCCTGCAGGCCTCTTTTGCTTCTGAAGCTTGCCTGTGGTCAAATCATCGCTTTGTGGTTTTTTCTTCTGCACTAACTACCGTAACTCTGCGTTATCCTCATTTGTCAGTGATTTGCGTGGGATTCAAGGCATTTCCCTTGTCACTTTCACTGACTTTGCAAATCTTATAGAAGGTGCAAGATTTTTCCAATTTCATTTGGCAACTGATTTGCATTCATTTGCACTGTATCGGCAGGCAGCTGCCACATTTTATAATCCAGGAAGTTATACAAGAAGTGTATAACTTCTTCCTGATGGAGCTGCTCTGGGGTGGGGTGTGAGCTTCTTTTTTTTTTTTTTTTTTTTGAGACGGAGTCTTGCTCTGTCACCCAGGCTGGCGTGCAGTGGCGCGATCTCTGTTCACTGCAAGCTCCGCCTTCCGGGTTCACGCCATTCTCCTGAGCAGCTGGGGTGTGAGCTTCTAAGTGGGGACAGGAGATCAAGTAGGGCCAGTCTTAAAAGAGGGCAGATTATTAAAGAATAGATTATTTGTTTCCATCTGGAATCATGTAACCACATCGATGCAGACAACACTCAGGAACATGTGCCTTCTGTGCTTAGCCCCCGATGCCCCCGATGAGAGGGCATTGCCAAGCACAGCGTCAGGGTTATTGTCAGGATCAGCAAGCTCCTGAGTGTGACTGAAAATAATCTCATTTCTCTTCTGTGATTTTGGACAAATCCCTTTTTTTTCCTCTGGCCTCCTGTGTAATGTTTTAACTTCAGTCCTGCTCTGGCATCTCAATACTCCAGCATCTCTCTATAAAACCTTGTGGGCTGCCAGCTTTGACCCAGACCACAGTAACTTGATCCCAGGTTAGGGATGTGGGCCAAAGAGGAACACTGCCATGATGAAAATAACCTTCGGGCCTGCAGTCCGTGGCCATGTGTCACCATATGTGGCAGGGGACGTGGGAGAACATATGGGAGCTGTGACATGGCCATTCTGGGTATTTGCTTCTACAAAGAGCCAAGGGGATGATCAGAAACACTTCATCTGGTATAGTCTGAATTGACTGCAAGTAATTCAGAAAACTTTACTGGGAGGGGCTGGGGAAGTCAGTGAGTAGACATTGGACTTGTTTTCTGTGGTGGTGGTGAAATATTTGCAACAGAAATGTATCATTTGAACCATTTTTCCTGTTTAAGTGTACACTTCTATGGCATTAAGTATACTCACATTGTCGTACAACCACCAGTATTACCCATCTATAGAACCTTTTCATCATCCCAACTGGAAGTCCATGCCATTAAACAATAGCTCCTTATTTCCTTTGCCCCAGCCCCTGGCAACCACCCCACTCCTTTCTGTGTTTTTTATTAGACTATTTAGGTAGGTCATGTGAATGCAATGATACAGTATTTTTCCGTGTCTGACATTTCACTTAGTATAATGTTTTCCAGGCTCATCCATTTTGTAGCATGTGTCAAAATTTCATTCCTGTTTTAGGTGAATAATATTCTGTCGTATTCGTGTACCACATTCTGATTATCCATTCTTCCATCAATTTGGGCTGTTTCCACCTTTTGCCTGCAATGAATAATGCTGCTGTAAATGCCGGTGTGCAAACACAGGTTTGAGTCTCTGCTTTCAGTTCTCTTGAGTTGGGCTTGGTTTTGTCAAGCGTAAATCCTAAACTATGTCTGGCTTCTTTCATTTGAAAATGCCTTTTAAAAAATTAAATGTAGAGTGACATTAATCTGATCCTTTTCTTTAAAAAAGATTTTTTAGAGTCAGAAAATTAGAGGTCATTAAAGACTTGAGAGTTTGGAAGAACTACCTTCATATATCTTGAGGAATAAGAAAGAAACTCAGTGTTCCGAGGCTTCAGAGGGAAGAAGAAACAAGGCTTTTAGGAGCCAGTTTTCAGTTCAAGATAAGGTGGAGCTTTTTAGGAATGAGTGTTACCCAACAAGGCCTTAACTGGTGGGGTCATGAGGAGCCTGTCACAGCCTGCGTAGGGTGGGAGCTTCCAAGACTAGTGTCCAGAGATTGTTATCCCCTCTCCCTCCTTTATCTCTCCCTTTCCAGAAATACTTCCTGCTCACAACTTGATTGTACTTGTTGTGTAATTGTTGTTGTGCTCACAACATTTTGTACTTGATTACATATTCTGCTCTGTGGTGCCCCAATTACTCAAGGTGTGTGAATCTTGACTCCCCAGTATTTGCAGGGCTTATTACATGCCTTTGTTGTAAACCCTGTGAGCCCCGTCAATTTATGGAAATGTCACATTGAAGATAAACTGGAAACATTATCTGAGAAAGATAGAGAGATAGGAAAAAAGAGAGAAATAGGGAGATATTAAAATATAGCTGTATCTATCATCTATTGAGAGAGACAGAGAGAGAGATAGAGAGAACAGAGATAGAGATAGAGATACAGATACAGATAGTTTTAGGTTAAACTGAAGGTGAAATTCTAACCTAATGCTCTTTTAAAAAAATGAAACTAGTCCTGTTTCCTCTCTTTCTTCTTCTGGGTACCTCTGTCCTACCCATCTTCTTTTATTTCCCCATTTTTAGAGAAGAAGAGCTGGTAATTATTCACCTGTGATATTGGGGAATTGTTATTAGTCCAAGTGGCTGCTCGCTAATCCTTCAGGGAGTGCTTGTGTCAGGGGAGATTGTGCATATAAGGCTCTCTAAATGATGTGGAGAACTCCCCCATGTACCCTGTTAGCAAGGAGAGGGCTTGTTTTGGAGGGTTGCCAGTGAAGCATTTCAAAGGTAATTGGGAAATGATGTCTTAGAAATAATGCAAAAAATGCACCAAGTTTTCCTAGCCTGAGATGGAAACAGTCCCCTCTCTGCAAGGCAGCCCAGTGGTTTACAGTAATCACCTATAGAAAAATTGTATTTTCAAGCCCCCAATTAATTTCTTACCCACTGGAGATGATAAAAGGACTGTCAGCCAGGAAATAAAAATAGCCTAGTGGAGTGCCTGTGTGTGTGTGTGTGTGTGTGTGTGTGTGTGTGTGTGTGTGTGTGTGTGTGTTTTAACAGAAGATTCATGCTGTTGCTTTTGCTGGTTTCAAAACAACACAAAGACCTGGCTGTGGGCCAGGGATTATGGGCAGGAGTGTGGCAGTGGCAATAATAATAAGGAAGGAACGGGCTGCTCGTTTGTACGTTTGATCTATGGACTGATTGGGAGCGTAATTAACAGGTTCCGTTCAGGCTGTCTGTGGGAGCTGCGCGGAGGCAGGAGATGGATGACCGTGGTTAGTGACTGCGAAGATGCTAATGCCCCTCAGGCTACGCCGGAGGGCGCCGCGTCCCTCGGGAAGCAGAAGGTCTTGGCCTCCGCTCTCTGTTTTCTGGCCTCTTTGTTTTTCTCTGGTCTGTCTGCACAGTCCAAGAAACTTCCCTCACATTCTCTGCCTTATTTTAAGTTCTCTCGCAAAGCAGACCCTGAAACAATAATTTGGGTGGAGGTAGCCTCCAGAGAAGTACGATGAGGCAGTGGGACAGTGAGACATGGAGGAAAGAAAGACAAAAAAGGGTGTGTTCGTCACCAGGTGACCGCTGCTGGGCAACAGGGGCTCGGTCTTCCTGGGCGCGCTGATTCCACTGAAGGAGGTGAGGCCCAGGGCAGGCTGCGGTGCAGCTGGAGAGCAGGGCGAAGAGGATCTTTCAAGAGGAGGACGGGCAAGAGATGGCAAAGCGGGGCTAAGGGTGTGCGGGGGCTGCTTCTAGTTCCTCCCAGAGGCCCCGCAGCTCCTTTGCCCACCATTTCTATGAAGCATCTCTTTCATCATGCATATCCCACTTTTCACTAACTTAAGTGAATGAGAAGAACAGAAATACGACATGAACAAACACTCTTTATGTTTATAATGTCATTTTAATTCCTTATGAGAGGAAGTGTTTAATACGACGCCTATCATACACCCGGCCCTCGACAAATGGCAGCCACTATTATTTATGATGACTACTTAATCCCTGGTCCTATCTGACCTTGTCTCTCACCTTATCCCTGAAACTGACTGGAAATAAAAACATTTTTATTTCCTGACAGCCAGGAAATGAAAATAGTTTTCTTGGGACTGTCTCAAACACCCGAAACTCAATAAAAATGAATTTCTCATCTAAGATACCTGCGTATCTGGCATGAACAATCACCACATATCCAGTATTCATGTCAGAGGCAAAGAGCATCCCTAATTCTTTCTCCTGTCCCACAACCATGAAAAGAAAATAAAATCTCGGGACCCCAATGCACCCTGCCAAAAGGAAAAATTAGCTGAAAGCTGAGTCATGCAAGAAGCTGCCTTTTCTTTTCTTCCTAAGCAGAGAGCTACAGATAAAAGGCTAACTATTAATATCTCTACTCTGCGTTCACCTTGTCTGTGTAAAGTGCCGATTTACTGAGTGCAGGAAGGATGCATGATTGACTATTTCCCCACCTGTTCCTTTTCCCTTGCAACATGTGGATTCAGTAATGTGACCATGCCCTCCCTCTTTTCCCTCCAACCCACTTTCCCTTTTAAAATATTGAAGCCCTCAAAGTCAACTCTGGAGAAGGGCACAGACTACAGGCTGTTTCTGGGATCCCGTAGTCCTTTCTTCCAGGCATGTTCTTAACCTTGACAAAAAAAACTTTTGATTTGATTGAGACCCGCCTCAGATACTTGTTGGTTTCCACAGCCAATCAATAAACATGCTTGGTAAATTCACCCTCAACAGTGTTTCCCAAGGCCATCTGTTTCATTTCCCCCACTATCCTGGGCCACACATTATCATTTCCCACAAATACATCAACAATATCTAACAAGACTCCCAACCACCTGCCATGCCCCTTTCGATCTGGTGGTTTTTCAAGCTTTCTGTTGAGACAGTAGTTAGTATCCTTTGCTCAAATAAAATCGTATGTGAAACTCCAGTATATGAGGCCCACAAAAGTGAAGCTGCTCTGGTTTAAGAAAATGGGGAGCAGAGGCGACTAGGGCCCTCCCATCCAGCCTCCCCATGTACACCCTGGTCCTGTCCAACCCATAGCCCGGAATATGACACATGAACACAGAGGTGAGGAAGAGAGGCAGTGAACCATGAAGACATCCGGAGGGGAGAGCATTCCAGGAAGAGGCAGTGGCCAGAGCACAGGCCCCAAGGAGCAGCTGGAGGCCAGTGTGGTGGAGCCAGCCAGGCAGGAGGCAGCCCAGGGAGAGCCCCGGGAGAGCCCGCAGAGAGACACGTGGGTCATGTTGGCCACTGGTTGGGTGGGGTTTTGGCTTTTGCTCCAGAGAGGCAGGGGCCTTTGGAGGTTGTGAGCACAACAGTGACCTGGGGGATCCTTGTGGTGGATGATAGACTGCGGGGAGGTAAATGTGGGAACAGGATATCCGTGAGGAAGCTGATGCAATAATTCAGTTAAGAGATGATGGTGGCTTGGAGCAGGGTCGTGGCAGGGAAGTGGCGAGAGGAGCTCAGATTCTGTGTGCATTCTGGAAGCAGGAGCAACAGTGTTTGTTAAAGGATTGAATGTGGCTGTAAGGGAAAGATGCGTGTTTAGAACAGCACTTTTTTCCTTTTGGCCTACATACCTGGAAGGAGGACTTCCCATCAGCTAGGAAGTAACAGCTGTGGGTAGAGCAGGTTTTAGGGACATGCTGGTAACTTCATCACAGGTGCATTTTCCGTGATATTTTATTGACATTATCTCTGATTTTTTCATTTTGCATAAAAATTTGATAATCGATTATCTAGTTCCAACAATCAGATAAATGGAGAAAGTAATCACTTTACAGAAAAGTTTAGACTCAGGATTGATTATAATAGTAAAATTGGAAACCATCATAGCATATGTAAAATGTAAATCAGCTTAACATAAAATTTCGGAAACATATTTATTACAGAAAGGTCAGCCAGAGAATGTGACGATGAGGCCAAGTGACACAAGGTGAGAACTGGGCCTTTACAGCAACAGCATACAATGCCCTTGGGTGGCATCTCGTGAGCCCTTCTCCTCGGGACCTTTCTGCCCCATGCTCAGCGTGGTGATGTGTGCCGGCCAGTGCAGCAAGGAGCCCTCTTCAGGGGCTCGGTGGGGGGAGGCTCACATGGCCTGGATGGCCGGCAGTGGGACATGGGTACTTAGGAAATACCGAACCTACAAATATTCATGTTTTCAAGCAACCATGTAATAGTCGTATTATATTTATAGCATCACACAGCCAGTGCCTGACACATAAGCACAGCAGGTGCTCCACACGTGAGAATGAAGACATGCTGTGAAGGGTGCGGGCAGAGAGAATTCTCAGCCCATGCTGATCTCATTTGCCTTCCATCCTCGGCCACAGCCCTGAGTGGTCTTTAGATAGAACCACCCACCACACCAGACCTGAGTGGTCTTTAGATAGAACCACCCATCACACTGTTTCATGCTCCTGCTCAGCTGGGGTCATTATGTATCTTTCTTTGGTTGTCTTTGCAACTGTACCTGTTACTTTCAGCAGTAAGTGACATGAAACCTAACTTCCTCAACCTAGCTCAAAGGAGGGCCACACAACGCTGTGCAACAGCTCCCGTGTCTCCAAGGACCCAGCGTCTTTTTACAGTTCCGTTCTTCCATTCTTAACCAGGTCAGATTTCATTTTTAAGTTGATCATCTCATGTTTGCAGGGTGGCAGATGAGACTGGTGCCCTGGGTTTTTTCCATTTCCCAGGATAGAAGTCAAGAAAGACGTGGCAATAAAGGAGAGTTTATTACCTTGTGCAATGGGGAGCCAGCGTGAGACAGGAAAAAAGAGCGGTGGCCCCCAAGGAGACTGTGTAGTTCAGCCTTATAGGGTCTTTTATAGGGAAGGGTTATGTCAGGGTGTGTCTAGGAGTTTGTCCAGTGCTTGCACAGTGGCTCAGCACGTTTCTTTATGCATTGCATGTAGTATTAGCATTCTAAATCTCCACTCTGGGCATGAATTTTAGCATCATGATGAGGAAAGAGTAACTTTAGGCTGGAGCTTAAGTCTGACTGCACACGCAGTACTTGAGGAAAGCCCTTAGCCCCCTGATAGAAATTTGCTGTCAATAGGTTCCCAGGTCTTTTGTACTGATTGCCTGAGGGTTAGATGAGCCAGAGTTTGAGTGAAGGGCTTTTATCCTTTAACATTAGCCCATGTCAAAATAGGAAATCAGCCAGCCGGCCTGTCTCAGCTGCACTTTCAGCAAGTGCATGCTTACTCCATGCAGCAGAAGGGAGAAGACAAAAGAAAACGGGAAGCACATGCATTTTGTCGTTGTTGTTGTTGTTGTTGTCAGAAAAGAAAAATTTCCCAGAAAGCTAGAAGCAGACTTCCTTTTAGGTCTCTTTAATGTCTAGGTCATATGACCAGCTTTCTTGAAAAGGTGGCTGGGAAAATAATTATTTTTTAGCACGTCCTGTTGCTGCTCCTAGCAAAACTGGGATTCTATTGGCAAGTGAAACATGGGAATGTGTGTTGTGTGGGTAACACATAGATTTGTTATACCAACTACACCATAAAACCCATGATTGCTGAGTCCATGAGCTGGTCTTTGTCTCTATTGAGGACCTCTGAGTGCCATAGAAGAGAACTAAGCAATGACTGACTGCGTGATTCCAGCGGGAGTGGTTACCGGGAGCCAGGGCTTTTGTCCAAGGTGACAAATCCAGGGAAGTTGGTCCCTTTGATCTCTGGTAGTTTCACTAAGAACCAGACCTTCAGCTTGAGATGAAATCACTGTGCTTCTGCCAAAGAGTGCTTCATGGCTGGTTAAAGGGCTCCTTTTAGCTGCCAGGACTCATGATCAAGCTATCCTTGACAAATTTTAATTTTAGTAAAAGTAATTGGCCTAATATGAATCAGACTGATGGCCAGCTTTCAGAACAGCCTCTAATGGTTCATAATGTCCATACCACCCAGGGGACTCAAGATAACATCGCCAAAGATAATTATTACAGAATGTAGGAGCTGATCACGAGGAGTAATTAAATGTCTTGTTCATGCATATTCCCTGCTTTGAGGAAAGAGATAAGGAGCTCCCAAGAGAGGTTATAGGTTTCTGGGAAAAGTAACTTTCCTTAGCAGCTTAGGATGACTTCAGGATTTTAACCTAATTCAACAAGTTTCTACTCAGCCCAGGGATAAGCCCCATGAACAAGAGAGGTGTAAATATCCAAACAGCAGGGGGAGAAACTTACAGATTAATTAGAAGAAAAAGACTAACATGAGAAATCTACCTTATTAAAAGCACTGCTTTGGATAGAGATGGGCCTGAACTCAGACTCTAATCCTGACGCTATTTTTGAGGACTTAGGCAACTTTTTTAACCCCTTGCAGTGGGTTTCCTAATCTAGAAATTGAAGGCAATAATAGGTATCTTCACAGATATTTAAACTGTATTAACTAAGAGTTAATATGAAATAATGAAGGCAGAGTACATAGCCCAGAGCTTGGCAAGTGTAAATGAATCTTGGCAGAGCATGTTGGTGGGTGGGCTGGGGCTCAGGCTGCCAAGGTTGCCCTTGCTGCCCCTCCTCCCACCTATGGCATCTGCTGCACGCATTGAATGCAGGGGGGATTTTGTTTCATAACTGGGAGGCTGGGAGGAGATGTTGGTGCTTTGGAACAGGCTGACAAGGATAAACAAGGAGCAGCATCTCACATGCCCTGCCCAGCCCTTGGCCCTGGTGTGAATCCCATGGTATAGGGGTGGGGACCAGAAGCCAGCCAAAGCTTTTATGAGTTGGGCCCCAAAGCCACTCTGCTGGTATTTGCAGGCCATGAGAGAGTGGCATGGGCCGGGGACAGGATTCTTCCATCCTGTGCCACCTCCAGCACATCTGGGAGCTTTGGGATGTTCGGAGGCGGTGCACCTTGCACAGGCATTGATGGGGGTGACTGGCCATGGCAGGCAGAATCAGGCCCACACTGCTTGGTGATGGAGCTGGACCAGGTCTGTGGCTCACGAGACTGTCTTTGCAGGACTCAGAAACAATGGGAGGGGATATTGGGAGGCCTATGCTCCTCTCTCAGCAGGTGGCTTGAACTGAAGTCTAATTGGACCTCTATTCCTATCCACAGCCTGGAGCAGATAGATGGCATTGGGATTGTACCTCACGCCAACCACAGTGTGATTCAGCCTTAGAATGAGAGAGTTGTAGCTTTTGCATGAGAGAGCAAGTGTACAAGTTACCACCGCAGCATCCGGCACATAGCAGTTGCTCAACAAATACCATCAGCCTTAAGGGTCATGTTTCCAATTTCAGGGGGGGTAAAGAATATTATGTCTTAGAAAACTCAGGAAAATGTCTATTCATTTATCTGTTCATTCAACAAGAATTTATTGAGTGCCTACACATACTTTATATGTGTATGTGTGTGTGTGTGTGTGCATACAAATATACAGAACATCCAAATCCTGGTCAGGAGGAGGCATGGGTGAATGGAATGAGCCCTGCATCTGGAAGTGTGGATCCCAATGGAAGAGGCCTGCATGTGCATCAGCAGGTGCAGCCCAGGCAAAGGCTGATAAAGCTGCAACAAGGATGAACCAAGCAGAGTGAGAGCATGGGAGAAGTATGCATGGCTTTCTGGGGAGAAGGCCATTGAGTTGAATCTGGAGTAGCTCCCCTTCCACAAGTGGAGATCTGGGAAGGCAACCACCCTAATTAGAGGAGAGAGCAGGAAAATACAGGGAAATTTCAAGAGACCAAAAATAATTTGTTTTACATGTGGTACATATCCAACATGGAATACTACACAGCCATAAAAAAGAATAGAATTGTGTCTTTTGCAGCAACATGGATGCAGCTGGAAGCCATTCTCCTCAGCAAATTAACACAGGAACGAAAACCAAATACCACATGCTCTCACTTAAAAGTGGGAGCTAAACACTGACTACACATGGACACAAAGATAACAAAAATAGAAACTGGGGACTACAAGAAGGAGAAGACTACAAGGGGCAAAGGTTGAAAAACCACCTGTTGGGTACCATGCTCACTGTTTGGGTGGTAGGTTCAATAGAAGCCCAAACCTCGGCATCACACAATATCCCCATGTAACAACCTGCACGTGTACCCCCTGATTCTAAAATAGTTGAAAATTTTTTAAAGGTTGAAAAATTAAGGATAAATAAATAATTGATGAAAATTTTTTAAAAATTTATTTTGGGCCAGACACGGTGGCTCACGCCTGTAATCCCAGCATTTTGGGAGGCCGAGGTGGGCAGATCACTTGAGGCCAGAAATTCGAGACCAGCCTGGCCACCATGGCAAAACCCCATCTCCACTAAAAATATAAAAATTAGCCAGGCATGGTGGTGGGCACCTGTAGTCCCAGCTACTCGGGAGGTTGAGGCAGGAGAATAGATTGAACCCGGGAGGCGGAGGTTGCAGTGAGCCGAGATAGCTCCACTGTACTCCAGTCTGAGCAACAGAGAGAGACTCAGCCTCAAAAACAAAAAAATTATTTTGATAACAGCCTTGTTGATAGGAGGGGAGAGGAGGGATGCTGTGAGCCAGGCAGGCTGAGGTTCATGTACAGAAGTCCTGGATGCCTTTCTAGGAAAAGCAGGGACTCTGGAGGTGGGCGTGCATGGTGGCAGGTGGCCTGCTTTGGGGGATCACATCCTGCAGGGCTCCTGGGCTTGACAAGAACACAGGCCTCAAGGAGAGGCATGGTAATTTGCCTTTGGAAAGGACTTGGACGGAAGCCTCTAACTCTGTTCTGGTATGAACTGTAGGAATTATGCATGCCCTGGCTCTGAGACTGGTGGCTTCTCCATGTCTCTGAGGAGCAAGGTCTCACGTTTCCTTGTTTGTTCTGTTGTTTCCTTCATTATCTCCTGATGACCTTCTGCTGCTGTGAAAATGTGTCTGGCTGGGGATAGGAGGGTCCAGCAGTCACACTGGATGCCAGAGTCTGCCCACCCTGGCTTCGTCCGCTCCCTGACCCCCAGATAATGTTTTATGAGGTGTCTGAGACACAGACATCAGGCAAATATGTACTGGAATTGGAAGCCCAGATTTGCTGCTGCCTGAGCAGTTCATGAACCACATGACTGCCTCCTCTCCATCAAGATTTTCTTTCAAATCGAGTGTATGACCACTCTCCAAAAGGGAGTGTCTCAATGCAGAACAATGTAATGGGGGATGGTGGAAAATCAGATCAGCCAAGGCCTGTGCCCTGCGGCCCTGTGGCCACAATTTTCCTCTACCCATTCAGAGCACTAAGAGCCACCCCATGAGCATGCCTCTCCCTCATCTTCACGTGGACCAAAGCAGGCGTCACAAAGTGAGTTACGAACCACTAATATGGTTTGTAAATTTATTGTTTTCTCCTTGCTCTTAACTCGGAATTGTCAGGTTCTCCTCCTTTTCCTTCAGGGCCCCATTTTCCTTTGACAGCTCTTCCAGGCCAAGACTGAGAGAGCCCTAGAGGTGGAGGTGCCACCTTGAAACATGGGATAGTTCATGCCCACCCCTTGGCTGAGCAATGGCCAGGGAGAGCGCTCTTGTCACAAGGCATGGTGGGCTAGGGAGGAAAAGGAAACTCAGAAGTGGCGCCAGAACCCTCTTGCAGAGCCTGCCAGGCGCTTTTCACAAACACATCCTCATAAACAGCCACAGATGGCCTCTTTCACGGAGCATGCCCAGATAGTCCCCGGGTGACTAATTCCTGCCTTAGCTGTTAAAGCCGATTTCCCCACCATCAGTGAGGAACCTCTCCGCTTCAGTTACCTCCTCCCAGCGCCAATAAAGTGCACATGGCAGCTCTGAGCTCAGGCACGCGCTCTCATGGGGTTGCTCCAATTTCCATCCACAGTGATTTTGCTAAGCCAAAATATTTTACTTCCGATTAACCTGAAACAGTTTTTAAGTCTCTCTTTGCATTGAGAGATGCAAGGAAGTCAATGGATGGGTAGGTGGGCAGTTTTGGGCAACAAATACAATCTTGGGTGGGGACTTGAGCTAAGTCTTTAAAGCCCTGTCCTAAGATTTCAATAGTTTCTCATTCAGTCTCTCCTCTTAACTAAAATTTAAGTATCACTTTACAGACAAAATATATTTAAAAGATAATGTCTGTGCCTCACTCATCCCTCCCTGGGTCTTATCACTGTAGTGTAGTGTAGTGTAGACTTCCAACTACCCCGGGATCTTTTTGTTGCACGTTGGAAGATCTGATAAACAAGATAATCTTCCCTGCCTCCATGGACAGCCCATGATGGGAGGCTGCCTTGAGTCAGTACAAATGTCCCAGCCCCTCTGTCCTCATGGGAGCTAACTCCAAAGAGTGTGTTCTATGCCCAGAAGTGATGCAGGGCAGGTGAGCCCCAAATTGGAGCTTATCCTGGGAGAATTCTTGGCTTCTCCCAGCAAAGAATTTGAGGGCGAGCCGGTGGTGTTGGACAGCAACTTTTCTTGAAGCGGCTGTGTGCAGCAGCAGGGGGACTGCTCCTCGCAGAGCGGAGCCACCCCACAGGCTGTGTGCCTGGAGGAGCAGCTCAGGACAGTTCTGCAGCCACGTTTATCCCACCTGTAATTATATGCAAATTAAAGGACATCTCTATGCAGACATCTCTAGGATGAGGGTGGTAACTTCAGGGTCATCAGATCATTGCCATGGAAAGGGACTGTAACGTCCCAGTGTTGCCATGGCAACAGTAAACTGACGCGGCTCACTAGTGGGCGTGTCTTATGGAAAGCTACATCTGCGCAGTTCCTGTTTCAGACAGTCCTCAGTTTGTTCTGGCGTCCTAGTCCCGCTTCTGGAGTCAGGTTGCACCTCCTGCCTCAGAAGGATCAAGTTCCAGTTGCCCACATTGGTAATTAGCTTGATAATCCATCCTTTACTGTTACCTCCTGCAATCCTCTTATTCATTATGATGACTATTTTTTGAGAGAGGGTCTAGCTGTCACCCAGGCTGGAGTGCAGTGGCATGACTGTAGCTCACTGTGGCCTTGACCTTTCCAGGCTCAAGTGATCCACCCACTTCAGCCTCTCAAGCAGCTGGGACTACAGCTGCATGCCACCACACAGGGCTATTTTTTTTTTAATTTTCTGTCCAGATGGAATCTCACTATGTTGCCCAGGCTTGTCTCCAACTCCTGGGCTTAAGTGATCTGCCACTTCAGCCTCTCAAAGTGCTGGGAGTACAGGCGTGAGCCATCACACCCAGCCTTTCTATTCACTTTTTTTTTTTTTTTAAGAGACAGGGTCTCACTCTGTTTCCCAGGCTGGAGTTCAGTGGCACAATCATAGCTCTTGGCACAAACTCTTGTGCTCAAGCAGTCCTTCCACCTCGATCTCCCATGTAGCTGGGACTACAGGTGTGCACCACCACCTGGCTAATTTTTTTAGAATTTTTTTTTTGTAGAGATGGGGTCTTTCTATGTTGTCCAGGATGGTCTCGAATTCTTGGCTCAAGCAATCCTCCCACCTCAGCCTCCCAAAGCTTTGGGATTACAGGCATGAGCCACTGCACCTGGCCCCATCTCACTCTTCTATTCCCTTACCTGTGTTTCCTGGGATCACCTTCCAGATACTTTTTTTTTTTTTTCTGAGACAGAGTCTTGCTCTGTTGCTCAGGCTGGGGTACAGTGGTGCGATCTCAGCTCACTGCAACCTCTGCCTCCTGGGTTCTGAGATTACAGGCGCCTGCCACCACACCCAGCTAATTTTTGTATTTTTAGTAGAGGCAGGATTTCACCATTTTGGTAAGGCTCGTCTTGAACTCCTGACCTCAAGCAATCCACCTGCCTTGGCCTCCCGAAGTGCTGGGATTACAGGTGTGAGCCATTGCGCCTGGGCCCAGATACATTTTTTATTCATGAATTTTTGTTTCAGGATCTGTTTCTTAGAGAATGAGAGAGAAAAATGGCATCAGGAGTCATGGAGCCTCCAGGCTGGGTCTTGCTCTGGTGAGAAAGCACAGGACCGGGGTGGATTTCTGAAATCCAGGCAGTGCTCCGCACCAGGCGCGTAACAGACAGGTCTCCATGGAAAATAGTTCAAATGTTGGGCTTAAGGTTCAGCAAATTACATACAAAGTCTTCTTAAGGCCCCTTATGGAATTTGCTTTATGAGACGGGAAGATCTTTGCTCTGAAGGAGTGAACCGTGTGACTCCAGTCACCTTGCTGAGGGGATGTACTCCTCACGATTTATGGGACCTGATCTGTTTTTCATGGCATCAGGGCAGAGGAGCCATAAGGGGAAGTCCTGTGTGCTGACAGACCAAGCACACCCACTGGTGAGGCTCAGCCAAGTGCTTAACTTTAACCACTGATTAAATTTCCTTCTGTCACCTGCTCGTTGAGGCTCTGCTCTGTGCATTGCACTGTGTGGATCATAGAGGAGAAAAGGGAGATGAGACAAAGGACCAGCCCTGCAAGGGCTTATCATTTTCTGGAGTCTGAGAAAATTCTGGGAGCAAAATGCTTAACTGGAAGTCAGAAAACTTGAGATCTTGTACCTTGTCTTTTGCTGCATGATTTTAAGAAAGTTACTCCCCCTCTCTGAGTCATAAATTTCCATATGAAAAAGGAGGTGAGAGGATAGATGAACTCTAATTTCTCTCCCAACTCTGATTTCCTAGTCTTATATTTTGAAGGAACATTTAACTTTGTTCCTGAAGTTTTGGTAATTTGAGTCTGTAAGATAAATGTAATGCACAGATTACCAGGGGAAAAAGGTGTAAACATTTTATTAGCATTCATATGGGCTTGGGAGTCATACAAAATATAAAGACTCAAACAAATGTCAAGATGGTTGATGCTTTTAGCCCTCTTGAATATACAGAAAATAGGGGCTTGGATCATGGCAAAAAGGATACGGGAGAGAGAGAAGAGGAGAAGAGGCCTGGTTAGCAGAGGCAGTCTTGGTACACAGCTGGAGCCTCTCAGGTGGCAGCCCTCAAAGGGGGTGGGTGGCAGCTTCTGGTAAATGTTTCTCTGCAAGACCTTTAAAGGTGTCAGCCTCTCAGTTAATCTTTCCTGGACCTTGACAAGGAGGACTTCGGAGAAAGCCTTTCACATCTGTTGTTTACTTCCCTTTATTTCCTCTGCAGGTGCAAATCTGCCCCACAAAAGACAGCTTTGCAGGGCTCCTTGTGTTTGCAGGCCCTCTGAACAGCCAGCTCAGAATATGCCTAAGACACATATTTTGGGGTGAAGTATTTTGGTTTTGTGATATCACATAATTCAAACTTAAAATAATTTAAACTTAAAGTTATTGGAATTTTACCTTATTCTGAGCCTTGTGAGGAACATGGCTATGCAGCAGAGTCACGTGGAATGCAGCTGCGGCTTCCGCTTTTTTCTGCTCGTAAATAATTATAACCCAACAGTGTCAAGACCCCCTTAGGTCACTAACCCTCTTCCTGGAGTGGAGTCATCTTCCTTGGAATGGAACAATATGTGACTGATCAGTTTGCTCCAGCTCTGCCCTGTTATCCTGTGGAAAGTGTCCTGATCTCACCGATGTTTCTGTCTCTGGCTTTAGAAGTGAAACAAACACCAGCTCTCCCTATTCATTTGGGGTCGGCGTCTCCCAGACGGGCATCCTCAAGCTGTGTGCCCAAATAAACTCCACCCTTAATCATATCTTCTGAACTTCATTCTTTAAGGTTGGCAGTTGCCTTTAATCTCTTAGCAACATTTTGTATATTCTGGATTCTAGAGATGAGGCCTCAACATAAAGTTTAAAAGGTAGTAAAAAAAGCTTTTATATTTGTATTCTATGACACAGTCACTGAGGTAACATATTTAAGGTTTATATGATTTTAAATATAGGTACCCTAATATTAAATATTATCATCATTCACAGATAAGTTGATCAAAATCTGTTGATGGGTATTTAGATTTTTCTAATTGTTTTACTATTACTTCACTGCAATAAACATCCAATTGGATATATATTTAATTAATTAGTTAAGTAATTAATTTGTTTATTTTAGAGATGGGGTCTTGCTATGTTGCCCAGCTTGATTCACACTCCTGGGCTCAAGCAATCCTCCAACCTCAGCCTCCTCTGAGGAGCTGGGGCTATGGGTGCTCACCACCATGCCTGGGCTTTTTTTTTTTCTTTTTTTTTTTTTTTTTTTTTTTGAGACATAATCTCACTCTGTAGCCCAGGCTGGAGTGCAGTGGCGCAATCTCGGCTCACTGCAACCTCCGCCCCCCAGGTTCAAGTGATTCTCCTGCCTCAGCCTCCCGAATAGCTGGGATTACAAGTGGGTGCCACCAGGCCGGGCTAATTTTTGTCGTTTTCGTAGAGATGAGGTTTCACCATATTGGCCAGGCTGGTCTCCAACTACTGACCTCAAGTGATCTGCCCACCTCGGCTTCCCAAAGTGCTGAGATTACAGGCACCCACCATCAAGCCCAGCTAATTTTTGTATTTTTAGTAGAGATAGTGTTTCACCTTATTAGCCAGGCTGGTCTCAAACTCCTGACCCCAGGTGATCTGCCTGCCTCGGCCTCCCAAAGTGCTGGGATTACAGGCGTGAGCCACTGTGGCTGGCCAGCCTGGCATATTTTTGCACTTGGTGTTTCTACGGGGTGAAATAGCTATAGATGGGAATGCTAGGCCAAAGGATAAACTTTAAAATATTAACAGATCCAGCCAAATTGCTGTTCAGGGATGCCTTTAGTGAGAAAGAAACAAAAAAACAAAACAAAACAAAAAACCATTTTATGTGAGAAATGTGAGCCCCTTTAAATGTTTAGACCCAGAGAGGAATTTAAAATGCAACAGCCATCACCCCTGGAGCTAAGTAATTATCTCTTGAAGCCACTTCCTCTATGGGCTCTAAACTAACTGACACCCCATAGCCATAAAATGCCCTAGGAGGACACCTTAACTCATACCCTATAGGTCAACAATGTAGAGTCAATCTCTAATTAATGTTATCTCTCTAAACCAGTGAGAACTCCTGTCAAACAACTTTGTACCAGCCCACCCCCTGTTCCCCTTGACTTCAAAAACCTTGTGAAAGAGGCAGACCAAACACTCCCCAAGGCACCTGGGAAGTGTGTCCCGGGCAGGTGTCCTCACGTTGGCTCCAGTAAATTCTTTAAATACTATTTTGGGGCGGGGTGCTGTGACCCACGCCCATAATCCCAGCATTTTGGGAGGCCAAGGTGTGTGAATCACCTGAGGTAAGGGACTTGAGACCAGCCTGTCCAACCTGGTGAAACCCCATCTCTACTAAAAATACAAAAATCAGCCTGGTGTGGTGGCAGGTGCCTGTAATCCCAGCTACTCGGGAGGCTGAGGCAGGAGAATCGCTTGAACCCAGGAGGTGGAGGTTGCAGTGAACCAAGATCACGCCATTGCACTCCAGCCTAGGCGACAAGAGTGAAATTCCATCTCATATAAATAAATATTATTTTGCACCCCAGCTTCTTCCTTTCAGGTTGACTTTAGTTACCATATCTTTGTTTACAATGACAGATTTAAAGAAGGTAAAACATAATCTGATATATGAAACATAGCATTGGATTGTGTTTTAATTTTATATCTTCCAATGTGCGTGCCATTCACCATAATTTTTGGTTTTGGCTATTTTATTCTCTCTTCTGTTAATGCCTTTTGTTTTTGATTTGCAAACACGTTTGTGTAGTAAGGCTTCTATGCGTCTGTAAATATTTTACAGCTCTCTCTTTTTTTAATTTTGATTTTTGCTATTCAGAAATTTAAAATTTATAACATAATCAAATTTGTCAGCATTTTTCTTCCTCATTTTTAGTTTTGATGTGAAAACTAATGTCTTTTTTTCTCAGACAATAAATACACTCCCTTATGTTTTTTTCTAGTGCTTTTATGGTTTCTTTTTTGTATTTAAATCTTTCATCATTTAGAAAGTTTATTTTGGAAAAAATAAATAATTCCAGCAGATTTTTTTTTGAAATGTATCAACTTTTGAAGTTTACATTTTATTATCACATCATGCCACTTCTTGGCTCAAAACTCTCTCATGGCTTTATCTCAATTAAAGTGAAAGCCACCTGGCGCAATGGCTCATGCTTGTAATTCCAGCACCTTGGGAGGCTGAGTGGGGCGGATTGCCTGAGCTCAGGAGTTGGAGACCACCCTGGGCAACATGGTGAAACCCTGTCTCTACTACAATACAAAAAAATTAGCCGAGTGTGGTGGCGCACACCTGTAGTCCCAGCTACTGGGGAGGCTGAGGCCTGAGAATTGCTGGAGTCCAGGAGGTGGAGATTGCAGTGAGCTGAGATTGCACCACTGCACTTTGGCTTGGGATACAGGGTGAGACTCTGTCTTAAAAAAATAGTAATAATAAAGTGAAAGCCAATATCCCTGTCATGGCCTGTAAGCTCCTGCCTATCTGGCCCCCACTCTTCTGTTCCCCTTACTCCCTCTAGCCACCTGGCCTCCTTGACATTCCTCAAACACACCAAGCATACTGCCACCCTACCTAAGACCTTAGCACTGCCTTGGATTCTTTCCCTGCAGTTATTGACATAACTTGTTAGCTCATCACCTCCACTGGGTCTTTGCTCACACATCATCCTCTCATTGGAGCCTTCTCCAACCACCTTATATGAAATTTCAACCCTCCCTTCTTTCAGCTCCTCAGACTCCTCAGTCCTCTTTCCTGCGGTATCATTCCCCATCACAGCTGCCACCATCTGACATTTTATGCATTCCAATTATTTATGTGTTTATTGTCTGTCACCCTCCGTTAAAATACAGGCTCCAAGAAGGCAGGAATTTTGTTTTTTTTACTGCTATATCTTTAGCGCCATGTTAGAATAGGACCTGGCACAGAGAATATATTTAATACATATGTGTCATATCTTTATGGTGGCTGTAAATTAATCATATAACTTTTATGAATTCCATTATTTGGTTATATCCTTATTTATTTAACTGGCTTATTTATTTATTTTTAAATTGACAGACAATAATTGTATTTTTTATGTGGTACAATGTGATGTTTGGATACATCGTGTAAAGATTAAAACAAGCTAATCAACATATCCATCACCTCAACAACTTATCATATTTCCTGTAGAGAGAATGTCACAAATCTATTCTTTTTGCGATTTTAAAATATACATGATTGGCCAGGCACAGTGGCTCACGCTTGTAATCCCAGCAACTTGGGAGGACGAGGCAGGCAGATCCTTTGAGCTCAGGAGTTCAAGACCAGCATGGGCAACATGGTGAAACCCACTCTGTACAAAAAATAAAAAAATTAAGTTGGTAGAGCATGTGCCTGTAGCCCCAGCTACTTGTGAGGGCTCAAGTGGAAGGATCACTTGAGCCTGGGAGGTTGAGGCTACAGTGAGCCATGTTTATGCCACTGCACTCCAGCCTGGGTGACAAAGTGAGACCCTGTCTCAAAAAATATATATCTGTATATATACATTAGTCTTAACTGTGGTCATTGTGCAGTGCAGTAGATGACAAACACTTATGCCTGCAGTGTAACTGAAACTTTGTACCCTTTGATCGACATCTCCCCTTTCCCCTTTGATCGACATCTCCCCTTTCCCCTTCCTTCTCCCTTCTCCCAGCCTTGGTAACCACGTTTCTACCTGCTGTTTCTATGAGATTGACTTTCTTTGATTCAATATATGAGTGCAGTAATACAGTATTTGTCTTTCTGTGCTTGGCTTACTTCACTTATGTCCTCCTTCTGTATAACAAAGAAACAATCTACAGAGTAAAGAGACAATCCATGAGTTGGAAGAAAATATTTTTCAATTATACATCTGATAAGGGGCTATTGTCAAAAATATGTAAGAAATTCAAATAATAGCAAGAAAACACATAAGTTGCTGAAAGAATGGACGAATGAAATGAACAGGCATTTCTCAAGAGAAAGCACACAAATAGCCAACAAATGTATGAAAAAATGCTCAACCCCTCTAACCATCACATAATGAAAATGAAAACCTCAGTGAGAGATTTACAACTTGTGCTGTAACCTCAACACCTGTTAGAATGGCTATGATTCAGATGATGAAAGGTAAGTGCTGGCCAGGAAGTGGAGATAAAGAAACACTGACATACCATTGGTGGGAATGTCAATTATTACGGCCATTTTGGACAATAGTATGAAGTTTCCTCAAAAAATTAACAATATAATTGAGCCAGCAATATACTGTGTTCGTCTGTTTCACATTGGTATAAAGAAATACCTGAGGCTCATGGCTAGGCAGGCTGTGCAAGCAGGGCACCAGCATCTGCTTCTGCTCAGAACCTCAGGAAGCTTTCAGTCATGGCAGAGGGAAAGGGGAGCTGGGTGTCACATGGTGGGAGATGGAGCAGCGTGGGAGGCGCCACACTCTTTTACACAACCAGGTCATGTGAACTAATAGAGCCAGAACTCATGCATTACTGTGGGGAGGGCCCCAAGCTGTTCATGAGGGATTCGCCCCAAACATCTCCCACCAGCCCCCACCTCCAACATTGGGGATCACATTTCAACATGAGATTTGGAGAAGACAAATATCCACACTGTATCTCCCACTCCTGAGTACATATCCAAATGAATTGAAATGGATATGCCTGAGAGATATCTGCACTGCCTTTTTCATTTCAACGTTATTCAAAATAGTCAATGTATGGAATCAACCTAAGTGTCCAACAGTGGATGAATGTATAAACAAAATGTGGCATATACACACAATGGAATACTATACAGCCTTAAAAAGAAGGAAATTATGTCATTTGTGATGATGCAGATGAACCTAGGGAGATACATATTAGGTTTTCTAAATTACTAACCTGATGGCCCAACTGTATTAACAACAATGCAGTTTTCCTCAGTGAATTGAAATGCCGCTTATACTATATACTAAATGACCAGCTCTGATTGCCTATTTCTGCACTCCATATTTTGCCAGTTTGACTATAATGTGTCTGGGTTTGGCCCATTTTGAATTTATTCTATTAGGAGTTTTTTGAATTTCACAGTGCTTAATGATTTCCACCAAATATGGGAGGTTTTTGACCATTCTTTTTGCAAAGCTATTTTAGCTTCTTTCTCTTGTCTCCTCTCCTCCTGTGACTCATGTTTATTTGGCTTGCACGATGGTGCCCTACAGGTCTCTGAAGCTCTGTTCATGTTTCATAGTTCTTTTTTCTCTTTCTTGACTGAACAATCTCAATTAATGCATCTTCAAGTTTTCTGATTCTTTTTTTTAAACTAAAATCTGCTGTTTGATCTCCATTGATTTTTTTAAAAAATATTGTTTCTTTCACCTTCAGAGTTTCCATTAGTGTTTTAAGTATTGTATATCTCTTTATTAATATTCTCCATTTGGTGTTCATTGTTTTCATACTTTACATACTTGTAAAAGCCGATTACAGTCTTTCTAGTAAAGACAACATCTGGGGTCCCTCAAACAGTTTCTGATGACTGTGTGCATGTGTGTGTATGTGTGTGTGCATGTGTGTGCATGTGTGTGCACGTGTGTGTGCATGTGTGTATGCATGTGTGCGTGTGTGTGTGTGTATCATACTTTCTTGTTTCTTAGCATCTTTCAGAAGTTTTTGTTAAAAATTGGACATTTAAAATAATATAACTTGAAAGCTTTGGAAACGAGTCACTCCCTCTCCCTAGGATCTGTTGTTGCTATTTGCTGTTTAGTGACTTTTCTGGACTAACTTTGTGAGGTCCTTGTTTCTTGTAAAATACAGTGAAACCATTGACATCTATGCTTGGTTGGCTCAGTGGTCAGCAAATGATTGAACAAATCCCTTGGATGTCTTGAACCAGTGAGCCTTCCACACCTTGCCGAGGGCTCTCTCTCTCTCTCTCTCTGTGTCCAGTGAGCCTTCTACACCTCACTGAGAGCTTTCTCTCTGTGTTTGGGTGTGATGACTCCAGTGAGCCTTCCACACCTTGCCAAGAGCTTTGTCTGTTTTGGGATGTGATGACTCCAGTGGGCCTTGTATACCTCGCTGAGGGCTCTCTCTCTCTCTCTCTCTGTGTCCAGTGAGCCTTCTACACCTCACTGAGAGCTTTCTCTCTGTGTTTGGGTGTGATGACTCCAGTGAGCCTTCCACACCTTGCCAAGAGCTTTGTCTGTTTTGGGATGTGATGACTCCAGTGGGCCTTGTATACCTCGCTGAGGGCTCTCACTCTCTGTGTTGGGGTGGGATGCCTCCAGTGAGCCTTCTGCACCTTGCCAAAGGTGCTCTCCCTCTATGTTGGGGTGTCGTGCCTCTAGTGAGCCTTCTACACCTTGCCGAGGGCTCTCTCTCTGTCTTTCTGTGTCAGGGTGTGATGTCTCCAGTGAGTGTTCTACACTTTGCCAAGGGCTCGCTCTCCTCTGTGATGGGGTGTGATGCCTCCAATGAGCCTTATACACCTCACCGAGGGCTCTCTCTGTCTCTGTGTTGGGGTGTGATATCTCCAGTGAGCCTTCTTCACCTTGCTGAGGGCTCTCTCTCTCTCTGTGTTGGGGTCTGATGCTTCCGGTGAGCCTTCTACACCTCACCGAGAGCTCTCTGTCTCTGTGTTGGGGTGTGATGCCTCCAGTGAGCCTTCTACACCTCACCAAGGGCTCTCTCTCCTCTGTGTTGGGTATGATGTCTCCAGTGAGTCTTCTACACCTCGCCGAGGGTTCTCTCTCCTCTGTGTTGGGTGTGATGTCTCCAGTGAATCTTCTACACCTTTCTGAGGGCTCTCTCTGTGTCAGGGTTTGATGCCTCCAGCACTCTGGCAGTTTAGAGCTCAGCTTCAGCCTTTGCTGCCTGTTGGTGCAGGAACTTGAGGTCCGCCAGAAGTGAGAGATTGGGGCTTCTCAGGTCTTTTCCTGGGTGGGCCAGAGCCTTGCTCATGCCCACGACCTGTGGGGTCACAGGAATATCTCAGAGTGTTTGAAGTCCCCTGTAAACATCTCTTTTTCAAGACTTCCTGTTACGTTTTCTGCACAGTCTTTTACATGCTGCAACTGCTATCACTTTCTCAGGCAGCTGTGAGGTTAAACAACTGTCACTTACCATTTTCCACACCCACCCTGGCTGAAGACTTTCCCTGAGGAGTTTCTGGATCAGGTGAGATGATAACAAGACCTGTGCATGGGGCTTTTCCAAGGTGCTGCCCAACAGATGAAATAGGGTCAGTTCTCTGGGGTTGGGGCTTTTTGCAGCTCCCTAAACTGGGACTCTCCAGTTGCTACAAGACTGCTGGTTTTGGGAACAAACATGGTTGTGGGGTTTCTGGTTTTGAAGGCTGCTGCGGGCCAGGGAGGGGTGATATGGGACAAGTCAGAACCACAAAGCTCACCGACCTACCAAGACTCACCTGCTGTTCTTGAATAAACATGGCTCACATTTTTGCAGGTCTTCAGTTAATTTTTAGAGTTCTGGAAGAGTTATTTTGGTATTTTTTCCCAGTGTTCTCATTGCTTTTAAGAAGGAATTGAGTTTTAGAGGTCTTTGAGATTTTGGATGTGTCACTCTGTATTCTATTTTTAAATTTAAAAAATTCTGTTATCTCTGTATAAATTATTTTAGTTTACAGTGTATTATATATAATAATAATAGAATCATCCTGCCATTTATCTTCTTATTAATAATATATTTTTGAATGTAGTTTTTACTATTATTGTTCATTTGTTTTTCAAAGTTAATTTTGGAATACTGCCTTCATATTCTGAAAATAAATCTTTTGATATTTGATTAAGACCCTTAAAAGGATGGATTCATATGGGAAGAATTACAGTCTCTGGGGTTTTGATTAAATATTCAGTTTCAGGAACATTAGTATGGCTCTCCATTTATTCAAGTCTTCTTTTCTGCTCTTTAGTACTTTTTTTTTGCTTATTTTACAAATGTCCCACATACTTATTTATGAGTTTATTTCAGTTATAAATGGGCTACTACTTGGTTATGTCTTCAGTAGTCTAAAGCCATTTTTCAGAATTCATTTAGTTCTTCAGGGGCCATATGAGTGAGTTAAATGAATATATAATAGGGACCATTACCCTTGCATTCCTAAGACCTTTAAGGGTGGCACTAATCCCACCTCCCCACCTACCCTTAGAATATGGTATTGTTTCAGACTCATTAGTTTGGCCAGTGATGCAGCTTCCACGTGGTCTTCCCCATTACAGCTTCTCCTCCAAATGCCAAGAACCCAATATGGGGACCGACTCAGGGGCTGCATGCACTCTGGGGTAGGCAGTCTCGGAGGAGACCTCCACAGCACTCTCAGCATCTGGGACAGAAAGCTTCCTGCTAAGTAAGGGGGTCTTGGTGGTGTATCTTTCTGTTTATTGCATAATTTGATCTCATTTATTTAAAATGTTTATGCATGTATCTGCATATAAAAATAAGTACACATACATTTCCAAAAGCTTACAATAAAATACTATAACCAAATATCTTCAAAATGCATTCAGAACTCTTTTTCCTAAGCTTAGAAATATAGCCTTGAAGTGTGCTTTGAAATTCATGTTCCTCTCTCTTTCCCACCAGACACTCCCTTGTCCCATGCATGCTTATCTAACTGCATGGTTACTTAACACTCCCAGAGGCTCATCTTAAACCAGGCATGGGCCCCTGTTATGAAATCCTCCCACTTAGGGGGAGTCATGAACAATGTGTTCACCACCACTAGGGCTGCAGTCAAGATAATGACGACCAGACCTCCAGACGCCCAAGACAGCCCTCAGAACGAGACATGCAGGCCCTTACCCAGCAGGACCCCACATGTTTCTCATACTAAGTTTCCCTTCTTACACCCTTCACCCAGCCTGCAATTGAAGATGGTTTCTTCATGACTTGAGCCCTGACATCTCCCCAGCTGCTGGCATTTGGAATAAAAGTTACTTCCCTCTCCCCATACCTCACCTCTTGTATTCAGCATGACAGGTGGTGAGCAGCTTGGCCTGAGTTTACTGCAACATCATGTTCTAAAACCTATCAGTTGAGGGGGGATTATTTTGTCTATGAAACTATCTCTGTCTCTATCTTATTTTGGGTTCCTGCAGAAGCAGACTCAGATTCGAGGACATGTGATTCTATCTTCTTGTAGACAAATTCAGGAAGCACAAGTGAGGGAGTGGGGAAATGAGACAGGGACGGAGAAAGCTGATGAGGGTTGTGCATATGAGTGGTCACTGGGAATCCACCTGGCTGGAGGCCCTTTAAGAAACTCCATGGAACACACCTAGAATTGTCTCACCAGAAGGTGGGGAGGTGGAGGCATTTATTCACTGACTCCCACCTCTGTTGGTTGAGGGTTTTCCCTGGTACCCTGCCCCTGAAATTCTGGCATATGTCCCCACTTAGTGGAGCAAATACTTGTGGTGCTGGAGAAAGTTCAGCAGAGAAGCAGACAGGTGCAAATACTTGAGGCAGGAGGCTGTCACCAAGCTGGGAACCAGCTATTACATCTTCACATGACCTCAGGCGAACTGAGGGGATTGGTCCCATCAACAGTGTCTGCTATAACCATATAAATGATTCTAAAAAGTCACAGGTCTCCAAATGTATTTGGAATGGAAAAGTGATTTACCTAATTTTCCCCAAGCCAGTCTGGTATGGTGGCATGGATAAGGCAAGGGTCAATTTCAGATCTAATGTTTCAGCATGGTTCAGAAACGTCTGACAGCACATCTCTAGTTCCTACTAGCCACGTGTCATTGTGAGACTGCCTTTTAATGCACGGATTCCCCATTCCATGTTGTTATGATTGAACATAATTAGGGAAGCCTTCTTGATGAGAATGCTCTTAAATGAAAAGAAAGTCTGATCTATGGCAAATACATTCTCTCTGGTGATTTAATGTGACAGACAGAATAAACTGACCTAAAAACTTAGAAAACTTTTAAAAAAATTCTAATTTCCAAATTCAAATTGGCTATAGTGAGTTAATCAGGGAGTAGAGAGAGAGAGAGAGGGAGAGAGAGAGAGAGCATGGTTTGTTTCCCCACCGTAGCCTAGTTTCAATACCGTGGCTTTAGGTATGCTTGTTTTAAACACTGTCCTTGATGTCTGGAAGCTCACATGGACACTTGTACATGTGGGTGTCCAGCTCAGTGCCATGCCACCTGTGGAAAAGGGCAGCAGGCCCACAGGAAGCGTCATGAGGTGTGGGCACATTTGTAACATGACAGGGCAGCTGGGCAGAGACCCTAATTATTCCCAATCATTTGCACCTCCTATTTCTCACCTAGTATATTTCAGTCCACCCCATGAACCTTGGGTTGTCCTCATTCTAGGGTCTCTTCTGCAATCTTTGTCAATCCACAAGAGGATACAGACTAAGGCTGATTGAGAGGCAGAGAGGAGACACAATAAGTGTTTTCTGAATGGGATTGTTTTTTGAATTTGCCCGAAGCGAGGAGAATCTACTGGAATAAATGCTAACGCTACATTCAGAGTATGGGGCCCCAGTAAATAACCACCAGTGAGGACTCCCACAAGGTCCTGGGGCTCTGCAAGGTCTTTCCTAGTCATGCTGCCTTCTTGACTGGGGGAGGCACAGCAAGGATTCGTGGGCAGAGCTCATGACTTAGCCACCATCTCTCGACAGAGCAAGGACACCTGCTCCATATGTTTGCTTTCATTATTAATAACATGTTCACATTTCGGATGAATATTATACCAAATTAGCCTAATTATGTATGGCAGCTAATTTTCGGAGTAATAGGCAAGTATTCAGAGGCTTTAAAACATTGTGGAGAACACTCAAATTACAGTTGTGAGGCTTAGTTTGGGGTGTGGGGAAGGAAGGGAGGTGGCAAGTCTGGTGGGCTTCTAGGGGGAATCCCCTCATAGAGGAAGGAGCTAGTGTCTTTATATTCAGGAAGCTCACTGGAGCATTCCTGAATAGATACCATGCCCTTCAGCAAAAACTTGCCCACAGGGTCCTTTTCCAGATGAACTTCCCATTGCTTCCTTCTAAACCCTCTTTATGCCACCTCTGAGTGACTGCCTGAGCCACGTGCTTTTCACATAGGTTCTCTTTAGCTGCCACCTCTAGACAATTGCTCCTGGCCACCAGGAGCACTGCTGACTCTGGGACCACATCTCACTAACACAAAACACCGTGTGCTCAGCTCACAGTGTCTGCCTACTTTCCCACTGTTCTCTGTCTCTGAGGCTCCAGCCCCATCTCAGCATCATCTTTTCCCACCTGGAAAACTCCAGTACTGTCCTAATTCTGTCCCTGCTACCACTTGTGTGGTACTACTCTTTTTTTTTTTTAAATAGGATCTCTGTCCCCCAAGCTAGAGTGCAGAAGGGAGATCAGAGCTCACTGCAGCCTTGACCTCCTGGGCTCAAGTGATCCTCCAGCCTCAGGCTCTTGAGTGGCTGAGACCACAGGCTCATGTCACTGTGCCCAGCCTCCCTCTACTCTTTGTTTCCAAGCAGCTACTAGATCCCCAGTGAATCTCATCACAAACACATTTGTGGCATCTGGGGGGGAACAGTCTTCACTGTGCAGGACTTTACTATCCATTGAAGGATGTTTAGCATCGCTGGACATCCCCAATGCTGATAGTGTGCTCAAAGCATTGTGACAGCCACAAATGTCCCTACAGTTTTGTCATGTCTTCTGGGAGTGGCCGGACTGCCTCTGTTGAGATCTGTTGCTAACAGAATATTTTTACCGGCAAAAATATATATGTCATCCTTGGTTAAAATCCTTCAATAATTAAAAATAATCCCTAAAATGGAAGTTTCTGTGACTTTGCATTTTTCTCAGGATAAACTCCACTTGTGGCCGTGCCCCTCAGGCCTGGCTCTGCCTTTCCACTGACTGTGTTCCAGCCATGCTGACCTTGCTTCCAAGCCCAGCTCAGGCCCAGGCCTCCTAAGGCCTTTCCCCCACAGGCTGTTTTCCCACCTGAGTGTCCACCCTGCCTCCTCCTGCACCCTCCTCTCCACGCAGAGGCTTCTCCTCTCTGCAGGCCCCAGCGCGGCGAACACCTTCTCTGCAGCCCTCCCTGGTCCCGATAACTATAGAAGAGGCCCCCCACCCTGGTTTATTTTACCACTTCCTCCCACTTTACCTCGATTGAGCTTTCTTGATTTGCAATCCCAGGTATATTGATTTGCACACTGGTTTATTATTTGTCTTCTGTTGCTGGCCCCATAAGGGCAGATACAGCATCTGTTCTGCTCATGGGTCTGTGCCTTGCTGAGACCTGAAGACAGCTGGTGGCTGAACGCTTAGAGACCCGCATGTATTTCAGGGGACCGGCTATAAACGAGTGCCTTTATAGTGCCTTTAAAGGGAGCCCCAAAGCACCTCTACCCTAGTCAAGGCAAACAAACGGTGCTCTGTGTGTCTAGGTACCAAAGGGCCTGAGACAGTCCCCCAAAGTAGAGACAGGAGGAAGCAGGCAAAAGTTTTCTGCACCTGAGGCCAGTTTGGAAGTGGCCAGGAGAAGGCTCCTGGATCTGAAGGAGACACGGATGTCAGAATGACTGTGGACCTGACGCCTCCCTGATACCAAGACTCAGATGAGGAGTTGCCCTGTCCCCCACCGCCACCTGGGCTATCTGAGATCCCCCATCCAGAAGAAGAAGGTGGGGGAGGAGGAAACACTTTTAATCCTGAAACTTCTGCATTTACCCAGAAGAAAATGAGTTTATCTGGAGGTAACTATATGACACTTTTGCGTCGGACAAAAATGTGAACTGTAAAAAATTGAGTTCAGTTACAGAAAGTTACATTTTTGCACACTGAGTATTGTGATGAAAACTTTAGCCCATGTAGTGATGATGTTAATAATAATTATCCTGATTTACACTCTATAGTAACTTTACATAATGGTGTCTGATCCTTACAATGACACCCTGAGGCTGCTGGAGAGCTGGACTCCGAATACAGCTGTTATGTCTGGAAGTTTGTCTCTTTGTTGCTGGGCTCTGTGCTGCATCCTGGAGTGTTCAGGGAAGAGTCAACATTTAGATCAAGAAACATGAAGCCTGTCTTCGAATCCTGGGTTGATGGCCTGCCTGTCTAACTTACACGTTGTACATAAAAACTGGTGGAGATCTGAGATCTGGGAGATCTGAGATTTCCCAGACACCCGTGGGCCACCAGAAGCTCAAGATCTCCCAGAACTCCTCCTTGGCATCCCTCAGCTGAGCCCCAGGAACAAGGCTCACAGTGGTTGATGGCTTTCCAGCAGTCCTTCTGGAGCAAGCCTTCAGACTTAGAGATGCCTTCTTCTGGAACTATTTTCCTCAGCTGGCTGTGGCCTGAAGCCATAGTGCAAACACCCTTCTCCTGGACTCAGAGACTTGAGGGGGTCTATCTTAGGTTTGGTAGCCATCGTTAGGCTGCTAGTCCTATCACCAAATCTTACAAGCTATTGTCAAGCCTCCCTCAAATTTGAGGTTGAATGATGAAATTAATGATGACATTAATGGTAATATCACCAATAGCAACATTTATTGAATATGTATTACATGCCAGGCACTATGCTAAGCCCTTTCCTAGATTTGCTCATTTAGCTTTTGCAATAATGTGATGTAGGAGCTACCATTATTGTCTTCATTTCACTGATAGTGAATTTAAGACTCAAAGACATTGTTTAAAAATAACATCCACAGTTGTGTAGCTGCACCTTGGTCTGTCTGGTCTACAGTGGGATTCTCAATCAACATACCACACCTTCCAGCCATAGTCATGTTCATTGTGGCTGCCCCTATATGCCAGTACTGTGCAAAATGCTTTATGACTAAGGTTGGTTCTAAAGTTACATGGAGGGTGTGACAGTAGAAATATATAGGTAACTCCAAATCACTGCTAAAAGGAAAAAGAAAGAAAAAGGAAACCCAGAATCAGTTGTTGGCGGGTGAGTTGGGCCTCATCAGTGTGAGCGTCAGAGGTGGCAAAGGGATCACAGGGGCCTGGGATGCCCTCACTTTTGTAGCTGGGCTTGGACACAGGCTGCTAAGGCTCTTCTGCCATCGCTGTGAGCAGAGCAGATGCCACATGTTCACCCGGCTCTGTGATGAGGCTCCTGTTGTTCCTGATGAATCCACTGCTAGCGTAATCCAGAACTGACAACTTTATTTCCAAAACCTACAATTACTTCGCCTGGTAGGAGTTGGTGCCATAGTTTATAGATGGAGATGTAAAGTGCAGAACCTTAAGTGAGATGCCTGAGGAAGGACAACATCGTCTAAGCAGTGGCGCTAGGGTTTAAACCAGGACCTGTCCCATTCTGATAACATGACATCTCCATTTCTCTGCAGATCCATCACTATCAGTCTTTGAAACTTTCCTTTTTAATTTTATTTATTTAGTATAGCAATAAGACACATTTCAGGGGCTTGGGAGAAACCGTTTTACCATCCTAACACACACACATACACACATCCACACACATACATATACACACGCATGTCTTCTGTGTAAAAATCTGTTAAAAATTATATGAATAATATGTTCAGAGATTCTCCTCTTATTTCAAAATTTCTCCCGCATAGGGATGAGGGTGGCTAACGTGTCGCTGGCGTGACAATGGCACAGTTTGCAACAATGTTCTGCAAATCTTCTGATCATCAGAATTATCTAGGGAGCTCTTAAAAACAGCGTGGGCTGGGTCCCACCCCATAGTTTTGGCAGCAGTGGGGTAGAGAAGGAATCTGTTTTTAACAAACCATATCCCTCCACAGGTTTGGTAGCCATTGATTTAAAAGACAGCGCCCTGGCCTGGGAGCTCAGGGTCTTGGGCTCCTGTCAGGGCTCTGTCAGTGACTTGCTTCATGACTTTGGTAAGTACCCTCCTCTGTGCTGGACTTTGTTTCTCCGACTATAAAATGAAGGGAATTGGAATAAATTAGGAATCTCAAACTGGATTCCTGTAGGATCATATGTGTTTCAATTCATGACTTGTGCCCAGAGATGATATTAAAGATAATTCCAAAGAATAGTGCAGGCAGGGCTAAAGGAGGGGAAAAGGAGAAGGTGATGGGTAAAAGGAACAAAGTTTCAGGTATGCAAGATGAGTAAGTTCTGGGGATTTACCTAAGAGCACAATGCCTGTATCTAACAATACTGTGTTTTATGTTTATAATTTGCTAAGAGGGTGTATGTTATGTTAAATGTTCTTACCACCTCCCCCCCAACAATTAACACTAATAATAATAAAGGGGGTGGGAGGAATCTTTGGGAGGTGATGGATGTGTTTGTGGCCTTGATGGTGGTGATGGTTTCACAGGTGTATACATATCCAACCAACTTATTGAGATGTATACATTAAATATGCACAGCTTTTTACATGTCAACCACATCTCCATAAAGTTTTTTTTAAAGAGAAAAAGAAGGCTGGGTGCGGTTGCTCACACCTGTAGTCCCAGCACTTTGGGAGGCCAAGGCAGGCAGATCAGGTCAGGTCAGGATTTCGAGACCAGCCTGGCCAACATGGTGAAACCCTGTCTCTACTAAAAATACAAAAATTAGCTGGCGTGGTGGTGGGTACCTGTAATCCCAGCTACTTGGGAGGCTGAGGCAGGAGAATCGCTTGAATCTAGGATGCAGAGGTTGCAGTGAGCCGAGATCACACCACTGCACTACAGCCTGGGCAACAGAGCAAGACTCCATCTTAAAAAAAAAAAAAAAAAAAAGGGAAAAGAAAAGAAAGAAAAGAAAAGAAAAAAGAGGCTGGGAGCAGTGCCTCACGCCTGTAATCCCAGAACTTTGAGAGGCCGAGGCAGGCGGAACACAAGGTCAGGAGTTGAAAACCAGCCTGACCAATATGGTGAAACCCTGTGTACTAAAAATACAGAAATTAGCTGGGTGTGGTGGTGAGTGCCTGTAGTCCCAGCTACTGAGGAGGCTGAGGTGGAGGTTGCGGTGAGCCGAGATCTCGTCACTGCACTCCAGCCCGGGTGACAGAGCGAGACTGTCAAAAACAAAAAACAAAAAACAAAAAAGAGTAGTGCAGGCACTGACTAAGCGACGCTGGCCATGGTGCTGAAACAGGATTCCTTTTTTTTTTTAAATTAACGTGGAGAGATTTTTATATTTATTAATTTTTCTTTTTTCTTTCTTTTTAAATTTCAACTTTTATTTTAAATGTGGTGGGGTACATGTGCAGGTGTGTTACATGGTTATACTGTGTGATGCTGAGGTTTGGGGTATGACTGATCTCATCACCCAGATAGTAAGCATAGTACTCAATAAAAAGTTTTTCAAAGCATGTATCACTCCTGTCCCCCCTGAAGTAGCCCCCAGTGTCTATTGTTTTCATCTTTATGTCTATGTGCACCTAATGTTTAGTGTCCACATATAAGGGAGAGTATGTGGTATTTGGTTTTTGTTCCTGCATTAATTTACTGAGGATAATGGCCTTCAGCTCCATCCATGTTGCTGCAGAGGACATGATTTTATTCTTTTTTATGGCTGTGTAGTATTCCATAGCATGCATATATACATATGGGATATATATAGCTGGGATATATATATATATATATAAATATATATATATATAGCTGGGATATATATATATAAAATATATATAATATATATATAATATACATATATATATCACATTTTCTTTAGTCAGTCTACCATTGATGGGCACCTGGGTTGATTCCGTGTCTTTGCTATTGTTAATGGTGTTGCAATACACATAATAGTACAGGTGTCTTTTTGGTAGAATGATTTATGGTAGTTCTATTTTAACTCTTTGAAAAATCTCCATACTCTTTTCCATAGAGACTGTACTAATTTACATTGCCATCAATAATGTATAAGAATTTTCTTTTCTCCACAATCTCATCAATATTTATTTTTTGACTTTTAATAGCCATTTTAACTGGTGTGAAATGGTATCTAATTATGGTTCTGATTTGCATTTCTGTGATGATTAGTAATGATGTGCTTTCTTAAAATATGCTTGTTGGCTGCTTGTATGTCTTCTCTTGAGAAGTGTCTGTTCATGTTCTTTTCCCACTTTTTAATGGATTTTCCTCTTGCTTGTTGATTTATGAAACAGGATTCTTGAGGGGATCCTTTGGTTAGTTGTTTGCCCTTTAGTTGCTGAATGATGGAGCAGTCTGACAGGTTCTTGGGCAGACCACAGGAGCCAGGATGGTGGGGAGGTTATTTAGGGGGTTTAGGATAATGACTATTTACCTATTTATTTATCATGAGGGGGGATCTCACTCTGTTGCCCGGACTAGAATGGGGTGGCACCGTCACGGCTCACTGCAGACTTGAACTCCTGGGCTCCTGCAATCCTCCCACCTCAGCCTCCTGACTAGCTGGGACTACAGGCATGCATCACCATGCCTGGCTAATTTTTTATTTATATTTTTGTAAAGACGGGACCTTGTTATGTTGCACAGTCTGGTCTCAAACTTACAGGCTCAAGTGATCCTCCTGCCTTGGCCTCCCAAAGTGCTGAAATTACAGGCATGAGCCACTGCACCTGGCCTGTTTACCAATTTAAGTGGAATGATTTTAATATTTAACAATCCTGACAGCTGAGCTGGTGAGTACCAACTGACTACCAATTTTGCCTAAATAGTAATTTTATTATTATTATTTGGTTTTATTACTTTTAAAATAGTAATTACTTGTTAATATTGAAGAACAGAAGAATTTTTACTCATAAACCCGGATATATAGCTTCTCATGAAAAAGTCTGGCCACACTGGATCTGAACTTCTGCCTTGTAACTGAAGAGCAGTTATTCATTTGGACTTAGCAGGTCCTGGCCAGGTGACTGTAGACATTTCAATCTGTGATTCCTGGGCTAATGTGATTCTTTTGATCTTGAAGCACAGTCTTTGGATTCTTTTGCTTTTCAAGCTTATTCCTGAATGAGGTGAAATGGGCCAGCAGGTGGGAACTATACTGGAAAACTGGGCCCTGTGAAGAGTCAGTGACTTTAAGGTAAGATTTGAAGCCTATTAAAGCTGATGGCACCTCTTTAAGCTAAAAATGACCCCTTGTCAGGAGCTGGGTGAGGCCGGCCTTCGGTGCAGACTAATCCCAAGCATGTTTCACTGAAACCTCTGAGTCACTGGCACTAGGAGGTGGTGTGCCGGCTTAACTCGTACTTTTTCCAGAGGTGACATGCCTGTCCTTCATGCCACTAACTATATCTACAGCTTCTCGCTTATCTTGCTTTTAGCCTCAATTACAGGAATGGCTTGTCAATTTGACTTTAATTCTGGATTACCTCCTTTAGACGGTAAGTATCTGTCAGCAGAGGCTCTCACACTAAAGATCAAATCCCCTCTGCCTCTGGGATTCTGACCTTTTGCCTGACAGCCTTTCCCCAAAGACCTGGATTCCCAACCCTGTTCTCATTTTCACTAATGAAAAACAGGAATCCCTAAACCTGATTTTTTCCAAGAATCAGAGATGAATTGTTGACTCTGCTCAGTGAAGGGTTGATTGTGTGTTACACACTGAATAACAGCAGCAGCAACAGCAGCAATAATAAACATTTCCTCCATTTTTCCTCAATTATTTCTGAGGTCCTATTACCATATGCTGTGGTAGGCTTTGGATGATGGTGAATAAGTCATACACAGTGATTTTGAGGCTTAAAGTCTTATGAAAAAGCCTATATTAGGCTGGGATGCCTCAGAAGCAGATCCTGAGGCAAGGATTCCAGTGCAAGTAGTTTACTTTGTAGGTTCAGGTGACACTGGTAGAGAAGTGGTGTAGTGACACAGGAAAGAGAAGGTAGTCAATAAAGGGGGTGCTATTAAGCCAGATGCCACAGTGAACTACTGAAGCTTAAACCCATGGGAAGCTAAAAATATTTAAAAATACATACTTCAGAATCATTCCTCCCAAAGGGTAAGAGATTGGGGTGTTTATACATCAACTCCAGAGAATAACTGGTCTACTGCTGCTGCCACTGGCTGTTAATTCTTTAGCATTTATAGCCTGCAAGACAATCGCCTTCCGGGATTCCAATAAAAGGTCTCAGAACCAGAGACACAGAAACTGGTTGAACCCCCTAAAATGAGAGGCTGTAGGGGAGGCACTAACAACGTCTGCCATAGGGACCAACATTCATCAAAGATTAACCCAGAAAAACCTATAAAATGACAACCGTGATAAGATTTCTAAGGAGAGATGCATTTAGTAGGGAGATTTTTCCTGGTCATATTTATTTGAATAAAAGCTGTCCATATGTAGTTTATCAGATATTTCAAAACTCCATGAGATTCGGTGACTTGCCAGTTAGAGGCAGAGCCAGGACTTGAACCCAGGGTCCCAAGGTGGAACCCCTGCTTAGTCTATCATCCTACTTTTTCCAGAAATGAAATAATCTATTCTTGACTATATACAGAGTAAAACAGCAGGCAGCTGTGGCCAGAGAAAATTAAAGAACAATGTTGCTGCACCCTGAGGGAAGCCTTTCTTTAACTGTGTAAACAGGCAGCTATCTCTGTATTCCTGTAATTGTATATATTTTTTGGTAGCTCTGCATATTCCAAGAGGTGAAGAAGAGCCAAACTACCCCCAAGGGAGAGGAAATCTTTTTTTTTTTTTTTTTTGGCCTCTCTGCCTTTTCATTAACACCTAGAGCAAATTCCCAGCCCTCCAATGTCTAGGAAGTTAATAGAAGTATCTGGCCCCACTTCCAAGCATTGCTGATTTTTATTTCATGAGCTGGACACAATTTTCATGACTGATTATGTGCCGAGCTCCAATGTTGCTATTACATAACCATCTGCAACAAATATATTCAGTAACAATGTGTCCAAAAAATTATAGTGCCAGAGAATTAGGACCAAATGGAATGTTATGTTTCATAGTTAAAATAAATCCCTTTCTGGACATGGGCATCTCAGGAGGGCTAAAATCTGGTTTTGGATGCTTCCTAAGACTGGATGGTTTAATGGACATAAAGGAGATGTTTCTGGATTTTTTCCTGGATAAACAATGAGAAGCTAAGTTAATTAGAGGTTTGAACCCCTGGGAAGAACAGCTCGAAAAAAACCAAGGTCATTTATGCCTGCTTGTCTATGCACAGATGAACAGATCCCAGCTAAGCTGTGCTGGTGCTGTGCTGCTTGTTTTAAAATCAGAGGCAAGCTCATGTTTCGGAGTGTCCACATTTTCTCTAGGACTCACTTAACATATTTACCCAGGGTGGTGCTGAGGTCTTTGAAATTAGATCAAATGCTCTTAATTTGCAATGACTATGTTTGGAAATAGGAAATTATGACTCATCTTTGAAGAAGTTGAATCCTTCATTTAGGTGCATGACTTTTTAACAGTTGAGTGTTAAAAACACCAACTGTTTTTCCTGTGCTCTTATCCCACTCACAACAATCAACACAGAAGATTTCTACGACCAAATATGTGAAGGTTCCCTCACCATACATACCACGCAAGCAGTCAGTTTGCAGTAGACACCAGCTGGGTATCCTCTGATTCAATTCAGTTCTGACACAGCCTAGCTGAAGAGAGCATCAGGTTCCACAGGGTGAGGAGGGCTCTGTACCACAAGACAGCCCCTGCCTCCAAACCCAGGTACAAGCCCCAGGTTATTTTGCCTGTGCTTCTGACAGCCCAGCTATAAGTCAGGGTTTTTGTGGACCCCTCTTTGGGTTTGATTAGTTTGCTAGAGTGACTTGCAGAAGTCAGGGAAACACTCGTTTATCAGCTTATTTTAAAGAATATTACAGAAGATGCAGCTAAACAGATTCATATGGGATACATGGGGGAAGGGGCATGGAGCTCCCATTCCCTCACTAGTGCACCACTCTCTAAGAACCTTCACATGTTCAACTCTCTGGAAGCTCTCTGAACTTAGTCTTTTTGGTTTTTTATGGATGCTTCATTACAGAGGCATGATTGAAGAAATTATTGGTGATCAACTTATTCTTCAGCCTCTCTCTCCTCCCTGGAGGTTGGGAGTGGGGCTGAAAATCCCAAACTGTCTAGTCGTGCCTCGGTCTTTCCATTGACCACACCCATCCTGAAGCTACCTAGGGCTGCCAGCCATCAGCAAATTCATTGGTATACAAGAGACATCACTTTGGAAATATTAAGGATTTAGGGGTCATATGCTAGGAAACAGGGTTGAAGATTTTTCTTAGTCTGATTGTGTTGCCATAAGGGAATACATGAGGATGGGTAATTTATAAAGAAAAGAGGTTTATTTGGTTCATGATTCTGCAGGCTGTACAAGCATGGTGCCAGCATCTGCTTCTATGAGGGCCTCAGATGAAAACAGTGGAAGATGGAGGGGAGGTGGTGTGTGGAGCGATCACATGGTGAGAGAAGGAAGTAAGAGGGCTAGCAGGAGGGGCCAGCTCTTGTCAACAACCAGTGCTCTTGGGAATGAAGAGTGAGGACCCATTTACTCCTGCAAGAAGGGCATCAAGCCATTCATGAGGAATCCATCTCCACTGCCCAAACCCTCCCACCAGGCCTCACCTCCAACACTGGGGATCAAATTTTAACTTGAGACTTGGTGGGGCAAAACAAACCATAAACAAGACATATCAAAGACCAACCCTGCATATTTTATAATGTCACAACAGTGCATGCCATGAGCCTGAGGAGACCTGAGTTTCAGAGAAACTGAGTTTAGAGATTCTCTCATTTCACCCTCATCTCAAAAAGGAAAATAAGTCATTGTGTGAAAAAGACACCTGCAGTTGTATGTTTACCACTGCACAATTTACAACCACAAAGATACAGAACCAACCTAAGTGCCCATCAACTGATGAGTGGATCAAGAACACATGGCACATATACACCATGGAATACTGTTCAGCCATTAAATATAACAAAATAATGTCTTTTGTAGCAACTTGGGTGAAGCTGGAGGCCATTATTTTAAGTAAATTTACTCTGGAATAAAAATAACAAATACCACATTTTTCACTTATATGAAGGAACTAAGCTATGGGTATGCAAAGGCAAACAGAGAGGTATAATGAACATTGGAGACTCAGAAAAGAGGGATCATGGGAGGAGGATGAGGGATGAAAAATCACCTATTGGGTACAATGTACACTATTTGGGTGATGGGTGCAGTATACTATAAGCTCAGACTTCACTGCTATAGAATTCATCCACGTGACAAAAAAACCACTTGTACCTCTAAAGCTATTGAAATGAATAAACAAATAATAGAACCAAATAAAAATTGCTTAAAATATGAGAAAATAAAGATAGCTTTCACATAGAATCTTGCATCTTTGAGCCTCGACATGGTCAGCTGTCACTGAACAGAGGCTGCTCAGGTAGGCGAATGGGTGCCCCCCAGGCAGCCCTGTGCCCACCACCGCCTCCCGCTCCTGGTCCCTGAGGCTGAGTGTCATTTGCCATTTTTCACGGTACCTGTGTTGCTGCTCTCTCATTCCTGATCCCTTCACTCAATCACATTTCCTTCTTGGCTTTGCGTGCTTTTGGATTTTCAATCTCCTAAATATATGGTCTTCTTTAAGGTTCCATCTGTCTTTAAAATTCTGCCATTCTGTCTCAAAAGATCATGCAGCAGGCCTCTTACAGACATGGAGTGTCTGACATGATGATTTCAGTACCATGTTTCTTGAGGGAATGGCTGCTTCCTGATGGTGCTTCATCAAAAGCTACCTGCTTCTCTTATTTGGGTGACTAACTTGAAGCATGGAATGGAAAGTGATGAACTGGACAGGTGCATCATTTGGTTTTTATTCCTCTAAAGCAAACAGCTCTAACTCACCCTGGCTTTGGCTGAAGTTGAAATCTATTGGTCACATGATGACTGAAAAGACTAGAGTTAGGTGAACTCTTGATCCAGGGGCTCCCATGAAGGCACTGGGCTCAAGTTCTCTTCATTCAGTGGCTATTATCTTCTCTTTTGGCTCTAAGAACAAACTCCACTTGTTAGATGACTGCCAGTAGCTCAAATCCCTCATTGTTTCCAGTTTAAGCCTGGTGGAAAAGAGAGTATGCTTTTCTTCCCAAAGGGCCCACTAAAGTCTCATTGTCTCTCTCTGACTCCGAACGTGCCATGCCTGTTCTTTAACCAATTTTCATGTCCATAGGAATGGGACTTACTGGCTGGTCAGTCCTGTGTCCCATGCCCTCTCCTGCAGTCAAGGGTAGAGTCAGTCCCACCAGACATTCATGGACTGGGAGTGGGAAAGGGTGATTTCCTACAAGAGAACAGGGAAAAATTATCCAAAGAACAGAGAATGGATGCAGTGTATCAAAAATCATATATGTCCATCCATCACATTTGGGTTTCTTTTGCCTGAAACAAGTTATCAGAAGGTCCTGAGTGCATAGAAACCATTGTTCTTAAGAGTAAGGACATCCACCCCTGTAATCCCAGCACTTTGGAGGTCCAAGGCCTGTGGATCACCTGAGGTCAGGAGTTCGAGAGCAGCCTGACCAACATGGTGAAAAGCTGTCTCTACTAAAAATACAAAAATTATCTGGGTGTGGTGGTGCATGTCTGTAATCACAGCTACTCGGGAGGCTGAGGCAGGAAAATCACTTGAACCTGGGAGGCAGAGGTTTCAATGAGCCGAGATCATGCCACTGCACTCTAGCCTGGGCAACAGAGTGAGACTCCATCTCAAAAAAAAAAAAAAAAAAAAAAAAAAGAAGGCATCATCATGCTTGAGTCACTAGCAGTGAAATTGAAATAAATTATTCATAAAATATATTTTTTCGTCAAATATATAAAATAACTACAACAACCTCTCAATTTAGTAAACAGTTTTTTTTTAAAGCAGCATCAAGTGAGTGGTTTGATATTAGAAAGACCAAGAGGTATTCCGAATATTTCATCTTCCAGCAGGTTGTCTGACAAGTATCAAGTATCGGGAGCCGTGGAGTGGTCTTCCTCTGGAGAAGTTCCACGTGTGCGATAGTGATGATGATGGCAGCATGTCCTTTGGGAAAGCACTCAATACATTAGCTAGTGGCATACACTCCATGCATTCACTGCTCAGTGCTTCAGATGCGCACATACTTTATTCATTCACTCATTCATTTAATAGTTTTTGAATATCTAACTTCTGTCAGGATTTACAGCAACTTTTTCTGTGAAGGGTGGGTAGTAAATATCTTAGACTTTGTGGGCTACACACTGACTCTATCACATAATCTTCATTTCCTCACCAACTGTTTAAAAATGTAAAAACCATTCTTAGCTTTGGGGCCACACAAAAACAGGCAGAGAGCTAGATTTGGTGTGCAGGTATTATTTGCTGAACACCTCTAGAATGCAGGTGATATGGATTATTGATTGAGTAAAAAAGATGAAGATCTCTGCCCTTATGAAATTTTAATTCTAGTGTTAATTAAATTCTCAGAAAAATCCTATTATAGTTATCATTTAGCTCTCTTTCAGAGATAAGGAAAGAGAGTAGCGGCTCAAGGTCACAGAATTGGTAAGAAGAAAGCTGGGCCGTGAACCCAGATCTGACTCCCAAGCTTACACTAGTGAGTTTTGTGTTTTGCTCCATCACTGGCTGCACCATTCTCCAGGATGGCCTCAAGTCAATTAATTCAGCAAAGATACTAGAGAGTCTACGTGTGGGAGGCACTTCTATATGTAAAGGAGGGTGAGGAAGGTGGTGTTCCAGGAACACAGACTGAAAGGTCCAAGGAAAGCCAGAAGCCAGGAATAGAAGGCATTTGAATAAAAATGGCAAATGCTTTCAAGAGACCAGGTGAAGCGGGGATTGAAATCTTGCCACTGGTCTAGGAGTGGTAACTCATGCCTGTAATCCCAACGCTTTGGAAGGCTCACTTGAGCTCACGAGTTCCAGACCAGCCTGGGAAACATGGAAAGACACCTTCTGTACAACAGATAAAAAATCAACCGAGCATGGTGGCTCATGCCTGTAGTCTCAGCTACTCAGGAGACTGAGATGGGAGAATTGCTTGAGATGAGGAGGTTGAGGCTGCAGTAAGCCATGATCACACACTCCAGCCTGGTGGACAGAGCAAGACTCTGTCAAAAAAAAATAATGAAAGAAAGAAAGAGAGAAAGAGAAGAAAGAAGAAAGAGAAGAAAGAGAGAAAGAGAGAAAGAAAGAAAGAAAGAAATAAGAAAGAAAGAAAGAAAGAAAGAAAGAAAGAAAGAAAGAAAGAAAGAAAGAAAGAAAGAAAGAAAGAAAAAGAAAGAAAGAAGAAAGAAAGAAAAAAGAAAAGGTCATAGGAGTTAGAAACATGGTCTTCTTGTGCCCATGATAAGAGCTCTTTGGATGGAGACATGAGGATGAAGCCAATTCAGGGTGGATTCAGGAGAGAATGGGAGTGGGAGGAGGTAGAGGTGGGTAGGTAGACAACTCAAATATTTTTGAAGACTGGCTGTGAAGAGGAGGGAAAGGATAGAACAGACTCTGAAGGAGTGTGTGAGGTAGACAGTTTCTTCTTTTAAAGGTAGAAGATACTGAAGTATTTTGCAGGTTAACAGAATATATACAAAGATGAAGGGGTTGGTGAAGATACAGGAGGGGCAGAGAACAAGAGAGTCAGTGGGGTCCCTCATGAGGATGAAGGGGTTGAGGTGCACAGCTCAAGCAGAGCAGTGGGCCTTTCGCACAGATGTGGAAGGACCTTCCTCAATTGTACGAGGACAGAAAGAGAGGAGGCAGTGATGCTGCAAGGTTGATAGACTTGGTAGATGGATGACAAGGGTCTCTATTTAGTGGCTTCTGAGGATTGCATCTTTCTCAAGTGCAGTGTTATGTCCCTGAGCCAATGTGTCCAGAAACATGGAAGTTCAGCCTGCATAGGGTAAGAGAGGGAGACTGAGCTGAACACGTGCAAATTGCCAACTTCTTTTATTTTCTGCTTTTATTCTTTGCTGAAAATCTGTTTCATGAGTTTGGCAGGCTAAAGAAGCTTGCTCTTAGAAAAGAAAGAAGCATGGTGTTCAAAGCACAGCATTCTCATGTCACAGAACTGAATAGGCTGACAGCACTTGGGTGGTTTACATTCTGAATTAGGATCTGTGAGCCAAGTGTCTAACATCCAAGGTCTCAGCAAAAGAATTCCTATTGCATGATCTCCTTGAGTCAAATTTACAAAAATCTTTAAAGAAATTTATCTAAAGCAAGTACCGAACCTAAAACCCAAGGACATCCAGTCTGCATTGAACCATCCACCCATGCTGCTCACAGCTCAATGTGTCTGTCTCTGCCACACAGATCACTTCAGTGGCAGGTGAAAAATAAAATATCCCTGCTAAATTCAAATGTGACTCTTACTAATGTTAGGGCTTGTTTTTCTTCTTAGAGATTCAACCACTGAAGTTTAGTTCTTTATATTTTTCATATCACCTAACCTGATCTCTAATTCTGTTGGATGATTGAAATGGAAAAAAAAAATTTGCCATGCATGGTGGCTCATTCCTGTAATCTCAGTAGTTTGGGAGGTCAAAGCAGCAGGATTGCTTGGGGCCAGGACTTCAAGACCAGCCTGGGTAACATAGCCAGACCCCGTCTCTACAAAAAAATTAAAAAATAAAAATTACTCTGGTATGGTAACATGTACCTGTACCCCCAACTACTCTGGAGGCTGAGGCAGGAGGATTTCTTGAGTCCAGAAATTCCAGGCTGCAGTGAGCTGTGATCGTGCCACTGTACTGCAGCTTGAGTGACAGAGCAAGACCCCGTCCCTGAAAAATAAAAAATTAGAAAATTAAGAAAATTTGTGTTCCCAATCTGCTTTTTTTTTTTCGCTTTACAGTAAGAAATGCAAAATACAAAGAACAAAACTCCCAGGAATTAAAGAAACAGGAGCTTTATCTATGTGAATTATGGAGTCCTGGGGTTGGAGAGGACCTCAGGTTCATGGCTGAACCTCTTCTTGATGTAAGAATCCCTCCTTCATCAGCCTCCACATAAGGCCAGTCAGGCTGGGCCCAACTCTATCAGTGATGAGGTGCTCACACCACTGTGATACGTCTTTCTCTTCTTAAAGGATTCTTCATGTAGAGTGACTTTAGTTTTCCCTTTACTTGCTCATCTTTCACTGCTGAGTTTTGTGGAATGTTTGAAACTTCCTTAAACAGAACTTATCCTCTTATGTTGGAAAATGGTTATTTTGCCATTCATGTACTATCCCCAGCAGCTGGGGTCATGGACTGTGAATTATTTCATGCTGGGTTTGAGTTGCATCCCACTCTTGCTGCGGCATGACTTTAGGAAAGTCATTTCTTTTCTCAGAGCCTCAGCTTCAAATCTATAAGACGAGATGGTTCCACTGCCTGCCTTGCAGGACTGTTGTATGGAATGAGTTTTGTAATGAACACAAAGGTTAAAATACAGTGCTCTGAAGTGTTCTACCCTACCTCCCATAATAAATCAGTTTCTCTTTCTGTCACCTTGGGCAAGCTGCTTCATCCTTTAGTACATCTGCTTCCTTGTGTACAAAATACCCACCCCTATGGTGGGGTTGTAAAGTTCAATGTAAACTGCTTAGAGCCATGCCTGGCACATTGTAAATTCTCAATAGACATGTAATACTGATTTTTAGTTGATCACTTAACTAAATTAATTAATAATTAATAATTATTAATATTTTGCTGTTCTTCATAGGATTCTGGTGACTACTTTATCTTCAACCAGACCTTCAGCAGGTATAATATATTCTTGTTATAATTAACAATTGCACCTAGAAAATTAATTAGCAACCATCCGTAATGAATAGCTGGTTTTCCCCTAGTTAATAGAAGAAATTATTGTGATTTTCAGTCAGGCCTTCATTGACAGTTTCACCAGAATTCTCCTTAGCAAAGATTTATAGACAACCTTGAAATGAAAAAACTAAAGGAGGACTGTTGGTTTGGTTTTGTAGATGGGAATAAAAGGATGTGGCTTTGTTTCCAGAGCTCCTGAAAGGAGGAGTGTGGCCAAAGAAGCTGCTACCATCTTGCACATTAATGACATCCAGGATTTTGGTCTATGTGTGAATTAGTGGAGGGATACCCAGGAACATTTGTTTCCAACATGCTGTTCCTTTTTTATCCCCCCATCATTAATTTGGTTGGTTGGTTGTTGTTTTGTTTTTTTGAGACAGAGTCGCACTCTGTCACCCAGGCTGGACTGCAGTGGCACGATCTCAGCTCACTGTAAACTTTTCCTCCCAAGTTCAATCGATTTTCCTGCCTCAGCCTCCTGAGTAGCTGGGACTACAGATGTGCACCACCACATCTGGCTAATATTTGTATTTTTAGTAGAGATGGGGCTTCACCATGTTTACAGGCTGGCCTGGAACTCCTGGCCTCATGTATTCTGCCTGCCTCAGCCTCCCAAAGCACTGGGGTTACAAGTATGAGTCGCCACGCCTGGCCTACCATCATTAATATGAATAAGACCAGGATTTGCTAGGACTGATCTGTTCGCTCAAGATAATTCTACCTGTTTTCGCAGAAGGCTTTTCTGAAAAGCCTTGCCATCTTTTGGCTTTGTCATAAAATAAAGTTTCAGAGTTATGTCTCATGAACATTCATGGGAGGCTACAACAAACAGATGTCATTGAACAATAAAACTAAAACACAGTTAACTGATTCCCGTCATACACCTGCATTTTTTTAGTGAGACCAGACTTCATATCCCAAAATCAATTAATCCTGAGAGACCTTTCTGGATCTCGGAAGGCAAATGGCCCTTGATTTTGCAACTCCAATCCTCTGAGCCTATCCTGTTTACTCTTATTGGTCAGAGACATCTGCAACTGAAAGCTGTCATACAAGTCCTTTGCATTTCAGGTGCTTTCACATTCTTGACAACTTAAAATTTGGCTTGAGCACCAGCTCCATAACGTGGTTGTCATAGTCAATGTGTCATATCCAAAGGAAGGACAGAAGGATTTGTACAATCTCAATACATTGCAACCGGAGAAAAATTTTTCTGGGCTGATCTATATCTTTTCTGACTAGATAATTACGGAATGATGGATACTACTGCTATGATCTTCTTTTCATATTTGGACCAGATGGGCCACCCATCACCTCATCCATCCATCCATTTGTCCATCTATTCATCTATCCATCCATCTATCCATCCATTTATCCATCCATCCGTCTGTCCATCTGTCCGTCCATCCATCCATCCATCCATCCATCCATCCATCCATCTATCCATTCATTCATCCATGGCTTTGTACAACCAGATTAACAAGTGAGTAGAATTCATTTTAATATATACATTTAAACAAATAGTTCTCTTGTTCCAAATCAGACCTGGAAAGATAACAACTTATTTGACAATTCTGCTTCAGTGTTTCACAAGCACCACAAAGTGAATATTTACAAAACAAGATGCATAAAATTTCTTTCCAAAAATTTATTTCTCCTTGAGTGTTTACATTTCAGCAAGTAGCATAATCATCCTCCTACTTTCTCAAACCAGAACCTGAGAATCATTCTTGACTTCTACCGTCTTCTAACTCCAGTGTCCAAATCCTTTTGATTCATTTATCATTTGTTCACTTCTGTCTTTCTACTATTGCTACCCTCATATAGGCCATCAGCATCTCATGCATGAGTTATTTTAATAGCTCTTATGGTTTGCAGCATTTTAGATGGCTCACTTTGATCCCTGTCTCCTGGAATTCATGCCCACATGACATATTCTCCCCCTTGAGTTTGGTTTGGGTGTGGTGACTTGTTCCTGACGAACAGAATACGGCAAAAGTAACAAGATGCAACTTCTGAAGCTAGACTATGAAAGACCATGACTTCCATCTTGCTCACCAACTCTCCCTCTGGCTCCTCTCCTTGTTTAATCTGAGGTCATAGGCAGCTGTGCTGTCAGCTCCCATATGGCCTCTGATCAGCAGTCAGTGAGATACTGAGGCCTTTAGCCCAACAGCTGCAAACTGCCATGATTGAATTTAGAAGCAAATCCTTTTCCAGTGGAGCCTTGAGGTGACTGCAGTCCTGGATGACACTTGGCAGCCTTGAGGGTGACTGAGCCGGAGGATCCAGGAAATTTGCCCCCGGATTCCTGACCCATAGAAGCCGTGAGACAGACAATAAATGCTGCTGTTCTAAGGCACTACGTTTTGGAATAATTCCTCACATGGCAATGACAACTAATACAGCACCCTAACTAGACTTTCCACACTCACACCTGCTGTCCCTCACACTGTAGCCAAAGGTATGTGATTAACATGTAAATCTGATTATTGCTGAAACTCCTTCCATGGCTCCTCATCGCCTTCAGGATATACCCCAAAGTCTTCAACATTTGGTCAAAGATCTTTGTTGACTGCCCTGCAGGCTCAGTTCCCCGATTTCTCTTCTTGGTTTCGTTCTCCATCAGTCTTCTGCAGTTTCTCCTGGCCTCGTGGTCATTCTCATCTCTAGTCCATCACACTTGCTCTTTCTCCTGCTGGAAGCTTCCTTTCATTTTTCTCTTTACCTGGCTACCTTGGAGCCATCCGTTATGTTTTAGACTAATCCAAGGAAGCCTTCCTTTCCTGACCCGTCCTATAGACAAGGTGAAGAGCTGCTCTCTCACTTCCACAGCACCCTGTGATTTCTCTATTGCAATGCTGTTCACTCGTGGTTGTGAAGATTTCTTTACTTGCCTCTTGCAGTAAAGAAAAAGCTCAACTTGCAGGTTTGTGACATCAGGAACGATGTCAGCTTTGCTCCTTGCTTTACCTGAGCACCTCACAGAGGCCTGGAACATAGTGGGAGCTCACTGTGCATCTGTTGAAGGGAGAAAAGGAAGGTTAGTTCCTTCACAAGGGGCAATTTGACTGTTTAAACATTTTGTGGGTACCTCCAGCTGTACTTGCCCTGCACTCATGGAAACCTTGACCTTTAAGTTTCTATTGGCCAGGACTGACTGTGACTTCATCCCTTCAACCACAGTAATTGTGGTTTATAAGTAAGGGAGTAATAGAAGAAAGGATGACTATTTTGGATAGAAAAAAAATGTTGTCCCTTCCCTGTGAAATATTGAAACTTGTTTTAGGGAGAATGACAGATCATGGCTCACAGCTGGTCTTGCCTGTCTGCACATCCTGCTACCAGCAAGAAAGGGCTCCTTGTTTCTACAGTGCTCTATGCCCACCGTGCAGAGAATGCTGAGACAAGTCCAGCCAGAGATGCAGTGTTGATCAGTGCTTTGCTTTGCTGAGGGCTTTTGGTTTCATGAGAAATTGGTCTCAGTTATGGCTTGTGTGGCAGACTTGGAGTATATGAAATCATATCAGTTATGAAATTTAATATTCCAGCAAAACTCTACCAGCAAGGTAGAGTTCGCCAACACTGACAGACCAGAGTGAATAATTTCCACAACATGTGACACTTAGTGAAGATTGCTAGGGACATTGCGATTTGAGATTTTATATGGGGTATGAATATTTTATGTACTTACATAAGTCAGTGCGATTAGGATACAAGCAAATCCAAAATGGTGTGTTTTCAGGCTGAACCAGGAGACTGCTTATGTGGGAGGCAGCTATGCCCTATATTATGCCCTGATTATTTTCCAAATTCAAATGACCCTCATTGTGCAGATGTGTTGGAGCTGCCACTTGGCCCTGTCTCCAACATAAGAGAGTGTGTGAAACACATTGATGAGACTGCACAGTGCTGTTGTGTTGGAGATGTATTGCAACGATTGTACAGGGTGTTAGGAAAAGACTGTCACCACTGACCAGGTTATAAAGGAAACTAACAAGCCGGCCTCTGACATAGGATACAATTTTTTGTATTGAAATGAATTTCATCAAAAGCATTGCCTTGATTATTTTTTCCTGAAATAGAGGTTTCTCCCATGCTCTGATTCTCCCTAGCACTGATTTTTAGGGTTCACCCAGACTGAGTTTGTAGAAGCACAAATATTCCAATTTCCTTGGTGCAGGGCAAAAGATAAAAAGCTGAAATTTTGTATCTGTAATCAGAGAATACAGGTGTGGATCAACTTTCACTTTTTGGGTAAAATATAGATGTGTAGGCCTTGTGTTTAGACAATATAGCTGGTCTCAATGTAATGTAAAATAATTTTCTGTTACATGGAGAACCTGCATTTGCATATGCAGATATAATTTAAGTAATAATTTTTACAGCTTTCATTCCATCTATCTATTAGTTTATTCATCTATTATTTATTGGATGTTTACTAAATGCTAACGTAGCCCATAGCAGTTAAGTGAATGTATCAGTCAGCCTAGGCTAAGTTATGCTATAGGCACAAATAACTTCCACCATTTCATCATTGTAAGCTCACATGTATCATGGGTTGATGTGGCTCTGTTCAATTCATTCCAGGACCACGACAGAAGGAGCAACCTTTATCTAGTACATGCATGGCTTCATGTGCCATGACAGACCACGTGATGGCTCTCAAAATTTTGTTCAGACGTGGCTGCTCACATTCCACTGGTTAAAGCAAATCATGCCACCATGCTAGCTGTCAGTGAAGTAAGATGTATAAGCCTCCTATGACGACTCCCTCTCTTTCATAGTAAAAACAGTGAATTTTTTGAACAAATAATATGATCCACATTCACATAAACAACAGGAGAGTTTGAATGAGGAATTCTCAATGATAGAATGATTGGTTTTGATGATTAATTTGGCTTATTTCACAAGGAGACATCATGACATGGGAAGAACTTAAGTAAATCTACCAAGAAATGAATTTTATCAAAAGCATTGCCTTGATTATTTTTTCCTCAAATAGAGGTTTCTCCCATGCTCTGATTCTCCCTAGCACTGATTTTTAGGATTCACCCAGACTGAGTCTGTAGAAGCACAAATATTCCAATTTCCTTGGTGCAGGGCAAAAGATAAAAAGCTGAAAATTTGAAAAAAAGTTTTTTTCTGGAATGTGCAATTTAGATGCTGAGTTTGTTATTCTACTGGGATGGTATCTTTTGATTCTGTGCAAACTTTTCCTGCTTGCAAGCAATTCACCCCTTAAAGAAGTAAAGTCATGAATCCTCACACTGTCAAATTTAATTAAAGTTGTTCACTGCTGATTTTCAGTGTAAAGCTAGCAAAGTTTATTACTCATCCTATAGAAAAAGTGATGACAGTGCATGTATTTTTATGGCATAAATGGGATTTTATTTATTGTTTATGCAAAACAAAGTAGCCGGTATAATTAGACAGTAATTTGTAACTTCCAACATAAACATTTTAGGAACAGTAGTATCAAAAGTGAGTGCTAATTAGAGAGCTGTTAAGTGGTAACAGATTGACAAACTATACCAAACAGCAGGCTATTTATAACTCCATGCTGTTTTAAATTCTGTTTTGTTTAACAGTCTTTGTACTACTTATAAGAGGGGAGAGCTTCACAACTTGATTTGCAGTTTAATGTCCATAAATAACAAAGCATTGCAGACATGCTGCAGTGCTGGCTAGCTGTGATAATTAAAGAGTACTATTAACTGGATGACTTTCTAACTGTGTCATTTGAGATTCTAATATCTTTTATGTCTCATCTTTACAAAGAAAGTGATAAATCCAAACATTATTTAATTATGTTTTTAACAATAGAGGGTACTTTAATCAGCAACCTTTCAGGAGCCCTTGTGATATAGTCATTTATTCAAATGATGAAAAAAGTCAATAAATCATCTGCAGGAGTGAGATGGTGCATCCCAGGCATTTATGTGGGCTGCTGTGGAGTGAGTGGACCCTCAACCTCTAGTTTTGTTTGCAAAGCTGTTGTTTAAAATAGTGACAGGAGGCTGAGGCATGATTCGCTGCCTGGTTTATAGCCTTCTCCTGAGTCTCTTTGTAAAAAAGGAAGAAAAAACAAATGGTCCTTACTGCAAAAAGTGGTGAATGACAATGTGTAAGAGTTCATCTCATCTCCCACGTCATCTTCCAAGGAAACAACCATCAGAGTCCTGACAACCACTAATATGCCTTCTGGTTCAACGGGTTTGCATATTTTGGATATTTCATATATATGGAATTGTAAATATGTGGCTTTTTAATATCTGGCTTCTTTCAGTGAGGCTTATTTGTGTTGTAATATACATGAGAATTTAATACCTTGCTTATTTTAAACATTGTATAATGCTTAAATAATATTCCATTGTATAGATACACCGCATTTTGTTTACCCATTCCTCAGTTCATGGACATTTGGGTGATTTCCACATTTAGTATAATCTGAATAATGCTGCTATGAATGAGCATTCATGTACAAGTTATTGTGTGATCATACGTTTTTAGTTCTCTTTGGTGTACACCTAAGAGTGGAATTGTTCGGTCAAATGGTAATTCCATGTTCCACTTTGTGAAGAACTGCCAAGCCGTTCACAGCAGCTGCAGCATTTTACATTCCCACCAGCAGTGTATGAAGGCTCCAGTTTCTCCACAACCTTCCCAGCAATTGTTCCCCCTCCCCTCCCCTCCCCTAGCCTCCCCTTGCCTTTCCTTTCCTTTCTTTTCTGGATTAGAGCCAACCTAGTGGGTGGAAAGTGGTGTCTTGTGGTTTTGATATGCATTTTCCTCATGCCTCATGGTGTTAAGTGAGACATCTCTTCATGTGCTTATTGACCACATGTGTATTTTCTTTGGAGAAATATCTATTCAAGTTTGTTGGCCATTTAAAAATTGGGTTGTTTTTTTGTTGTCATTGAGTTGTAAGAGCTCTTTATTCTGTGTACTAATTCCTTATCAGACACATGATTTGTAAATATTTTGCTTAATTCTGTAGGTTTTCATTTCATTTTATTGATATTATTTTTCAATGTACAAAAATCTTTAATTTTTAACATGCCAGATTTATCTGCTTTGCTTTTGTTGTTGTATTTTTGGTATCATGCCTAAAAATTTATCACTAAATTCAAGGTCATGAAAATGTACTCCTATATTTTATTCTAGGGGTTTCAGAGTTTTAGCTTATATTTAGATCTTTGATCCATTTTGAATTAATTTTTAAACATACATTTCTGTGAGGTAAAATAACAATTTTATTCTTTATTCTACATGCTTTTTAATTATTATAGCCTTAAGGTAAGTTCTGAAATTGGAATGTATGAGTCCTCCAATTTTTTTCTTCTTTTGCAAGATTATTTTGACTATTTGGGCTTACTGTCAGTTTCATATACTTTTAAGAATCAGCTTGTCTATTTCTGCAAACAAAAGTTGAAATTTTGATAGAAATTGCATCGATAGACTCGAGTAGTATTGCCATCTTGACAATAGCTCTTTCAATCTGTGAAGAAGGGATGTCTTTCCAGTTTTAAAGGATTTTCTTTGATTATTTTAATAATGTTTTGAATGTTTTCAGTGTATAAATCTCGCAGTTTCTTGGTTAAATTTATTTCTAGTATTTTACTCTTTTGGATGCTATCATAATGAATGGAATTGTCTTCTTACCTTAAATTTTGGCTTATTCATTGCAAGTGTGTAGAAATAAGCTGGATTTTGGATGTTGATGTTGCAACTTGGGTGCTTTGCTGAGTTTATTGGCTCTAATAGTTTTCATATGGAGTCTCTAGAATTTTCTACATATAAAATTATATCATCGGTTAACATAGATACTTTACTTCCTCCTTTCCAATTTGAATGCCTTTCTTTTTTTTATTTCATTTCCTTCTTGCCTTGGCTAGAACTTATAGCACAATGCTGAATAGAAGTGGCAAGAACACATAGCTTTGTCTTATTCCTGATCACAGAATCTTTTACAGTCTTTTACCATTAAGTATGATGTTAGCTGTGAGTTTCTCATAGATTCCCTTTATATGGTTGAGGAAGTTTCCTTTTGTTTCTGGCTTGTGAAAGATTCTCATAGTGAAGGAGACTGACTTTCATCAAACATTTTTTCTGCATCACTATGGATTTAGTTGCTCTCCCCCTCACGCCCACAATGTATAGTCTGAAGCTCTAACCCTCAATGCAACCATATTTGGAGGTAGAGCCTTTAAGAGAGTAAGTAAGGTTAAATGAGGTCATAAGAATGGGGCCCTACTCCAATAGGATTTGTGTCTTTATAAAAAGCAGAGAAGACACCGGAAGTGCACATGCTCTGAGGAAAGGCCACATGAGGATTCAGTGAGAAAGTGGCAAATGCAGGCCAGGAAGAAAGGCCTCACCGGAAACCAACTCTGCCAGCCCTGTCATCCTGGGACTTCCAGCCTCTAGAGTTGTGGGAAACATGTTTCTGCTGCTTAAGCCACCCAGGCTGTGGTGCTCTGTTACAGCAGTGCAAGCAGACTAATGCATACATCCATTGAGATGATCATGTGTTTTGCCTTCCTCCTACTGGTGCGTTACATTGTTTGATTTTAATACATCAAACCACTAACCTTGCATTCCTGGGATAAATCCCACTTGGTCATGGTATATAATCTTTTAATATGCTGCTGGATTTTGTTTGCTACATTAAAAACAAACTACTTTATTATTACTGACATACAAAAAGCCACACACATTTAATGTATGCAAGTTTTTTTTTTGATAAGTATATACCCATGAAACTATTGATACAATCAGTGGTCATAAATATACACATCACCTCCAAAACATATCTCCCTCTCTCTTTCTTTATTCATTTTTGGTAATAAGAACGCTGGAATTGAAATCTAAACTCTTAGCAAACTTTTAGCTATATAATACAGATTTTTTTTTTTTTTTGAGATGGAGTCTAGCTCTGTCCCAGGCTGGAGTGCAGTGGTGGGATCTTGGCTCACTGCAATCTCTGCCTCCCAGGTTCAAGCTATTCTCCTGCCTCAGCCTCCCGAGTAGCTGGGATTACAGGCATGTGCCACCACACCTGGCTACTTTTTGTATTTTTAGTAGAGACGGGGTTTCACCATGTTGGCCAGGCTGGTCTCGAGCTCCTGACCTCATGATCCGTCCACCTCAGCCTCCTAAAGTGTTGGGATTACAGGTGTGAGCCACCGTGCCCGGCCCAGAATTGTTAACCTATAGGTACGATGCTGTGCAATAGAAATCCAAGACTTACTCATGATGCATAACTGCAACTTTGTATCCTTTGACCAACACTTCCCCATTTCCCCTCCACCCCAACCTGGCAACCGTCATTCTACTCTCTACTTCTGTGAGCTTGGCTATTTTAGATTACTTATATAAGTGGGATCATGTAGTGTTTGTCCTTTTTTGCCTGGCTTATTTCAAATAGCATAATGTGCTTCAGGTTTGCCCATGTATTACCAATGGCAAGATTTCTTTCTTTGTTAAGACTGAATAATATTTCATTGAATGTAAATACCACATTTTTTCTTTATTCATTCTTCCATTGATGAAAATTTACATTGTTTTCATGTCTCAGCTATTGTGAAGAGTGCTGCAAAGAACCTATAAGTGCTAATATATCTTCAAGATTCTGATCAATGCCTTAGTATATGTACCTAGACATGGGATTGCTGGATCATATGGTAGTTCTATTAGCAATTTTTTTTTTTTGTGGAAACTCCATATCATTTTCCCTTGTGTCTGTGCCAATTTACATTTCTACCAACAGTGCACAAAGGTTCCTTTTTTCTCGATATCCTCATCAACACTTATCTTTTCTTTTTTTTTTTTTCCAAAGTAGGGCTAACTCATAGGCAATGTGCCTGGGGTTAACCAATACTTGTCTTTTTGATAATAGTCATTTAAACAGGTGTGTGGTGACATATCATTGTGGTTTTGATTTACATTTCCTTGATGATTAGTGATGTTGGTTATCTTTTCACATATCTGCTGCCATTTGTATGTCTTTTTTGAAGAAATGTTGATTGAAGTCTATCTTAGTTCATTTGGGCTGCTATAACAAAATATTTGAGACTGGGCAACTTATAAACATCAGAAATTTATTTCCTACAGTTCTGGAGCAGTAGTCCCCAAACCTTTTTGGCACCAGGGACTGGTTTCGTGGAAGACGATTTTTCCACAGACTAGGGAGGGGAAGGTTTTGGGATAATTCAAGTGCATTACATTTATAGTGCATTCTATTTCTGTTATTATTACATAGTCACCATAATGTAGAATCAGTGGGAGCCTTGAGCTTATTTTCCTGCAACTAGATGGTCCCATCTAGAGGTGATGGGAGACAGTGACAGGTCATCAGGCATTAGATTCTCATTAGGAGCATGCAACCTAAATCCCGCACATGCACAGTTCACGATAGGGTTCACACTCCTATGAGAATCTAATGCTGCCATTGATCTGACAGGAGGCAGAGCTCAGCTTTGCTCAATTGCCCTCCACTCACCTCCTGCTTTGTGACCAGTACTGGTCTATGGCCTGGAGGTTGGGGACCCTTGTTCTAGAGGATGGGAAGTCCAAGACCAAGGTACCAGAAGAATTTGTTGTCTCCTAAGGGCCTTCTTCCTCATACATGGTGCTTTTTCCCTGTGTTTTTACGTGATGGAAGGGACAGACAAACTCCCCCCCTTTTTCTTGCAGGAATATTGGCTTCTAATTTTCTTTTTTTTTGTAATGTCCTTGTCTGGCATTGCTATCAAGGTAATGCTGGCCTCATTAAAAGTATACGTAAGTGTTCCCACCTCCCCAGTGTTTTGGAAAAGTTTGAGAAAGATTGGTGTTAATTATTCTTTAAGTGTTTGGTAGAATTCTGCAGTGAAGTCATCTGGTCCTGGGCTTTTCTGTGCTGGAAACGTATTAATTACTGATTTATCTTTTACTTACTGTTGGTCTGTTCTGATTTTTTTTTTCATGATTCAGTCTTGATTACTTATATGTTTCTGGGAATTTATCCATTGTTTTAGGTTATCCAATTTGTTGACATATAATTATTCATAGCAGCCTGTTTTGATCCTTTGTATTTCTGTCGTATCAGTTTTATATATTTATATAAATTTATATTATATATTATATATTTATAAAATATAAATATATTTATATAACATGTAAAATATAAATATATTATATATAAATATATATACATATAAATATATATTTTATATAAAATAAATTATATATATTTATATTTATATTATATATGCTTATATTTATTTATAATTTTGTCTTTTTTTCCTCAGTCTAGCTAACGTTTTGTCAATTGTGTTTATCTTTTCAAAAACCGATCTCTTACTTTCATTGGCCTGTTATTTTTCTAGTCTTCATTTCCTTTATTTCTGCTTTGACTTTTATTATTTCTTTCCTTTTGCTTACCTTGGGCTTAGCTTTTCTTTGTTCTCTAATTCCTTGAGGTATAACGTTGGGTTGTTAATTTGAAATGTATCTTCTTTCTTCAAGTGGGTGTTAGTCACCGTAAACTTCCCTCTAAGTGCCGTTGCTGTGTCCCTTGTATATTTTGGCATGTTGTGTTTCCATTTTCACTTATCTCAAGATAGTTTTTGCATTTTCTTTTAATTTCTCCTTTGACTCACTGATTTTCAGAAGTATGTTACTTAATTTCCACAGATTTGTAAATTTTCCAGTTTTTCTTCTGTTATTGTGTTCTGGTTTCATACCATTACTTCAGAAAAGATACTTAGTGTGAATTCAGACTTATTAAATTTGGTAAGATTTGTTTTGTGGCCTAACATATGATCTGTCCTGGAGAATGTTCCATGTGTGCTCAACAAGAATGTATTCTGCTACTGTTGGGTGGGAAGTTCTGAGTATGTCTGTTAGGTATATTTGATCTATAGTGTTGTTGAAGTTCTTTATTGATTTTCTGTCTGGATGATCTATCCATTGTTGAGAGTGGGGTATTGAGTTCTCCTTTGATTATTGTATTGTTTTCTATTCCTACTTTCAGTTCTGTTAATATTTGATTTATTGATTTAGGTGCTCCAATGTTGAGTGCTTAAATATTTACAATTGTTATATCCTGTTGATGAACTGACCATGCTATCATTATATAATGATCTTCTAGGTCTGTTGTGACCGTTTTTGAGTTAAAGTCTATTTTGTCTTATATAACCACCTCTGCTCTTTTAAAATTTCTACTTGCATAGTATGTTTTATCATCCCTTTGCTTTCAGCCTGTATGTATCCTTAATGATAAATTGTGTCTCCTGTAGAGAGCATATAGTTGGATCTTGTTAGTTTATCCATTCAGCCACTCTATGTCATTTAATTGGAGAATTTAATGCACTTAATTTAAAGATAATTATTGATAGGTAAGGACTTACTGTTGCCATTTTTTTAATTGTTTTCTGACTGTTTTGTAGTTTCTTTCATACTTTTTTGCTGTCTTTGTCGTTTGATGACATTATCCCTTATGGTTTTGATTCCTTTATCTTTTGTGTATCTAGTACAGTATCTTCTTTGGATTACAATAACGCTTACATAAAACATCTTATAGTTGTAACAGTCTATTTTAAGTTGATAATTTAACCTCAGTTGCATACAAAGCTCTATGTTTTTACTAGTCTCCATTATATTTTATGTTGTTGATGTTACAATTTACATCATTTTATATTGTGTATCTGTTATCAGAATATTGTGGCTACAGTTATTTTAAATATTTTTGTCTTTTAAGAAAATAATTAAAAGTGAATTTCATGCTTCTATTACAGTATTATTCTTATTTTTACAATAAATTTACATTTACCAGTAAACTTTATACTTTCATATGTTTTCAAGTTACTAATTTGTGTCCTTTTGTTTTAGCTTGAAAACTCTAGACTTTCTTGAAAGGTACATCTAGTGGTCATAATCTCTCAATATCACATTTGTTTGTCTAGGAAAGTCTACCTTTCTTTCATTTCTGAAGGATAATTTTGCCATATAAAGTATTTGTGGTTGGCAATTTTTCCTTCAGTGTTTGAATATATCATCCCACTCTTTCTTGGGTTTACTGCTCAGAGACATACAGAACTACCCTGGCACCCAGGGCCTGTGGCAGTGGCATATTTTCTGTGGAACTGGGAACAGTGTCTGATGCATAGGTGCGTGAAGATTGTCCATGGAGTCTTTGTCTCCAAAGCATGCCATGGTGACTCAGCACTGGTGAACCAAGATGTAGCAGTGTCACAGGCCATGGGGTGACAGGGCTTAGTGGTGGTCTGGGACCGAAGGGTAAGGCACAGCAGTAGTGCAGCCGAGTGGATGGCAGGTTGCAGTCACAACTCTGACCCGTGGGCATGGGATGCAGAGAAGCTGCAGCAAGGTCCTAGTGATGGCTAGTCAGAGCTGTGACTCATGACCCAGGGGGCTTCATAATGGTAGTTCAAAGTTATGATTCAGTTTCCAGGGGATGGGTAGAGCAGCAGTAGCATGGACCAGTGATGGCAGACAGCAGCCGAGAGACAGGCCCCAGAGTGAGGTGCAGGGCAGCACAACTTGGTCACATATGGTGAGGCGCTGTGGTGTTTTCATTCCAGATCATTGGGTGTGGTAATGACTTGGGGGTGGTGATTCAACACAGTAGTAGCTGGGGGTGGGGATTCAACACAGTAGCAGCTCCAGGCCCAGGGAAGAGACACAGAAGTGGCTCCATCTTTGGAAGGAACACTGCAGTGTGCAGTGTACATTCCAGGCAGCTATGTCAGCTGGGCTCGGCATTTGTGATGACTGTGGGATTCTTTTTCTTTTTCTTTTCATTTTTGAGACAGAGTCTCACTCTGTGGCCCAGGCTGGAGTGCAGTGGTGTGATCTTGGCTCACTACGACCTCTGCCGCCCAGGTTCAAGCGATTCTCCTGCTTCAGCCTCCCGAGCAGCTGGGATTACAGGCACCTGCCACTGTGCCTGGCTAATTTTTGTAGTTTTAGTAGAGACTGTGTTTCACCATCTTGTCCAGGCTGGTCTTGACCTCCTGACCTCATGATCCACCCGCCTTGGCCTCCTAAAGTGCTGGGATTACAGGCGTGAGCCATTGTGCCTGGCCAACTGTGGGATTCTTGACAGCAAAAGTTTAGTCATTGTGATCTTCAGTTCCAAAGTATTTTTTTGTTTCTGTCTCTTGTTGAAATTAGAAATTTTTTCATGTATTGTTTGTGTGACTTTGTTTAGTTGTCTGTTATTCTTGTAGCTTACCAAGCTTCTAAAATGTGATAATTTTGAAACTTTTCTAGCAGTTCATATGTCTTCATTTCTTTAGGTTTGGTTACTCTTGCTCTATTTTGTTGCTTTGGTGGTGTCATGTTTTCTTGATTATTTGTGATTGTTGTGGCCTTGCATTGGTATCTGCACATTTCAAGAAGTCACCTCTTCCAGTGTTTACAGACTGGCTTCAGCAGGAAAAGTTCTTCACTAATCAGCCTGTCCAGAGTTCTGGATAGGACAGTTGATGTGGTCCATGGTTGGGCTTGCTGATGGAGTCCTTGAGCAGTCTGCCCTAGTGCCTGGGTCAGCATGTGAGCAGTAACGGTGCCTCGGTTTTTAGGTGTTGGTCTGTGTTCTCGGTATTTGGCCTAGTGCTAGAGTACACTGGGATGGGCCTGGCTACCGGGTCTGCAGGATTGAGTCTGGATCCTGAATCTGTGGCAGTGGGCTTGGTGCCTGGGACTATAGAAGCAGGCCTTAAAGCCTGGGTCTGTAGGTACTAGCCTGGTGTCTGGGACTGTTGGGGTGGGGCAGCCTGAAGCCTGGGTCTGCTGGGGTTGGCCTGGAGCTTGGGTCTGTGGGGACTGGCCTGGAATTCGGGTGGGCCTGGATCCTGAGTCTGCAGGGTAGACCTAGGGCCTGGGTCTTCAGAAGCCAGCTCAGCATGGGAATCTATTGGAGTGGTCCTGTATCCAAGGTCTCTGGGGCCTAGCCTGGTGCCAGAGTCAGTGCGGGTGAGTCTGGAGCCTTGATCTGAGAAGGTGCACTTGGAACCTGGGTCTATGGGGCTGGCCTGGGTCCGGGGACAATGGTGGCCTGGTGCTGGGGTGGATCTGGGGCCTGAGTCCATAGTGACAGGCTTGGAGACTGGATCTGAGGGCTGGCCTGGTGCAGGGTTCACAGGGCATGGTATAGCCTGGCTTTGCAGGGTTTGGTTTGGTGCTAGGATGGGCTTGGAGGTTGGTTCTCCTGGGGCTGGCCTGTAGCCTAGTTCCACGGAAGCTGACCTGGTCCCAGGGTCCACTGGGCAGGCCTGATGTGGAGGCAGCTGACCTGGTCCTCGGGTCTACTGGGCGGGCCTGATGTGGAGGTGAAGTCAGATGCTCACTTCTTTCCCATTTGGATGGCGTCCATCTCTGTGTTGTGCTGTTCAGGCTTTGGGGAGGGTTGACACAAGTGATATGAACCTATCCTTCTCACCTTCATGCATCTTTTCTTATGTCTTTGCTTCACCCAGGTGCTATAATCTTTACACTTGAATTCCTTCATTTTTGTGAAGTTATTTTCTCATTCGCATGGTTGTTTAAATTTACATTTCTGTGAGATGGAGTGCTTGGAACTCCTATTTCACCATTTTTGCTAATGTAACTTGGTTTATCATCCCTATCTTCTCAATTTTTCTGTAAATCTAAAATTGTTTTAAAAACGAAAGTTCATTAAAAATGAAAAAGGATAATGGAGAAAATGGGGAAATAGATTCACCTTCTAGTCTTGGCTCTGTCACTTCCTGTTTCTCTGAGCTTCTCTAAGATTCATTTTCCCCTTCTGTGAAATAGAAGTAGCTGTAGAAAGTACTTAATGCAGTTGCTGTAATACTTTACAGAGGCAATGCATGGGATATAAACCATACAGTGCCTGACATATGCCATATATATTTAAACGGTGAGTAAATTCATATAACATCATTCTTCACCTTTAGTGTGTATTTTTTTTTTAGCAAGAACATTCTTTTACCTAATTCCTGTAAAGTTATAAAATTCAGAAAATGTCACATTGAATTGTCTCAATTATGTTTTTTAAATCACCTTTTTTTTCTATTCCAGGATCTAGTCCAGGATCATATATGACATTTAGTTCTCATGTTTCTTTAGTTTACTTTAATCTGGAGCAATTTTTCAGCCTTTCTTTGAGTTTTATTAATTGATATTTAAAGGAAATAGTTTACAATTCAGGCATAATAATTGTACAACTGGTATTTTTGAGGAGTCCAGACCAATCTTTTTGTGGAATGTCCCTTAATTGGGGTTTGTCTGACTATTTACTTAAACCCATTTTTAAAAAGTAGGTTTAATTTTTTTCCAAGGTGTTTCTGCACAATGTTTAGAGTCAAATAGTTCTACGAGGCTTGTTTTTAAATAAGAAATTCACCAGACATCTCATTTTTACTCCTGTTACACAGAGGCAAGACCTGGTAACTCTTTTCATGGACTCTTTGAGTGTTTAACTCCCTATCTCTAAATAAAATGCTTATATTAATTTCTCAGACTTAGTATTATCTATTTAATTCTCACTATCAAAGATGATAATTCAGCTGTCTTCCACGTGTTTCCTTTTTATCACTGTATCTTTGCATATGTCTTATTTTCCATTCTGTCGCTATGGAGATCTAATTTTTGGTTTGTCGCCATTCAGTGTTTACATTAAATGACGATTAAGCCTGGTGCACAGCTAAACTATGTGGCATCTTGATTATTTTTCTTTTGGTACATAACTCATTAATTTTCTAGAATTAATACTACTTTTTAACATTTTTTAAGCTATAATTTGGTTATAACCAAATTATCCCCCAACTCACTTTTAGTTGTATAGTCTCCTCTTGGTATGTTTAACACAGTGGAGAGTCTATCCATTCCATCTTTATGAGGCATCTCTTCCTGAGCCCTCCACCTGCTTTCCTCTGGATGAGCTGCCTCTCCTGCCAGTGCACTCTTGGAGTGGATCTGACACCTCGGGGATTTCCTCCGCTTCCCCTTTGTGTTGCATATTTTGTTTTTTGTTTGTTTGTTTTGAGATGGAGTTTCGCTCTTATCGCTCAGGCTGGAGTGGGATGGCACAATCTCGGTTCACTGCAACCTCCGCCTCCCAGGTTCTCCTGCCTCTGCCTCCTGAGTAGCTAGGATTACAGGTGCCCACCACCACACTTGGCTAGTTTTTGTATTTTCAGTAGACACAGGGTTTCACCATGTTGGCCAGGCTGGTCTCAAACTCCTGACCTCAGGTGATGCACCTGCCTCAGCCTCCCAAAGTGCTGGGATTACAGGCGTGAGCCACCACACCAGGCCTGCATCTTCTGTTTACAAAGGCTTCCATTTTTCTCAATTAACTTCATTTTATCAGAGCATGTCCTGAGAATGAGTGCATCAAATGTAAAAATTTTGAGAACTTGCATGAATTAAAATAGCTTTATTCTATGTTTTAATAATAATTTAGCCAAGCGTAGAATTCTAGGTTAAAAATAATTTACCCTCGGCCAGGCGCAGTGGCCCATGACTGTAATCCCAGCACTTTGGAAGGCCAAGGTGGGCGGATCACTTGAGGTCAGGAGTTTGAGACCAGCCTAGCCAACATAGTGAAACCCTGTCTCTACTAAAAATACAAGAATTAGCCAGGCGTAGTGACGGGTACCTGTAATCCCAGCTACTTGGGAGGCGGAGGCAGGAGAATCACTTGAACCCGGTAGGTGGAGGTTGGAGTGAGCCGAGATGGCGCCACTGCACTCCAGCCTGGGCAACAGAGTGAGATTCCATCTCAAAAAAAAAAAAAAAAAAAAAGTAATAACTTACCTTCCATGTTTTGAAGGCATTTCTCCAATGTCTTCCTCTTCAGTGTGGCTTTGAGAAGGTCTTTACTATTCTGAGACTTGATCTTTGTATATGACTTTTATTGTTTTACTCCCTTTCTGGAAAAATTTTTGATCTTTTGCCTCAGTGTTCTGAAATTTCATAATGATGTGCATTCATGTGGGCTAATTTTATCTGCCGTGCTGGGCTGTTGGTAGCACCTTTTCAAATTAGAATCTTGAGTCCTTTAGATCTAAGATTTGCTTGATTTTACTTATGACTTTCACTGTATTATCTGTTTTTCCTTTGAGGATTCTTATTATTTGGTCTGTTGAATTTTTTTCTCTTTTCTTCCCATTTCTTTATGTTCTATTTCCTGGACAATTTCCTCAAGTTTCTCCTTTATTCTATCTTTTGAGTTTTTTCCCCTGCAGTCATATTTTCTCTTTCTGAAGATACCTCTTTTGCTCTCTAAGGGTTTCTCTCCTCTTGATCTGTTTGTGTTTAATTATAGTTTTTTGGAAGTTTCCTCTCCTTTCGTACTATTTTATCTCAGTTGCCTTTTTCTGTTTTGGTCTTTTTCATGAATATTAGAAGTATTCTCTCAAAAGTCTGGTGAGCTTTGGCTGTCTGTTTATGTTTAATAGTTGGGGGACCAAAATGGTGATAGAGAGCTCTAAACCTATGTGTAGGTATACTTTCTGCGCTTAGACTTTAGTGAACAGCAGTGGCTTCCATTAAAGGCTGGGTCATTTTGGTTGGGCATCTCTATGTCTATATCTTAAGGTCTTTCTCTTTGGATGGTTGGATTTCCCAGAAAAGCTGTTTGGATCTTCTGACTGAGGGTATTATTGTAGTGGCCAATTTTCTGGGGTGGGGTGAAAAAAGAATGCTAAGGTCTTCCATATTTAGAATGCTAACTTTTATATTCCTTCTGCTTTCATTATGAAAATCCATCTTGAAACTGTGTGTGCAGACCCATGTGCATGTGTGCACGCTCGTCTCTTTGAGAGAATGCTGGAGTCTGAGTCTTGTCTTCTGTGTCCTGCTTCTGAGCAAAGTTCTGCTGAGCAAAATTCTGCTGACTCCTTGGCAATAAGAATACTAATCTTTGTAGAATCTGAGTTAAAAATAGCTTTCCTAACAGTGATGTGCTTATTCTCTTAGCACCCGCACACCTATCCTTCTCCAGTCTCTGCCTGTTCTGTGCCCTGGAGGCTGACTCTCGTGGACATTATTACCTGAGAGTCCCCTTCTTTCTGGCTTCTAGTTAGATTTGACCAGTGGAAGCTACTAGCAAAGAATCAAAGGGTGTGAGAGAGAAAGGACCAGTATAATTACCCAGCCTCCTCCTTGACCAGTGCATATCTTTGGCAGCAGCTGTGCCCCCCACATCTACAGCATCTTCTGGGCAGTCCCTCTTCTATGTCCCTTGCCCTCAGGTAACACCAATTCCTCCCCTTGGCCTCTGAAGTCCTTGGGCTGGCAACAGCTCCCAGCTGTTTCTAGTCTCTGGGTACCTCAATGTTCCTTATTTGTTCTCTCCACTGTCTCCACATCTCTGTAAGTAGTGATTTATTTATTAGGAAAATTTGGGATAAATGATTTCCTGCTGGGACTCTGACCTATGTAGCCAGAAAGAACAATAGGATCCAAGATATTTCCTATTGCCATCACCCGCATTTCTCACCCCCAAGCTTTCATAGCTCATGGGACTTACTATTTGTAGCAGACACCGAGCTTGGCATGAAGGAACCACACTTTAACCCTGAGTCAGACGTAGGAATGAGCTTTCCAAATGTCTGGAGTTCTAGATAACTTAGATTTAATCCCTACTGTTTTAAACATGTTATACAAATTCTCTCTAAAACTTCTGCAGTAAACACTTTCTGTTTTGAGGATCTGTTGGTCATCACTAGCAAAATTAATGGATTTGTTTTGCTGTGTAAATTTAAACAAAAAGGAGACTGGGCTTAATAGAAATGTGGGTCAAAATAGTCCTGAGCACTTCTTTCAGAGATGAAATCCCTGATTTCAGCTTTGGTTTTATGCGACTCGCTCTTCATTTAAGTCAGAGTAAGAGGCATTTTTCAGAGGGCTTTCTTTGGTTGAGAGACCTCACTTCTCTGAAGTCTCCCTAGTTCTGCTGTGTCTGGCGAGCTTAATTCCCCCTGAGGAAGACAGGAGTCTGGGAGGCTGGAGAGGGTGAGGGCTACAGAAAGCTTCTATCCCCTTTGCCTGCAGGAAGATGGCCTGGATGATGGATGCAATTTCAAGATAATTCGAGACAGCTCTGGTGAAGGACACAGATTCTCATTGCACCAGCAAGCGTTTTGGTAGTCACGCTTCTCTTCGTCCTGGGTGCTCCTTGTCTCTTGGCTTTTAAGGCTGGAGTGCCTCTATCCTCCCACTGCTTCTTGGTATGACGAATCAGCTCCTAGCATCAAACATAAGCTGAGGTCAGGGATTTCATCTGAAAAAGAGATTCCCAAGGGTATTTAGGCCCCGTTCCACTCTCCTGAGCTTCTTCATTTAACTTGCATACTATCCCCAGCAGCTCCTTCCACTTCCTGTGCTTACACCCACCTCTGTTTCTGCAGGGTGTCCTTACATTTTATCCGTTCCCCATCCTCTCTGTTCAGCCAAACTCTTCCCATCTGCCCACACCCCTCCATTCCCACCTCTTTCAGAAAGCCTTCCACCATCCTTCCAGCCCCATCTTTTCTGACACTTTGACTTGTCCTTGGATGCCAGTGCTACTGTATTATTATTTTTTATCTTATATGGACTTTTTCATTTTTTTGCTGAACTACAAACTGTCAGCAGGTGAAGAGCATGCATTGTCACACAGCCTGTGGCACAGCACCGGGCATGTAGGTTGGTGCATATTTGTGGACTAGTTAGCTGACTTACTGGTTTGTGTGCTATCTGCTCCATTTTCCTAAAAATTTTAAGTAGGTGTGTGAAAATCAGTGCTTCAATCTCTTAGACTGTGTTTGGGTAAAGTATTTGAAACAGTGTGAACTGTACCTTGGTGTAAATGACAAGCGGACACTTGTTTATGCCTTTCCTCTTTTCTGGGCTCGCCTATTCATATGGCAAAAACCAAGTATTTGGATAATTTTTGAACAGAATTATTGAAGTGAAAATAAAACTGTGATGAGAAACACAAATAAAGCTGTTCAGCTGCTTGCAAGCAAAAGGAAGAGTGATTGGCGGGTCAGGGAGGAAAAGCAGAGCCCATGTCTGGAGTGAGGCGGCTCCGGGGAAGGATGGGCAGCCGTGCTCTGGGAGCCAGTGAGCTGTAACAAGCTTGCTGCTAAACTCCTTCTGTTTGCCCCACACTATGGAGGCCATTCTGAGCATCTTGACTCATTTCAAATTTCAGGAAGCAACTGCTGAGTGCGGATGAATACACTGGCCCTGATGGGGAAAGTTCTTGGAGGTGCTTCTTCACAGAGCTGTGAATGCCTATGTTTCTCACTCAAGTCCGTTTACTCAAAGACATTGTAACCATAAAGAATTATCTCCTGTATTTCGTTCTACAGAAGGATAAGCTTCTAGTATATTTCAGTTGATCAAACCTACAAGAGAGAAATGTGTCCTAAAAGCTTAATTAAATATGAAATTGGGTGAGAATCTGCCCTCTTGTTCTCTTAGTTCAATTCCAGAAAAATAAGGAATAGAATAGCAGTGTTCAACTGAAAGTGAGTGGGTTGGAACCAAACATAATTTAACACTGATCATAGTGATCACTTAACCACAGACTACCTTTAATGAGGACAAAATACTTTCACACCAGTTGTACAATTTGTTTCTGCTGGTAACCCTCACAGCAGGGCAGATATTGGAAATATTTTTATTGTACTTATTTTTTAAAATAAAATCAATATATTTGCATACCAGAAAGTTTATAAAATAGAGAAAAGGAGAAAATAAAACAATAACCCATTATATCCATGTAGTCTTTTTCATTTTTATTTATTATAGAGACAAGATCTCACCATGTTGCCCAGGCTGGTCTCAAACTCAAGGGATCCTCCTGCCTCGGCTTCCAAAAGTGCTAAAATTACAGGCATGAGTCACCACACCTAGTCTGTGTTGTCTTTTAAATGTGTATCCCTTTCTTATTATATAGCTACAATCAATTTGAACCTTGGTTTCTTCACTTAATATTGATTGTATCCTAAGCATTTGCCTATGTTTTCCTATATTCTCCATAGTCTAACTTTCAATGGATTTATCACATTTTACTCCACATTTCATTCATTTTTCAATATTTGTCATTCTAAATAATATTAAGAGGGACATTTTAGTATACATAGGTTCTGGTGTTTAAGATTTCCCCCAAAGACTGAATTCCTGGAACTGTAATTATTAGATCAAAAGCTATGAACATTTCTAGTGGCTTTTGATTTTTTTTTTTTTTGGAGATGGAATCTCACTCTGTCGCCCAGGCTGGAGTGCAGTGGCACAATCTGGGCTCACTGTAAGCTCTGCCTCCCGGGTTCACGCCATTCTCCTGCCTCAGCCTCCTGAGTAGCTGAGACTACAGGCGCCCACCACCATGCCCCGCTATTTTTTTTTTTTTTTGTATTTTTAGTAGAGACGGGTTTTCACCATGTTAGCCAGGATGGTCTCGATCTTCTGAACTCACGATCTGCCCGCCTCGGCCTCCCAAAGTGATGGGATTACAGGCGTGAGCCACCGCGCCCAGCTGGCTTTTAATTTTTATTTTTAAATTGTTCTTCAAAGAGGCTGAGTAAGCAGCACACATGCTGCTTCACATGAACCAATTCTCCACGTGCTGGCTAGAAATCAGAAATGAGATGTTTAAGTTACTAATTTAATAGTGAGAAACAAATATTTGTTGGTATTCTCATTTGAAGTCTTCTCAATGTAAAATTATCTTTCTATGTCTGCTTTCTAGCCGCATTTGACAGGACAGACATTCTGTGCTCACTGGACAGAAAAGGACACAGGTTCAGAGACGTGGAGTGGCTTGCCTGTGGCAGCACAGCAGAGTGTTGAAACCAGGTCCTTGGGCTTCCAACTCTCAGTCCAGACCCCGTCTATTTGATGACTGGCTCCAGCCCTGCCACTCTGTCCTCGTGCGGAAGTTATCTCCTTTCTTTAAGCCTCACTCTCTCCATCTGCAAAACAAAGTGCTTGGACTGCAGTCAGTGGTTTTCATTTTTAATATAATTAAATTGAAGGAAATTTTCTTCAAATGAATGTTGTGCTGAAACCCAGTATAGAAAACTGTGAATGCAAAACACCTCTGAGTTGATTGGCAAGGGGACTGGAGGCCCCGGTCACCTCCTTTTCTCTTTCAAAATCTCCATTCTTTTTTTTTTTTCTGCAAAATCTCCATTCTTATTGTGTCTCCTTGAAATACTTAGATATCACCTAGTCCAAGTGGTTTCCAGGCAGCACTTCCATCATCTTATCCAACTTTGATATTCCATCAGTTATCACAACTCAAACTTTCCAGGATATATTTTAAACTGACTTTCGTGTCTCTTTGCTAGCTTGCTCTCAAGCAGTTGGTATCTGGGAACTCCAGATTCTGATGATATGGTGAAAAGAAAACTTGGCACAGAGCCAGGACACCCAAGTTCTCTACCTATAACATGGGGGTCTTTCTGTTGTTGGTGTCCCCATTTAATATAGAAATAATCACCTCTGGCTCTCCTGTCTTGTAGAGTTGTGAGGATCACACGTGTTAAGCTCTGTATGCTGTCTTTTCCCCTTTCCAGGCACATGGCAGGTTAACTTCCCTGCCCTTTTGGAGTTGGACTTGGCCATGTGATTTGCTAGCCAATGATGCGCCTGTGGAGATGATGTGTGTCATTTCCGGGGGGAAGTTTTAAGAACTCGTGCTTGATTCACTTTGTTCTTTCTCCTCCTGGAGCAACTGTAGAGGCACATCTCAAAACTCACTTCCAGTCAGCATGGGTTTAAGAGTGGTCAGTATTAGCAGAGATCCTGGCATAACCAAACCATCCTGGAGAGTAATCAAAAACTAAAGCTTTGCTGTGGTGAGCCCTGAGATATTAGGGTTGTTTGTTATTACAGCAAAACCTAGCCTATCCTGACTAGTCTAGTGTGTGTGAGGGTAATTAACATTGACATCCACATTATTGATTAAACTTCTAGAGTTTTTGAAGCATGCAGAGCTTCCAAAACCTAGGAAAAATGATTATCTGAAGACTGCTTTTGAACTGGAAAGTTCAAAACACATTTAACAATTAGCCTAACATTTGTAAAACCTTTTGTTTTGCAGATTTAAAGCCAAGAATGTTAGTGAAACATAGTGTTGGTCAGATATTCGGCTTTTCTCTCCCTCCCCAAATGCTGAATCTTCAGGAGCTTAAAGAATGACTGTGATTTTTTTTTTCTACAGAGATTCAAGTTATCTAAACTAATCTCTTACTAATCCTCTTATTCTTCCAGCGAGTTCATGAAATCAGTGAATTAAGCATTGCAGAGCATATACAGTTATGAGAACAGTATGTTGGGGAAGGGAGCTGGTTTGCAAAAAGATTTCACCTGTGCTTTACTGACACAGTAGCCATAATACAAAAGCAGTGCTTTAAGTAGTGTTACTGATAGGAAATAAATTTATCCTGACCTTATAAAGCTTGAAGGTGATGTTTTGTAGAAGTTACAAAGGTGAACATAGCCTGGTACAGGCAGCTCTGCAGTGGAGCTGGTTTTTTGACCTACACCAAGGGATCCTGCACAACTCATAGCACTTTCTTGGCCCCAGGTTCCCCATCTGTAAAATAAGGGCTCAAGTTCCTGACTTACTGCTTCAAGGGTGAAATGAGATGATGTATAGAAGATTACTATAAAAACAAAAAAAGGATAATTTTGTAATGAGTTGGTATTAGCTGAAGTCTCTATTCAATTTGTTTGGAAGTCTGTTACTCAGATGCTTTAAGCAGCAAGTGTCAGGAAGCCCTTTCCAATAGTGTATAATACATTTAAAACTGTCTATAAAAACATTTAATCCAACAACTCTTCATGGTAAAAACCCTCAACAGACAAGTATCGAAGGAACATATCTAGCAATAATAAGAGCCATCTATGACAAACCCACAGCCAGTATCATACTGAATGGTCAAAAGCTGAAACTATTCCCTTTGAGAACTGGAACAAGAAAAGGATGTCCACTCTCACCACTCCTATCAACATAGTACTGGAAGTCCTAGCCAGAGCAATCAGTTAAGAAAAATAAATAAAAGACATCCAAAAAAGAAAAAGAAAAATTCAAACTATCTCTCTTCACTGACAATATGGTTCTACACCCAGAAAATCCTAAAGACTCCTAGAGCTGATAAACAATTTAGCAAAGTTCAAAATACAAAATAAAGTTTTGAAAATCAGTAGCATTTCAATACAACAACAACGTCCAGACTGAGTCAAGTCCAGAACACAATCCCACCTACAATAGCCACAAAGAAAATGAAATACCTAAGAATACAGCTAACCAAGGAGGTGAAAGATATCTTCAAGGAGAACCACAAAACACTGCTGAAAGAAATCAGGGATGACACAAATAAATGGAAAAACATGCTATGCTAATGGACTGGAAGAATCAATATCATAAAAATGGTCACACTGCCCAATTTGCAGATTCAATGCTATTTCTATCAAACTACCAGTGTCATTTGTATTAGGCTATTCTTGCATCACTATAAAGAATACCTGAGACTGGATAATTTGTAAAGAAAGGAGGTTTAATTGGCTCATGGATCTGCAGGCTATAAAACTGTGGCACTGGCATCTGCTTGGCTTCTGGGGAGGCCTCAGGGAGCTTTTGGTCATGGCAGAATGTAAAGTGGGAGCTTGTGTGACAAATGGTGAAAGCAGGAGCAAGAGAGAGAGTGGGAGAGGAGATGCCACACTTTATAGCAACCAGATTTCATGAGAACTCACTCGCTATCTGAGTACAGCACCAAGCCATGAGAGATCTGCCCCCATGACCCAAACATCTCCCACCAGGCCCTACCTTCAACATGGGGGATTAAAATTCAAACTATATCATTATTCTTCACAGAATTAGAGAAACTATTATAAAATTAATATGGAAGCAAAAAGAAGCCCAAATAACATAAACAATCCTAAGCAAAAAGAATAAACCCAGAGGCATTGCACTACCTGACTTTCAATTCTACTATAAAGCTACAGTAACCAAAACAGCGTGGCACTGGTATAAAAACAGACACATAAAATAATGGAACGAAAAAGAAAACTCGGAAATTAAGCTGCACACCTACAACCATCTGATTTTTGGCAAGGCCAACAAAAACAAGCAATGGGGGAAAGGACTCCTCATTCAATAAATGGTGCTAAGATAACTGACTAGCCATATGCAGAAGATTGAAGCTGGACTCCTACCTTTCACCATATAAAAAGTTAACTCAAAATAGATCAAACATTTAAATTCAAGACCTACAATTATGAAAATCCTAACAGAAAACCTAGAAATTACTCTTCCTGACATAGGCCTTGGCAAAATTTTTTTGGCTAAGTCCCCAAAAGCAATTGCAACAAAAACAAGAATTGACAACTTGGACCTAATGAAACTAAAAAGCTTCTGCACAGCAAAAGAAACTATCAATAATGTAAACAGACAACTTACAGAGTGGGAGGAGATACTTGCAAACAAGGCACCCCTATCCAGAATCTATATGGAAATGAAACCAATAAGCATGTAACAAATAAACCCCTTAAGAAATGGGCAAAGGACATGAACAGATGCTCCTCAAAAGAAGACATGAAGGCAGACAACAAATGTATGAAAAAAGAGTTGGCATCACTAGTAATCAGAGAAATGCAAATCAAAACCACAGTTTGTTACCATCTCACACTAGTCAGTATGGCTATTACTAAAAGTCAAAAAACTGCCGGGTGTGGTGGCTCATGTGTGTAATCCCAGCACCTTGGGAGGCCAAGGTGGGCAGATCACGAGGTCAAGAGATCGAGACCATCCTGGCCAACATGGTGAAACCCCTGTCTCTACTAAAAATACAAACATTAGCTGGGCATGGTGGTGCATGCCTGTAGTCCCAGCTATTCGGGAGGCTGAGGCAGGAGAATCGCTTGAATCTGGGAAGCGGAGGTTGCAGTGAGCCAAGATCGTGCCACTGTACTCCAGCCTGGTGAGAGAGCGAGACTCTGTCAAAAAAATTGAAAAAAATGAAAAGTCAAAAAAGAACAAATGCTGATGAGCCTTTGGAGAAAAGGGAACACTTATGCACTTTTGGCAGGAATATAAATTAGTGTAGCTACTGTGGAAAGTTTTCTGGAGATTTCTCAAAACACTTAAAACAGACCTACCATTTTACCCAGCAATCCCATTGCTGGGTATATATCCAAAGGAAAATAAATCATTCTACCAAAAAGACACATGCCTTGGTGGGTTCACTGCTGCACTATTCACAATAGCAAAGACAAGGAATCCACCCAAGGGCCCATCAATGGTAGACTGGGTAAAGAAAATGTGGTATATATATATATACCATGGAATACTATACAGCCATAAAAAAGAATAAAATCATGCCCTTTGCAGCAACATGGATTCAGCTAGAGGCCATAATCCTAAGCAAAATAACAGAGAAACAGAAAACCCAAACACTGCATGTTTTCACTTGTAAGTGGGAGCTAAACATTGAACACGTTTGGACATAAACATGGCAACAATGGACACTGGGGACCACTTGGGGGGAAGGAAGGGAGGAGAATATGGGTTGAAAGGCTACCTATTGGGTACTATGTTCACTACCCGCGTGATGGGATCCATACCCAAACCTCAGCATCATGCAATATTCCCTGCACATGTACCCCCTGTATCTGAAACAAAAGTTGAAATTGAAAAGAAAAATAAAGCATGAAAGAGAATCTGATTGCCAACTTAACTAAAAACTCCAGGAAGTCTGATGCTACTTTGGTTCTTTCTCTCTCCTGTGCTTCCTGCATTCTGGCTTTATTCACAGGCTGCCTCTGTCCATGTGGTGACCTCTGCAAGCTCCAGGTCACAGAATAAGGAATGTTTCTCTATACTAAAGCCCTGGCATTGAGTTCAGCTGGCTTGTATTGGGTAATGTATGTATTTCTGGGCTTTCTGGACATGTAAGGAGAGAAGACCCCACCACATGGGTGAGAAGGGGAGATGTGGATCCCAAAAAGAAAATCAAAGTGCCCTAATCAGGCTGAATGACCAAAACAAGCAGATGTCCTCCACAGCAGGTGAGAGCATCCTTCTACCTTTCTTTTTGAGTCCTGAGCTTTGAAGAGGCCAATTGCCACCCCCAGCAGCCTGGCATTGGAGCCTGACAGGTAGCACTGTTAACATTTCAGCCACAGTCTCTGTTATAGCCAGGGCTCAAGGGTCTTCAGGAAGCCTCAGGGACCTTCCCTCCACAGATGCAGCCACACAGCTGGAACTATGAGACATGGTGAGAAGGCAGAAAAGGGCACCTTCTTTGTTGTTGAACTGTAAGAATGCATTTTATGTTTAATTTTAGATTCAGGAGGTACATGTGCCTGTGCATGTTTGTTACATGGGCATATTGCATATTGGTGGGGATTGGGCTTCTATTGTATCCATCACCCAAATATTGAGCTTTGTATCCAATAGATAATCTTTCAACCCTCAACTCCCTCCCTTCCTCCCGCCTTTTGGAGTCCCTAGTGTTTACTATTTTCATCTTTATGCCCATGGGTACACAATGTTTAGCTCCCACTTATAAGTGAGAACAAGTGGCATTTGGTTTTCTTTCCCTGTGTTAGTTTGCTTAGGATAATGGCCTCCAGCTTCATCCATGTTGCTGCAAAGGGCATGGTTTCATTCTTTTTATGGCTGCATAATATTCTATGGTGTATATATACCATATGAAGAAAGAATTTTTTTAAAGATACTATTCATTCTGTAGTTTCCTGCAGTGTACATTGGAAACTATCCCAAGAAGAATTCACGTAGACCCAGTAACTGTTATTCAGGAGACAGAAATGTCTTCCCATGACACCTCTCCCACATCCCCCCGCCCACCGGGGAAGGAGTCAGGGGAGAATTTATCCAGGCAGACTTTGCACACCTGGCACTGACTGAGGTGCTGTGGAGGATGTTGGAGGCGGGGTGTGCAATGGGCCTTGCCCTGGGAGATTCTAGTGTTATTGGAGATGAAATTGAAACACAGGAAATGGATAGAGACCATCAGGAAGATGTTAGACGTAATTAGGTATGTGATTTGCAAAGAGTGCTGTGTACTTGAGAAAGGAGGAAGCAATGGTTACTGGAGGTGCAAAGGAAGGCCCCACAGGGGATGGATGGAGAGATGGTTAAAAATCAATTGCATTCACCATGGGCTGTGCCCTCACTGTGTGCCATGAAACTACTGACCACTTTGCATCTTCCATGCGTGCTCTCTCTCTCTCCTGTAGCTGTAAGAGGTGGTGCTAATGAGACCATTTTGCAAATGCACAGTCAGCTCAGAGAGGTTAAAGCCACCCAGATTGTCATGGCAGAGTCAAAGCCCAGTGACCTCATCTACTGCTTCATCCTCAGCTACTCCTGTGACAACTTGGGTCAAAGTCTTGTCATAATCAACATCGTGATCCTGGCTTTTGCTAGGATGTGCCAGGAAGAGCACTTCAAATGATTGGTTTAGCCACAGGCTTGAAAGTTGTTTTAAAGTAACATTTTTTAGCAATTGAATGTCTTTTATATTAAAATAATTTTTATATTAAAAAATAATTAAACTTTTAGGGCTTCAAAATAAATAGAATTATGTAGTTATAATAAATGTTACACAGAAAACTTTCCATGAAAACTGGGAATTTCTGTTCAAGTATATTACAGATTTTGTTTTTTCTTTAAATTTATAACTGTGAAATTAGGGTGTTTGGGAGAATCAAGACAGTATCTTTCACTGACCTGGAAAACCCAGTAACCTAGCATCCTCCCAGGCTAGAAGAGGCCAGATTACTGAATTTTTATGGTATATTTCATTCTTAAAGATTGAAATGGCATACAGTTGTTCTTAATACTTAGTTTATGAAAACTCTAGTAGTTGCAAAAGCTCTATTTACTTAAAACACCATTTTCACTTACTGATCACAGATAAAAGTGAAATCTCAATAAAAATCTTTAAAAACAGGGCCGATTATCCTATAACAAGACAGTCAGATATAAGAAAATGACAGAATTAAGTCAGTGGCTTAACAATGTCTTCAAGGATGCAGGCTCAGGACGGGTGCTGTGGTTAATGCCTATAATCCCAGCACTTTGAGAGGCTGAGGCAAGAGGATTCCCTGAGACCAGTAGTTCAGACCAGCCTGGGCAACATAGGGAAACTTCATCTCTACAAAAAAATAGAATAATTACCCTGGCATGGTGGAAAGTGCCTGTGGTCCCAGCTACTCAGGAACAGAACCCAGGCACCCCTGACCCCTTGCATGTGGAACGTGGGCTTCTGAGATGAGCTCATGCTTTAGACTCTGGACAGGAGCCAAGAGAAATGGAGCACCTGGTTGGCTTTTTACACTGTGGAAGTAGCAATACCCTTTGACCTGCCTGTTTCACTAAAGCCTCGTCTATCCAGAACTGCCTGGAGGATGTCCTTAAAGGCCCTCTTGATTGTCTACTTGGAGTCTCGGGCTGCCCATCTCATCAGGGTCATGGTCACTTGTGAGCAAAGAGTTGCGGCAGCACCTCAGTTCTCCATGAAGCCTGTCCACCTGGCCTGCAGGGACAGAGGAGCATGAGCACCCTGCTTTCTTATCTCATCCTTGGGTCAAAGGTAATGTTTCTATGTGTTCAAGAAATGCAAGAGTAGTTCTGCCTATTTTTTTTAATAGCTGAACTTAATTTCTTTTGTGAGGTCCCATTCTTAGGGGTTATGGAAATTGCAGCTGATGAGGGTTTTTGCAGTTTCAAAGAGGTTGCATCTAGTTCTGTGGGGCTTCTATGGTGTGGGGGAACAGGTCCTCCCCATCATCCTTGTGTATTTGGTAACTTCTGAGCATGTATTTGACCTGGGTTTCCCGTGAAAGCAGACCTGAGGTAAGAACTTGTGTGCAGGTGGTTTATTTGGGAGCTGACTCCAGGAAATGAGTCACTGGGAAGGTTCAGAACATGGTGGGTTATTGAGTTGGTCATGCTAGAGACAGCTGGAGTTCAGTCCAACCAGGATGCTCTGAGGAATATGGCGAAGGCCTCTTGGAGTTGTTTATGTGAGGTCGATGTTCCCAGCTGCTCTCTTTCCCGTTGGTGGAAGCTTGTCTAGAGGATGGGACATCTCCCCAGCACTTCTCTGCTGCTCCTGTGTTCCTGTGGCTGAGTTCCCACCTGCCTGTCTCCTCCCCTGCTGGCAGTGTTGGAGAAGCTGCGGTGCAGAAAAGGAAAAAGCTCAGTGTGCACTTAGGCAGGATACTGTCAGTCTGATGAGGATCAAAACCACTGCAAATTCAGGAGTGCAGCCGAGGTGTGAGGCGGGCACACAGGTGTCCTCTCCAGGATATGAGACATGTGTGACCTATCTGGTCATCTGTTTGGAAGCCCTGTGCCAAGCCCCTGCCATCTGGGGCAGATGGGGAAACATATCCCTCCACCATGGGTTGGAGGGCGCCCTGCTTCTGAGCCTCTGTGTGTTTGGAGTTTTTGTGCTCATGAGCGCTCCATGAGGTTGCCTGGCATGGTCAGCCTAGACGTCCCATGCAGCTTGATGTTTTTTCCAGTTTCCTGGCCCCTGCCTGGCTCCCACTAGAGAGGCCAAGCCAGGTCAATCTGCTCTTAGAGACCCCCAAACTCTCTGCAGTTTCTGCTTTTCTCCCTACTTGGCTCAGAACAGGGGGTGGGGAAGTGGTGGCAGAGTACAAGCATCACTTTGTCAGAAAGTCTGAAGGTCCTGGCATCCTGGCTTTCTTTCTCCAAAATCAAGGAATCTTTTCTAGTTCTGAGAATGAAACACTGTTGTTTCTGATTGCCATTATTCTATGCTTTGAGTTCCTTGGGGCTTAAACTTTAAGACTTAGAATGAAGAAATCACTCCTGCCTTAGGCTGGCTTCCTCCTAGGAGCAGACTCTGAGAAGGTTTATTTGGGAGGTGGTTCTGGGAAGTGCTGGTAGAGAAGTAGGGAAGGGCAGAGAAAGCAGCCAGCAAAATGTGTGTCATCAAACCAGTAATCACTGTGAGTGGCTGCTTAATCCTGCTGGGGAGTTCTGAGAGCTGGCATAGAATGCAAGCCTCCTGCAGCCATGAAAAAGAACAAAATCATTTCCTGTCCAGTGACATGGGTGCAGCTGCAGGCCATTATCCTAAGAGAATTAAGGCAGAAACAGAAAACCAAATACTGCACGTTCTCACTTATAAGTGGGAGGTGAGCATTGGGTACACAGAGACACAAAGAGCAGAACAATAGACACTGGGGAGGAAGGAAGGGAGGCAAGGGCTGGAAAACTACCTATTGAGTGCTAGGCCCACTACTTGGACAATGGGATCACTAGAAGCCCAAACCGCATCATCATGCAGTATACCCATGTAATACATCTGTACATGTACCCCTTGAATCTAAAACTTGAAACAAATTTAGAACATTGTTCTATAAAAAGGGGGAATACAAGCCCCTAAGTTATTTCACCTGACAGGTGAGGGAGCTGGGGTATTTATCTACCAGTTTGCATTAGTTATTGGATGACAGCTGCTTATAGAAGTTATTTCTCTGGCACATTGGCCTCCCTTGGGTCTGGGAGGAGAAAGTTCTAAGGTAAAGGAATGCAGACATGGCAGCTGGATGTTGCACAGGGATGCCCAGAAGTGGCGAGGACTGAAGGGGCATGGATGCAGCATCAGTAGGGCCTACTTCAGCTCCCTTGCTTTTTCTTATTCTTCTATACTTTCTCCCACGCAGTTAACAAGAAATGGCCTGATGGTTGGAAAGGAAGAAAGGAATGAGATGCAATGAAATTCTGGGGGAAAAACTCTCAGTATGTCAAAATAGCATCCCAGTAATTTTCCTTATTGGGAAGGCTAATGGTGTCTTCCATGGGCAGGAGGACTGTGGGTTCATTTGTCTGATTTAAGGATCCAGAAAAATTTTCAAGGATGAAGTATTCATGCTGCCTGAAGGACCTGGAATTTGTCAGCCAGCACGTGGGTAGGTGTGGTTTCAGTTACACATTAACTGTGCAAGTTTAAGAAGATGGCTCAGCACTGTGGTTAAGGACTAGACCCCAGGGTCAGTCAGGCCTTAGTGCAAGCTCTGGCTTAGCTTCTAACTTGCTTTGTAAGCTTTGGCCTTACAAAGGCCTAGTTTCTCCTTCTCTAATATGAAAATAATAAAGTACCTTCATCGGCCAGGTGCGGTGGCTGATGCCTGTAATCCCAGCACTTTGGGAGGCCAAAGTGAGCAGATCACCTGAGGTCAGGTGTTCCAGACCAGCCTGGCTAACATGGTGAAACCTTGTCTCTACTAAAAATACAGAAATTAGTCGGGCATGGTGGCGGGCACCTGTAATCCCAGCTACTTGGGAGGCTGAGGTGGGAGAATCGCTTGAACCTGGGAGGCGGAGGTTGCAAGTGAGCCGAAATTGTGCCATTGCACTCCAGCCTGGGCGATAAGAGCAAATCTCCATCTAAAAAAAGTACAAAATAAAGTACCTTCCTCACAGAGTGGTTTGATAATCAAATGAGAGAGTGCATTTGGATAATGTATTAACACAGTGTCAGGTCCAGGGCATCAATACTGGACTTGTTAAGGCCCGGTTTTCAGCTGGCATGTGTTGGAGGTTTATGGCCAATGTCACTTCTGACTGTTGTTATTATATTACACCCCTCCCCGGTGGCGGTTGCAAGATTCCTGACACAGGAGGCCCATCACCCTAGACCTGCCAGCGTTCATTTGGCCTTGCCTCCATTTTTCACTCTGTATTTACATTTGTGGTAGCTGCCCCTGGTAATCGGCCTACCGCTTGGATCTGCACAGAGGGAAATGTCTGTCCTTTCCCCTGAGCACTGTCTGGGTTAGGAATGACCCCTGAGAGGAAGACTGTGCCTGATCTCACCTCCCTGGCAGTTGGAGGGAGTCAATCCCCTGCCTCTCGTGGGCTGGCTGCCTCTACTGGGCCTTGTCACTCATTGTCATTCCCACTGATGAAGTTGCTGGCTCATGGGAGCATTGCTTGCTTGAGAGACTGAGGAAAGGGGCTGAATTTTACTCAACTTTGACACATTGGAGTGTGAGAATTTACATGTTATTAGTAACAAGTCACTGCACCGAGCTACCATGGTAATACTCCCCCTTCTTTTCCTGGCCACTCTGCTCCTATCCCAGGACCTCATCAAGATCCCCTGTTAGGTAACACTGGCCCAGCAGAGGTCCCTAGACCCTGCCCCAGCACCTTGGCCAGCATCCATTCCTTAGGCCATTGGGGCCCACGCCTAGCTGTTAAGTATTTTGAACATCTCTCCTGGGTATATGGTAGATGCTCAGGAAGCAACTGCTGAATTAAATGTTCTATAGATGGTGGTCAACAAGGGTGATGTTTCTGATTAAAGAATACTCCCTGCTAGTCTCCTCTGGGAATATCCTTTTCTCTTTTATCTCTGCAAGTCCAAATCCTATTTTTTATGACTCAGGTCAAACAATAGAAAGTAAGAGCTGGATGGAATCAACTTTAATTCAACTTCCACAACTAAATAATAAGGAAATGAGTCCTGAGGCCAGGAAGTGATTCACCCAAAGTGCCAGAACTCCATAAAGCCTTTGGGAATTTTCTCACCAGCTGTGTAACCATGGGTGCCTGGAAATATTCCCCTTCCCAGCTGAATCCTTGAAGTTCCAGTTTATTAGGGGCCAAGAGAAAAACTCCACTTCTGAAGGTGTGTTAGTCCGTTTTCACACTGCTGAAATAGACATACCCAAGACTGGACAATTTACAAAAGATAGAGGTTTGATTGGACTTACAGTTCCATGTGGCTGGGGAAGCCTCACAATCAGGGTGGAAGGCAAGGAAGAGCAAGTTATGTCTTACATGTATGGCATCAGGAAAAGAGAGAGCTTGTGCAGAAAAGTTCCCATTTTTAAAACCATCAGATCTAGTGAGACTTATTCACTATCATGAGAACAGCATGGGAAAGACTTGCCCCCATGATTCAATTACCTTTCACCTGGTCCCTCCCACAACACCTGGAAATTCAAGATGAGATTTGGATGGGAACACAACCAAGCTGTATCATTTCACCCCAGCCCCTCCCAAATCTCATGTCCTCACATTTCAAAATGAATCATGGCTTCCCAATAGTCCCTCAAAGCCTTTACTCATTTCAGCATTAACTCAAAAGTCCACAGTCCAAATTCTCATCTGAGAAAAGGTAAGTCTTTTCTGACTATGAGCCTGTAAAATCAAAAGCAAGTTAGTTACTTCCTAGATACAATGTGGGTACAGGGATTAGGTAAATACAGCCATTCCAAATGGGAAAAAGTGGCCAAAACAAAGGGGACACAGGCCTCATGCAAGTCCAAAATCCAGTGGGGCAGTTAAGTCTTACAGCTCCAGAATGATCTCCTTTGACTCCATGTCTCACATCCAGGTCATGCTGATGCAAGAGGTGGGCTCACATGGCCTTGAGCAGCTCTGCCTCTGTGGCTTTGCAGGGTACAGCCTCCCTCACAACTGCTTTCACAGGCTGGTGTTGAGTGTCTTTGGCTTTTCCAGGCCCACAGTGTAAGCTGTCAGTGGATCTACCATTCTGGGTTCTGGAGGACAGTGGCCCTCTTTTCACAGCTCCAGTAGGAAGTGCCCTAGTTAAAACACTGTGTGGTGACTCTGACCCCATATTTTCCTTCCACACTGCCCTGGCAGAGGTTCTATATGAGGGACCCACCCCTGCAGCAAACTTCTGACTGGACATCCAGGCGTTTCCGTACATCCTCTGAAATCTAGGCAGAGGTTCCCAAACCCCAATTCTTGACAGTTGCCAAGGCTTGAGGCTTGCACCCTCTGAAGCCATGGCCCAGGCTCTTCATTGGCCCGTTTCAGTCATGGCTGGAGTGGCGAGGACACAAACACCAAGTCCCTATGCTTCATACAGCATAGGAACCCTGGGCCCATCCCATGAAACCACTGTTTCCTCCTAGGCCTTCAGGCCTGTGATGGGAGGGGCTGATGTGAAGACCTCTGACATGCCCTGGAGACATTTTCCCTATTGTCTTGGGGATTGACATTCAGCTCCTCCTTATGCAAATTTCTGCAGATGGCTTGAATTTCTCTTCAGAAAAAAAGATTTTCTTTTATATTGCATTGTCAGGCTGCAAATTTTCCAAACTTTTATGCTTTGTGTCCCTTTTGAAACTGAATGCCTTTAACAGCACCCAAGTCACCTCTTGAATTCTTTGCTGCTTAGAAATTTCTTCTGCCAGATACCCTAATCATCTCTCTCAAGTTCAAAGTTCCAAAAATCTCTAGGGCAGGTGCAAAATGCTGCCAGTCTCTTTGCTAAAACATAGCAAGAGTCATTTTTGCTTCAGTTCCCCACAAGTTCCTCATCTGCATCTGAGACCACTTCAACTTTGAACTTATTGTTCATATCATTATCCGCGTTTTTGTCAAACCCATCGAACAAGTCTCTTGGAAGTTCTAAACTTTCCCACATCTTCCTGTCTTCTGAATCCTCCAAACTGTTATAACCTCTGCCTGTTACCCAGTTCCAAAGTCACTTCCACATTTTCGGGTATCTTCTCAGCAGTGCTCCACTGCACTGGTGCCTATTTACTGTTCTAATGAACATTAGTCTGTCTAATGCTCATTAGTCTGTTTTCATGCTGCTGATAAAGGCACACTTGAGACTGGGAAATTTACAAAAGAAAGAGGTTTAATTAGACTTACAGTTCCACATGGCTGGGGAAGCCTCACAATCATGGTGGAAGGCAAGGAGGAGCAAGTAACGTCTTACGTGGATGGCAGCAGGCAAAGAGAGAGCTTGCACAAAAAAACTCTCATTTTTAAAACCATCAGATCTCATGAGACTTATTCACTATCATGAAGACAGCACAGGAAAGACTTGCCCCCATGATTCATTTACCTCCCACCGGGTCCCTCCCACAACACCTGGGAATTCAAGATGAGATTTAGTTGGGGACACAGCTATATCGGAAGGTTTGCAAAGAAAAAAATCAACCCACAAAAGTCAGACTAATTGGAGAAAAGGCATATAAATGTGTTAATGTGCACACAGGGAGAAAAACACAGAGTAAGGACTCCTACCTCCCAAAGGGGTTCAGAAGCTTACATGCCATCTTGAGGCTACAGAAAAAAATGGGACTTGCCATCAACTGTGGATTGGATAAAGAAATCTACATTTGTGGATTTACATGTTGTACATATATACCGTAGAATACTACACAGCCATAAAAAAGACGAAAGTCATGTTCTTTGCAGCAACATGGATGCAGCTGGAGGCCATTATCCTAAGCCTATTAATGCAGGAACAGAAAACCAAATACTGCATATTCTCACTTATAAGTGGGAGCTGAACATCAGGCACTCATTGACATAAAGATGGGAACGACAGACACTGGGGACGTTACAAGGGAAGGGAAGGGAAGGGGGGCAAGGGTTGAAACACTGTATATTGGGAACTATGCTCACTACCTGGGTGATGGGTTCAATCATGCTACATCCCCTGAATCTAAAATGAAAATTGAAATTAAATAAAAATAATTGGGGCTTGGATTGCGGCAAAACAAATTATGGTGGTAAAACAGGTGATGGGAGGGGGAGAAGATGAGGCCTGGCTAGCATAGGTAGGCTTGTTAAGTAGCTAAAACCTCACAGGTGGCTGCCCTCAGAGAGGGTAGGTGGTAGATGTCTTTTTTAGACCTTAAAAGGTGTCATGATCTCAGTGAATCTTTCCTAGATCCAGACAAGGACAAGGGGAGGCCTCAGAGAAAAACTCGCAGTATCAGTGCAGCTTCCCTACAGATGCAAATCTCCCCCCACAGAAGACAGCTTTGCAGGGAGACTTCTGTTTGCCAGATCTCTGAACAGCCATCTCAAATTATTTCAAAAATATATTTTGGGGTAAAATATTTGGTTTCCCTAACTGCTTACAATAGTGTGGCTAGATCCTGAAGAATTTACATAGATTGTAGCATCTCTAAGTGGCAGGTTCTGCCATCACCTCTACTGTAGAAGTGAGGAAACTGAAGCTCAGGGAGTTTAAGTCACTGGCCAAGTGCACGAAGCAAGTAGTTGGTGAAGCTCTTACTTGCTGTGCTTTGAATCTTCTTTTTCAGTTATACTCTTCCTTATGCCACACCTCCTTCAGACCTGGAGGGCAGGGCATCATCTCAGCGTGCCTCCCGCCCAGGCACAGTGGGAGGGAAGCATTAGTAAGGGCTTAGCAAGTGTTTAACGAGTAAAAGAATGAATGCTAAGAACGGCTGAACTGTGATATGAAGGTGGGATGTATTCACAGTTCATATTTACTTGGGTTGGTGGGGCACGGTACGCAGATGTTATAATTCTGGATGAAAATCGAAAAGCAATTCGTGAGTGCTTACAGAGAAGCCAGCATGGCCATCACTAGATAAAAGGGTACTTTTCCAGCCTGGAGATACAAATATCATCTTTGCAGGTTTGCACGGCTTTCCCCAAGTCTTTTTTGAAAACTCTGCATGACAGAAATTCTAAATGAGTTTCCTCTCAGTTACCAGATACTTTGGAAGGGAGCTCTTGCCCAGATTTGCCATGCAATTCGCTGCCGGAAAACTCCATCATCCTTACCTGTCTCAGAGGGCAAGTTTTCCCATCTAATTATCTGAAGCAGCAGCTGGGGATCTAAGTAAAAGCTGGAGGGTTTCCACACAATTGCTATAGACTAGCTGCCTGTCTTTTAAGATAGTGGCCTGACAATTTGAGGAGACACTGCAGAGTTCCTTAGCAATGTTGCCTCGACTGTGACCTACCAAAGCTATTTATATGTGGATAAAAATGCAATCCAAACTCAACAGTAGCTTATTTTTAGTTCTCCTGGAGTGAAAATGCCCCTATAAATTGCCAGTTCTGGCAACTTTGCCTGCAGTTTTTGATTTTATTTAAATGAATGCCCACTGTTGACAAGATATATTGATAAGCCCACGTCTTCAAGATCAACCCACAGATGTAAAACATGATCAGCTACTGCAGAGAGGCCTTTGATTCCAGGAAATTGTCATGTTCCGTAGGCAAAGGTTCACTCTTTTTCTGTTGCTGGAGATCCTCTGTATTTTAACACAAGTGCTCCTCAGTTACACAGGGAAGACTCACTTAGAGATTTCCTGGGTCCATAGCAGCTTTATGAGGACAGAGGGATTTTAAAGGAAGGTACAGTCTGCGTGCAATACCTGGAGTAATTCTGCACCTTTGAGGGATATTTAAAGCCAGATTAACTGATTCTCGGTTCACTCTAAATAAGAGTTGATAATATGAACTCCCTTTGCATTTGAAGTCACTGAATCTTAAAAATAAAAAAGGGAAGTAAGATGTTGGTCCCGAAGTTGCTAATGGAGACAATGTCACTTGGGCCTCCTGGTAAAACACTGGCCTTTGCGTCTCTCCTCTTTCCTTCCTCCCGTTTATCCATTCATGCAAGCGCACGTGTTGCATTGGAGGCTCTACTCCGGCCACTGTTCCCAATGGTGGGACATGGCAGTGAGGAAGGCAGGTAAGACTCTACTCTCATCAAATTTCAACATAGGGCGTGAGGGTGTGGGAAAGGCAGGAAATATGCAGGTAAATAGATGAATAAAGAAAGTATTTTCAATGCGAAAAGGGCTATGAAGAAAAATGAAACTTGTGTCTTGTAGAGAGTGATGTGTGGAGTGCAGTGGCTCCTTTAGATGCAGTGAGTAGAGTTTTCAGAGGAGGTGACCTCTCAGCCAGTACCCGGGTGAAGAGGACGCCGCCTATCAGAGGGGCTGAGGAAGGGGAGCTGCACATAGAGGACAAGTCAGGCAGCCCTGACCTGAGGCTGCGCACTGCCTCCTGGGAAAAGGTTAAAAACCTGAGAAAGTCCTGAGTTGAAAATGTGGAGCTTGTCTGTGCCTCCCAGGACAAAGAGGGGAACCAGGGGAATGCAGATGATTCTCCTCCAAGCGCTTCCACCAGAATTTCACTCTTGGAAAAAACGCTTTTTCAGGTATTGGTTATTTTCCTGCTTGGCCACTTGATGGCACTGTTGCCCGTATAATTTTGCTAGGTCCCTGTTGAGGATGGTGTTGGAAATAATGACATTGTGTCTTCCTGAGACAGACTTTTTTTTTTTTTTTTTTTTTTTTTTTTTTTTTTTTTACCATGTTAAGAAACAATTTGCTACTGCTGAAATTCTTTTCCACCAGGAAGGGCTGCTTTCACCCAAAACCTAGAAGAGGGTGGCTATTTCTGTAGACATAGGTCTAAAAAAAGTCTTTATGGATTTTGGAACCCCAAGAACCACCAAATTCTCAGTCTCAATAAAACTGCCCAGTGACTCACCTCACCCTTGTAAACCAAAAGGTATCTGAGGCAAGTCTCAATCAATTTAGAGGTTTATTTTGCCAAGGTTAAAATAACCTTGGCACAGCCTCGGGACATCCTGACGACATGTGCCCAAGGTGGTCAGGCTACAGCTTGGTTTAATACATTTTAGGGAGACATAAGACATCAATCAATAGCTGTAAGATGTACATTAGTTCATCCCAGAAAGGTGGGACAACTTGAAGGCAGTGGGGTTGGGGAGGCTTCGAGGTTATAGGTGAATTCAGAGATGTTTCTATTGGCAATTGGTTGAAAGAGTTAAGATCTAGAATCAACAGAAGGGAGTGCCCAAGTTCAGATAAGGGGCTGTGGAGACCAAGATTCTTATTGTGCAGATGAAGCCTCCAGGTTGCAGACTTCAGAAAGAATAGATTGTGAATGTTTCTTATCTGACTTTTAAAAAGTGCCAGACTCTTAGTTAATTCTCTCCTGGATCAGAGAAAAGATCTGGAAGGAAAAGGGGATTCGCTACAGAATGTAAATTTTTCCCACAGGAGACAGCTTTGCAGGGCCATTTTAAAATGTGTAAAGAAATCTATTTTAGGGTAAAATATTTTGATTTCTTTCAGGGCCTGATACCTTTCATGTGATGCTACACTACATTCAGGCTGGAATTTGGTGTCTTATTGCTACAAAAAGTCTTAAGATCTCTGTTTTAATGTTGATGCTGGTCAGTTGTGCCTGAATTCCAATAGGGGGAGCGTATGTATGGTGAAGGGTATCCGGCCCTTGCCTCCTCATCATGGCCTGAACTCGTTTTTCAGGTAAACTCTGGAATGAATGCTCTTGGCCAAGAGGAAGGGTCCATTCAGATGGTTGGGGAGCTTAGAATTTTAGTTTTAGTTTACATCCCTGAGGCAGAGTGGGATTTCTAGGGAGTGAGAGATGCTAAAAAAAAATGTTCATCTGGGAAAGCCGGCATAACAGCCACACAATTAGCAAGACGCTCCCTCAATAAACCTTGGGAACTGGTTGCTGTGAGGAATGGAGGAAATTCCATCCCCTGATGAGAAGCTTATCAAGTCACTTAATACTCTGCATAACACTGTGCCATTTTGCATTGGAAAGCCTTGTATCCTGCAGAGAGGACGAGTGATGGAGTGGATACACACGGCTGCTAGTGCAAACCTGTAAGCCAAGGTGAGTCCCATTTTCAACCTCGAGTCCCATTCTCCTGGAGACCAACCTTCCTCTGTGGCCCACACTGCACCCTACAGACACTGTCAACATTTCCTTCTGTTTGGGTGTAACTTTTGCGTTCCTACAGCTCTAAAACCAGCATTGTTGGCACAGCCTGCTGTTTCTTGAAAAGCAGCTTAACCTCTTTACCTCTTTACCTTTACTTATCAAAATAGGTTCCTAGTGGCCACTGAAGCTGTCAGAGGCATTTGAACCAGAGCAACTCCATTTTCAATAGAGGCTGGGTAAAATAAGGCTGAGACCTATTGGGCTGCATTCTTAGGAGGTTAGGAGTTCTAAGTCAGAGGATGAGATAGGAGGTTGGCACAAGATACAGGTCATAAAAACCTTGCGATAAAGGTGGGACACAGTGGCTCACACCCGTAATCCCAGCACTTTGGGAGGCCGAGGTGGGTGGATCACGAGGTGAGGAGTTCAAGACCAGCCTGGCCAAGATGGTGAAAATCTATCTCTACTAAAAATACAAAACAAAAAAAAAGTAGCTGGGCATGGTGGCAGGTGCCTGTAATCCAAACTACTTGGGAGGCTGAGGCAGAGAATTGCTTGAACCCAGGAGGCGGAGGTTGTAGTGAGCCGAGATCATGCCGCTGCACTCCAGCCTGGGTGACAGAGCAAGACTGTCTCAAAAAAACAAAACAAAACAAAACAAAAACTTGCTGATAAAACAGGTTGTAGTAAAGAAGCTGGCTAAAACCCGCCAAAAGATGGTGATGGAATTGACCTCTAGTCATCCTCATGGCTTATTATATGCTCATTATAATATTTTAGCATGCTAAAAGACACTCCCACCATTGCCATGACAGTTTACAAATGCCATTGCCATGTTAAGAAGTTACCCTATATGGTCTAAAAAGGGAAAGAATCCTCAGTTCAGGGAGTTTCCCACTCGTTTCCTGGAAAGCTCATGAAAAATCCACCCCTTGGTTAGCACATAATCAAGAAGTAACAATAAGTATCATTAGCAGCTGAAGCGGCTCTCTGCCTTTAGAGTGGCCATTTTTTATTCCTTCACTTTCTCTAATAAACCTGCTTTCACTTTATGAACTCACCCCAAATTGTTTCTTGTGTGAGATCTAAGAACCCTGTCTTGGGGTCTGGATCGGGACCCCTTTTTGGTAACAAAGTCTCTACTTATTTAGCTTAGTGGCCAGCTAATAACTGGACAGAGGTTTCTTTAAATGCCTGGAATGAAATATCTCTCAGTCTTTGCAGATGGGTTTTCTGCGTCTGTTGGGGCACATGGTCAGCACTCTGCCAGGAAATTGGCAACTCTGTCTCAACTTTCCTTCCCGCTCCTGCAGGGCCTCAACTTCAGTCAGTGGTGAGTGCTTAGGGCCTTCTCCGGTTCCTGGACATGTGCAAAGCCCTACTGGACAGATTCTCAGGGTCTTATAGATTCCCAGGAATGTGACAAAGCTTTTCAGGGTCCTTATGGACATCTCATTCCTCAGCTTTTCCTTTAAGCTTTTCATTAGTCTATTGTTTGCCCCAAATGCTATCCATTACCTCGGGCAGCTGTACCCGTTGAAACACTAGTAAATGCTACAGGCAAATGCTCCTCCCTCCCCCAAGGCTTTTAGTACTGGGCCACTAATAAAGACAAGGTCTTTCAGGGAAGCACTAGACAGGTCAAATAATGACTCTCTTTGGGAATGAGATCTATTCTATCCCTTTCAGTACAGGGAGTGCAGGTGATTTCCAAGGCTGCTGCTGAGCTGGAGCAAGAGGATGAGACTAGGGCAAGTCAAAATGCTACAAAGCCCTCGGTTCTTACTGGGATTCAGCTGCTTTTCTTACATAAACACTCCCTGGGGTGTTGCAAGCAGTTGGTGAATTTTCAGAGTTCTGAAAAAGTTGTTTCTGGCCATTTTTGCCAGTTTTTTTTATGGCTTTTATGGAGGAGTGAACTTTCAGAGGTTCTGTACTCTGCTGCCTTCCTGATGCTTATCTGCTCCTTTCCTTTTGGAGCTGGGATGAACCTGTCTAGCCATGTTGAAGCCACATCTGCATAGCATCAGACAGCCCATCAGTTTATGTCAATGAGACTGAGGTAACACTGCCGTAAGCTACGACATACAGCTGTCTGTATTATTGTCCCCTAAAGTGCAGAGAACTCTCCAAAAACAGTTGATTTTTACCTCACAGTTGATTACTAAGAAAAAATACAACCTCAAATTAAACTCCAAGTGGGAGAATGCTGCAATGTTAAAATTGTCATAATTCTCAATTCGGTACAGACATGTCACTCCAGTCCGATATTGTCATTGGCCCATTCACTCAGTCTCTGTTGAACAGCTGGTATCAATTGAACCTGGTGGCCTGGAAGAGGCAGAGCTGAATAAGATGTAGTCACCTCCTAAAGGAGGTGAAGGAGACAGCCAGACCCAGCAGCTCCTGGCTCAAGGGCTCTGAGGAAGGGGTGTGCAATGGCCCCAACAGACCTCCTGAATAAGGTGGCATTTGGGTTCAATGGGTTTGGGCAAAAGTATTTATCCTCATAAATATTCTTGACTTAAAGATCTTTTAAATTTTTTATTTCTATTTTGTAAAATTTCAATGGCTTTGGGGGTACAAGTTGTTTTTGATTACACAGATGAATTGTACAGTGGTGAAGACGGAGATTTTAGTGCGCCCGTCACCTAAGTAGTGTACATTGTACTCAATAAGTAGTTTATTTTCTCTCACCTTCCTCCCACCCTCCTGCTTTTGAATCTCCACACTTCATTATATTACTCTGTATGTCTTTGCGTACCCATAGCTTAGCTCCCACTTATAAGTGAGAATGTTCAATATTTGGTTTTCCATTCCTGACTTACTTCACTTAGCATAATGGCCTCCAGCTCCATCTAAGTTGTTGCAAAAGACATTATTTTGTTCCTTTTTATGGCTGAGTAGTATTTCATGATTGTGTGTTGGCCTATCAGTTGATGGGCACTTAGGTTGATTCTATGTCTTTGCAATTGTGAATTGTGCTGTAATAAACATATGCATGCAAGTGTTTTTTTGATTTAGTGACTGTTTTTGGGAGGTAGATACCCAGTAGTGGAATTTCTGGGTAGAATGGTAGATCTACTTTTAGTTCTTTGACAAATATCCACATCTTTTTCCACAGAGGTTGTGCTAATTTACAATCCCACCAGCTGCGTATAAGCGTTCCATTTTCACTACATCCACACCAACATCTATTGCTTTTTGACTTTTAAAAAATAGCCGTTCTGACTAGGATAAAGTGGTGCCTCATTGTGGTTCTAATTTGTATTTCCCTGATTAGTGATGTTGAGCATTTTTTCATCTGTCTGGTGGCTTTCTGTGTGTCTTATTTTGAGAAATGTGTATTCATTCAACTCAAGGATTTTATCCTTGCTTTTGTTTCTTCCTGGAATGTTCTTACTTCACTTACCTGGGTCTCTCCTCTCATTCAGGTCTCAATGCCAAGGTCTTCCCTGAGGACCTGATCTAGTTTCTCTTTCCCTATTGAGATGGAGCAGGAGCCCCCTTTATTAGGGGCCTGCAGACCCCAAACATGGAAATCAAGGAGAATCATGATTGCCTTCAAGGGAAGTTCCAGGCACCTAGCTAGCTCCAGAAGTCAATAAGTAACTTATTAAAAAAGAAGGCAATAGTAGCCTAAAGGACACCTGAGGAAATTAGAGTCCTAGGGATGTTTGTTTTTCCTAAAGAATCCAAGGAGAACATCTTAACCTGTACTTCTGAGTTGTCTTTCAGAAACTCAGACCCCCACTGGGGACCCACACTGAAGGGATCAGCCAATATGCAGACCTCAGGTAAGTGGGAAGTGAAGACTGAACTTTAACCATCATCTTTTGTTATAAATTTCTTCCTGGGGGTCTTGGAGAAAGTCACTCACCCTAGCCAGTTGACATTCTTTTCCTGCCTGGTAAGGTAGCTATGCCTGTAATTCTAGCACTTTGGGAGGCCAAGGTGGGATGATTGTTTGAGGCCAGGAGCTTGAGATCAGCTGGGCAACATAGTGACATTCCATCTCACTATTTAAAAAAAAACATTAAAAAATTGGTTAGGCACTGGGGTGCACGCCTGTAGTCCCAGCTGCTCAAGAGGCTGAGGCAGGAGGCTGCAGTGAGCTATGGTCATGCCACTGCACTCCAGCCTGGATGACAGAGTGAGACACTATCTCAAAAAAAGGACATTTTTTCTACTTACCCCAGATTTTTAAATAAAGCTGCTCTTTTATCACCAATTGCAAATTGCAAAGTTTTTGAATTTGCTTATAACCTGTAAGTCCCCACTTCAAGATATCACACCCTTTTAGGTCTAAACCAATGTGTAACCTCCAGGTATTGATTGATGATTTTGCCTGTGGCTTCTGTTTTCCTGTAATTTACCCCTGCCTTTAAAAATCCTTTCCTGCAAGCCATTGGGAAGGTCAGGATCTGAGCAATAGCTGCCTGGTCGTCTTTGCTTGGCAACTGCAATAAAAGCTTTTCTTTCTATTGCTGAAAAACCTCCTTGTGGGTATCTGGTTTTATTGCACCAAGCTAGTACTCCCCAGTTGGGTTCTAAAACATTATTACCCTCCCTCCCACTGCCTTTTAATTATCTTCCCAGGACTAGTGGTTATCTGAAAATAACTTAGTTACTTACATCTTTATTGTATGTCTCTTGTTCCCTGGCTCCCACTTGAATACAAACCCCTTAAGACCAGGCACCTCATCTGTCTTACTTACGCCTCTACCCCAGGACTCAGATCAGTCCTGCACATGGTTGGTCCTCAATAAATGTCTGTTGAGTGAATAAATAAACTGATAGAAGACACATGTGGGAGACTGACTCCCCATTGCTTTGCTCTCCGCCCCAGTGGTACCACATTCCCCATGCCCTCCCTACCTTCTGCCCCCACTGCGCCTGCTTATTCTGTGACTGAGCTTGGCTTGACTGACCTGAACCAACAGGGCAGTTTTTTCCTCTCAGGAGCACACTGCAGAGCAACACTCTGCTTGCAAAGGAAGTGAGCAAATGAAGGGCTTGTTCTCTTTTATCTGGCTGGAGCAAGTTTGTAGAAGCACTTCCTTCTAGCACCCAGATGGTCATTGCCTAGTCCTGGAGGTGAGGAGAGGGCCCAGTGAGCCCTGAACAGAAATGTTCTCAGCTCCTCTTCTCTGGGGGATCTGGATATGGGCCAGCTGTTTCCCAAAAATAACCAGAATCTGTCTACCTGGTGAGAGACAAGCGACTCTCCACGAGAAGGCAGAGAAGGCAGGTGTTGATTAACAGGAGTTTTATTACTTGGCACATGTAAGGAGGACACGGGCATATTCTCCAAAGCAGTGTGGGAAAGGGAAGGGAGGGTTTTATGAGGTGATGGAGGGGGATAGGGTGCGCCATTGCATGGAGAGGAGGGGTCCCAGTGGTGCAGATGCAGTGAGTCCCTGCCAGCACATGGGTCGCGTGTTATGGTGATGAAGCTGTGGCTCCTCCTGGGATTGACACTTCAGCATGGTCATGAGGAAAGCTCACTATAAATTACCAGGCTCGGTCAGGAGCTGGTTTTAACCAAGGAGATGACCACATTCCACACAGAGCTTAAGAGAAACAGGCTGCAGGGCAGGAGGCTGTGCGCCAGGCTGAGGGCTCACGTTGACTAAATTCCTATGATCTGGGGAGACCATCCTGTTTGCTTACACAGCCCCTCGAAGCAGAGTTCTAGAGCAAAAAGCCAACCACTCATTTTTCTATTTTCAAAATGTCAATGTAGTGTTACTATTATTTTTCTTTACATTAACCAAATAATAGAAGAGCTGCCAGATTGTGAATGGTTGGAAAAGGGGTGCCCTAGAAGGCACATGAGTGAAACAATACAAACACACACAGGAAGCATTATCAAAATCGCACATGTTCCCCAGAAATATGTGCAATCATTGTAGATCAATGAAGACATAAAAATATGCATGGGGAAGGTCTACTATTTTTTTAACCTACCTGGCTAAAAATGAGCACCAGGTTGATTCCTGAGTGTAGACATACATCTCTTATAGAGAGACCAGGCAGAGCCGAGCAATGCCAAATTCTTATCACAAAAGCAACATTTCCTGGCCTGTTATGGTGGCTCATGCCTGTAATCCCAGCACTTTGGGAGGCTGAGGTGGGCAGATCACTTCAGGTCAGGAGTATGAGACCAGCCTGGCCAACATGGTGAAACCCCATCTCTACTAAAATATAAAAAAAAATAGCCAGGCATGGTGGCTGATGCCTGTAATGCCAGCTACTCGGGAGGCTGAGGGAGGAGAATCACTTGACCCCAGGAGGCGGAGGTTACAGTGAACAGAGATCGCGCCACTGCACTCCAGCCTGGGCAACAGAGTGAGACTCCCTCTAAAAAAAAAAAAAAAAGAAAGGAAAAAAACCAACATTTCCCAACTAGTCAGTGGGATCTGCGTGCGTTTCTGTGGTGTGTGTGTTTCTGTGGTGTGTGTGTGTCTTTCTCTGTGCGTGTGTTTCTGTGGTGTGTGTGTTTCTGTGTGTGTGGGGGGGTTGCATGTGCATGGTCATGCATGTTTGTGTGTATGTAATAGCTATAATATCTCAGAAGTCATGGTTCCACCTACATCCCCCATGGTTCCACTCTCCCTTGTCATTACTAGATACGCTCAGCGTGTTCCAAGACGCAGGCCCCACCCCCGGAGGTGAATGTGTGGAGATAACCAGTTACCACGGGGCTCTCTAGAAGGGGTCCAGGTGAGTGAAGTGACCCTGGGAAGGGCTCCAGGCTGGCGAGGGCTGCCATGCATCTCAGTCTGAGAGATGAAACCTGCTTGCAGGAAGAGGGAAATTGCAAAGCCAGAGAGAGAGGCTTCTGGGAAACACCAGCCCTCAGGAAGCCGCTTTCTAAGGGACAGCATGTGGAGGCAGTGCTTGGGGGAAGTTGGGGGCATCCTGCAAAGGCAAGACGTGAGACGTGGCTGTGGATGGAGGGGACAGTGGCACAGCTGCCAGCAGTAGTGAAGGCTGCAATGCAGCCCGTGCGGTCAGGTGTGGGGAGTGTATTATTAATGTGTAAACAAAGGTGAAACCATGGAGGAAATTCATCTTAATTTCACAAAAGCTCTCTCCTCTCCTCACAGCACACAGGCAGTTGGCAGAACCCGGGAAGTACCAGCTATTGAAATGAACTCAAACTGCCTTATCTAAAGACTGTGAAAAAAGAAATGGTTCGGGTACAAAGCTTACTGCCAAGGAGTGCTCTGCCACCTCTGCCTGACAGGGACAGAAGGGATCTTGTTGGCAACACATTCCCAGGGTTGGAAGGGCCCCTGCGGAGCTTCATGGCACAGGCAGAACAGATGCTGAGATCACTCATGTGGATGAGAGACCTGGCTGCCCACTCACACCACCTGGCGAGCTTGAGATCAGCATCTAAAACGCCCCAGGAGAACTGGGCACTGGTTCTGACAAGTTAAGAAGGCAAAAGTCTGCTGCTCTGGGGTGACGGGTGTAACTGGAGTGAGTGTTGTGAACAAACAGAGATAACGAATTTTTCAAACATTTTTTACCATAGTCAGATTTAATCTCCTATCTCTAAGTCTATGGTCTTTCTTCTTCCCTCTAAAATGTGTTATTTCATGGGGAGTTTTCTGAGATACAGGCCAAGGGCAAATTCTGGTACAGCTCATCCACTCTGCCTCTCCACTGCTCTAGGAGCAGGCAGGATTTGGTAGAGGTTGGGGATGAATCCCAGAGCTCAGCCCTGAGAGTCTGCACCCTGCAGACACATCCTGGGGAGGTCACCACCCTGACCCTCTCTCTGGGTGGAGCAAACAGGCCAAGGAGACAATGGTTCCAAAGGCGTTAGGACACAGCAGCCACGGGGGACTAGGCCTAGGAGCTCAGCAGCAGGGGACAGGGAAGGGCCATGAGTCTTTTGCTTTGGGAAATAGTTAGGTCTGAGACTTTTGGTGATGGGCACAGGCAGCCTATGCAATCTTGTGCTGGAAGAGGTGCTTCTAATCACAAAAAGGGCAATAAGATAGTTGCTTTTTGCCTGGGGAGGACAGGTGACAAGGTGAAGGTCACATGCAAGGTCGTGGCATTTTCCCATATGTGGGGATGCTGAATGCCAACATCTCTATTTCCCACCTTTCTACATCCAGATAAATAATGAAGCATTTTCTGTATGGAGGGCAGAGCCTGGTCTATGCAGCTCTTTCTATCAGGCATGGAGACTTGCAGGCCCCTGGCTGATCTTCTCCACCCAGCCAGTTGTTCCTGGATTCAGTCAGGGCAGGCCTAGACTCCCCTTTCTGCTGGGTTGTGAGAACTGCAGTCTTTAGCATGTGAGTCTTCGCAGGAGCAAAGGCATGGGCCAAGGGTTTAATATTATCACTTAAAACCAGAGGTGAAACTGGGTTGGGGCTAAGTCAGAACGAACAAAAAAGGAGCTACTCTTAAGACTTGCAGAGAAATAGTGACAATGACTCATTTTAAACTAGAACCCAATGTGGTAATGAGCTCACATTTGAGCATTCGACAGTGCCTATACATTCTCCAATGCAGGTGTCATTAAGGGAGATGTGTCTGGCAGCAGCAAGAGTAGTTTTAATTGAGAAGTGGTTTCACACAGATATATAGGGATGGAAATGGATATATCTACATACATTTAGATATATAGACATCTATGCATAGATCTGGATCTATATCCATGTATCGACAGATTCTGTACTATTCACTCCTTTCTTCCTTCGCTTCACAGTCATGGTTGAGTCTAAAAGATATTAAGACCATCAGTTGAAAAGTAAAGCTCATTTTAAACTAGTTATTCAACTTTATGTACTCCATGTACCTACAGTCAGAGTATTTTTTAATTTCTGATTTTACTCAGCAACTCAAAGGGAGCCTCTTCTTTCCTTCTTGTTTGTCTTTCTTCACCCCTTAAGTACAGGACCTTCATTGGTCCCACTGGAAATGACCCTGACCCCAGCCTTGGTTTGTGACTGACTGAAATTCCTGTGGCCTTCTCAAAGCTGAGGTCTTCCATTTGCACTGATTCATGGATACTCATGGCATTGTGAGTCTTTCGCGAATCTGCCAGGATACATCATGTTATCGGGTGCAGGTGTGTGTAAAGATCTGACCCCTGAACACATCTTTTGTGAACTAACAGAGAAACAGATGCTAGTGGATGTGTGTGTGTCATCCACACCTAGGGAGACAACAGGGCTTCCAAACCCCTAGAGCTGATCCCTGGCAGGGCTCAAACTGCAGGGGAGATGCTGTGGGGGTCTGTGGTTACTTTTGTGCTGAAGACCTTCTTCTTCAGTGGTGCCTCTTCATTTGCAATTGTAATTATTTCTCTGGAAACTAGGAACCTAGGTTTTTGTGAAGTGATAAAACTAATTAGCCACAACAAATCCTGTCTGTGCTTAGTTTGCTCAGGACTACACAGTGTATATTAGTTTGCCTTTTGGTAGGAGCCTCTTTGCTGTGGCATGACAGTGCTGCAGTCCCCTGGGGCTGCTTCAACCCCCACCAGAAAGGAAAATGAGAGAAACAATGCATTCGAGGCACAAGCCTGCTACAAATCACCCATTAATTACACACAGAGCTGTGCGCCAGCCAAAGGGCTTTGTCGGGCTTGCACCTTGAAGCCAATAGCAGAATTCTAGGTGCTGCAATTGGGAATAAGGAGCTGTGCTCGACATACATGACCATTGGGCACAGTCTAGGGCAAGGAGGAATAATTCAAGGCCACGCCAAAACCCAGGAGGAAGAACATGGCCACACAACCCATCTGCTTTGACCAGTCTTGCCTTCACGTGAGGTCATTGGAAAGAAACCACCTGCACAGGTGTAAACTCCTGGGTGCTTTTGCCTAAGGCAGTTTCCAGGGGCAAGAGAAATGCAACAAGAATAAAGGTGACTCATAAAATGGATCCTGCCATGTAAATTCGAAGCAGAAAGTGTATTTTAATTAGACTTGGTTGCTGCTTTCACCCGATTTCCAAGTATTAAATTTTCTCTTTCATTTCCTGCGTGAGTAATCCTGGCCCTGATTAATTGAAAACACTAGGTCCTTGCTACTCCCACACATTCCCCATGGAGGGGACTGCGCTTCCGTGACAAATGGTCATGGAATGTGCTCCATTATCATTCCTTGACATAGCAAATAAAGAGGGGAAATCATTTATTCCCAGCATTGGCAAGCAGCCTTCGGGGACTGCACTGGCCAGCTCTGACACCCACTGAATGATGGTGGCGGCACTGATTTGCGTTACCCGCAGACAGAACCCGTGCCCTCTCACTCCATTAGCCAAGTCAGAAACATCAAGCTTTTACGGAATCCATTCCAGCTGAAACAACAGTCTCCTTTATCATTGTAGTAAGTGTTGGGAATTATTTTTCCTCCAGAAAATTAATATCTTCAATGAGCCAAGTGGATAATTCAGAATTTTTTTTGATGCCAAAGTGGTTACATTTTTACCCTGAAGAGAGAGAGTGGAAGTGGGGACCCTGTTGGTTTCTTGGGGAACTAGAAACGAGGCTCTCCCAGTGTGTGCCAACATGCTTGGCACTTTCGGGATGCTATGGGTCAGGCACCAGGTAATGCTGCTAGACGACTTTTACTTCCAAAAAATGTCTGTCCTTGAAGTTCAATCTCATAAAAATGAGCCAATTATTTGTGTCTTTTCTTAAGCTTTTTTTAAAAATAAAAATGACTATATCTTGAAGGTCGATTTTCCAAGTTTATATAGTTCTCTTTGTTGCTTGACATTAAAGTGAATCCTATAATTACTTTCTTCTGATCTTATTCAAATGGTCAGAGTTGGGGTGAGATGTACACAGGCTGCTGTGGTTATGTGATTAGTTCTGTGCGACCACCTTCTGGGCAGGCTCCTGAAGTGGTGGTTACCTGATTACTCCACTTAGTGCTGGACAAATAGGTCAAAATGTTAGCTTTTGGCCTCTTTCATGTAATTTAGAATGCAAAAACATCTCTATGGGGTTGTAAATATTTTTTTTTACTTCATTTATTGTTAAATAAAATGATAGGCTATTTTCTTCTTCATTGGGAGCAAATGTTTAAAATGTCTTTTTGCTTCTGTTTTTCCACATAATGCAGATAAACACACCCAGGGACAGAGGATAGCTGCTCAGGAATTTCTGGGTAAGGTGAATCCTACTGAACAAGAAAAGCTCTCCAAAGAAGTGGCCGGCTGTGAGTGATGGTGTAGATGCACTGGCTTTGCGAGGGGAATGGGGGAGTGACTTGGGTGCTGACAGCAGCCATCACACAAGGTTTCCTGAAGATTGACAGTCAGCGCTGACATTGTCATCTTTGCAAGCCCCAAGATTAGATCTGCTAAGTCAGTGTCTGCAAGATCTGCCTTGATGAGGCTTGTACTGAGTATTTGTTGTGTGGGGCCTCCTGGCCTCCAAGTCCCTCTCTGCCGCGATATGACATCTTCCTTACGAGGAATCATTTGGTCGCCCTTGAGGACCATTTTGGTGGGGCTATTAATCAGGGTGCACAGCCCTCCCCTGGCCAATGAGCAGGCTTCGAGTAGAAGCTCAGCCAATCAGATTCCTCTGCAGAAATGTTGGACTACTCCGGTGCTTGTCCGTTTTTGATCCTGGATTTTCAGCTTTCATTTTTGGGAGCTCCGCCATGTTCTTCCAGTAGATTTTTATTTTCCTACCTAAATTGGCCAGAGTTAGTTTCTATTCTTTATAACTTTTTAATTCTGACTGAATTAGTGTCTTTCATTTCTATGATTACTGAGACTTCTTTGTACTGTGACCATAAAGTAATTTGGCTGATTTTAATAGAAACTCCCCAGGAACTTAATATCCAAAATTGTCCTTGATAACACTTCTGTGCATCCAAAGGCCTCAATTTCCCTACTCCATTCTCTTGCCACATAAGACAGTATTTCTTTTACTGTTTAAGTCACATGGGTTGGGTTTTGTGTAATGTGTAGTCCAGAGTTTTCCAGCCAGCATATGATCTTTGTTCACAAAAATTTTTGCATTGAATTTGGGAAGTACCATGATTGTCTACAAGCATTTTTTTTGACTCTTCCTCAGGGAGATAAATATGCATCTTTTGAGAGGGGATAATATTGGGAAGTATTCAAAATGTGTTCAAAGAGCATTCAAACTGGATAATACAATGTTTAATCTAACAGATAAATCAACTCTAAAATAACGTTTTGGTTTCTTCGTGAGGTTAAAAAGCAGGTCTGGAAGCTATGTTAAAAGAAGAGGTCCAAGAATATTATGCACAAAGGCCATATCGCTGGAAAAAAGTGCACAGATTTACAAGGTGGCATTCTTGAAAGACAACATTCATTTGTTATCTACTCTTATATATATTTGTTAAAAACTAAACACATTAATAGACTCTGTATATACACCCTTTATTATATGTCATGTTCCTTCATTTATGCAAAAACCTAAGTTATTATGAGGCCTTTGAGACTATAACTGATATTTATGTCAACAGTCCATATCAGGTCATTTGAAGGTCATGTCTCATAGATATATAGCATGGCTAGAAATTTTGGATCCTCATGCACCAGTATTTATTTATTTATTTATCACTCTGAATGACTTTATTTTTATTTTTGCTTATTTATTTATATTTATTGTACTTTAAGTTCTAGGGTACATGTGCACAATGTGCAGGTTTGTTACATATGTATATATGTGCCATGTTGGTGTAGTGCACCCATTAACTTGTTATTTACATTAGGTATATCTCCTAATGCTATCCCTCCCCCCTCCCCCCACCCCACAACAGGCCCCAGTGTGTGATGTTCCCCTTCCTGTGTCCATGTGTTCTCATTGTTCAATTCCCACCTATGAGTGAGAACATGTGGTGTTTGGTTTTTTGTCCTTGCGATAGTTTGCTGAGAATGATGGTTTCCAACTTCATCCATGTCCCTACAAAGGACATGAACTCATCCTTTTTTATGGCTGCATAGAATTCCATGGTGTATATGTGCCACATTTTCTTAATCCAGTCTATCATTGATGGACATTTGGGTTGGTTCCAAGTCTTTGCTATTGTGAATAGTACTGCAATAAACATAACGTGCCTTATGCACCAATTTTAATTCCTAGTGGAATAGTAATGGAAGGCATTAGGCTTTGAATAGGTGTTTGGTGACAGAGCAGAAATTCTAACTTTATTAGGTGACTTTGGCAACCCTTAAAGCCTCATTTCTCTCATCTATAAAATAAGATAGTAATTTTAGTCAGAGAACTGGGTACAAAACGTATAGAAAGCATTGGAAGGGTGGCTTTCCCCTGGTAGGCACTCAATAAATATCAGTTCTTATTACAGATAACCCAGCTCCTTACAAGGCAGAGGATGTCTGGGAAGTGTCTGTCCTTACAGAGAGAGCAGAATGGACAGTTGGCAGGGCCACCACATTCACTCTGTCACCAACTCCCATTACCATTTGTGTTCATTATAAGGAGGCCAAAGGTCATCAATTACTTCAACAATGGATATTTCTTATAATTTCAGAGAATTGAATGCAGTTGTTTGTGATGTTCTTTGCAGTCATGGATGCCTCAGAATCTGAGAACTCTTGTATTGGGATCCCTCATGAATTCCTGGGCTCCTTTGAAAGCTAATGAATCAGAATTTTGCATAGTGGGACTGAGGAGTCTGTATTTATTAAACTTTCCTCATTATTCTTCTGCATAGTAAGGTTCATGGACTACCAGGTTAAGAACCTGTGTTTGTAAGATGCAGGCAACCACATCAGCTAAGAGCATTTAGTTCAGCACAGAGACTTTTGTGTCTTAGGTCTTGCACCCAAATGTTTTACTAGAGAATTTACTAGATCCTTGACCTTGCCCTGTGTGCTTCACATGTGTTATTTCAGTGAAATTCCATAAACACCTCTGTGGGATACTGTAGATATCTCTCTTGTACTAACAAGGAGACATGGACTCAGAAAGGTCCATGGGAAAGCAGCCTGCTCCAAAGCTAAATGGTGCTACATTATGTGGCCTCTGTGCTGATTCACTATAACACAGTTTCTTAGTGTTCTGATGAGCTTCAGAATGTTCCAAACCAACAGTGAAGATGGTCTTGCTTAGTCTGAGGCTTTTGGAGGCGGCAGAGGAGGAGAGACAGTAAACTTTTGGGTGTTAGGTCTTGCACCCAAATGTTTTGCCCTTAACTTACACAGACAGTATCATATGATGTTAAGAACACAGACTTCCTGGGTTCAAATCCAGGGTCTGCCACCTACGAGCTGTATGACCATGGGTAAGTTACGGAAATTTGCAGGACTCATTTCCCCATATGTAAAATGATACTAATAGTACCTATCCCATAGGGTTGTTATGATAATTTAATGAATTAATACCTATCAAGTGTTAAAAACAGTATTTGGTATGCAATATGGCAGTGTTTGTCAAAGAAATAAAATAAATTCCACTAAGTCTCAATAACTCCAGCTGCAACTGGAGAGTATGATCCAGAAACATGATTGGCTTTTCCTCCAGACTCCTAATCGAGGAGGCAACTCCTGCTTAGATCCTGGTTGGTGCAACACTAGTTGGCCATCTATAGCGTTCCTTCTACCCCGGGCATGGAGCCCCCAGTATCCCAGGCTGATGTGAGCACACAGAGGCTAATGTCAGGAGTGGAGGCACACTTCCTCAGTGCATCTGGCTGTAATACTGCACTTCTGATTCTGAGTAGCTTTTGGCAAGCTCCTGAGGCAGTGTGGAGGGCAGATATTGTCAGCTGCTCACAGATGGTGCGCTGGGCCCTGCAGAGATGATGTGAGGGGAGGGAACTTTGTCCTCGGGCTAAAAAGCCACTGAAATCCTCAATAGGGTAGAGACCCATATGTATAAGCTCAAGTACACATATATGTGCAGCAGCTGAGTGCCGTTGGTGTTCCATGGGTGCTGGGGTGGGGGCTCCCGTCACACCTCTCACAGCAACCACATTGCCATTTCCACATGCAGTCTATGAACCTGCTTTGGATGTATCAGAGGGAGAGAGCCTGGCCTTTCTTGGATTTTGTCTTGGGATTGTTCCAGTCACTGTTTTAAAGTGACTGGATCTTTTACTTCTTTCTTGATCCCCTTTCTCACTATTTACAGCACAAATGTCCGTTGAAACTTAAGCTGATTTCATGTTATAGAAAAGGTTTTGCATTATTTTTGTCTCCTATGTATGGAGACACTAAGGATTGGGACTTTCTTCATGCATTCATTCACTCTTTCAGGTAGAAACACATTTGAACCATCATTATTTGTTCTTTCGTTGACCCTCTGCTGTCTTGTCTCGGGTGCCATGGAGAGAGTCTGGACTCAGTTCTTGCCCTCAAAGAGATGGCCTAGTGTGGGGGGAACCAGCATGAGTGACTAGTGACAGCATTCACGACTGAACATGATGATGGCCATTAGAGGGCAGATGATGGACCAAGATGGTACAAAGGGAGGAGAGATCTGAGTGATCTCCTTGGAAGAGGTGCCGCTAGAGCTAGGCCTGGAAGGGTGAGCTATATTTGTACAGGGGAGGCAAGACGCTGTCTAGAAAGTTGTGAAGATGAAGAAAATAACATGTGAGAAAGGGCTTTGTGAATATCAAGGCGATATCTACATTTTCATTATTATTTCCATCATAAGTATCATTTCAGGAGGAGGCTACAGCTTGGACCAAGGCCCTGAAGCTGGGGAAGAGGAGCTCAGGGATGGGAGCAGTGAGCACAGATTGGCTGAGCACAGGCACGGGAAAGTCATGGGAAGAGGATGTGGACAGGGTGGGTCTGTGGGGCTGGGCCCCAAGGGCCAGGTGGAGGCACCTGGACTTGGTCCTGCAGCTGGCAGGAGGCCAGGAAAGTTTTCTGAACAGGCATGGCCTATGCTAAACTGTGCTTCTGGAAAATGAGTTTGGTGGCCTGGGCAGGATGAGGCTGGAGGCTGGAAGAACTGTGGAGAATGTGGGGCAAGTGTCCAGGGGGGAGAGAGTGACAGCCTGGACTTAACAGCAACCAATGTTAGAGAGACCTCCTGGAAGGGAAGGTGACAGGAGCTGGTAACTGGTTATAGGCGCTGTTCTTGGTTCTGGAGGATTCATGAACAGGCCTGGATCCATGGATTCAGCACTCTCTGGAGCAGGGGGAGCCGTCAAACATTAAGTGTTTGCACTTTCCTACATGTGGGATTCCTCTCTCCCCATCCCCTGCACAGCAGTCTTCTCACTGATTTTTGAATATGCCCAGCTCATTCCACCCCAGAACAGTTGGCTGCACTTTTTCTTCTTTCTTCTGCCCTGCTTTCCCTTCCCTTCCCTTCCCTTTGTTTCCCTTCCCTTCCCTTCCCTCCCCTCCCCTCCCCTTCCCTTCCCAGTCTCACTCTTTCATCCAGGCTGAAATGCAGTGATGCAATCATAATTCACTGCAGCTTCAGCCTCTGGGCTTAAGCAGTCCTGATGCCTCAGCCTCTCCAGTAGCTGGGACTACAGTCACGCACCACCACATACAGCTAATTTTTTAATTTGTTATTTTTTTGTAGACATAGGAACTGGCTATGCTGCCCAGGCTGGTCTTGATATCCTGGGCCCAGGCGATTCTCCAATCTTGGCACTCTCAAAGTGCTAGGATTCCAGGCCTGAGCCATGGCACCCGGCCTCTCTCTAGCTTTCATGGCTGGCTCCTCATCCTTCAGGTCTCCCCTCCAGAATGGCCAGTTCAGAGGGAGGTTCCTGGTCACCCCATCCAAATTCACATCCCCCGTCCACTGTGCTACCCTATTCCTCATTAACCTGTTCAATTTTCTTCAGAGCTTTTATTACTATGTAAAATATATTTTTTTGTTGACCTTATTTCCATCTTCTCCTAGCTTTTGAACTCCATGTGAGGCTGGGCACAGTGGCTCACACCTGTAATCCTAGCACTTTGGGAGGCCAAGGCAGGAGGATAGGTTGAGCCCAGAAGTTTGCGACCAGCCTGGGAAACATGGTGAGACTCCATCTCTACAAAAAATAAAAACAAAAATTAGCCATTAGCTGGGCATGGTGGCATGGGCCTGTAGTCCCAGCTACTTGGGAGGCTGAGGCAGGAGAATCACCTGAGCCTGGAAAGTTGAGGCTGCAATAAGCCACAATCTAACCTGTCTCAAAAAAAAAAAAAAAGCAACACAAAAGACAAAAACTCCACGAGTGGTTCCCCATGGCACATATAATAGTACTTGACAGAATTCAGTATATATTGTCTAAAATAATGAAGACATGCTCATATTTCCTTTACGGGATTTTCAACAGCAAAATTAACAATCCTAGACACTGGTTCAGGAGGATGACTATCACTTCTAAGCAAAAGCCACCCCCCAGGCTTTTTCTTTTTTCTTTTTTTTTTTTGTGAGACAAAGTTTTGCTCTTGTTGCCCAGGCTGGATTGTAATGGCACGGTCTCGGCTCATTGCAACCTCCACATCCCAGATTCAAGTGATTGTCCTGCCTCAGCCTCCCAAGTAGCTGGGATTACAGGCATGTGCCAACATGCCTGGCTAATTTTTGTATTTTTAGTGTAGATGGGGTTTCACCATGTTGGTCAGGCTGCTCTAGAACTCCTGACCTCGAGTGCTCCACCCACCTCGGCCTCCTAAAGTGCTGGGATTGTAGTTATGAGCCACCACGCCCAGCTACAGAAGCCCTTTATTTAAACATATATATATATATTTTATTCTAGATTCAGGAATATATGTGCTTGTTTGTTACATGTCTATATTATATAATGGTAGGAATTGGGCTTCTAGTGAACTGATCACCCAAATAGTGAACATTGTACCTAATAGGTAATTTTTCAACCCTCCCTCCCCAACTTTTGGGTCCCCCGTGTCTATTGTTTTTGTCTTTATGTCTATGTGTGCCCATTGTTTAGCTCCCACTAAGTGGGGAGCTCTGTTTAGTTCTGTGAGACCACGCAGTATTTGGTTTTCTGTTTCTGAGTTAGTTCACTAAGGATAATGGCCTCCAGCTCCACCTAGCTTGCTGCAAAAGATAGGATTTTATAATTTTTTATGACTATGTAGTATTCCATGGTGTATATTTACCACATTTTGTTTATTCAGCCAATCATTGCAGGGCACTCGGGTTGGTTTCATGACTTTGCTATTGTGAATAGTGCTGCAAAAAAACATACAAGTGCAGGTGTCTTTTTATAAAATGATTTCTTTTCTGAGTAGATAACTAGCAGCAAGATTGAGCAACAGTGCTTAACCACGAGTCTTTTATGAACATCAGCAAAGAGGCCCACGTTGTGGTGACTGCGGCAGGGGCCTGAACCTTGCTTCAAGCTGCACCCTCTCACAATTGCCACAGAGTCCTCACTGGTTCCATATACAGCCCCTAAGTGCAGTTTGGGGTGTTGACAGCAGCACATGACCTTGATGTCTAGACCCTGACCTGAAGACCCCCTCAGTTTACTTGGGTACACTTCACAACCTGTGCAAAACTGAAGATGTGTCCTTCAGAAGAGTTTCTGGGCACATATCAGTCAGTATAAAGTTGGTGATTGGGTGGACTTTCATCAGCAGGGAGGCCTGGGATTGGCCATATTCATTGCCACATTGGTTGGTAAGAGTAAGCATGGAAGACTCAGTTTAAGATTGCAAAGAACAGAGGGTTATTAGGGGAGAAAGACATCCCTCTAATGGTTGGAGAAGTATTCCTTGAATACTTCTTTTTTCCCTTGAAAAGAGGGGCTATGCTATTAATTACAAATTCACGGTGAGTGTAACATCTGGATGTGTATAGTGGCAGGGCCATGCCATTGTGTGTCTATATAGATATCTGTGCTGAGCTTTAGAAACAAGTCTTGGGGAATGCTGGTGAGAAGGTGAGGCTGAGTGAGGGAGAGAGAGAGGAGTTGCAGATGACTCACCAAGGGGTATGTTCTAAAATCTCAAAGGAAAGCTGTGTGCTGCTGTGTCCCTACTCCCAGGGGGAGGATTATCTCATGTCCCTGCAGTCTCCCAATGCACAATCCTGTCTAAGAATGCCCTTCACATTGTGGACTCTATGGCTACCAGTCACATCTACAAAAGAACTCTTGCATCTATCCATTTCATATGATGGCGAGGAGTGTCTATGTGAGATTTTAATTCTCTTTTGTATAAAATAATGAAAACTACATCACAGTAATATTGAGAAAACTAAGTAAAAAATGAGTACAGAAAGTGCTCAAATACGGTACAGGGAAAGCGCTCAATCAATATTTCCTCCTATTAATGTTTCATTGGGGAAGAAAACTCACTGCTAGAGAAAAAGAGCTTAAAACTCAAAGAATGAGCTAATTTTCCAGCGGTATGATTCTGTGATGTTAAAGTACAACATATGTCAGTAAAAAAATTTCAGTCTATTCAAAAACAGATTTTCATGTTTGGGTCCTGGAATCAATTTGTGAAACAACTCTATTGAGATGACACATCAGATGTATCCCTCCCTCTGTACTGCACCAGGCTAGCTTCCACCTCGTATTTCCTTTTCTTTCCTTTTTTTTCTTTTTTCTTTTTGGCAGAGTCTCACTCTGTCACCCAGGCTGGAGTGCAGTTGGTGTGATCATAGCTCAGTGCAGCTTCAGCCTCCAGGGCTCACGTGATCCTCCTGCCTCAGCCTCCTGAGTAGCTGGGACTGCAGGTGTGCAACACCATGCCCAACTAATTTGTCTACTAAAAATTATTTTTAGCAGAGACAGCATTTAGCTATGCTGCCCAGGCTGGTCTCAAACTCCTGGCCTAAAACTATCTTTCTGTCTTGATCTCCCAATCCTGTGCCTTGGATTCCAGGCTTGAGCCACCACATCCTACCTCTACCTTCTGTTTCAATCCAGGGATAGACCCATTATCTTGAGTCTGAAAGGACTTACCTTAGGCTGAGTTTTCCCTTAGAAACAACCCTGAGACAAAGATTTTAGAACAAGTGTTTATTCAGGAGATGAACCCAGAAAGCGCAGTTGAGAAGGGTGAAGAGGCAGAGGGAGGAGAGAGAAGACACTGCTTATTAAAGAGCCAATCACTGCTGTGGACAGCGGGGCTCAGGCAGAACTCCAGAGGACCCTGTGGAGCCCAGGCCACAGAGCTGTGCCTCCTGAGGGAAGGAGTCTGCTGCGCTCAACCTTCAGTCCTTCCCATCATTGGCTGAAGGTCGTTCTTAAGGCATCAGCTCCTCAGCGCTTCCTGCCCGCCCTGAGTGAGAACCCTGATGTTTCTTAGGAAGCTCTCCAGGGACAGTCTCAGGCCCTCACAGCAGGAAGCCATCAGCACACATTGAACACTTAAGGGAAACAGGCAGGGCACGAAGACAGCCTCTGGAGAACTCAGCATTTTCTGTGGTTCAGGTTGCATCCTGTGGATCAGGAGCCATATTCACAAGTCTGTTTCATCAGCACAGGATCTGAAATGGAATGTCCAAAGGCCATGTTGGAACAGCGATGTCAGCAGCAGGAAAGATTAAGAATGACCTGGACCGCCATCCCTCTGATAAAGCACCTCCTGTGAGCCTAACCCTACATAATAAGGAAGAAAGAGCTTGGGGCTCTCTCATTAGACCCTTTGAGTTGTGCATACATCCTGTGCCAACCACACATCCAGGTCGGTAGAAACCCCAATTGGCCAGGTCTAAGTGTCGTGTTCAAGTCTGAAATTACTGGCAGGATCACCCTCTGCCTTCACTTTTACCCAGAAAACTGAGAGTAGAGAGGCATAATTTCCCCCCCAAAAAAACTGAGGTATGGCTGCTAGGAGAGGGAAAATTGAGGCTTAGGAGGCAAAAGCTATTGATACCCACTTATCTGGTAGATGCATATGTGCCATCATTTTTATTTTATGTCTTTTTTTATAATTTCAGCTTTTATTTTAGATTTGAGGGTATAGGTGCAGGTTTGTTACATGGGTAATTTGCCTGATGCTGAGGTTTGGGGTACAAATGATCCCATCACTCAGGTAGTGAACATCATACCCAATAGGTAGTTTTCGACCTTTGCCTCCTCCCTCCCCCTCATAGTAGCCCCCAGTGTTTATTGTTCTCACCTTTATGTCCATGTGTTCCCAGTGTTTAGCTCCTACTTATAAGTAAGAACATGTGGTATTTGGTTTTCTTTTCCTGTGTCAGTTTGCTTAGGATAATGGCCTCCGGCTGCATCCATGTTGCTGCAAAGTTTGTGGCCTTGCTCTCCTTTATGGCTGAATAGTATTCCATGGTGTAGATGTACCACATTTTGTTTATCCAGTCCACTGATGGACACCTAGGTTGACTCCATGTCTTTGACATACACCATCACTTTCAGAGAGGGACTTTTGCAGATGCAGAAACCAGAGCTTAGGGAAGTTAAGAGATGCACCTAAAGCCTCACAGTTAGTAAAAAACACAGCTAGAGTTGGAATAGGACACTTGGCCTTCAGAGCTTTTGCTGCAACAATGAACCTTACAGTCTCCTAAACATGGCCTGGACAGAATCCAAGGTGCAAAATGACTTAAAGGCGACAGTCAATGAAAGCATCAGCATTTCCATGGGGTCCAAGTATGTGTGGTTTGGTTGGTCCAATGATAACATTCTCCTAGACTGACTTATTTAGAGATTGGCTCAGCCAAAAGCTTGAGAACATTCACTTCTGAGTTACCTCTTTGGATAGAGCTTTGAGTGTGGATATTCCATGGGCCGGGTAATCCCGTGTAACCAAGGGTTCACTTTCTCTGGCATGGCATCAAACCGTGCAGGGTTCAGTTGGTGGCTGTGCTTCTAGGCCACCCTGAAGTGAAGGCTGTGTGTCTGTGGTTTTGTGTGGGCTTCTTAATTAGCTGCAGCTTTCAAACCTGCCTCCCTGACAACAGGAATAATGCACAATAAATGCGACTGCAAAGAAAGCTCCAAGAGTCAGAACAGTTTGGTGCAGGAGGCTCAGTTTTCTCCCTACCATCTGTTTAGACTGGGCTGAAGGGGAGTGAGTCCAGTAAATGTATAAATCATTGAAACATGATGATACGGCCTCTAAGACTCCCTTACTTAAAGGATCCAGCTCTTCCAGACAGAAAGACAAAGCAACAGCAGATGAAACAGTGAGGTGACCATGCTGGATTTTACTCCAATCCCACAAATGGTTATAAAACATGACTTGCTAGAAGTCCCTCTAATTTGTAGCAGGTTGAAAATGAAACCCAGCAGAGGCAGCAGAGAAAAATCTAATGCAGCTGGCACCTGTTATATTAAGACCCAGAACTACTGTGATTGGCAACAGTGGCACTGGAGATCCAACATCTGGAGTTGCAAATGGAAGAGGTTTTTGCCTGGAATGGACCAGGTTCCCAGGAGGTAATGAGACAATCTGTTTTGTGGGTCATTACAGTCTCTGAAACAGTCTCTCTGTCTTGCAGCTGTGGCAGAACATTTCACAGTCAGAAGTGCTTTGTGGTTGTCCAAATTTTCACCTGCCACCACTTGGCATGCCAGTGGAATTTTGGCAACTGCTAAAACAAGAGGCTGTCTTTCTTCTCTGAGGAAGACAAGAGCCTCAGAACACTGCGTCCCTTTGTCAGAGGCGTCTTGACTCTGGAGGTCCAATGTGAATCCCCTGAGAACATGCGGAGTTCACCTTTCCCTGGATGTTTACTGCTGTTTCTGGGCTGAGAGCAAGACAGAAGCCAGAGGCAGTGGGTACTCTTGTCGGCAAGGGCTGCCCTGCATCTGTGCCTTCCAGTAAGCTTGAGACGAGTTTGGAGACGGCTGTAGATAAGTTCATGGAAAGAAGTTCTCTGTGCTTCGTCCTCTTGACAGCAAAGGCCTTGGCTTATCTGGCCCCTCCCTGCATGCCATGGCTTTTCAAAATGTGCCATGGTGAAGAGGACTCCTGATCACCTGTTACTCGAGCCTGTCACCAGCTGGCTTCATCACAAAGAGAACTTACCCCTTACATGCCTGGAAAGTCCTAGGGCTGGGCGTGGGGTCAGCTCACAATGTCCCCCCAACCCCACACCCATGAGCTGGAAACAGATGAGGGGGTGCCGCACAGGAAAGCCCCCGGGAGAGGAACGGATGCTGCTCAGGCAGGAGCAGGTGCTCCGAGCTCTTCCTGCTGGGTTGGGCTCCTCCAACCCCCAGGTCCACTCTCCTGGGACTGCGCACATGGCCTCCGGAGGCCCCTGATTGCTCTCCTTCCTGTCTCCCCTGAAAGGCAAAGCTTTTTCTGCCAGCACTTAGCATTTGTAGACTTTACAGCTTGCCACACATTTTGTACTAAGTAAAATTATTTGTTGATTTATTTATTTATCTAAATTTCACTAGCTTTGGGGGTTCCAGTGGTTTTGGCTACACGGATGAATAGTATAGTGGTGGAGTGTGGCATTTTAGTGCACCCGTCACCACAATAGTGTACATTGCACCCCAGAGGTGACTTTTTATCCCTTTCCCCCTCCTAACCTTCCCCCTTCTGAGTCTCCAGTGTCCATCACACCCCTGTACATGACTTTGCATACCCATAGCTTGGCTCCCACTTATAAGTGAGAAAGTGCAGTATTTGGTTTTCTGTTCTTGAGTTTCTTTACTTAGGATAATGGCCCCCAGCACCACCCAAGTTGCTGTGAAAGACACTATTTCCTTCTCTTTTATTCACCACACATTTAACTTATTTTGTTCAATCCTCAAAACCATCCTGTGAGATTAGTGGTATTGCTCCCATTTTACAGAAGAGAAAAAGGAGGCCCTGATGATTCAATGACTTTTTTGCTTTATATTTTAGTTTGCCCCTAATGTGAGAGATGAAGGAAGCTGAAATGTCACCAACTCAGGGTGAACTATTCAAACCTGTTTAAAAGCAAGCTAGGAAAATCTGTCCAGAATACTTCCCCTTAAATCCTGCAGCCTCCCCTTCTCATCCCTGGGTTCCCTAGCAGGGGGCCAATGGTACAATGACTATCCAAGCCCTGCATTATTCCCTAGACCCTTTCTTCAGGAAATCCAGCAGGCAGGAAGGAGCCCAGACAGGCAAGTCTCCTGAGCACCTGCAGGCATTGCACCAAGCGGCCCTGGTGCTGCAGGAGGGGTGCACCCAGCAGCCTCCCACACCTGGGACAGGCACGCCTGTGGTGCACGCAGCAGCCTCCCACGCCCAGGACAGGCACTCCTGCCATGCACCCAGCCACCTCCCACGCCCGGGACAGGCACTCCTGCTCACCTCTGGAGGAAGTGCTTTCAGGAGGAGGCTGCAGAGCTGCACCATGAGTATGGCACACATCCCCAGAAGGGGCCGGGGTGCTTTCTGTGCAGTCTCTGGGGAAGGAGAAAGAGGATCCTTCTAGCAAGCAGGCTCTGGGCCCCTGCTCTGTGCCATGGCTTGTGTGCACTCTGAGTGGGATTCGGGGCTGAGAGAAAACATCTGCTCCCCTTACTCTTGGTGTGTTTGCAGTCAGCTCACAAATCTTCCAGAGATGCAGCAGATTCTGCATAAATAAAACTGAGGGATGGGACAGATATGCACCTGTAGAGCACATAGGAAGCTAGGCAGAGAAGCCCAGCACACAACATGTCAGTGACAAAAGTTCAATTAAGAGAGAGAGAGGATACAATTTAAACAGCACTGACAATTGTGCCCATGATATGCTGCATGTGTCTGCCCCAGAGAGGACAGAGCAGAAATCACTATCACCGCTTTTTAGCTCAGATTGGTCCCGGAACCTCCAGACCTAAGCATCTCACATCACTGATTGTGACTTCAGTCATTGAAGACACTGGTTTTCCTTATACCATGGCCCTGCAGTACAAGCCAACTGAGTGAGCAGGTCTACCCTAATGCTGGAGGGAAGGCTGGTTGAATGGAGTCACTATGAGCAAGTGTGTTTATCTCCAGCATGGCATCTTTCTAAGAGAGTTTCAAGAATCATCTTGACCATCCATGGCCTTGCTTTTTGTGTCAACTTTAGAACCCAACTATAAGGGGAATCCAGGAGGCCTCTCATTTACCATCACAGCATCTGGGAGGCCATCCTCTATGGATCCTTCCCAATCCATTCCACCCTCTGATGTGCCAGCAACACGTGGAGCTGGTTGGTGCATTTTGCAGGTTTGCTCTCCGTCAGTCCCCACCTCCAGCATGGGATGAGCTACCCTAGAGACAAATACCATGTTGTTAGTGTCCAGAAACTGATACATATTTGCTGGATTTAATTTGACTGTGAGTTTTGAGCCCTGAGTGCATAGGAATTTTAAGAAGTGGTCAGCCCTGTGGCTGGATAGTCAGGAAAGGGTTCCTGGAAGAGGAGGCATGAGCTGTACCTTCAAGAGTGGGCAGAGCTGAGGTTGGGGGGGATGTCGGGGGAAGGCTGGGCTCCTGCCCTTCCCTGTGTTCTCTGCTCTGTGCCTTGAGGCTCAGCAAGTTTAGGGTCACTGCCTATTGGTTCTCCCAACACTGGTTCCAGGACTTCTCTCAGTCCTCCCTGGACCCTCAAATTAAATTGTTTTAGCAGCCTTGACTACAGATGCTGGTGTTAACCAGCCTGGAGAACTGACCCACTCTCAATTGCATTAAGCTATGATGACAAGGCCAGGCTTGGTTGCTCACACTTGTAATTCCAGCACTTTGGGAGGCCAAGGAAGGAGGATCATTTGAAGCCAGGAGTTTCAGAACAGCCTGGGCAACATAGCAAGACTCCATCTCTAAAAAATAAAAATTGGCACATGCCTGTAGTTCCAGTTTCTTGGGAGCTGAGGTGGGAGGATCACTTGAGCCCCCGAAGTTGAGGCTGCAGTGAGCTATGATCATGCTGCTGCACTCCAGTCTGGGTGACAGCGTGAGACCCTGTCTCTAGAAATAGAAAGCTGTGATGACAAAAGAATGAGGCCTAGCAATTCTGCAGGTGGATGAGAAATTCTCACTGGGTGGTAGAGAAATATGCAGGCTTCCCCGTGTCCACCTACTTCTGAAAACAGTGCAGATTCATTCCAGTCTCAATCAAAAGGCCTCTCCTCTGCCATCCAGTCTGCCTGCCAGGGCAATGGGGAGGGGGGAGGGCCCAGAGATGGGAGACCAGCCGAGTGGCTCACCCCTCACTGCACGGATTATGTGCAGCAGTGTCTATAATGAAGAGAGGTGGCAGGAATGCATGAGGTTTTAAAACACTGAAATGAAGAACGTGCTTGGGCGAGTTGAACTTGTGCACATTGTCAGCCTGCTTCCTGCACAGCGTTGCTCAGCTGCCACTGCTCAGGGGCGTACGGAAGCCCAACTTGGCGGAGGTGGCTCACAGTCCTGAGTGCAGCCCTGTGGAGTCAGCCGTGTGGAGGCAGCCTGCAGACATAGGCTCAGGCCATCTTCCTGCTCACATTTGCCCGCCAGTTTGTTTGTTTTGTTTATTTTTCCCTTCATTTTTTGAGCATTTACTAGATACTGGGACCTGTACAAGGGTATCTCTAATTATGTGAGGATTTTGCCACATTGAGTGTTTTTATTCAAATGTACATTTGTTTGAATTCATTTAGCTATTTGGGTGTCTTTAATTATTTTAAACTTTTACCTTACAATCAAGGGGTACCTGTGCAGTTTTGTTACAAAGGTATATTACATGGTGTTGAGGTTTGGAGAGTGATTGAACCCATCACCCAGGTAGTGAGCACAGTACCCAATAGGTAGTTTTTCGGCCCTTACCCCACCCTTCACCTTCTTGTATTCCCCAGTGTCTGTTGTTCCCAACTTTATGTCCATGAGTACCCAATGTTCAGCTGCCACTTAATACGTGAGGCATTTGGTTTTCCACTTCTGCATGAGTTCACTTAGGATAATGACTTCCAGCTGCATTCATGTTGCTGGAATCATGACATGATTTCATTCTTTCTATGGCTGCATAGTATTCCATGGTGTATATGTTCCACATTTGCTTCATCCAGTCCATCATTGGTGAGCACCTGGGTTGACTCCATGTTTCTGCTATTGTGAACAGTGCTGCAATGAACATAAGGGTGCATAGGTCTTTCTTGTAGAATTTCTTTTCCTTTGGATCCATACCCAGGAATGAAATTGCTGGGTTGAATGGTAGTTTAACTCTTAGACCAGCCAGTTTCTTTTTTGCTCTTTCTTGGCTTCCATCCCAATCAGATTCATGTCCTCAATCCTCTCTTGTCTGCTCTTCTGGATGAGTGTAACATGCAAACACAGAGGGCCAACTTGTACACCCCCCACTACCTCCATGCACAGGCTTAGCTGGCAGAGTGGTAGAGTGAGAGGATCCCTGCCTGTCATGGAATAGCTACTCCATACTGTGGGTGAGTATTTCCGGTGTCACATTTTACTCATCCTGCTGAAGTTCATTAAGGTTTCGTAATCCTGTGGTCAACTGGAAAAAAATTTTTTTGGTAATAAAAGTCAGTGGGAGGTGAGGAACAAGACAGGGACTGAGAAATAAGAGATCATCCGTCTGATCACATTTACTGGCTGTGTGACCTTGAGCAAATCACCAAGCCTCTCTCAGCCGAGAGGCTGAGGTTATTCCTCTTATAAGGAATAACATTCCTTATAAGAGAAATGGAGATGCTGGAACTAGAAGTCCTCAGCATCTCCTCTGGACCTAATTTGGGCTAGTTTCTAGCTAGGTCACCTACGCACCGTCTGTCCCATCACAGTTTTACCATTTGGTACTCTCTGGAGCATTGCCATGGCCTAGACCTGTGATTAAATTGGTGCACCATTCTTTAAACTGATTAGCAATCTTTGTCAAAGAAATAAGTCAATGGAGAAAATTTTATTGGTTAAATGAGATACAATTGAAGGGCATGCGACCAGAGAAGTTTTTAGCTTGGCTCACATATAGCTTTACAAGTTCAGCTGGTTAAAAGAAGATTAAATTATATGTAGCCTTATTGATTTAACCAACTGTAATGAACTATAGCAGACTTACTAAAAGGACAGTATCTTCAATAAATGTTGCTGGGAAAACCAGATATCTGTTTGCAGAAACATGAAACTAGACCCCATCTCTTGCCATATACAAAAATCAAATCAAAATGGATTAAAGACTTAACTCTAAGACCTAAAACTATGAAACTACTAAAAGAAAACATTGAAGAAACTCACCAGGACATTAGCCTGGGCTAATACCTGAGCAATACCCTAGAAGCACAGGCAACTAAAGCAAGATGGACAAATGGGACCACATCAAGTTAAAAAGCTTCTGCACAGAAAAAAATAAACAAAGTGAAGAGACAACCCACACAATAGGAGAAAATATTTACAAACTACTCATTGACAAGGGAAAAATAACCAGAATATAAAAGGAGCTCTAACAACTCTATAGAAAAAAAAAATCCTAATAACCCAATATAAGATCTGAATAGACATTTCTCAAAAGAAGATATACAAGTGACACACAGGTATATGAAAAGGTGTTCAACATCACTGATCATCAGAGAAATGCAAATTCAAACTACATTGAAATATCATCTCACTCCAGCTAAAATGACTTTTATCCGAAAGGCAGGCAATAACAAAAGCTGGCGAGGATGTGGAGAAGAGGGAACATTTGTACACTGTTGGTGGGAATGTAGATTAGTACAACCACTATGGAGATTAGTTTGGAGGTTTCTCAAAAAACTGAAAATTGAGCTACCATATGATTAAGCAATCCTACTGCTGGGTATATACCTGAAAGGAAGGAAATCAGGCTATTGAAGAGATGTCTGCACTCCCATGTTTATTGCAGCACTGTTCACAATAGCCAAGATTTGGAAGCAACCTAAGTGTCCATCAACAGATGAATGGATAAAGAAAATGTACTTATACACAATGGAGTACTATGCAGCCATAAAAAATAATGAGATCCTGTCATTTGCAACAACATGAATGGAACTGGAGGCCATTATGTTAACTAAAATAAGCCAGGCACAGAAAGAAAAACTTTATATATTGTCACTTACTTGTTGGAGTTAAAAATTAAAACAATTGAACTCATGGGGATAGAGAATGGAAGAATGGTTACCAGAGGCTGGGAAGGGTAATGCGGAGGAGAGCAGAGGGGAAAGTGGAGATGTTAATGAATACGAAAATATCATTAGAAGGAATACATAAGATCTAGTATCTGATAGCACAACAGGGTGACTACAGTCAATGATTATTTATTATACATTTAAAAATAACTAAAAGAGTATAATTGGAATATTTATAACACAAAACAATGATAAATGCTTGAGGGGATGAGTACCCCATTTACCCTGATGTGATTATTACACATTTCATGCTTGTGTCAAAATATCTCACATACCCCATAAGCATATACACCTACTATGTACCCATAAAAATTAAAAACAAAATGAATCCAACTTTCTGAGAGTCAGTTAAAGATAAAAGCCTTGTCTGGCCGGGCGTCCATCCACAGGCACAGAGGGAAATGACTCATGCTGTTCCCAGGTTGGGTGTGTGTGTCCTCCTCCCCGGCCTCTCTAACTGCAGCATCTGATTGCTTCCTAGTGGCAGCTCTTTGTGGACTCGCGAAAAATTGGCTGAAAAGGAAGGACTGTGACCCAAAGATGCCCAGCTCCCTGGAATAGGGCACGTTACAGTGGGCTGAGGAGCTACAGTGAGCTGTGCTAAGAGTGTGCCTGGGAAGAGAAACCAAGGACGTGAGATTCAAAAACAGGCTTTGCCTAAGACTGCATAAAGCTGCAAGCTCTCCAGCCCTTCCCTGGCCAGTTCCCTGTGACCTCCTAGGCTGGAGAAACCAAGACCAATGGCAGCTTCCAACCAGCTTGGCATAAGTGGTTGGCAAGGCAGAGCACCCCCATCTGTGCCCAGCTGCAGGTCTTGAAGTCTCTCAGTCATCAGCTCACCCAGGACATCCAGTTCATCAGCCAGTCTTGTGGGTTAACTCGTATTCTGATTCTCTTTACTGTTCCCTCTGGTTTTAAAAAAACAGCTTTACTGAGATATAATTCACATACCATACAATTCACTCATTAGCGTGTTCAGTTAAATAGTTTTTGGTATTATTAGTTTTTTAAAATGTGCTTAAATATTGTTATTTTTTCAAGGTTCATCTGCGTTGTAGCTTTTATTACAACTTCATTCCTCATGTTTCTTAAATTTTTTTGTTTGTTTTAGAAAGAGGGCTTTACTATATTGCCCAGGCTGGAGTGCAGTGGTGCAATCAATCATAGCTCTGCAGCCTCAAACTGCTGGGCTCAAGCGATCATTCCACCTCAGCCTCCTCAGTATCTGGGACTACAAGTTTCTGCCTCTACAACCTGCTCACTTTTATTTTTATTTTTATTTTTATTTTGATAGAGATGGGGTTCTCACTATGTTGCCCAGGCTGGTCTCAAACTCCTGGCCTCAAGCAATCTTCCTACCTTAGTCTCCCAACGTGCTGGGATTACAGGCCTCTGACTTCTCTTTTAATCACTGTTTCTGCCACTCCATTCCGGGCCAGCATGGTCTCTCCTCTGGGTGGCAGATGCTATCAGGGCCCTGCCCCATGCCCTGACTTGCCCCTGCCAGCCCCTGTGTCTCTTTGTCAGAGCCTCTCTGCCCACACAAATCAGGCCAGGAGTGCTGGGCTGGTGTGATAACTCTCAAATGCCCTCAGCCCTGGGGCAAGACAGATCTGAGACATGTGTTCTCCACTGCGGTCCTTAGGGCCCAGCGGGATCAAACTCCAGCTGCTGACAGTGGGAACCTGCTTGCGGACACCCTGGGCTGGCTGCCCTCCCTTCCAGATCTCATTTCCCTTTGCCCCTACCAGTCTTCCGGCAACACTTCCTAAACAAACTACTTATACTGGACCAGCGTCTGTTTCTAGGAACCCGGACAATGACAGCCTCCCATCCAGACCCTCTGCTTTCACTCCCATCTTCCTAAAATACACACTCCACAGCAGCTGGAGTGGCCTGTTAAAATGCAAATCAGAGAATGTAGCTCTCCTGCTGAAATCTGCTCAACACCCTCCCAGGCCCTGAGAGTAAAATCCAAACACCTTACTGAGGCAGGTAAGGAATGCAGGTAAGGTATGGGACCCTCCACACTTGTCACATTCCTGCCCCCCACCCCCATGCCTGGCTGTCGCGAGGTCTTTGCAACTTGTGCTCTGACTGTTTATTTTATCATAACTGGGACCAGAAGAGATAGAGACTAAGCAGCCAGTCGTGACCACTGACCCATTAGAAAGGATGCCAGTTGTGAACAGCGTGGACATCTGTGACGCTGCCATCCGCACATGTCAGCCTGGCTGAAGCCGTTATTTTACTCAGGCCTCAGATTAGGTGTTTCCTCCTGAGCTAGGCCTTCCCTGGCTGGTCAATCTATTATAAATTGCCCTCCCCGGGCATGGTGGTGCATGCCTGTAGTTTCAGCTCCTTGAGAGGCTGAGGTGGGCAGATCGCTTAAGCCCAGGAGTTCGAGGTTGCAGTAAGCTATGATTGCACCACAGCACTCTAGCCTGGGTGACAGAGTGAGACTCTGTCTCTAAAAAATAAAATTAAATTAAATTTAAAAAATGACCCCCCATAAACCTCTCTTTCTCATCATATCACTCTGCTTCTATATCTTCATAGCACTTGCCACTATCTGCAATTATCTTGAATTTTTTAATTTGTTGTTTTTTGCCTACATCATGTCTCTCCAAGTAGAACACAAGCTCCATGAGCTCAGAGGCCTTTCTGTTTTGTTCACTGCTGGATCCCCAGTATCTGACTCAGGCTGGTCACCTACTGTGGCAGTTGTTCAAAAAATACTCATTGAACGACTAACTGAATGGATGAGTGTCATGGTTTCCAAAATCAAGAACCCCATGGCCTTAGCAAGTGGCAACCCCTTCCAGAGCCTGGGTACTATCACAGAGGGGCAAAGACCGTGCTGCGGCTGCCTGGAGAAGACCTACAGGCCCACGTGCTGTGCAAAGGTGACAGGAAGAGAAAGTGTTGGCCCATGCTACAGGTGACTCTGAGAGGTAGACAGTGAGAATGTGTGTGACCAGGGTCCTGATGACCTCTGAGAGTTAGGATGGATGGAGAAGAAAGTCAGGTTGCAAAGGCTTAGGGAGAAAGGAGTGTGAAGGAAATAGATATAACCAGGAGGTTGAGGTATGTTGCAGTGGGAGCTGGTGGTGATGGCTGAGGGAAGAGACTTGTTTTGGGGCTGCAGAAAGAGACTAGGGAGAAGCAGAGACTGAAGGTGCAAGAGACTAGAGACTGAGTGACTGAGGCCTGAGTAGAGGAGTAAAGACAGGACCAGGGCTTCAAGAGGTAGGATTTGCTTGGAACCAGAAAAAAAAAGACACTTTTTCCTTGAATATAGGAGGAAAGGAACAGAAGTTGAAGGGAGAATCAGAATATTTGAGCAGACAAGAGGAGGGAATGTGACCTCAGGGTCCTTGGAGTTAAAGGCAGGAGGGGTGGGGGTCTTCCAGAAGGGGCTGTTCTGTAAGCCATCCCCCAGTGAGAAGCAGCAGTGCAGGAGATTTCAGCGCTCCCCTGGGAGTGGGGAGGCTGGGAATCTCTCCTCTTTTATCTGAAACACCAACCACTTTATTTATTTGCACCACTGGAAACTGAACTGCTCAGCAGGGCCTCTTTGTGAGGTATCTACAGGGGAGCAGAGGACAGGCTGAGCAGCATTTCAAGAAACGCTTGGGTGGAGGGAGTGGGGCAGGGAAGTAGGGGACTGGAGGGGCAGGTTGGGCTGGCAAAGATTCTCTGTTGACTGGCAGGGAGGGAGGGGGCAGAGGGCAGCTAGTGTCTTCCTCCACTGCAGCAGCAGTTGCTGGAGGCAGGGGCTGCTAGGCAGGCTGTCCAGGCTCCTTTGGGAATGTGTACATGGGGACTAAAATGTTTGGGGCAGAACCTCCTAGGGGCAGATGGAGGTGCAGTCTCCCTGTGATGGAATCCCTCCCTGCCTTTATCTCCAAAGCCACAGTGGGGTGATGGTGGGGCTGTTCCAGGCTCACAGGGCCCAGGGCAGGCTGTGGCTCAGGGAGACCATTTTGGTTCCCTGGGCTATATGGTGCCATTACCTGCACGTGGCTATTGGCACCTGAAATGTGGCTAGACTGGGATGAGCTGTGGCAAGTACACACCTGATTTCAAAAGTTTAGTGCCAAAGAATGTAAAATATCTGTTTCATATTTTTTAATATGGCTTACACATTGAAATACTAATATTATGGACATATTGGGATAGATAAGATACATGACTGCAATTAATTTTTTTGAGTTAATTTTTTTAAACTAGAAAATCTAAAGCTACGTATGTGGCTTGCATTATATTTAATTGGACAGCACTGCTCTAGGGAGAAGGATATCTAGGAACCCAGTGGTCGTGATGACCTAAAATAATCAAAAGGATCTGAATCTAGTTTAAAGAAAGTTTATTCAAGCGCAAAGTTGAGGACAGGCCCACCCAGGACATCACGTATACAGACAAAGCCTAAAAAAGTTTAACAGAATTTAAACATCTTTCTATGAGAGGCTTACTGCATAGTCATAGTGATCTGATTAGACGAGGTGGTCTTTTTCTTTCAGAAAACGTATATTTAACCTTCCACATTAAGGCTGTAACCGTGCTGAGGTCTTGGACACCATCTGGTCTGAGTTGGGTACAAGACTTTATGGTAATCATTTAATCTATATAATTTAATATATAACATTTGCTCTATAATCATTTAATCTATAATAACCCATGATTAGTCATTTACAGAACAACAACAAGGAAGAGTTAAACTCTCATCTAAGAAGAAAAACTGCAAATATGCTACATGACTCATTCCCCAGGGCTTGCCTTCCTCCTCGGCATAATACATTCAGAGGGTCCTAAGTTTTATTTTCTTTTACAGTTGGAGCCCCCTGGGTGAAGTTGAGGAAGGAAGACCTGCCCACAGCCCCAGTTCCCTGGAAGTCTGTGAATAGCAAGAAATGGGGCAGGCTGGGCTGTGCTTGCTGTCATCTCTGGGTGGGGGGAGATGGAGGCCTGGGCAGGAGTCCTAAGAATGCTGGGTGTCCATGGCTGCCTAGTCGCTGGGGTCTCTCCAGCAGAGGACGGTGTGGCTGTGCACCTTGTCCAATGCCAGGAAGCCAGCAGCCGGGGGTGGAACTCGGTATTCTGCAGGGATGTTGTGACTGACACAGTAATTATGGGTTTTTGCATTGTTTATGCCTCTCTGGGAGCAGAGCCAAATGCTATGAGCCGGTGGCTGCAAGGCACTCAGTAGATTTCATGACAGAGTATCATTGTATTTACTCTTTCAGGCCTCCCGGACTATTGGCGCCTCATGAAGCTTTAACACTATTTGCTGTTCTCATAATTAAATCACTGACTAAATAAAAAAAAAAAACAATAAAAGAAATACCAAATCATTCTAAACAGTGATCCAACATGGCTTGGGTGCATTCACATAAAAGCAACTTTCTGTCATTTTACATTTTTTTCTGCTCTGATCTGGGCTATGTGGGTGCTTTGATGCTGGGCTGGAATCAGGCAGCTGTGTCCTGCCCTGTCCGCCTGGCCTGCAGCTGAGGGCTGGAGCCCCCTGCACTGCCCCTCCCCACCCCCTGCAGACCCCAGGAGGAGGGAGGGAGCAAACTTTGCCAGTACCCAGGGTGGAAAAACTCTCTCTGCTGTAAACTAAAAATAAAATCCTAAGCCTCATCAACTAAACAGACATGCCTTGTGGTGAAGGGGACCCAGAGAAGTTGAGTTCCTGCCATGACAGGATGGGCGGTCAGACATGCCTCTTTATACCCCTCTCCTTTCTGGTTCAGACACAGCAAGTGACCAGCGTTCATGTTAAAATAGAGATCGTAAGACTGGCAGAATGGACTTTTGTGGCAATAGATACCAAATTGTAACCTGGACCTAAGATCCTGCCCCACACTCCCACACTTAAAGGAGAAACTGTGCTCTGTCACAGGTGTTTCTTTTCAAAACTCCAGCAGCTGAGCAAGCACTGGCCTGGAGATAAGCAATGTTAAAACAGTTACAAGTTACCCAGCTCACAGACGCAGGCTAACTGACCCCTGTCCCACCAGCCATAACTGCAGCCTGTACTAGATAAGAGGCTGATTTCAGTAACTTTCTCCCGATCAGAGACTGCTGACCATGGACTAGTTCTGGCTGGTTTTTGGAAGTTCTACAGTCATGTGCCTTGTGTTCTGAAAAGGCCTTTGGATGGGCTAATACAGTTAAATGTTGTCTCATCCCCAAAGTGAATATGCATCATATATAGTCACATGCATATATCAGGACCACCTTCATGAATATTCATGGATTCTCCTGCAATCTGTTGAATATGTATGTTTGGCCAACCTGCTCAGCATAGAGCTCCTGTCCCAAACCCCTTCTCTTTCAGAGTGCCTGTCTCTGGTCTTGGCCAAAGGCTATGCTTCCCAGCCTGCGGACAGCCACCTTGTAGGCTGTACCCTTTTATAAGAAAGCCTCCTTTTCTAATTTATACATCTTGTGATTTTTAAGTTAACACTGCTCAACTCTGAGCTGTTGGGAGAATAGGAGGTACCCTTGTCTATTTTCAGCCCACAAACATTTTTCCTCCTCTAGATGCATTTGCTCAGAACTGGATCAAAATTGTGTGTGTGTATGTGTGTGTGTATTTGTATATATTTGTGTGTGGTGTGTGTGCACATGCATGTAGATATTTTCCTCTTCAATTTCACAAAGTACACACGTATACTGAAATAAACTCCTTCTGGATCTGCTGAGTGTGAAATTGATGAGACTCCAGCCTGTCTCACTCTCACTTTCCCCCAGGAGTGCCTGCTCTGCGGGTGCCTGGGCTGAAGCAGGATGGGCTCTGGGTGACTCCTCTACTGGGGAGGTGGGTAGGGGAAAGCTGGCCAGGCTTGCTGCGTGCTGGGGTCCAGGCAGACAGAGCTCCCCTGGGAAGTTTTCTTCAGGCAGGAAAACTCACCCTGTGGGGCCTTCACCTCCCTTTAGCCTAAAACATATAGATATTAAATTTTCACTTATTTTTATTTGTGGAGTACATGTGTAATTATGTGCATAGACTTCATAGTGGTCAAGTCAGGGCTTTTAGGGTATCTGTTACCTGAATAACATACATTGTACCCATTAACTGATTTTTCATCATCCTTACCCCTCCCACCTGGCACCCTTCCCAGTCCCCTTCTCTCTCATTCCATTCTCTATGTCCACATGAACACATTTATCATCCACTTATGAGTGAGAACATGCGATATTTGTCTTTCTGTGAAATAATTTTAACATGGAAGCAATGTCTTTTGTTTTACCGTTAAGGCTAGGACGTTATTGCAGATTCCCCCAGTGTCTTAAATTTACACCACAGAGTAAATGACCCATTAGAACCTCTCCTGAAAAAGCCTTTGATTGTAGTAGAAGCAATGATGATGATGATAATGATGACGACGATGATGGCGATGATGATGTTGACGATGATGATGATGATGATGACGATGATGATGATGATGATGATGACAATGATGATCGTCGCAAATGCTTCCATAGCTCTAGCTGTGTGCTGGGCGCTGTTCTAAGTGTGTAAATAAAAGTGGTGTATATAAGAGTTAATTCACAAAATACACTAATGCCTTGTGGTCATTAAAGCCCAGAGAGGTCAGTAGCAGTACCAAGACTTGAATTTGCATATGTCTTTAACCTCTATACAATGCAAGGCATAAATCCGCCTGATAGCTAGAATCAGGCTTGGGGTTGTCGGTGCGGGGGAGTTTCCCAACAAACTCTTCAGATCCTCAGGTTGGTGGAAGTTGGATTCTGTGGAAATGGTGGCGGAAGCAGCAGGAGATGGGGTGATGTGGCTGCTTATTACTGGCAATATTTAGGCCAGAATTAGCAGTAATTTTTTCTTCAATTAGCAAATATTGGACACTTAGAAAACTGTCTTAGAAAATCATGTGTTAAAATCAAATATTTTAATCCAGCTCTTTTAACAGATTACATGGCAAAGATAATTAGGCTGCTGGGAACAGGATATAGTGTTTAATTAATGCATTAATTTTGAAAGCGAAATTCGATTGTTAAAGAAAATACAATAAAGGATTGAAACATGAAATTAGCATAGGAGCATTACCCATTTCTTCAAGCAGCTTACTGGGCATGATCTTTTTCCTGCTGTTTCCCGGGGGAGGTTAAGTAGGAAAGTAGGGTCATTTGTGTCTTGCAGGAGAATGAAACTCTGCCATCCTGTTTGTGGGGGTGGAGGTGGAGACATTAAAAAGACCCAGCCTTTATACTGTGCCCCCAAATGCAAACCCACATGAACTATCTGGCAGGTTCCTAGGTGCTAAGTGCACTTCCTGGTCTTTCATGTCACTAGAAGAGACATGGGGCTCGACTTACAGAGATGACAACACACTTGCTTAAAGCCTGAAGGGTATCACTGCCCCTGCCTGCAGCAAAACGTCAGCCCCGGCCCAGTTCCTCTCTCATCACCACTCCTGCCCCTTTCTTTTTCTTTTTAATTGACACATAATCATTGTACACAATTATGGGGTTAAATATTATGTTTCAGGGCATACATATGTTGTGCAATGATCAAATTTAATGAGATATCTGGAGCAATATTACTAGAAGAAGGATGAGGTTGTTTTAGGATACAAAATCAATGTACACAAATTCATATGGAACACAAAAAGAGCCCTCATAGCCAAAGCAAGACTAAGTAAAAACAACACATCTGGAGGCATCACATTACCTGATTTCAAACTATACTACAAGGCTATAGTGACCAAAACAGCATGGCATTGGTATAAAAACAGCCACACAGACCAATGGAACAGAATAGAGAACCCAGAAATAAAGTCAAATACTTACAGACAACTGATCTTCCATAAAGCAAACAAAAACAAAGTGGGGAAAAGATGCCCTATTCAACAAGTGGAGCTGCGATAATAGGTAAGCCACATGTAGAAGAATAAAACTGGATCCTCATCTCTCACCTTATACAAAAATCAACTCAAGATGGATCAAAGACTTAAACCTAAGGTGTGGAACCATAAAAATTCTAGAAGATAACATCAGATAATCTCTCCTAAACATTGGCTTATAACCAAGAACCGAAAAGCAAAGGCAACATAAACAAAAATAGATAAATGGGACCTAATCAAACCAAAAAGCTTCTGCACAGCAAAACAAATAATCAGCAGAGTAAATGGACAACCCACAGAGGGGGAGAAAATATTTGCAAACTATGCTTTTGACAAAGGACTAATATCCAGAATCTACAAGGTACTCAAACAGATCAGCAAGAAAAAGACAAATAATCCCATCAAAAAGTGAACAAAGGAAATAAATAAACCATTCTCAAAAGAATACATGAAAACAGCCAACAAACATATAGAAAATGCTCAACATCACTAATTATCAGGGAAATGCAAATTAACATCACAATGAGATACCCTTTACTCCAGCTACAATGGCCATAATTAAAAAATCAAAAACAATAAATAGTGTCAAAGATGTGGTGAATAGAGAAGGCTTTTACACTGCTGGTGGGAATTTATACTAATACAACCACTTGTTCTAGCCCATTACCTGTCATCCTCCACCCTCTTCTTCCCTTCCACCCTCCAACCTTTTCTTCCCCATTCACCCCTCACCTCCTCCATTTTTCTAGCCTCTTCTTCCCCTCCAACCTGCTTCCCCTCCACCATCCTTCCCTTCCACCCTCCTTCCCCTCCACCTCTTTCCCCTCCACCCTTCTTCCCCTCCACTATCCTTCCCCTCCTTTCTCTCCACCATCCTTCCCTTCCACCCTCCTTCCCCTCCAGCTCCTTCCCCTGCACCCTTCTTCCCCTCTACCTTTCTTTCTCCCTTCCCTCCCATCCTCTTTCCCCTCCATCCTTCTTCCCCTCCACCCTCCTTCTCCTTCTTCCCCTCTACCCATCTTCCACTCCTTCCCTTCCACACTCCTTCTCCTTCACCCTCCTTCCCCTCCACCCTCCTTCCTCTCTGCCCTCCTTCCCCTCCACCCTCCTTCCCCTCCACCCACCTTTCTCTCCATCCTCCTTCTTCTCCTTCATCTCCACCCTCCTTCCTATCTACCCTCCTTCCTATCCACCCTCCTTCCCATCCACTACCCTTCCCTTCCACCCTCCTTCCCCTCCACCCCCCTTCCCTCCACCCTCCTTCTCTCCACCCTCCTTCCCCTCCACCCTCCTTCCCCTCCACCCTCCTTCCCCTCCACCCTCCTTCCCCTCCACACTCCTTCCCTTCCACCCTCCTTTCCTCCCACCCTCCTTCCCCTCTACCTTCCTTCTTCTACACCCTCCTTCCCCTTCACCCTCCTTCCTCTCCACACTCCTCCCCCCTTTTTCCTCTAGCCTCTTCCCTTTCCACTCTTTTTCCCCTCCACCCTCTTTTCCCTCTACCTTCCTTCCCCCTCACCCTTTTTTCCTTCATCCACATTTCCCTCTACTCTCCTTCCCCTATACCCTCCTTCTCCTATACCTTCCTTCTCCCTTCACCCTTCTTCTCCTCTTTCTTCTTCACCCCCTCCACCTCCTCTTTCCCCTTTATGCTCCTTTTCCTCCTTCCCCTCCACCCTCCTTTTCCTCCCCCTCTCCTTCCCTTCCACCCTCCTTCCCTTCTTTTCTCTTTCTCCTCTTTTCCTTCTTCTCCTCCACCTTTCCCCACTCCTTTTCCTCCTCCTTCTTCTTCTCTTCCAAGATGGGGAGAAGAAGTGTGGGGAGAAGATGGTGGGGAAATGATTTTGGGCAGATCGGGAGAAGACTTTGGGAAGAAGGAGTTTGGGCAGAAGATGGTGGGAAGAATGATGGAGGTTTTTTTTTTTTAAAAAAAAAAAGAAACTAAAAGTAGAACTTCCTTCTTATCCAGTGATCTCACCACTGTGAGTAAAAGAAGTTATTAAAAAGAAGCATTAAAAAGACAGATGCATACACATGTTTATAGCAGCACAATTAACAATTTCAAAAATATGGAATGGTGGTGAGAGAGGGTTGAAGGAAGATTTTGGGGAGAGGAAATGGGGAGACGATTCTGGGGAGAAGATGTGCAAAACACAGTGGAGAGAAGACTTTTGGGAGTGGAACTGTGGGTATGAGGGGGGAGAAGATGGTGGGGTGAGAAGTTGGGGAGAAGGCAGTTGTGAAGAAGGTGGTGGGGAAGAGGACGATCAGAAAAAGAGGGTGGGATAGGAAGAAGGTTGGGGATGGGGTGGAGAAGAAGGTGGAGAAAGGGAATGGGGAAGAAGATGGTTGGGGAAGAAGACAGTGGGAGAAGAAGACAAGACGGTGGGGGAAGAAAATAGGGAGAAGAGGGAGTTGGAGAAGTAAGGTGAGGAGTGAAAGTGGGGATAAAACATTGGGGAGAAAGAGTGAGGAGGAGGTAGGGAAGAGATGGTGGGGTGAGCAGGTGGAAAAAGGTGGTGGGGAGAAGGTGATCAGGGAGAAGAGGTTCAGGGAGAAAGAGGATCTGGAAGAAGATGGTGGGGTGGAGATGTAAAGAGAACATGCTAGAGAGGAAACTCTGGAAAGACGATGTTGGACACAACACAGTGGGGAGAAGACTCTGGGGAGAGGGAGTGTGGGAAGAAGATTGTAGGGTGAAGGAGTGGGGAGAAGGAGGTTGGGAGAATGTGGTCAGGGAGAAAAGGGTCAGAAAGAGGGTTGTGTGGGGAGAGGGAGTGGGAAAGATGATGGTGGGGGGAGTGGGGAGAAGACACTGAAGAGAAGCTTCTGGAGAAAAGATTCTGGGGAGAGAAAGATATTGGGTGGAACACAGTGGGAAAAATACAGTGGAGGTGGAGAGGGGGCAGTCTGGAAGAAGAAGGTGGGGTGGGAAAAGGAAATGGCAAAGAAGAAGATGAAGAAAAAATGGTGAAGAAGAAGAAGAGAGTAGGGTGGGAAATGGAAATGGGGAAGATGAAGGTGGGGAGAAGACAATGGGGAGGAGATGTTGGGCAGCACTCAGTGGGGAGAAGAGTTTAGGGAGAGGGCTTGTGGGGAGGAAGACAGTGGGGTGAGGGGTTAAGGACAAACAGTTGGGAAAAAAGTGGTCTGGGAAAAGGTAGCCCAGAAGGAAAATAATGGTGGGGTGAGGGAGTGGGGATAAAAATCTGGGTGGAATGAGTGGGGAAGATGGTGCAAAAGGGGACAGTGGGAAGAAGAGGATGGTGGAGGGGGAGGTGGGGAGAAGATGGTGGCGGTGGGATGGGAAGAAGATGGTGGGGTTGGAGAAGATAGTATGGGAGAAAATTTTGAAAGATGTTGAGCAGAACTTATTGGAGAGAAGACTGGGGAGAGGGATGGAGAGAAAGTGGAGAGGGAGTGTTGGGGTAGACAGTGGCGTGAGGGGGTGAGGAGAAAGTGGTTCAGGAGAAGATGGCTGGGGAGAAGGGGGTGGGTCGGGAAGAGAGGGTGGGGATAAAACACTGTACAGGGAAGATGGTGGAGGGGGAGCTGGAGATAAAATTCTGGGGAGAAAATGTTGGGAAGAAGACAGTGGGGGGAAGACTGTGATGAGGGGTTGGGAAGGAGTCAACAAGGGAGATGATTGGGAAGAAGAGGGTCAGGAGAAAGACTGTGGAGAAGAAGACATCGTGGGGGAGAAAACACTGGGGGAAAAATTCTGGGGAGAAGGTGGTCACAGAGAAGGGGGTGAGGATGATGGTGGGAAGAGAGAATGGGGAGAAAATGGCAGGGAAGAAGGCAGTTAGACAGAAAATGGTGAAGAGGGGCAGGGGAGTCAGAAAGAAGATGGTCTGAAAAAGAGGGGGTGGGAAAAAGAGGGTCAGGAGGAAGACCTTGGGGAGAAGTTGTTGGGTAGAACACAGTTATAAGAAGACTTTGGGCAGAGGGACTGTGGGGAGAGGGAGTGAGGGGAGGAGACACGAGAGGGAGTGTGGGAGAAGACGGTGGGGTGGGGGAGAAGACAGCCGGGAAGAGGGTCGGGGAAGAAGAAGAAAGAAGGGGAAGAGGAGAGGGGAGAAGGGGGTCTGGGAAGAAGATGGAACAAGAGGGGGAAGAAAAGGGAAAAAAAGGAAAGAGAGGGAAAAAGAGGGTAAGGGAAGAAGGTAAAAAAGGGAGTTAGGGAGAAAGGGGAAGAAGGTCAAGGAAGAAGGGAGAGAAGGGGAAGAAGAGGGTAAAGAAAAAAGAAAAAGAAGGTGGGAGTAGAAGGGAGAGGAGAAGAGTGTCAGGGAAGAAGGGGAAGAAAAGGGTAGAAGAAGAAAGCGGTCAAGGAAGAAGGGAAAGAGGGTTGGAGAAGAAGAGAAGAGGGTCAGGGAAGAAAAAAGTGAAAGAAGAGGGTCAGGGAAGGGGAAGAAGAGCATCAGGAATGAAGAGGGAGAAGAGGGTGGGGGAATAAAAAAGAAGAGGGTGGGGGCTAAGGGAGATGGAAGGTGAAGGAGGGTGTGGGGAAGGAAGGCGGTAGGGAAGAAGTTGTTAAGCAGAACACAGTGGGAAGAAGGCTTTGGGGAGAGAGAGTAGGAGTAGAGGGGGAGTTAGGGAAGAACAGTGGGAAGAAGACAGTGGAGAATAAGAGTGGGGACTAGAGAACAAGATGATGGGGAGAAAATGCTCAACAAATCAAGTATAGTGGAAATGTGTCTCACCACAGAAAGGCCGTATATGACAAGCCCTCAGTAAACAGTATTATGTACACTGAAAAGTTGAAAGCTTTTTGCCTAAAATCAAGATCAAAACAACGATACTCACTCTCATCACTTATTTTAAACATGGTAGTGGAATTCCTAGCCAGAATAATCGGGCAAAACAAGAAATAAAAAACATCTGAAACTTATGAAAATATATAAGTGAATTTATCTCTAATTGCTGATGACATGCTCTTACATATGAAAAAAACCTAAATGCTTCTTCACAAAAAACCGTGGGAACAGATGCACACATTCAGTGAAGTTGCAGGGTACAAAATCAACTTACAAAAATCAGTAGTGTTTCTATGTTGGTAATGTTTCTATATACCAATAAAGTAATCTGAAGAAATATTTAAAAATCTAATGTAGAATATTATAAAAATTTAAATATTTAGGTGTAAATGTAATCTAAATGGTAAAAGGCCTTTATACTAAAAACTATAAAACACCAACGAAAGGAATTTCAAAAACAGAAGTAAATAAAAAGGCATTGCATGTTTGTGAATTGGAAGAATTAATATTGTGAAAATGTACATAATACCATTAAGAGATTTAATGCAATCACTATCAAAAGTCCAATGCCATTTTTTTTTACAGAACTGAAAAAATAATGCTTAAATTTGTATGGAACCACAAAAGACCCCAAATAACCAAATGAATCTTCAGCAAAAGTAGCAAAGCTGGAAATATTGATTTCAATACAAATTTTAAAAGAATTGTAATCAAAACAGCGTAGTACAGCATATAAAAAGACACATTGGTCAATTGCACTGGACGGAAAACCTGGACATAAATCTCCACATTTACAGCCAACTTATTTTTGCAAAGCTACACAGTATGGAAAAAAGACAGTCTCTTAAATAAGTGTTGTTGGGATAACTGGATATCCATATGAAAAGTAAAATTTGACCCTTACACCACATAAAAATACCAACTCCAAATAAAGATGAATATAATAGTCGAACTGTAAAACTGATAGAAGAAAGCATAGCATAGGGCTAAAGCTCCATGACATTGCTCTGAGCAATACTGTTTTTGATATGACCTTGATAGCATAGTCAACAAAAGCGAAAATGGACACATTTGTTGTTAGTCTCCATGCTTTGGATTTCTGGTCATTACTCAAGCTGGTAATTGCTTTCTGGCACTTCACAATTACAAGTAGCAGCCCAGCCAAGACGTAGGTCCACCTTCTTGCCTGCAGAATGTGAAAATCATTTTCTGTTGTCAATAACATTCAGGACATAGGCATAGGCATAGGTAAACACTTAATGAATAAAAGCAATTGCAACAAAAGCCAAAATTGACAAATGGGATCTAATTAAACTAAAGAGCTTCTGCTGAGCTATGCTCAGTGGCTCACACCTGTAATCCCAGCACTTTGGGAGGCTGAGGTGGGCGAATCACGAGGTGAGGAGATCAAGACCATCCTGGCTAACACCGTGAAACCCCGTCTCTACTAAAAAATAGACAAAAATTAGCCGGGCATGGTGGTTGGCGCCTGTAGTCCCAGCTACTCGGGAGGCTGAGGCAGGAGAATGGCGTGAACCCGGGAGACAGAGCTTGCAGTGAGCCGAGATCGCGCCACTGCACTCCAGCCTGGGCGACAGAGCGCAACTCATCTCAAAAAAAAAAAAAAAAAAAAAAAAAAGGAAAAGAAAATATCCTCAGAGTGAACAGGCAACCTAGAGAACGGGAGAAAATTTTTGCAAGCTACCCATCTGACAAAAGTCTAATATCCAGAATCTACAAGGAACTTAAACAAATTTACAAGAATAAAACAACCTCATCGAAAAATGGGTGAAGAATATGAAGAGACACTTCCCGAAAGAAGACATTTTATGCGGCCAACAAACATATGAAAAAAAGCTCATCATCACTCGTCATTAGAGAAATGCAAGTCAAAATCACAATGAGATATCATCTCATGCTAGTTAGAATGCCGAGCATTAAAAGTCTGGAAACAACAGATGCTGGTAAGGATGTGGTGGAATAGGAATGCTTTTACACTGTTGGTGGGAGTGTAAATTAGTTCAACCATTATGGAAGACAGTGTGGCAATTCCTCAAGGATCTAGAACCAGAAATACCATTTGACCCAGCAATCCCATTACTGGCTATATACCCAAAGGATTATCAATCGTTCTACTATAAAGACACGTGAACATGTATGTTTATTGTAGCACTATTTACAATAGCAAAGACTTGGAATTAACCCAAATCCCCATCAATGATAGACTGGAGAAAGAAAATGTGGCACATATACACCATGGAATACTATGCAGCCATAAAAGTGAATGAGTTCGTGTCCTTTGCAGGGACATGGATGAAGCTGGAAACCATGATCCTTAGCAAACTAACACAGGAACAGAAAACCAAACGCCACATGTTCTCACTCATAAGAAAGAGTTGAACAATGAGAACACATAAACACAGGGAGGGGGATCTCACACACCGGGGCCTGTCGGGGGGTGAGGGGCAAGGGGAGGGAGAGCATTAGGACAAATACCTAATGCATGCGGGGCTTAAAACCTAGATGACGGTTGATAGGTGCAGGAAACCACCACAGCACATTTATACCTATATAACAAACTTGCGTATTCAGCACATATATCCCAGAACTTAAAATAAAATAAAAATTAAAAAAAATCACATTACTTAGTATCACGAGTAATCAGTCTCACCAGAAAAATCTGTAAGTATTAGTATATTAAGCTCGTGAAGGCAGATACAAATTTTCCAAGATTTTATTTTTTGCTCGAAAGCGTGAGTTTAATCATCGGCAGAGAATGCCGTGAGTTGTTTTACTTGGAGGGACAGGCTCTTTTCATTGATTTTTTGAAAAAACCTATGACATATACCCAAGTATGAATAACCATAGTTTGTCAGTTGGTCTTTCAAGTAATAAAATTATTATTTTTAATGCTCCATTAAGGACATTTTTAAGTGAACAAAAAAAAAAAAAAAAGAAAGAAAAAGAAAAGAAAACCATTGCCTGTTGTATCTTCTGCCTGGTCCTGTCTGGCATCCTTGGTGTCTATGACAGAAATGTATGAACCAGCCACATGCACATAGACTTTGCTTATGGACAGCAACACAGTTGGAAATGTATCAATCACCATTAAACAGGGCTATACATTTTATGTCTGCTTCTCAGATATCTAGATCACATTAAGATGGATTCTTGGATGTTGGGGCTTTTCATGTATAAATTGATAACACACCTCTCCCCTTTTAGTTCTAAACCAATTTAGAAATAAAACCAAGAGGTCAGATCAATATTCAAAGATGTTATTCCTGTTAAAAGCTCATTTAGAAAATAGGGCTTTTTGCCTTGACAAAAAAGATTTTCTTATGTTTTCTCTTTGTCTTGATTTTGGAACCTGAACAAAAGAAATGTTCATCTACAGAACATTTACCCAGCCAATGCAGGAAGGGTCTTCACCTGCCCTACACTTCTCTGCAGAGTCCAGAGGAGAAAAGGAGACTAGATATACTCATTGATGACCTATTAACCTTACTGACAAAAACATGGACCAATGGATGTGAGGTTTCCCTTACACCAAATAAGTTACACCTTGTCTTAGCTCTGGGAATAAACCAGTTCATGAAGAAGAGTTAGCACTGTTTTTACTTAATACTTGTGAGAAGATTAAAGTTCTTGTCAACGAGTAGATAGTAATGTGATGAGGGGCAAAGCGAGTTTCTCTCAGCGTCAACTTCTTTTGATTTATGTAGTTCTTGCTGAAGATTCCCCCTAGAATAATTGACTTTCGAAAAGATGATTTCCCTCACAATGGCTTTATACTGAGTGTTTTTGTATTAAATAACTAATGTTGATTTGTGGTTTCTATTGTGTACATTGAATAATTGGTGAATCTCAGTATGAAAGGAAGATGATAGTTCTCTTTCCTCCTATTTCCAGAGCCAACTGCTGAGGTGATCTGACTTTCCTCATTTGTGATATGAGTGTCCTCAACTACTTTCACAATTCTGTGTATGGTCATTTGAGATATATATCAGAGTGTCACCTGGAAGCATAGTATAACAAGGAAATATGTATTTGTCAAATAAAGATGTAAAAAAAATCAAAAATAAAAAATTGAATGAGAAAGGCAGGGACTAGATTATAGTTTGGCCATCTGGAACAAACATTGCAGGTTTCATCAAATATTTGCCATCTTTGTAGTAGAATATTTTGACATTTAAGTTCTAAATTATTTCTTTATTTATAAGTAACCCTGACAATTAATGAGATGATAGTTGTTAGTAACTTAGACCATCTGTTGGTTTACTACATCCTTTCAAGGCATGTAAGCCTGCGCTCCTGAGCAAAGCAGCAACGTGCCTGGTTTTCCCAACTGTGGAAAACTTCATGAAAGCAATGCATGCATAATATAAAGGAGGTTACCTCAGCAAGATAAAGTTTAATCTTCCCCATATCTTGTTCCAGGAGAGAATGTAGGTTATAGCAATACAGTGGATGTGAGTGGGGTGGGAATTTTGGGCGAATAATAAAAATGCATATAGATTTTTTCCTTTTGGGTGAGGAAGTAAATTATAAAAAAAGATGGACATAAAGAAATATTGTGGTGCTATTGGCAAATTCTTGAGAAAAAAGTGGTTTATGAAACAAAAGTTCAAAATACAGAAACAAAGGACATTAAGAGTTAGAACAAAGTTTATGAGAAAACAGTAATATACATTTTGTTCAGAATATATAAAGCATTCTTACAATTCAACAACAAAAACCCAATCAATTAAAATATGCTCAAAGGATCTGACTACATATTTTATAAAATAAGATTGACAAATGGCCATTAACCACATGAAAAGATGCTCAACATCATTCATCATTAGAGAAAGGCAAGTCAAAGCTACAATGAGATAGCACTTCACATCACTAGGATACATACAGTCAAAAAGATTAAAAATAAAGACTGGAAAGTATCTGAAAAAATGGGAGCCCTCCTACATTGCTGGTGATAATGTAAAATTGTGCAGCTGATTTGGGAAACAACTTGATGGTCCCCAGTCCCTCAAGATTAAATGCAGTTATCATGTGACCCAGAAATTCCACTCCCCAGTATTTTCTCAAGAGAGACATATGCCTATGTGCACATTCGTAGCAGCATTATTCATAATAGTTAAAACCTAGAAACAATCCACATGTCTATTATCTGATACATTAAATATGATATTTATGAGGTAGAATATTACCTGGGAATAAAAAGAAATAATGTAATGATACTTGAAACAATATAAATGAACTTTGAAAACATTATACTAAGTGAAATAGACACACAGACAAAAAAATGTTGTATGATTCCACTTAAATGAGGTACCTGGAATAGGTAAAGTTACAGAGAAAGAGATTAGAATAGAGGGTTCCATGGGCTGGGGTAGAACTTACAGGAAGTTAATATCTAATGGGTACAGAGTTTCTGTTTGGGATAATAAAAGCGTTCTAGAAATGGATAGTAGTAACTGTTGCATTACATTGTAAATGCACTTGATGAAACTAAACTGTGCACTTAAAAATTGTTAAAATGTTAAAGTTTATGTCATATATATTTTAGAATGTTAAAAAGAATTGATAAAACTTGGAAAATTTTTAACAGAATATAAGATTTAAAGTTAAACTCAAATTTAAACATTTTTTAAAAATTTATTATTATTATACTTTAAGTTTTAGGGTACATGTGCACAGTGTGCAGGTTAGTTACATATGTATACATGTGCCATGCTGGTGCACTGCACCCACTAACTCGTCATCTAGCATTAGGTATATCTCCCAGTGCTATCCCTCCCCCCTCCCCTACTCCACAACAGTCCCCAGAGTGTGAAGTTCCCCTTCCTGTGTCTATGTGTTCTCATTGTTCAATTCCCACCTATGAGTGAGAATATGCGGTGTTTGGTTTTTTGTTCTTGTGATAGTTTACTGAGAATGATGATCTCCAATTTCATCCATGTCTCTACAAAAGACATGAACTCATCATTTCTTATGGCTGCATAGTATTCCATGGTGTATATGTGCCACATTTTCTTAATTCAGTCTATCATTGTTGGACATTTGGGTTGGTTCCAAGTCTTTGCTATTGTGAATAGTGCCTCAATAAACATACGTGTGCATGTGTCTTTATAGCAGCATGATTTATAGTCCTTTGGGTATCTACCCAGTAATGGGATGGCTGGGTCAAATGGTATTTCTAGTTCTAGATCCCTGAGGAATCGCCACACTGACTGACTTCCACAATGGTTGAACTAGTTTACAGTCCCACCAACAGTGTAAAAGTGTTCCTATTTCTCCACATCCTCTCCAGCACCTCTTCTTTCCTGACTTTTTAATGATTGCCATTCTAACTGGTGTGAGACGGTATCTCATTGTGGTTTTGATTTGCATTTCTCTGATGGCCAGTGATGGTGAGCATTTTTTCATGTGTTTTTTGGCTGCATAAATGTCTTCTTTTGAGAAGTGTCTGTTCATGTCCTTCACCCACTTTTTGATGGGGTTGTTTGTTTTTTTCTTGTAAATTTGTTGGAGTTTATTGTAGATTCTGGATATTAGCCCTTTGTCAGATGAGTAGGTTGTGAAAATTTTCTCCCATTTTGTAGGTTGCCCATTCACTCTGATGGTAGTTTCTTTTGCTGTGCAGAAGCTCTTCAGTTTAATTAGATCCCATTTGTCAATTTTGGCTTTGGTTGCCATTGCTTTTGGTGTTTTAGACATGAAGTCCTTGCCCATGCCTATGTCCTGAATGGTAAGGCCTAGGTTTTCTCCAGGGTTTTTATGGTTTTAGGTCTAATGTTTAAGTCTTTAATCCATCTTGAATTAATTTTTGTATAAGGTGTAAGGAAGGGATCCAGTTTCAGCTTTCTACATATGGCTAGCCAGTTTTCCTAGCACCATTTATTAAATAGGGAATCCTTTCCCCATTGCGTGTTTTTCTCAGGTTTGTCAAAGATCAGGGAGTTGTAGATATGTGGCGTTATTTCTGAGGGCTCTGTTCTGTTCCATTGATCTATGTCTCTGTTTTGGTACCAGTACCCTGCTGTTTTGGTTACTGTAGCCTTGTAGTATAGTTTCAAGTCAGGTAGCCTGATGCCTCCAGCTTTGTTCTTTTGGCTTAGGATTGACTTGGCGATGCGGGCTCTTTTTTGGTTCCATATGAACTTTAAAGTAGTTTTTTCCAATTCTGTGAAGAAAGTCATTGGTAGCTTGATGGGGATGGCATTGAATCTGTAAATTACCTTGGGCAGTATGGCCATTTTCACGATAATGATTCTTCCTACCCATGAGCATGGAATGTTCTTCCATTTGTTTGTATCCTCTTTTATTTCCTTGAGCAGTGGTTTGTAGCTGTCCTTGAAGAGGTCCTTCATGTCCCTTGTAAGTTGGATTCCTAGGTATTTTATTCTCTTTGAAGCAATTGTGAATGGGAGTTCACTCATGATTTGGTTCTCTGTTTGTTTATTGTTGGTGTATAAGCATGCTTGTGATTTTTGTACATTGATTTTGTATCCTGAGGCTTTGCTGAAGTTGCTTATCAGCTTAAGGAGATTTTGGGCTGAGACAATGGGGTTTTCTAGATATACAATCATGTCGTCTGCAAACAGGGCAATTTGACTTCCTCTTTTCCTAATTTAATACACTTTATTTCCTTCTCCTGCCTAATTGCCCTGGCCAGAACTTCCAACACTATGTTGAATAGGAGTGGTGAGAGAGGGCATCCCTGTCTCGTGCCAATTTTCAAAGGGAATGCTTCCAGTTTTTGCCCATTCAGTATGATATTGACTGTGGGTTTGTCATAGATAGCTCTTATTTTGAGATACGTCCCATCAATACCTAATTTATTGAGAGTTTTTAGCATGAAGGGTTGTTGAATTTTGTCAAAGGCCTTTTCTGCATCTATTGAGATAATCATGTGGTTTTCGTCTTTGGTTCTGTTTATATGCTGGATTACATTTATTGATTTGTGTATATTGAACCAGCCTTGCATCCCAGGGATGAAGCCCACTTGATCATGGTGGATAAGCTTTTTGATGTGCTGCTGGATTCAGTTTGCCAGTATTTTATTGAGGATTTTTGCATCAATGTTCATCAAGGATATTGGTCTAAAATTCTATTTTTGGTTGTGTCTCTGCCCGGCTTTGGTATCAGGATGATGCTGGCCTCATAAAATGAGTTAGGGAGGATTCCCTCTTTTTCTATTGATTGGAATAGTTTCAGAAGGAATGGTACCAGTTCCTCCTTGTACCTCTGGTAGAATTCGGCTGTGAATCCACCTGGTCCTGGACTCTTTTTGGTTGGTAAGCTATTGATTATTGCCACAATTTCAGCTCCTGTTATTGGTCTATTCAGAGATTCAACTTCTTCCTAGTTTAGTCTTAGGAGAGTGTATGTGTCGAGGAATTTATCCATTTCTTCTAGATTTTCTAGTTTATTTGCGTAGAGGTGTTTGTAGTATTCTCTGATGGTAGTTTGCATTTCTGTGGGATTGGTGGTGATATCCCCTTTATCATTTCTTATTGCATCTATTTGATTCTTCTCTCTTTTTTTCTTTATTAGTCTTGCTAGTGGTCTATCAATTTTGTTGATCCTTTCAAAAAACCAGCTCCTGGATTCATTAATTTTTTGTAGGGTTTTTTGTGTCTCTATTTCCTTCAGTTCAACTCTGATTTTAGTTATTTCTTGCCTTCTGCTAGCTTTTGAATGTGTTTGCTCTTGCTTTTCTAGTTATTTAAATTGTGATGTTAGGGTGTCAATTTTGGATCTTTCCTGCTTTCTCTTGTGGGCATTTAGTGCTATAAATTTCCCTCTACACACTGCTTGAATGCAACCCAGAAATTCTGGTTTGTATCTTTGTTCTCGTTGGTTTCAAAGAACATCTTTATTTCTGCCTTCATTTCATTATGTACCCAGTAGTCATTCAGGAGCAGGTTGTTCAGTTTCCATGTAGTTGAGTGGTTTTGAGTGAGATTCTTAATCCTGAGTTCTAGTTTGATTGCACTGTGGCCTGAGAGATAGTTTGTTATAATTTCTGTTCTTTTACATTTGCTGAGGAGAGCTTTACTTCCAAGTATGTGGTCAATTTTGGAATAGGTGTGGTGTGATGCTGAAAAAAATGTATAATCTGTTGATTTGGGGTGGAGGTTTCTGTAGATGTCTATTAGGTCCACTTGGTGCAGAGCTGAGTTCAATTCCTGGGTATCCTTGTTGACTTTCTGTCTCATTGATCTTTCTAATGTTGACAGTGGGGTGTTAAAATCTCCCATTATTAATGCGTGGGAGTCTAAGTCTCTTTGTAGGTCACTCAGGACTTGCTTTATGAATCCAGGTGCTCCTGTATTGGCTGCGTATATATTTAGGAGAGTTAGCTCTTCTTGTTAAATTGATCCCTTTACCATTATGTAATGGCCTTCTTTGTCTCTTTTGATCTTTGTTGGTTTAAAGTCTGTTTTATCAGAGACTAGGATTGCAACCCCTGCCTTTTTTTGTTTTCCATTTGCTTGGTAGATCTTCCTCCATCCTTTTATTTTGAGCCTATGTGTGTCTCTGCATGTGTGATGGGTTTCCTGAATACAGCACACTGATGGATCTTGACTCTTTATCCAATTTGCCAGTCTGTGTCTTTTAATTGGAGCATTTAGTCCATTTACATTTAAAGTTAATATTGTTATGTGTGAATTTGATCCTGTCATTATGATGTTAGCTGGCTATTTTGCTCGTTAGTTGATGCAGTTTCTTCCTAGTCTCTATGGTCTTTACATTTTGGCATGATTTTGCAGTGGCTGATACCGGTTGTTCTTTTCCATGTTTAGCGCTTCCTTCAGGAGCTCTTTTAGGGCAGGCCTGGTGGTGACAAAATCTCTCAGCATTTGCTTGTCTATAAAGTATTTTATTTCTCCTTCACTTATGAAGCTTAGTTTGGCTGGATATGAAATTCTGGGTTGAAAATTCTTTTCTTTAAGAATGTTGAATATTGGCCCCCACTCTCTTCTGGCTTGTAGAGTTTCTGCCGAGAGATCCACTGTTAGTCTGATGGGCTTCCCTTTGTGGGTAACCCGACCTTTCTCTCTGGCTGCCCTTAACATTTTTTCCTTCATTTCAACTTTGGTGAATCTGACAATTATGTGTCTTGGAGTTGCTCTTCTCCAGGAGTATCTTTGTGGCATTCTCTGTATTTCCTGAATCTGAATGTTGGCCTGCCTTGCCAGATTGGGGAAGTTCTCCTGGATAATATCCTGCAGAGTGTTTTCCAGCTTGGTTCCATTCTCCCCGTCACTTTCAGGTACACCAATCAGACGTAGATTTGGTCTTTTCACATAGTCCCATATTTCTTGGAGGCTTTGCTCGTTTCTTTTTATTCTTTTTTCTCTAAACTTCCCTTCTCGCTTCATTTCATTCACTTCATCTTCCATCCCTGATACCCTTACTTCCAGTTAATCGCATCGGCTCCTGAGGCTTCCGCATTCTTCATGTAGTTCTCGAGCCTTGGTTTTCAGCTCCATCAGCTCCTTTAAGCACTTCTCTGTATTGGTTATTCTAGTTGTACATTCTTCTAAATTTTTGTCAAAGTTTTCAACTTCTTTGCCTTTGGTTTGAATTTCCTCCCATAGCTCAGAGTAATTTGATCATCTGAAGCCTTCTTCTCTCAGCTCGTTAAAGTCATTCTCCGTCCAGCTTTGTTCCGTTGCTGGTGAGGAACTGTGTTCCTTTGGAGGGGGAGAAGTGCTCTGCTTTTTAGAGTTTCCAGTTTTTCTGCTCTGTTTTTTCCCCATCTTTGTGGTTTTATCTACTTTTGGTCTTTGATGATGGTGATGTACAGATGGGTTTTTGGTGTGGATGTCCTTTCTGTTTGTTAGTTTTCCTTCTAACAGACAGGAGTCTCAGTTGCAGGTCTGTTGGCGTACCCAGCCATGTGAGGTGTCAGTCTGCCCCTGCTGGGGGGTGCCTCCCAGTTAGGCTGCTCAGGGGTCAGGGGTCAGGGAGCCACTTGAGGAGGCAGTCTGCCCATTCTCAGATCTCCAGCTGCATGCTAGGAGAACCACTGCTCTCTCCAAAGCTGTCAGACAGGGACATTTAAGTCTGCAGAGGTTACTGCTGTCTTTTTGTTTGTCTGTGCCCTGCCCCCAGAGGTGGAGCCTACAGAGGCAGGAAGGCCTCCTTGAGCTGTGGTGGGCTCCACCCAGTTCGAGCTTCCTGGCTGCTTTGTTTACCTAAGCAAGCCTGGGCAATGGTGGGCGCCCCTCCCCCAGCCTCGCTGCCACCTTGCAGTTTGATCTCAGACTGCTGTGCTAGCAATCAGCGAGACTCTGTGGGCGTAGGTCCCTCCGAGCCAGGTGCGGGATATAATCTCCGGGTGCGCCCTCTTTTAAGCTCGTCGGAAAAGCGCAGTATTCGGGTGGGAGTGACCCGATTTTCCAGGTGCCCTCTGTCACCCCTTTCTTTGACTAGGAAAGGGAACTCCCTGACCCCTTGAGCTTCCCGAGTGAGGCAATGCCTCGCCCTGCTTCGGCTCACACACGGTGTGCTCACCCACTGACCCGCGCCCACTGTCTGGCACTCCCTAGTGAGATGAACCCGGTACCTCAGATGGAAATGCAGAAATCACCCATCTTCTGCATCGCTCATGCTGGGTGCTGTAGACCGGAGCTTTTCCTATTCGGACATCTCGGCTCCTCCCCCAAATTTAAACATTTTTAAGGAAATAAAAAATGCATTTAAACACTTATTTTAATAAGTTGAATATTTAACCCTCTTTCAAAATCAATTAATGTTATTACTATATTAATAAAATGAAAGGAAAAGCATACACTTATGTGTAGTATATGCAGAAAGAGCATTTGACAAAATTTAATATCCATTCTTATTAAAAAATAATCTCATCAAATAAAGGATACATAAGATTTTTCTCAACATTTCAAAGGGCATCTTTAAAATACCTACAACTAACATCCTATATAATGATGAAAGACTGAATGCTTTCTCTTACAATCAAGAAGACAGGGATATCAGGTCTTACCACTTCTATTCAACATTGTCCTGGAAGGTCTACCTATTGCAAAAAAACTTAAAAAAAAGAAAAGAGAAGAGAAAGAAGGAAGGAAAACAAGAAAGGGGGGAAATAAAAGGCATCTAAATAGAAAAGAAGTAAGTAAAAATGTCTTTAATCACAGATATAATCATTTATGTAGAAATCCCAATTAAATCCTTTAAAAGCCTACTACTGAAGATAGTAAGTTAGTTTTGCAATGTTGTAGGATATAAGATAAATATGCACAAATCAATGGTATTTTCACATGTTAGAAATAATTAGGAATAAATTTTTAAATATAATACTATTTACAATAGAATTAAAAATATAAAATACTTAGGGATAAATTGAACAAATTATTTGAAAGATCTTTACACTGAAATCTAAAAAAATTGCTGAGCACATGTACATATGCTAGGAGAAAAGAAATGAAACTATACTATTATACTTTTCCTATACCATGTATGATGTTGTATAATATTACTTGAAGGTGGACTTCGATAAGTTAAAATTATGTAAATTCTAAAACAAATACTAAGAAAGCAAAAATAAAAATAAAAAAGAGTTATACCTAATATGCCATAACAGAAATGTAAAACTAAATCATTAAGAAAAGTTACTTGACTAATCTTTAAGAGAGCAGAAAAGAAAAAGGGAATAAAGAACAGCTGGGGCTAATAGTAATCAAACAGCATGATGACAGGTAAGCCTAAGTATGTCAATAATTACATCACACATGACACTGGTCTAAGAACCTCAGTTAAAATATAGACTGTCAGACTCCATTAAAAAAAAACAAAACAAAACAGGACCCAACCAGATGCTGCCAATAAGAAATGCGCTTTAAATTTGAAGACACAAATTGGATAAAAGGTTGAAAAAAGAGAATGCTAACACTTAGAAGAAGGCTGAGCAGGTGTGGCTGCCTTAATACCAAAGCACATTTCATAGCAAAAAATATTCCCATCAATAAACAAGATCATGTCACAATGACAAAGCATTCAATCAATCAAGAAGACATAATCCAAAATGTTTATGCCCCTATTAACATAACAGCTTCAAAATATATGAGACATAAATATCTAGAACTACAGACAGACAATTTTAAAGTAACCTGAGGTTTTAATACCCTGTAGTCAATAAGTGACTGAACAAGGAGACAGAAAATCAACAAGAATAGAATAGTCTTGAGCAACACTGTGCTTTTCAAGTACCTGTGGAACACTTACCAAGATAGATCATACTCTAGGCCATACAATTACTCTCAAAAAAAGGATTAAGTCAAAAGGATAAGTCATACAAAGTATGTGCCCTGACAAGCATATCAATCAAATCAGAAATCAGTAACAAAAATAGCTCTAGGAAATACTCAAATATTTGGAAACTAAGTAATACATACCCAAATACCCATCCTGAGTCAAAGAGGTAAGGGAAAATAAATTAGAAAATATTTTGCACTAAGTAAAAATGAAAACATAATATATCAAAACTTGTGGAATACAGCTACAACTATACTTAAATACAAATATAGCACTGAATGTCTATATTAGAAGAGTCTCAAACAAATAACTTTCACTTCTACTTTAAGAAACCAGTAAAAAGGAGATAAAACTAAACTTAAAGCATGCAGACAAAAATAAATAAATATCTCTGGTGATCTGAATGTTGGATCCTTTCAAAATTTATATACTAAAACCAAATCACAGAGCTGATGTTATTAGAGGTGGGGCTTTTTGGAAGTGATTAGGTAATGGAGGCCAAGTTCTTATGAATAAATTAATGCCCTTACATGTGAGACCCCAGAAAGCCCCTTCACCCCTTTTGCCTTTTGAGGACACAGGAAAAAATAATGCATCTATGAACCATGAACTAGTCCCTCATCAGACATCAAATCTAACAGCACCTTGATCTTGGACTTTGCAACTTCCAGAACCATAAGAAATCAATTCATTTTGTTAATAAGCTACTCAGGCTATGATTTTTTTAAAATAATGAGCCTAAAGGACCAAATCATCAAAGATGAAATTAATAGAGAAGAAAAACAGTAGAGGAAGTCAACACTACACACTTTGAGGAGATCAATAAAAGCAATAAACCTTTGTCTAACTAGGTTACTCAGGAAAAAAAGAAGATACAAATTAGTAACTTAGAATTGAGTAATGTGACATTATTACAGATTCTACAGATACTATAAAAAAGGTAATATTGTTAAATTTATGTGAATAAACATGACAAGTTAGGTAAAATTGAAAAATTCCTTGAAAAAGGTTAAATTACCAAACATAAATCAAGAATAGATAACCTACATTCCCCCATATCCATAAAATAAAATAAAATAACAGTTGAAAACCTTTTTACAGATAAAATTTCAGGCCCAATCAGCTAGGCTGGTGAATCCTTCCAAACATTGTAGGAAAAAATAATAAAATTCTACACAAACTTTGCCCTTCAAAATAAAAAGGAGTATATTCAAACTTCTATAATGCTAGCATCACCACGAACCAAAAGCAGACAAAGATATTTTAAACAAAAAAATTCTCATAAGCATAGATATAAAAATTCAATCAATTTGTGAAGCAACGAAGCTAATCTTCCAGTAGGTGAAGGAATAACATGTGCTACAGCCATACAATGGAATATTAGTGCTAAAAATAAATGAGCTCTCAAGCCATTAAAAGACATGAAGGAAACTTAAATGAAATAAGACAATTTTATCATAAAGAATGCCAGATTTTGTCAAATGCTTTTTCTGCATCTATTGAGATGGTTATATATATATATATTTTTAAAAATTCTGTTGATGTAATGTATCACATTTATTGACATACATAAGTGTTTGTATGTTTATTATAAGTTTTAATAATCTATGTATGATAGTTTAACATGTAGGTCATCATTTTCATGTTCAATTACATTAGAATTTTTAATCTTTCAGCAGCTTTGATACAGTTGAGGATCCTCCAGCCTTGGCTGACTAAACTATTCTATTTCCAGAGAAAGTAACTATTGCTAACATTCTTTCACAGGGAAATAAGCTTGCAAGTTTTACCTTCCTTCATCTTCAATTATTTTACTTAAACTGCTGTCATCATTCACTTGTAGCAGACCACCAGTGAGTAAGTTGGCCTTCTCAAACATTTGTTTAATCCCAGGGTGTTTTGAGGTACAGTTTTTATTTTCATGTTTCTCTACCTCATTCACATGCAAAGAAGTATCAGTATTCTTAAAAAAAAATCCATTAAAAAGGCAATCTTTTAAAAATAACTCTATGACAAAGAATTTTAAAAACTTTTTTTTGTAAAATTCAAAATGTTCCCAATTTCAATTAACTTACTATTCTAAAACCTGTTATGAACTATATATATATATATATATATATATATATATATATATATATATATATATATGTAGTTCCAACGATATACAAGAAAATGAATATTATCTGCTTTAAAAACAGGTAAATATACAATTATGATACAATGTGATACGTAAGAGTTAGGATGCCAAAAAAAAAAGCGTGAGAAAACCATTCTACATAGAGAATAGAATGTGAGCACAAAGGTTAGGCACGAGGCATCTAGGAGTTTCCTAGGAACTCAAAAAACTGTAAAACACATGAAAGCAAATACTGCAAGACGAATGCTACCCTAAACTTGAATACCACGCTCAAAGGCTGGAGCTCACTGCCCACAAGCAAGGACTCACAGGCGTGAGAGTCCTAATTGGATTTTTGTTATGTTTTTTGTTTTGTTTTAAAATATAATAATGTTTTATTTAAATCAAGTTCTTAAAAATAAGCTAAAACATATAACCTGAAAGGAAAAAATGAAATATACAGTGTGGGGAGAACTTTAAAAATATTTATATGTCATTATGTGTAGTTCAAAAATAGCACTATTCTGATTACTTATGATTATTTGAAAATAAAGTAATTTTGAAGCCTTTGTACAGTTTTAGCCCTGTATCTGATCCTAATATAAAAATGTAGATTTTTGGAAAAAAATTGTAATTATATTTTTATAAAATAAACACATGCATAATTGTATCACTATTATATAACCTACATTAATTTGCAAGGAGACTAAAACTTTCTACTGGAGATTATGATGTTAGGAGTTCAGCCTCAGCCCCTAAAACACACACACACACACACACACACACACACACACACGCACACACATGTAAAACTAATAATTATTTATCGAAAAATAACTATATAGATAACTCTCTCAATTGAGAATAAGTGTCTTAAAGAAGGTGAGGGGGGAATCTTTTTGAGAGCGGTTATTAAATAATTCCTCTTTAATCCAAACTTCAAAAATACATCTACATTTCTGGAATATAAAAAATTTTTGTTTTGAACCTAGTTGATGGAAGGCAACTTTGAAACAGAAAACATCTGATGAAAGTTGCCTCAAACTTAAGGAAAGTCTGATCTGTAGCCCCAATAACAAGCAGCCACACAGAAGTCGTTTTAAATCCAGACACATAATCAGTGACCACTAGACTCTTTCCCTAACCAATCAATGTCAGCTGCTTGCATCTGAAAGATAGCCAGTCAGAGACAAACTCACCTTAATCAGCATGCCTGGGAATGCCAACCATTCCATAGCAGTCTCCCTCAGATAATTACGCTGCACCAGGCAGGTGGCATCAACCCACTGACGCCTGTGAGAGCTGGCCAAGCTTTTAATTCCACTCTTCCCCCAAATCTGTATAACATCAGCAGCTGCTTAACCAGAAGAGACTGTGCCTGACAAGAATAGCTTTCTTACTATGAAAAGCAAGAAATTCAAACTGTGTCTTTTTATATCAGATATTGAAGGCTCATAATCTTTTGAAAACAAATTTTACATTTATTGCATTCATCACCCTTATATTTTATTATTTCTAATAAAATACAAATGAAGTTTGCAACTCCTTCGACTCATTTTACCATAATTAAAACTATCATAACAACCAGTAAAAGAAAAAATATTAACCGCAATATTGGACTTTCCTTCCTAAATGGAAGAATATAAATATAGAGAAAATAGAGTATTAAAAATAACTAAAATAATCCCACAAATGTGCATAATGCCAAGTAAAATTGTCAGAATTAGCCCATGTCATACTGTTCCTTAAGTGAGAATTTATGTTTAAAATAATATACCACGGTAAACTCTATTCACTTATTTAATAAATATGTATTGAGTTGCACTAAGGATATGGTAATGAACAGACAAAATCCTGATCATGAGAATGAAGTGAACATACAATAACAATAAACAGCATAAACAAAATGTATATGTTAAAGGAGAAAAATTAAAGCAGGAAAATGAAATGTGTGTTGGAGGAGAGAGATGGTGGAAATATTAGAATGGCCAGATATGGCCTTGCTGAGAAAGTGACTTTCCATCGAAGAACTGAAGAAATGGAGGCAGCGAGCTGAGAGCAGATCTGCGGGAAAAGCCCTCCGTACAGAGTGAGCTGCCAGGTACAAAGGGAAACATGCTGAGCATGCTTTAAAGTTTCCAAGAAGCTCAGTGTGGCTGGATTAGAGCAAAAGGAACGGAACAGTAGACGTTTAAGTCAAAGAGAAAACAGGTTAGAGCATGTGCTGCCTTTTGGGTATTAGAAAGAAATTTGAAATGGGAATCGATGGAGTTGAACAACAAGAACACATGGACACAGGACAGGGAACATCACACACCGGGGCCTGTCAGGGGGTGGGTCACTGGGGGAGGAATAGCATTAGGAGAAATACCTAATGTAAATGATGAGTTGATGGGTGCAGCAAACCAACATGGCACATGTACACCTATGTAACAAACCTGCACGCTGTGCACCTGTACCTTAGAACTTAAAGTATAATAATAATAAAAAGGTTTTGAGCAGAGGAATGACACAATCTGGCATGTTTTAATAGGACCCTCTTTTAAGAATAAATGGGAAGAGGATTAAAAATAAACAAGACCAATTAGCAGTCTAGTCACTCATCACTCATCTAGGCAACAGATGGTGGTGGCTGGGACCTGGAAGATCTGACTGGCTTCTGGTTGTATTTTGAAGGTAGACCTAACCCTATTGGCTGATGAATTAGGTGTGAGGTGTCAGAGAGAAAGAAGTCAAGGATGACCTGAAGGCTTTAGGCAGAGCTGCTGGGAGAGTTACCATGAATGCAAGAAGACTACATGAGCAGTAGGTATAAAAAAAAACATTGGCCAGGTGCGATAGCTCACGCCTGTAATCCCAGGACTTTGGGAGGCTGAGGCAGGCAGATCACGAGGTCAGGAGACTAAGACCATCCTGGCTAACATGGTGAAACCCTGTCTCTACTTAAAAATACAAAAATTAGTCGGGCGTGGTGGTGGGAATCTGTAGTCCCAGCTACTCTGGAGGCTGAGACAGAAGAATGGCGTGAACCGGGAAGCGGAGCTTGCAGTGAGCCAAGATCGCGCCACTGCACTCCAGCCTGGGTGACAGGGTGAGACTCCGTCTCAAAAACAAACAAACAAAAAACAAACAAAACAAAAAACACACAAAAAAACGAACACACAAACAAAACAAACAAAAAACAACCAACCAAACAAAAAACAAACAAAAACAAACACAAAACAAACACAAAACAAACAAAAAACAAAAACAAAAACAAACAGAAACAACAAAAACAAAACAAACAAACACACAAACAAAAACAAAACAAAAAACATCAGCAGCCCAATTTTGGACCTGATAACATTGCAATACCCAGCAGCTAAGTAAAAAGAGGTATCAAGTAGGCAGTTTGATATAGATGTCTGGAACTCAAGAAAGAAACCTGGACTGGAAATACACGTTGGGAAGTCATTAGCATGTACAAGGTGCTGAAAGTCATGAGAAAGATCCTGGCCTGGGTCCTGCAACACTTCAATGTGTGACAGGTTGGGGACAAGAAGAAGCAAGCAAAATAGATGATGGTACATGGATGGGATAGCAGGAGGAAAAACCAGGAGACCCTGAGAGCCAAGTGAAGAAAGTATTATGGAGGAGAGGGTTTTCAGCTGGGTCACACATTGCTGACAGGTTAAATAAAATGAGATCTAAGTAATTGTGTCTACCTTTATTAGAGTGAAAATCAGTGGCAAGCTTGAGAACAACAATTTTGGAGGAGAAGTAGGGATGAAAATTATAGGAGTGAGATCTATTATTTAATAGTACAACAGGGTGACTATAGTCAGTGATAATCTAATTGTACATTTAAAAATAACAGACTATAATTGGATTCCTTGTAACACACACACAAAAACAAATGATTGAGGGGATAGATACCCCATTCTCCATGATGTAATTATTTTGCTTTGCATGTCTGTGTCAAAACATTTCTTGTGCTCCATAAGTATATGCACCTAAATGTACCCACAAAATGTTTTTTACAATTTTTTAAAATAAATGAAAAGGAAATATGAGTTTGTGAGTATAGACAGTTTGATTTCAAAGACATCATACATACGTGGCATGATTGTGAGTGATTTAATTTTCTTCTTGTTCAGCTGTATTTTTCATTTCTTTTATGATGATTCATTATATAGATTTTTTTTTTTTTTTGAGATGGAGTCTCGCTCTGTCGCCCAGGCTGGAGTGCAATGGCGTGATCTTGACTCACTGCAACCTCCACCTCATAGGTTCAAGCAATTCTCCCTGCCTCAGCCTCCTGAGTAGCTGGGATTACAGGTGCCTGCCACCATGCCTGGCCAATTTTTTGTTTTTAATAGAGACGGGGTTTTGCCATGTTGACCGAGCTGGTCTTGAACTCCTGACCTCAGGTGATCCACCTGCCTTGGCCGCTCAAAGTGCTGGGATTACAGGCATGAGCCACCTTGCCTGGCCAATTATATAGGTTTTTAAAACTGTATACATATGGCATTTTTTTAAAATAGTGAGACCAAGATATTAAATAATAATTCATAAAATGATAGAACTAAAAGACCCCTTGAACATTTCTAAATTACATAAGTTGATTATAATTTTGCTCATGCTTATATAATAAAACAAAACCACAGAAAAAATAAAAATTTCAAGGGCATTTTTTTTTGCTTTCTGCCGGTACCATGCTGTTTTGGTGACTATAACCTTGTAGTATAGTTTGACGTAGGGTAATGTGATGCTACCAGATTTGTTCTTTTTGTTGAGTCTTGCTATGGCTATGTGCCTATCACCCTCAGAGCCTAAGGGAGAAGGGGACAGCAGTGGATAGAAACTTGGAAGAAGAAAGATGTAGGGAAGATCTCCTTGAATAGGAGCAGGGCCCCTAATGAGGGATGCATCAGCCTCGGTGAAGGAGTCAAGGGCTCCTACAGGGCCACAGTTTCCTTCTTAGCGGTGTTCTTTGGCTGGAGAAGCAGAAGGCTGGGAGCCTACAGCACATCAAAGCAGGGAGGAGAGGAGGGAGAGCTCTTGAGGAACCCATGGAAGATGTTCCAGGCCACATGTAAACCTGCAAAAGAGGCAGGGGAACAATGGCCCCGAGTGTGATGTGCATTGCACAGACAAGGCAAAAACAGTGAAGTAAAATCACAAAAAAAGTGTGCGGATCTGATTTATGAACAGTTAGCATGAAACATTCTCAAATATTTCATTGCGCTGTCTGGTTAAGTGAAAAAAAATATTGTACAAATGTTCAGATGTATGTCTCTTTCCATAAAAACTTGTAAGGTGAAATGCATTAGCCATGGTTTCACCATGGAGGAAGAATATGGCATGTGAATTAACTGTCTTTTCTTTTTAACCAGTCAAGTATGCTGACATTTGCAGTCTAAAACATAGAAAGTAAAATGATTTATTGTCCTTTGGCATATACCTAGTAATGAGATTGCTGGGTCAAATGGTATTTCTGTTTTATATTCTTCGAGAAATCTCCAAATTGTTTTTCGCAGGGACTGAAATAATTTACATTTTTACCAACAATGCATAAGCAATCCTTTTGCTCCACAGCCTTGCTGGCTTCTGTTATTGTATGACTTTTTAATAATAGACCTCTGATTGGTATGAGATGGTATCTCATTGTGGTTTTGATTTGCATTTATCTGATGATTAGTGATGTTGAGCATTTTTAAATGTTTCTTGGCCACTTGCATGTCTTCTTTTTGAGAAATATCTGTTCATGTCCTTTGCCTACTTTTTATTGGGGTTATTTGGTTTTTGCTTGTGGAGTTAAGTTCCTGATAGAGCCTGGATATTAGACCATTGTTGGATGCATAGTTTGTAATAAATCTGCATATGTAAGCCCTAAATCTAAAATAGAAGTTGAAATTATTTAAAAAAATAGAGAGTAAATATTGATAATGTAATGCTCAATACTTACTGAATACTTCTTATGTGCCATAAGCACTTTCTTACTCAATCCTCCCACAACTCAAGGAGGTAGTTACTTTGATTTGTCCCTATTTGCAAGTGAATTGTCTCAGCACAGTTATGACACTTGACCAACATCAGTGGCAGATTGGGGTCTGACAGCAACCTGTATGACCTGGGACTTGAGTTGGTGGCCTCTGTGTAGCCCCACCTTGGGCCTGGCCTTTCTAGCTCTGTGGCCAGAGGGCTCTGGCTCAGCCATCTCACAAGTTTTACAAAAGCCGGTAGTGAATCACTCTTCTCTCTCATGATCAAGCACCTTCAGAAAGCACCAAGGGCAGGCTCCACGGAAGGAAATAACTTTAAAGTTCATAAGGCATCATTACATTGCGATTGCGGTGCATTATAGGAGGCCACGTCCTGACACTGTGTCCGATCATTACTCCAGAGGAAAGGGCCCTCTGCAGTGTTGAATTTTCTGAGACTGTCTCTCCCCATTATCTCCAATAAACTGGGTCTATTCCATAGAGCAGTTAAATTAACAGTACCTGATGACACTCTGAGGCTTTCAATGAAATAAAAATGATCACAAACTAAGCCGAGCTGCCTGTACCCTCACGGGGAATCTATATACACAGTTGACTGGGTTGTTACATTTATGCCTGTTAGAATGTATGCATGCATCATGGCAGGAATGAATACAGGAAGAGAAAATACCAGGGAATGAAACGGGTTGAGATGCAGATGAACAGTGAGCACGGATGTGGGGTCCTGCATTCTTTTTGCTCCCACCCACGGCCCAGAGCCCTCTCCTCCCTCCCACCTATTCCCAGGAACGCTGCTGAAACATTGTCCTTTTGACAGTTAAATGAAGCCTGGCTTATTGGCAGCACCATCCACAGAATTAAGTGGAGAGCTGAAAGGTGGAGGTAAGAAGCTTGCCATCTGGATTTCCTCCAAGGAGGCTTTGATTCTTATTCTCCTGTCAGATGGACAAGTTTACTTTGAAATGTCTGGGAACGGTAAGCATTTTGCTGTTCACTGCTGAAGGCACCAAAACATTGGCGAGCATCCCAAGAGACAGCAGGATGGAAAGAAGAACACTTCTGACCAGGAACAGAGGGCTGTGGAGTCCAGCCACACCCCTGCTCCAGGAGCTTGTGACCAGGGCCAGCCACTCACTGTCATACCTCAATTTCTTTGTCTGAGAAATGGAGATGATCGAAGCTACCCTGCTCTCCCATTGCACAGGCTGTTCTGCTGACCAAGTGAGGTAATGGGAGAGAAACTGCTTTGAAAAGTACAGAGTGAAACACGAGCCTTCATCCCTACTATTTAACCCTAACTTCAGAGTTATTTTGACCAAGAGGAGTGGAGGAGTGAGGGAGCAGAGCCTGGGTTCTTTCCTGCCTGCCTGCCTTCTCCTGAAATGCCCTGGCTGAGACACCAGTCTCTCCAAGCCTCAGATCCTTCATCAGTAACAGCAGCTATTGGATATCAGTGAGCCTGTTCCAAACAGACTTGTTTTCAGAATTTAATACCAATAGTAAGAGCTGACTTCAGCTGGGAGCAGTGGCTCACGCCTGTAATGCCAGCACTTTGGGAGGCCGAGGTGGGGGAGGTCAGGAGATCAAGATCATCCTGGCTAACACGGTGAAACCCCGTCTCTACTAAAAATACAAAAAATTAGCCAGGCATGGTGGCGGGCACCTGTAGTCCCAGCTACTCGGAAGGCTGAGGCAGGAGAATGGCATGAACCCGGGAGGTGGAGCTTGCAGTGAGCCGAGATTGCGCCACTGCACTCCAGCCTGGGCGAAAGAGTGAGACTCCTTCTCAAAAAAAAAAAAAAAAAAAAAAAAAAAAAGCTGACTTCTATTAATATACTTGCTATATGCAAGATTAAAAAGTGTAAATAAACACTCTGTTTTGTCCTATTATGGCTTCTGGCTTTCATGCCATGCCTTTCCCTACACCAACATAAATGATTACAAAATATTTAAAAAATAGTTTCTTCTATTACTTATATGGTTTTTGTGCATTTAGTTCATTAAGCCATCCAGAGAATATTTTTGTTCATGGTGTTGGGTATATAATCTAATTGATCTAATTTAACTTTTCCAAAGTGGATAGAATATTGTCATGTGAATTTACTCTTTCTTGCCACCAATTCAAAATGTCATGTTTGTCACACTCTAAATTCCACACAGGTCTGTTTCTGGATTCCTAATTGTATTCAACTGATTTCTTTTATTGATTTCAATGTCAATACTATGCCATTGAAATGACCATAACTGTAATACTTTGGACAGGGTATTTGTCATTATTGTTTTTTCTCTGTGGAATGCTGCCATGTTTTCTTTTTCCAGAGAAACCATAGCATTTGTCTCCTTCCTGGAACATGCACCAATATTCACATGCCATGAGCTGTCATTGTTCATAAAGTTGGCTTGGGTCCTGGCATCTGTAAGCTCACAATAGGATGTTCTTCCTTATGTGTTTCCACAAGGGAATAAATGCAGCTCCATAACTGCTTATTGGATGGAAAATGCTCTCTGTGACAGCAGGGAGCTCGTGCCTCTTCTAAAGAGGAGATTGCATTTCTGGTGACATTGGCTGCCCTGTGCTGGATTTTTACTGACTGCCTCTTTAGAATCCAGCTCTCTTCATGGTGCCACACTGCCTGCCTGCTCTTGTCTCTCAGGGTAGAAGTCGTGGACCTAGATTCCAATCCTGCTGATGCCAGCCACAATTTTGGGAACCTAAACAATTCCCTGCACCTTGCTGTACACCTTGGTTTCCCCATCTGCCTGCTGTTTCTGGCTTCGGGTAATACAAAATAGCTGATCGTTGGGCTGTTAACAGGTGCCTGTGGTTTCCATTTACTTCATTCTTTAGTTAAGAGGTATTTAAAGGCTTAAAATAGAGTTGGAACTTTCTCATCCTGAGTTGCTTAAAAAACAAAACACAAACAATCCAAAACTTTTCGTTAAAAAACAAAATGCAGGCTGAGCATGGTGGCTCACGCCTGTAATCCCAGCACTTTGGGAGGCTGAGGCGGGCGGATCACCTAAGGTCGGGAGTTCGACACCAGCCTGACCAACATGGAGAAACCCCGTCTCTACTAAAAATACAAAGTTAGCTGGGTGTGGTGGTGCATGCCTGTAATCCCAGCTACTCGGGAGGCTGAGGCCGAAGAATCGCTTGAACTCGGGAGGTGGAGGTTGTGGTGAGCTGAGATCATGCCATTGCACCCCAGCCTGGGCAACAAAAGCAAAACTCTGTCTCACAACAAACAAACAAACAAACAAACAAACAAAAAAGCCCAAAAAAACCCACAAAATCCACAAATGCTTATCAGGCTTGCCTTCAGATGCTCTGAGTGCACAGATGTCTTCACTGTACAATGAGGTTGGAAAGTGAATCCTCTGTGGGGAGTTTCCAGGTGGCTGGTGCTATAGAGTGGGCTCATCAGGCTGCACTGGCTGTGGGCCTGTCCCTGCCAACCCCAGCTTGGAAATGGGGAGGCCCTTGGACATTTGCTTTCAAGAGCTGAGAACCAGTCCCTGTAAAGAGTAAGGCTTCTTTGCTTTACCTCAATTACATATTTCTATAAGAAGTTTCTTTCACCAGGAGAACCTTGAGCTCAAGGCAAGTGTGGACCATTGGGTTGGTCATGTGGGTCTAAATTTCAGGTCTTGGAAGGTAAGTAGTGCATGGACGGGTAGAAGCATAGTCCCCCAAAAGTAGCAAATTTTTTCTCTTTTTTTTTCCATTAAGACCTAAAAATCTGCTACTCAATTTGCCTAACGGTGAAATTTCTGAGATTGAAGTCACTGGATAATGACATTCCAGAATATGTTCTTTTATCTTCGTTATTTATTTATTTATTTGAGACGGAGTCTCGCTCTGTCGCCAAGGCTGGAGTGCAATGGTGCCATCTCGGCTCACTGCAACCTCTGCCTCCAAGGTTCAAGCGATTCTCCTGCTTCAGCCTCCCAAGTAGCTGGGATTACAGACATCTGTCACCACATCTGGGTAATTTTTGTACTTTTAGTAGAGACGGGGTTTCATCACATTGGTCAGGCTGGTCTTGAACTCCTGCCCTCAGGTGATCCACCCGCCTCAGCCTCCCAAAGTGTTAGGATTACAGGCATGAGCCACCATGCCCGGCCTTATCTGCATTGTTATCCTCTTGCTTGATAACTTTTTAAATTGTTAAATTTATTATTTGTCCCCATGAAAGCAAGCAACATTTAAATTGTTACAATTGACTATGTAAGAGTGTGTCTGATAAAATATAGTCTCAAAAATTATGCGCATTTATAAACCTTTCATCAAACAATAGTGTTCAAGAAAATAATTTCTCTGTATTCCTCTCCTCTTTTTCTTCCTTTCTTCTCCTTTTTTTTTTTTTCTCCCTGTCTCCTACACCTTTGGCTGCAGACTTCAGGAGCAAATTTCCATAGATAGAGAAAACAAATTTCATTACTGAATGTGACCCTATTTTCTAAGGACCCAGAAAAGATGTAAATGAAATGACAAATCTGAACATCTTTTGTAGGAGAGTAAAAGTTAGATTTGGTCAAGTATTTAAGTAAATTGGTTAAGTAAATCTATACCTTTTGCATAGCAGGTTAAAGCAAGTGAAAACTAAAGGAGATGTTTTCAGACAGAGCTGGAAAAAAGCAGTTTTTGGAAACTGAGAAGCAGTTCTGGGAAACCCGATGCATGTGGCTTTATTGATGATGATGATAGAGAATTTGCTGAGACCCTGAAACTATGGTGACTTGAGGATGTTAAGATACATTTAAAATTTATCATTTAAGTACCTACGATGTTGAACATTTTTACAAATGCATAAAGGATATGGCTCTCTGTACCTAAGAGGAGGGTTAGACACCTCTATAAATGCACTCTGCCAGGGGGGTATCTAGTGATATGTCCGTCATCCATGCAGGGGCTATTACTGTCTGTCTGGGTACCAGAAGCAGCCTCTGGAGAAAAGGAGGACTCTTGGGATGGGGAGGAAGTATGATGAAGACATCTTTAGACTTGGAGCATCTCCTAGGTTGGGGTGGAGCTAGTGTAAAAGAAGGATGGGCAGATGGGTGTTAGTTTCTTGGCCCAGGGGTGCACAGGCTCCTCCATTCCAGGGCACTCTGATGAGGAAGATTTTACTCTCTCTGTTTGAAGCTGGTAAAACCAAAATTCTGGAAATTTGCCGAGTCTTTCAAAGACTGCCTGTGATAATTTTATGTGTCAATCTGACTGGATCTGGGGATGCCTAGATGTCTGGTTAAACATTATTTTTGGTGTGTCTGTGGGGGGTTGGAGTTGGTGGACTTAGTGAAGTACATTTATTTTTCTGCTTCACTGTTGAGCTGGGATGTCTTATCTCATCTTGCCCTGTGCTCAGACATTACACCATCGGCCCCCCTGGTTCTCAGGTCTTCAAACTTGGACTGAATGACACCCCAGATTTCCTGGCTCCCAAGCTTGTGACAGCATGTCATGGGACTTCCCAGTCTCCATGATCTTGTGAGCCAATTAATGTGTGTGTGTGTGTGTGTGGTCAGATGTTAATTCTCATCTTACACTTGTGTGTAAGTGAGTGTGTGTGTTTGTGTGTGCGTATTGGTTTTGCTTCTCTGGGAAACCCTAACACATCCTCAAAAGCAGCTGTTCCATGGTGCATGGCAGCCTTTATGGAGATTGGACCAGCTTCAAGGAGCCAGGACTGACACTCACAGGGGCTCAGGGGCCTTTCCTCATTGGCCCCTCCCTGCAGGTTGCTTCTTTGTGGTCCGACTTTAATTCTCATTTTACACTTGTAACTTAGCGTGTTTGTGCATCCATGACTCTTGTGATTAAAGTTAGAAGCTTTTGTGAAGGGCTGGGGACACAGTAGAAGAGTGCCTTTGGATAATAAAAGAAAAATAGGCTGCATACTTAACATGTGCTGTGCAATGTGCAAAGCAACTTACACACATTACCTTCTTTAATCCTCAAAACAGCTCTATAAGGCAGATTCTACCATCTCCATTTTCTCAGAAAGGGCACTCTATGGTTTGCACCAGGTTCATGGAGTCTTTCTCACTGTTTGGAGATGGCTGAATGGCTGTTTCCTGCATTATAATACTTGAAGTTATACAAGGAAACAGAGAAAACGTAGGAAGTGACAGAGAGGACTTTACCCAGAAGAATCCTTTTGATATCAGGTGACATAAAATCTGACCTAAGTTGGTAAAACGGTACAGAGAATTCGTTGGCTCCTGTAATTGAAAAATACAGGGCTTGTCTCACTTCAGGTACAGCTTGATCCAGCTTCAAACACTATACCCAGGTTTTACTTTCTTTATCTATTTCTTGACTCACCTTCAGGAATGTTTGCTCATTTCTTTGGCAGGCTCTTTCTTCAGTCTCAAGGTGGCTATCGGTACTTCAGGGGCTACAGCCTTCCTTGTGCACATGCAGCAGAAGAGAGAGGGTTACTATTTTCAATTGTTGAAAAGAAGTTTTCAGCTGGATTTTTACTGGCCTGAGATGTCAGTGGAAATGTTCATCCACGAACCAATCTCTGTGACCAAGAAGGTGGAATATGCTATTCGGTGAAAGCCAATCAGAGCCCACCCCTGGGGCTGGGGCATGGAGTTAGTCCCTTTCCATTAACTTGGTGTGAAAGTGAGGGACGGCTGGTTACCCAGAAAATTGCTGAGACACTGTTTTACCAAAAGAAGGATGGAAGGATAATGGGCAGCCAAAACGACTGATGTCAACTGTAGGCATAGAGGATGAGCTCCCTGTTGGTTCCACCAACTGCTTGTCAGGTCTTTAGGTCTCGATTGAATCATAGATTTTTTTGTTGTTGTTGCTAGAGAATGGACCTACCTTCTTTTTCCCCTCAAGCGGTTGGCAAGTTTGGTCCTCCCCTGGCTGTGATAGTGAAGAGATTAAATTGATACATCACATGACTTCTAATTATGTTTTGCAATTCCCATATGTGCTGTTTTATTTGTTCCTCTTCGCCAACCTTTGAAGTGGGAAAGACTGAGATTATCACCTCCATTTTTCAAATAAGGACATAATCTCAGAAAGTTAATGATGAGGTTCAGGTCATGCTTGTCATTTGCCCAGTTACTCAACACATTCGGCTATTACTCTACAAAAAATATTTTGAGGGCCAGTCATGTTGGTAGAGCTGTTGGCAAGACACCACTTTATGCCCTGGGCAGCCACATTTGGCTTATCCAGGTCTGAGCACCCAGCTTTGAAAAGGTCACATTGGTCATAGGGATGATGTTCAGAGACAAGTGGCCCAGGGCAGAGGAGACCTGCGTTTCATGGCAGAAGGAGAGTGTCTGAAACAGAGGAGAAAAGACCATGAGATGCCATGACTGCTGTCTTCTCATACTGGAAGGCCTATCACATGGAAGAGGGAATCATTCTGAGCCAGAGGAGTGGCTGTCAGCTAAGAATATAGGAGAACTCCCAGCAATGAGGTCTGCTTACCAACAGGACAGTCTATCTTTACTCAAGCAAGAAATAAATGATGACAGAAAAGAGATGCCTTCATTTGGTAAAAGAGGCTGGATTTAATTTAATGAAATTATTTCACTGAGTCCCTCACACGTAAGAATTCCAAGGACTCTGCCCTGAAGCAACTTACAGCCTAGCCAGGGGGATGAGGAAGGTGCACAGACACACTAATATGGAAAAAGGTGCAATGCAGTCAGATCGTGCAGAGGTGGCAACAGGACTTTTGTCTGCCTGGGTTTGACTCTTTACTTTCTGCCTGCTTTGATTGGTTGTGCCTCAGAGTCCTCATCTGTAAAGTGAGACCATAGTGCCAACAACCACATGGGCATTCAGCACAGGGGTCCGCACAAGGAAAGTGCTCATTAAATCCTAGTGATTACTGTTGCTAGAAAAGAGAGAGTCCATGGGGTGTGCCAGGCTCAGGGTTTCTGACCCTACAAAGGCCGGCAGGGAGCTGAGGAGGTGGGGAGAAAGCAGGAAAGGCTTCAGTAGCGAAGCCCTGGAAACAGGTTTTCCTCACAGTCCATCATGCTTCCAATTTCAGGACTGATGCTGATTGTTTTGCAGACTCATCCATCCCAAACAAATTCCTGCAAACCCAAGTTAATCTGAACAGCATGTGGAGAGCTTCTGGGGCTTCAGCTGCTAACGGGTGAAGTGCTGAGATGCTTGGGTGATAATGGATCCATCTCCCAGAAGGACTTTTCTGGAGGAGACCAAGGAAAGAAGGGGTAAAGCTGGGTAAGTTACGATGGGCTGGGGATGGGGCACAGGTGGCTGCCTCTCCCTGGTAGCACTCTGCTCTGATGCAGCATTTGCTAAGGTGCCTGGTGTGGGAGGCGTGCTGAGATGAGGATTTCCACTGCAATCTAACTTTAGGTTTTCCCCTGGCTTTAGGCTTTCTCCCCTACTTATTTACCTATGCTCTGTGATTTGTCTCTCACCACTGCAGAATACTTATTAATAAAAATCCTGACAGTTCCTGTAATCAAGAGTTAAATTCTTTCAGCTCTGAGAGCAAAAGCACCTTTGGATTTTTTTTCCTTTGGGCTCCTGAAGTAGTTTCCAGAAACCTGGGTCTGTTCCAGGAGAGCAGACCCTGGTGGGTGTTGACATCATGATATTTAAAAAAGTGAATAACATCTATTTAATTGTCTTAACAATTTTATGAGATAAATACTATTATGAGGAAACAGGCACAGAGAGATAAAGAAACTTGTTAGAGGTCACACCGTAATGACCGAAGCTGGGTGTGGGCCCAGGTGGCCTTGTCCAGGTCATTCCACTGTGGCAGATGCTGTCAGTGTCTCACCTGTACCTCCTGCCTGAGGGCTTTCTCTGGCCACTACAGTGCTTGGGCCATGTGCAGCCTGGACAGAGGTTCTGGGGAGTCATGGCCCTGGAACACCCCTCAACTAGTGATGGACAGGAGGTGGTGGACTGATACCCAGCTCTCTTGGACTCCTGGGTTGGAGAATTTTAAGGTGTCTTTCTGTGTCACCTCCCAGAGGTCCCCAGTGGGACTGAGCCACTTTCTGCAGTAACAACCTGATCACCGGCATACTTTCCCCCTTCTACTCCTCCATTTCCCTTCTTCCCTACAGTTACTTTCTGGGGTCTCCTTTCAGGAAAATGATTTGCACAAAGGTCGTTGACTCAGAGTCTGCTTCTGGGGAAACCCAGCCTAAGACATAGACTGGGCCAGTCTTTTCTATGTCTGGCTTATATAGTTTTAATATTTCATGTTTAAATTAGCCGATTCTCTTTAAATTCTAAGCAGGTGATCTTAGAATTGTCTATGGTAAATCACAAAAATGGTCACAAATTACGTAGCTTGTTGTTGGCCATAGGATATCAGCCGAAAATGACACAAGCAGAGACTTGAGAAGCACTTGTCATTGCAGCTCGCTCTCTTGCTGCTGTTAGAACCCTGAGGTCACTGCGTGAATGAGCCTGAGCTCGTCTGTTGAGGACAAGAGGCCACAAGGAGGGGAACTGGCCTCCAGCCTGCCAATTGTCTGTGTGAGGCCATCCTAAACCATCCAGCTGTTATGGACCCACTGCCAATGAGATTGTCCCGCAGAGATCAGCCAACCTAATCTGGACCAGAACCATCCAGCTGACCACAGAGTCATGAGAAATAATAAAGGCGTGTTGCTTTTAAGCCAGTAAGTTTGAGGCCACTTTGTTAGGCAGCAAAAGCTGACATATAAGTCAGCTAACATCTCACATGTCTCAAACCAGGGCATCTCAGGTGATACAGGGACAAGAAGACCCCACGGAGTGAGTGTGCCACTTGTTTCATCCACAGGCCTGCCTGTCCTTAGCTCAGCCAAGAGGCTTCCTGGGCTCCTGGGAGGTGCACAGGCTACCAACAACAGGAAGAAAAGTGCATTCAGATTTTGTTTATAACATGCATTAGCTTCATGTCAGAGCATAAATAATTCCTTCCAAATACTGAAGCACAAAATCCAGGAGAGTGCAACCTATGCAGAGAAGACTTGTATATAAAATCTGGCTTCCCCTAGGGCATTTCATATATCCAGAGAGTTAATTGTTCCACTGAGGTTTCTTTTGATTTTATTGTATCTGAAAACAGCCAGGAAGAGCAAAGAAGTTGGCTGGGTCTCAAGCCAAGTAGAAAGGTGTGTAGGCCTGTCAGCGTGATGAGGGAGGCAGGCCCTTCCTTCGTCCTTCTTCTTGGGTGATCTTCCCAGTGACAACTGACTCCCAGAGAGAATAAGTGCTCCATAAATGTGCCTGTTTGGTTAACACAGTCATGAAAAGGGTGGATGGGGTTGACTTTGTAGATGTATTTTTACTCAGGGCTAAGAAATTTTGGAAATGGAGTAAATGCCTCCATTCCTGGCACAAATACAAGTGCATTTCCAGAAATTCTGGGTCTCATACTGGGCACAGCTGAGAGAAGCAGAACACAGCTGCCCGGTTAGGTGGGAAATGGGGTCACTTTGCCCCCTGTGCTTGCTTCTGCCATGTCAGGGTGCTAGGTCCATTCACTAGCACACAGCCCCTGACAGCAAAGAGTTTCACTTGCGCGTCAAAGGGAACAATCTAATTCCGTTTGTAAATGATGGCCGACAACAGTTATCATTGGAAACTTGTCACTAAGCGTGGTTGTTCATGTGGTCTTTGTGTTGATATAACCAATTACCAATTCACACCACCAATACCCAGTTTGATGTCTCACTTCTCGTTACTAATTTCTTCCATAGATTTAGCCTGGGTTCATTCAGGAACAGCAGTAGCTGGCCTGTGTTAGGTGATGAGGTTTGATTCATACTTCCAGGACTGTGAATCTTCTCCATATGTGGACTGTTTGCACTGAGTAATTCAATGTAAGCACAACACCTGCGTTTCTAATGCCGCCATATTGGTGAGACAGGTCCCAACTTACAGTCTGTCCATCATTACTATACCCATGCTGTGGTGTCTACTGCAGCAGTCAGATTCCCTTTATCAGGTACTGTCTGCCTGAATAATTGCTGTGGATTTGTTTTAACATGCTTTCTGGAGAAGCTACACATTCTTATTCTGTGCAGACATTCTATATATGTCTTGGTTGATTGGTTTTAGATTAGCCATTTAATGAAAATAAAATGTATTTGGAGAGCTTGGAAGCCACTGTCAGTTTATCAGGAGCTCTGCAGACAGAAAAATGAAATTATTTTGTGGATTCCTCCTCCTTAATGGGAATGTCATGCTACAGGCAGCTCCTTGGGATAATGAAAAAAGCTGGATGTAAAAATGTAAACATGCAATTAAGGAGGCCTAGCTGTTTGGTGTGTTTATCTACTGCGTAATTCTCCAAACTAATTAATTTTATGCTAAAATGCATGAAATCTAGATAATTCAGGCCTGATTTGATTAACCATCTCTTATAAAAGAAAACACCTTGTATCAAATCTTTCTCTGCTGGCAAGCAGGTTGCTACTGGGTGCTGGGGTATTTTAGTATTTGGTCTCAAACTAAATTGATGGGGGAGTAAGGGCTGCAATGCTAGCAAAGTGTTTGTGCAAATCTCTTTGCGTATTATTCTACTCCAATGTAGAATGAAGGCACTGAGGCCTCTTGAATGGTCAGAGAAGTCTTGTAAATCATAAGTATGTAAGAAATAAAGGTGAGCTGTCTATTCTAGCATTTCCCCTTCTGTATTCCAAACTGCTGGTTCCAGGAGAGATGGGCAGGGAGGGTGGCTCCTCCATGCATCTTACGCCCAGTTCTTGGAGAGTTGGTCTTTGCATGTGAGCCCAACTTTATTTGAGTGTTGGCGGTCTCTGAATTTTAGGATTAATGACATTAAATGTTTTGTTTTGTTTTGCTGAGACAGAGTTTCACTCTGTTGCCCAGGCTGGAGGGCAGTGGCACAATCACAGTTCACTGCAGCCTTAAACTCCTGTGCTCAAGAGACCCTCCCACCTCAGCCTTTCCAGTGGCTTGGATACAGGCATGCACCACCATGCCTGTCTAATTTATTATTATTATTATTATTATTATCATTATTAGCTGTAGAGATGGGGTTTTACTATCTCTACAATATTATTATTGTAGAGATGGGGTCTTACTATGTTGCCCAGGCTGATCTTGAACCCTGGGCTCAAGGGATCTTCCTGCTTTGGCCCCTCAAAGTGCTGGGATTACAGGCATGAGCCACCTTGCCCAGCCCTAGATAATATGCTTAATCTCAAATCCCTGCCTAATTGATACTTAAAAGTCTTCCATTTGCAATTCTATTTTTTTTAGTTGATTGCCTCATTCTAGGCTATGAATGGGTAACACGAACCTCTTTGATCCCATGTAGCTCCCTGTCACTCCTGCTCTAGGTCCAACTCTGACATTTATTGAATTTTTGAAGTTTCTTAGTTATTTTCCAGCTGTTTTCCAGAGTTAGGAGCTTGGAGATAGAGGTTTGCCATGAAAAATTACCATAAAGTCAGTACATATTTCTCCATGGGGAAGCCGAGCCAGAGAGGCCTGATTCATGCAAGTTCATGTTTCACCTTTGTCATAATTGTTCTAATGACATGGTAACAAGAAGCAGATGGCCTTCCTTACAGGAACCTCCAGAAACCAGATGGTGTGAGCATCTGAGACAGGCAGGGACTTGGTGGTGAGGGGAGCAGTAAATGAGGGGAGAGCCACAGGCTCTGACCTGTACTAGGTTTCAAGGTTTATCAAACTGAGCTGCATACCTGGGGTGTCCATTTAGACAGAGAAGAACATCGCACCATCTGGTCAGTGGGGTCCCTCTGAAAATGATACCTCTCAGGATGGAGGCAGAGACCTTCCTCTCAGCCTCATTCCTATGGTCTCTTGTGTCACACTGAGCAACACATCTGTTTGCTACTTCCTGGAAGAGTGTAAGAGAATTCATGGTCATTATGAAAGGTGTGGATGCCAGAAGTTATCTAGATATTTCAGATATTCAGACATTCATGTTTAAATATATTTGTAGCCAAAAAATGTTGGACAGTTTAAATAGCAAGATGCATGAAATAGTTGTGATAAAATAATTTGTACAGTGACATTTAAGCTTTGCACACAAGCAATATTCATTAAATATCAAATCGAACCTCTAATGTTGAATTTCTCTGAATTAAGTCCTGGCTTGTTTCTCTCATCTCTTCTTCTCCATTCTTTTACCAGTTTCTCTCATTCATCCCTGAGGCTTCAATACCTGCTGACACAGCTAGGCTCTGCCACACAGCTAGCCTGGATGCCTCATCTGAGAGACAAAAGTAAAACATATGTTTGATAAAGGGTTAATATCCAAAATATGTTGGAAACACATACAACTCAATAGCAATCTACCAACCAAACAAATCTGATTTAAAAATGGGCAAATGACCTCAACAGACATTTTTCTAAGGAAGACATGCAAGTGGCCAACAAGTACAAGAAAAGGTACCCAATATCATTAACCATCAGGGAAAAGCAAATCAAAAACCATAATGAAATATCACCTCACACTTGGTGAGTTGGCTGTTACCAAAAAGACAAAAGATAAGAAGGATGTGGGGCAAGCACATGGAGAAAAGGGGACGCTTGCGCACTGATCATGGGAATGTACATTTGTACAGCTATTATGGAAAACAGTATGGAAGGTCCTAAAAAATAGAACTACCATATGATCTGCAATCCCACTTCTGGGTATACACCCAAAAGAAAAAAATCAAAGATATATCTGCACTCCCATGGCTATTGCAGCATCATTCACTATGGCCACGTTATGGAATCAACAACCTAAGTGTCTAGCAATGGGTGAATGGATATAGGGAATGTGGTATTTATATATGATGGAATATTATTCAGCCACACAAGAAGGAAATCCTGCCACGTGTGATAACACGGATGAACCCCAAAAAGACTGCTAAGTGAAGTAAACCATTTAGTTACTTTTTTTGTGGAGAGACACTTAAGATCTCTCTTAAATCTCAAGTAGACCATGCAATATTATTAACTATAGTCACCATTATTCTCATAACTGATGGTTTATGCCATTTGACCAACTTCTCCCTATTTTCCCCACCCTTCAGTCCCTGGTAACCACTGTCTGCTCTTTGTTTCTGTGAGTTTGACTTCTTGAAATTCCATAATATAAGTGAGATCAAGCAGTATGTTTCTTTCTGTGTCTGGCTTATTCACAGATCAGGAAGCTGACTTAGAGATACAATGTGACTTAAGTAAGGCCAAGTGGCTCTTGAGCGGTGGAAATCGAATCTGGTCCTCAGGTCTGTACACTTACCCACTGCTCTATGCTGCCTGCCATGACTTCTAGTGCCTCTTTCTCTTCCTGGAATTCTCTAAGCACCCAGCCTGGCCCTTCTGTCTCCTTTGTACCTGCTTATCCCATTACTCAAAGGTCAAGATCATGGGATGCATCTGTGAGCATCTGTGAAGTTCTGGGAATTTCCATGTGCTTGAGGGATCCAGTGGCTGTTATCATCTGTGGTGCCTGAGAACTGGGAAGAAAAGACAGAAATGGAATGAGTGATGTCACCGAATGCTTGCTTAATGTCTGCCCATGTTCACAGCTCAGGATGAGGACTTTTAGTTGACTAACAGCTTCGATTTCCAGAATAAAATATCTAGTGATTGTTTGAACTGCGAAATCCTCATTATGTGAAATGCCAATTCGAAGCCCCAGCGTGTTACCTTCTCCTGGACAGTAATGCTTCTGAACAGAAAGGGCATCTTACTCGAAGTGAGCATGCAATTAGTCTTGACAAAAGAATTGAAAATGAAATCCTAATTTGTGCTGTGTTTATCGATCTGCACTGCTGTCTTTGCTGCAGCCTTGGAGCTTGTCTCCATCAGCACCTTCTTCCCAGGGACAGCTCTTTTTATGTTGAACATGGTCAGGCCTAATTGGAGTCTTGCTGTTGGTCTCCCAGAGCTTCAGGAATCTCAGTTCAGCCTCAGTTGGAACAAGGGAGTTGGGTTACCCCAACAGTACTTTGGAAAATGAATCATGGTGGTTGCCGATATTTTCGTTGGCATTTTTTCAGAAAGAGCCAGTGCCATGGCACTAGGAAGGGCCCCTGCTGAATAGCAAAGGAGGAGGCAGTCCTTGTAGAGAGACCAGGCGGTAGGACAAAGTTAGGGTTTGCTTTATGGTTTCCCCTTCCCTCTGTTTCTAGAACTCACACAGAGAGTTTGGACCCCTGAAAGTGATTATTCTTTTGCTTGGGATGATTTTCCCAGCATGTGCATAACTGACTGTGTCTCATTATTCAGGTCTCTGCGCAAGTGTTGCATCCTCAAAGAGGGCTTCTCTGGCAGTCCTATATAAAGTGTCTCTACTTTCCTGGGCATTCTTGTTCATACTTTCTCATTTTATTTACTCATGTAATTTGTTATTCTGTAAAATTACCTCATTTATTTTATGTCTCTCCAGCTAGAATATATGTTCCATGAGGTCAGAGACTCGGTTTTGTTTTCTGCTGTCTGCTGAGCATAACGGGTGCTCTATAGGTGATTTTTTAGTGAACGATTAAGTGAGCGAATTAATGAAATCCATTATAGAGGCAGCTAATCAGGTGGGCCTTCCCTCTGTTTTAGCTGGCAGATTTTAAGAGTGAAACCCAGAATATCTCTTCCAGAAAAGCCTAAGATGAAGCAAGGTTTGAATAAAGTCAAGAGGGATAGAGCTTGGTGGTGAATAAAAGGAGACTTTTACTGCTTCTCTCAACTTCAGCTGAAAATCTTTCCTGAGGCAACATTGTCAAGCCCATTACTTGGGTTATTTCACAAGTCATCAAAGGGTCTGCCATTGATCTGGGTTGTTGGGAGACTAAACAAATGCAATTCCCTAATTGGCTTCTAGATGGAAACTGCATTCAGCCCTGAGCTGAGAGCGATTTATCTTGTATGCAGGACAGTGGTGCGGAGAGGAGGAGTAATGGGCTAGCATCGGAAAGGGATAGATTGAGTTTAGGTGTTTAGAAATAACTGTTTTGTCAGATAAATCAGGCAGTGGGGCGATCTGATTAACGATCACAGAATAATCATTTGGTGCTTTAAAAGAAGCTAGAAATACTGAGAGAAGAGAGAATAAGAAATTGAGGGACAAGACGAGAAAAAGTTTTCTTATTCTGCATTGTTCCCACCATCCACTTGGGGCCACCCGCAAGTAAAAGAGAAGCTGTGTTCACACACAGATGAGTTTAAAAGGGTGAGAAATCTCACTTGAAACTAGCATTAAGATGCATCTTATGCTTTAAAAAATTTTTAATTAAGGTATAATGCATGCAGCAAACTTTGTAAAGTGCACTAATTTTAAATGTACAGCTCAATTAATTTTTACGTCTAAAATCATCAACCAGACAAGACATAAAGCATTTCCAGCTCCCCAGAAGAGTTCCTTTTGCCTCTTCCCAGTTAACATCTCCCAGAAGTAGCCACTGTCCTGAATTATACCCTCATACATTATGTAGTCTTTTGAACCTGGCTTACTGTGTTCAGCTGTGAGAACAATGTCTGTGTGATTTATCCATGTTATTGTGTTTCTTAGCAGTTTATTATTTTTAATTTCTGTGTCATATTCCATTGTATAAATATACGAAATTTATTCTCTTGCTGATGAACATTTGGATTGTTTCCAATTTTTGGCTATTATAAATATATTTAAAATAAATGTTTCCAATAAATGTTGGAAATATGCTTGGATATTTTCTTGACTCTTTGTGGGTGGCCAGGAGGGTTGAGGATTGGAACTTGGAACCAAAGTCTCTGAAATAAAGTTCGAATCAATCATACCCTCTGGTTCCCAGCAGCCCTCCATATAGCAGAAATTATAATCTCTGGACATTGCACACAGTTAAACAATTTATCTAACCTAGGCAGCCAAAATGTATTCCACTGCAATGATGACAATTCATTCCTCCTTATACATGATGGGTCACAGGCAAGAATGACACCGTAATAGCCAACATTTATTAAACACACATTATGTCCCAAGCCTGTGCAAAACTCCACCTGGGCTACCTCACTCATTCTTATTTACAGATTACAACATAGGCAGTATTTTTATCTCTTTTTAAAGATGAGAGGCTGTAGAAAAGATCATTCAAATGCAAAGTACTAAAATAATATAAAAACTTAAATCCTTTAATAATGATAGACTCAAAAACAGTAATAATTTAAAATAGATGGAGTGGACAGGGTGTGTTAGGACAGGGTTAGCCATCAAGGAGTCTGTCCCCGGATAAGATAGGCCTTGGGCAAACAGCTCTATGGCGGGTGTTCCAGTGTAGCTTCCTCTTTGTAGACTGACTAGCTATATAGGGGAGTAGTTCGCAGGCTCAGGGATGTCTGCACATGCATGAGTTGGGTGCTTCACGAAAATGCCAGTTCCTTGGTTACGCCCTAAGGTGACTGAACCAGAATTTTGGAGGATGGCTCTCAGGCATCTTGTTTTTAACATGCACCCCAGATGATGCTGATGGGTAGCCAGGGTGGATGTCTCTAGAGCCCCCTCTAGCGGTGACTTTTGAAGAAAGTCTTTGCCATTGTTGTCTCATCTGTTCAACTTGTGGGTGATTGACTGGGCCTTTGAATGCATTGACCAGATGACTTTATGTCACAAAGCCTTAATCACTAACTTTATATAAATCTACTTTCACAAATAATATAACCGTTCAATTCTTTCTGTGATGGCTGCTTTTATTTCCACAAAAATCAAGACAACAGCACATCTAATTAGACTCACAGAATGCTCAAGAGTTTGGGTCATGTGTTTTGGCTTTTGAAATTTATCTTTTTAATTTTCAGTGATAGAGATAGGGTGAGAGGAGCATACTTTTTTTTAGAACCTAATTTTTGACTTTCTAAGTTCAAGACTCATTATGACCCAGTTTTTCAGGGATCAGTAATGATACAGTGCTTACATTTCATAGAATGCCCATATTGGAGATGAAAACATATGCTCCTTTCCTTGCTGCTGTTCTATTTGGAGGGTATTTTATGAAAGTGTCAGGCTGATGAGTAACATATCCTTATCCATATTCAAATTTTCCAGGAAGTTATCTACAAATGGCTTCCAGTAATTTAAAGTAACTTAATGTACTGTAAGCAAAACTCCTTTTCTCATTTGTTTTCTGAAGTGAGAGAAGTATCACCTAAATATTTCATTAATGGGAATCTTACAAAGCTTCCCTGTATCTCAAGAAAGACCAAGGGCTACTGAAGGATCTTGTCCTTGGTCCAAGGGATTTCAGGGGATGCACCTGTCTTCCAGGTGTATCATAAAGGTCAGGAGGTGTGTCTGGAGGTGTTGCAGGGAATGGTCCTTAGCTACTCCAAGCTTCCTTAGCTCCAGTCTGGGGAGCTGGAAAGGCGTCAATCTTGTGCAAGGTGAGTGGAGATGCTCATGGAAACAGTGGAGGAGCTGGTGCTTGAGTGGAAGAGAAAACGGAACACCCTGCATTTGGGTCATGGTCCCAGCACATACTGACTGCACACCCTTGGGCAAGTTATCTAACCTTTTTGTGCATGCACTGATCTATAAAATGTGCATGATGATGATACAGCATCAGCCTCCACAGGGTTGCTGTGTGCACTCCACGGGAATCTGTATAAAGCTCAGTGTCAGACAGCAGTCACTTTTCTTATTGTATCTGGGGCTGCAGACCCTGTGTCTCTTTCCCAGTGGAACTTATAAGTGCTCAGCTGTGATGTTTTTACAATGTACAAATAAGTTGCTGATTTGTTCAGTTTTTGTTTACACTTGGACTTTTATTTATTTATTATTTTTAGAGACAGTGTTCTTCTCTGTTGCCCAGACTGAAGTGCAGTTGCACAATCACAAGTCATTGCAGCCTTGAACTACTGAGCTCAAGCAATTCTCCTATCTCAGTCTCCCAAGTAGTCATGACTGTAGGCACGTGCCATCATGCCAGAAAAATTTTTCAATTTATTTTCTTTTTTTTGTAGAAACAGGGTTTTGCTTGTTGCTTAGGCTTGGATGGTCTTCATAATAAAAACTCCTGGAGCAGGAAGTTTGGAGTGGTTGTTTCATGGAGTGTTGATAACCTGAGTTGTATGATTTAGATGGATGGATAACAGTAGGGGCTTGATGGAATAAAGCCTCTCCAGCCAAACTACTCATCCCTCCACCTTGCCTGTGGGCCCCATATTTCACCATTGTGATGTGCGGGAGTGTGTGGCAGCAGGTGGCAGTTGTCTTGATGAAGCCCAGAGCTACCTGGCAGAATCCTGGGAGAATAAGGTACATGTGTTCTATGGGGAAAATGTGCAGAGACATGGGTGCCATGGAGCTGGGTGTAGCCAGTGAACCAGGAATGGCAGCCAGGTCTGCGGAGACATGTCACTGCCGCAGTCCCTCCAGCCCACACGTTTCAGCTTGCAGGTGCCTGCTAGCCACGTGACTACAAAGGAGGGGCCTCCAGCGTGTCCTTCCAACACTCCTCAGACCTGAAGGATTATTTTTCCTCTCAGCCAATCTTCCCCTTTAGGGGTCCTAAATCTCTTTTAAATTTCAGCTTAGCCAAAACTCTCCAGCATTTAAATACAATTTGAATCTGAATGTCTTGGGACTGGGTCTGTGCTACAGTTACCTCCATTTCTGCTGCCTGTCACTCCCAGCTTCACTTTTCCCCTCCTGCTGACCCTTCTGGGCACTTAACTGGGTTGCCTTTGGGAAGATATGAGTTTTTCCAGGAAACCTTCCCTGCTGCCCCCAAGAATCCAGCGTTTCTTTGGACTTCTGCAGCCTCCTGCGTTTTCCATCAGTGCTTTGCACATCAGTGTTTCTTTAAACCATTTATTAGGAAATAGTTATAGATCAGAGCAGTTGCAAAACAAGTGCAGAGTTATACCCATCTCCCAGCCTCCACCTATGGCAATATTTTATATAACTGTAGTGCATTATGAAAATCAGGAACTTGGCATTGGCACAATGTGCTTAACTACTAGACTACGATGGACAAATAAGTTGCTGATTTGTTCAGTTTTTGTTTACACTTTGGAATTTGTTTTTAATTTTAGAGACAGGGTCTTGCTCTGTGGCCCAGACCGGAGTGTAGTTGCACAATCACAACTCATTGCTGCCTCAAACTCCTGGACTCAAACAATTGACCTGGTCTACTCAGATTTCACCAGTTTTTACATGGACTCATTTTTTTGTGTGTGTGCATGTTTTTGTGCACAGTTCTAGGAAATTTTGTCACCTGTATGGAGATTTGTATAGACATCACCACAATCAAGATACAGAACTGTTCCCACACCATAAGGAACCTCCTCCCCATACTGTCTGTGTCTTAATTTCCTCTTCACCTGTCTGACTTCTCCAGCAGGTGGTCAGCCTGCTCAGAGCAGGGTTCTGCTCACTGCTGAACTTTTTAGGACACAGAGTAGGTGCTCAGAAAATAGGAGTTGAAGAATGAGGGAATGAATCTGGAAGTCTTTCCAGAATGACCTGCGCATGCCAAGCCCTGTGCTGTGGGGGCTTCAGGGAGAGTGAGATGTGGTTTCCTGCCCTCTGGTGGTGGCTGAGGTCCTGGGCCTCTTGCAAGGAGGGGACTGCGGTTCGAAGCCTGGGACTTCCAGCGGCAAACAGGTGGGCCCAATGCCCACTGTGCAAGACAAGCCATTTTCTGCTTCTCGTGTTTGGTTTTAGACAACCCATTTAGGCATCTTGTATGGGACACAGTTGGGGTGCCTGAGATCTTCACTTCTGCCTCACAAGCCTGACTACACTCAGAGCCTGGCACCGGCCCCAGGAAAGTCCAAAGTCATTTCTACCGCTAGGATACAAAGTTGGTGACAAAAAGACACTAGCTGAGGCGCTTCTCAAGCAATTGTGTGGGGTCTTTTTAAAAGATTAATCTGTGCTCACTATTTTCCCAGCCAAATTGTTCAGGTTGGAGAAGCCCCTCTCTTTTCACCACCATCTCCTGCTCCACCTGTTCAAGGTGTCTTTGGATTTTTATCCTGCCTGGGTACATAGAGGACTTTAAAAAACAGACCCAGGAGGAGAATTGCTTTTTGAGGCTTTTGTTTTGCTCTTGCTTATTATTTTCTCCCTGTTTACTTGTTTGCAAATTTGCACAGTTATTGGAAGAAACTTTCTGAGCACAAATCATGTAGGCAAGATTAATTTTGTTCCCCAATCAAATCTATTTCTGTGACAAAAACATTTTAGCTTAGGTTTAAAAGTGTCTGGTGAATAAAATTAATTGCATCAACTAAAGAAAATGCATTCTGTCCAATGCATATAGATATTCTGTCAACAAGACAAATGGACTCAGTAGTAGAAGTATCTCTGTGGGTGAAATGCATAATAATGTAATTACTTTGCCAACAAAATGCTAACTTGCTTTAATCATTCTGTTCACAGTATAATGTAAAGTGATTTAGTGAGTAAAATGAATCCACTACAAATTGTTTTATGGTCATAATGCAGCCCTTTGGTGGACTGTAAATTGATGATAATAATTTTATGGGCAAATGATTTTTCAATTAAAATGTCTTTTTACAGACAGAATGGGAGTGTTACAAATGGCTCCCAATAACCCTGTGCCAAGTCACAGGCAGAAAGTGCTGTCACCTACATTAACCAAGCCTCAATTGGAAAGACTCAAAAGCTCAAAAGGTGATTTATTTTCATCAAATTTGTAATTTCCTTCCCTCCCACTTGAGAAGTATTTTCTTCCTGCCTTTACTGACCCAATAACAAAAATTAAATCTAGCAACCAACCCACCAGTCACCAGCAGCCATGTTTCCTTCCTGTGCCTTAATTGACTATGGCTGTATTGTTCATTAATAAGCTCTTAAACCAGGGCAATTGTTTCTGCTTTCTAGTATGGGCCCCATTATCTCTAGTGCAATAATTATTGCACCCATGAAAATGAAAAATTATTATAGTATAGTGGTTTTGAATTTCAAGCCTATGTTGAAGGAAATAATGTTTTTATGTGGGCTAATTGTCATAATTTCTTTTTAGAAAGGTGCAATTTCTGACCGGTTATAACTTTGCTGTTTCAACATCATAGGTGCTTGGAAACAGCCCCTTCCACAGTGAGTTTGCCTCGGTAGGGAGAAGAGCTGTGCCCTTAAGCAGCCCCATTTGCTCTGCCTCAGGCTGGTCACATGAGTGAAGGGTCCTGGGTGCTCCTCTCTGCCCTTGTCCCACCCAGCAAGGTTGGAAACTTGGTCACCACCATCCTTTCCTCCTTAAGCAAGGCAGCTTCATTGCTTTCGTTGTTGAGAGTTCCACGTTCTTTCCAATTTCCTTTTCTGGAGGCCACACCCACTGGAAATGAAGCAGACATCATTTAAGGCTGCACAGAGAAGGGGAGGTCATGTCAGAGATGGTAGGTGGTTAGTTACGTCAAAGGTGGCAGAATGGTGAGTAAGGGCAGAGACTAAGTCACTAGAGCTACGCTGGGAAGAAGCTGGCCCTGCTTCTTCCTGGCTGTGTAATCTTGAGCCATTCACTCTGTTATTCGTTTTTTTTTTTCCTTTTGAGACAGAGTCTCAGTCTGTTGCCTAGGCTGGAGTGCAGTGGTATGATCTCAGGTCACTGCAACCTCTGCCTCCCGGGTTCAAGCGATTCTCTTCCCTCAGCCTCCCGAATAGCTGGGATTATAGGTGCCCACCACCACACCCGGCTAATTTTTTTTTTTTGTATTTTTAGTAGAGATGGGATTTCACCGTGTTGGACAGGCTGGTCTCGAATTCCTGTCCTCTGGTGATCCACCTGCCTCGGCCTCCCAAAGTGCTAGGATTATAGGTGTGAGCCCTCACCCCTGGCCCATTCACTCTGCCATTCTGAGACTGCCTTTCTGCATCTACAGAGTAGGGATAAATAGTACCTACTTCTAGATTATGGAGAAGATTGAATGAGGTGATGTCTAGAAAGCACTCACATATAGCTGTACACAGTAAGCAATGGCTGTTACTGTCACTGCAGTCACTACCACTCAGCCAGGCCCTGGGAACTATTCGATGGGGAAATAAGAAAAGATATATAAGGCATAGCCCTCCTCTCAGGAAGCGTGATCTAAATGTGGACTTACTGATACAGTGGAGTGAAAGATTCAGATGTTCTTTGCCCTCTTCTGTTTTACCTTGAATCTCAACTTCCTGTGTTTTTGGAACTCACTGGAGTTTCTGACTGCACTCACAGCTCTTGAATTTCCTTCTTCTTTTCTTCCAGGGCAGTCAGAGCCCCTCAAGAGTGGCTGCCCACCCTCACAGCACTGTTCATACCCATAAGAAGAATGCCAGGGGATGGCTCGAGGTATCGCCACTTTGGGCTCCTGAAGTTTGAGTTGAGTTTTACTTTCAGCTAATTGGTGAACATCCCCCTTTCTCCATTCTGGTTCACAGTTGGTCAAATTCAAGATCAGAGGCAGGGCCGCTTCCTGCCCAGGGGGCTCCTTCTGAAGCCAGCTCGTCAGCCTCCATCTAAAGCCAGCTCGTCAGCCTCCGTCTAAAGCCTTCCTTTGCACAACACAGCTGGGCCCCTGGAGCTGGATGGGGCACGCGGCAGGCGTGCCTGTCTTCTCGTAAAAGCACATGATGTGTGAGAGGGAGCTACTCTTCTCCTTTCAGTTCAATGAGCCAGGCTTTGTGTCTCTCTGGCTGCCATGATTAGTTCCAGCAAGGGGACATGACCGGTGTGTTCACTGCCAGATGGTGGCTTGCTGTGCTGGCTGAACATGAACCACCCATGGGTGGGACTACTCTGTGCACCCAGTGCCTAGCACAGGACTGGGCAGGGGCTTGGGCAGGTACTGCATCCACCCGCAAACAGGCCCATTTGACAGAAACTTAAAAAAAGGTAAGCAGAGAGGAGCATTACTGTCTTCTCTTCAGACACCTCTCTGCCCTGTGGTGGCTCCCTAGGATCTGCTCCATCACCCCTTTCATTAGTTTAGGTGATCAGACCTGCAGTCACCTCCATAAACAGTGGGTTCACGTGGGAGAACAGGAGGTAGCCAGGGAGCTGAGCAGACTCAGGGAAAGCTATTACAAGCATGCTTATATTTACTCCTCACAACAGCCCTATGAGGTAGGGCTCGAGGTTACCGGCCAGAGGTTATGCAGTTAGTGAGCATCAGAGCCCAGGCTCAGACTGACTTCAAAGGCTTTGTTCTCTCTCCCACTATGCAGCTCTTAATGAGATAGGTTAAAATGGAAATCAGCCACCCACCCACTTACTTCTTCTTCAATCACTGCACTCTTCTCAGGCAACTGTTACTCACCAGGGAAGTTGGGTATAAAGAGGAGCAGGACACAGTCACAGCACTGAGAAGCTCAAAGGTGGCAGGAAGAGGGAAGCATCCTAGAGAAATGAGTAACTTTAGTGTGGAATATCTTTTGAAACCTGCTTCTCGTAAGGAAGTTGGTTTTTAAAAAACTAAATTGAAGAAAGCAAATAGTTATACTTCTTCAAAAATCATATTATAAAATGTGGTCACCACCTGCTAATTTCTATTCAGCTGATCTGAAACGATTGCATTTTAGCAAACACTTAACTGTGTCAAACACCTAGACGTTCCTGAAAACAGGCTTTTAGAGAATTGGAGAATCACAGTGATGGCACAAGCCTTCGTGAGCCTCTAGCCATCAGGGCGTCCTCTCAGTGGGTTCCGGTCAGGTGGATCCATTAAAAGATGGGAGAGGAGACCAATGGGACCTGGTCAGGTCAGCTGAGCTGGCTCCTCCTCTGTTCACTTTTGGGTTGCTTTGGGGGAAATGTCCTATTTGAAACTGTGCTCTTAGGAAGTCATGAAATTTTTTAAAAATGCTTTATTGACACATAATTGACCTTGACTTTTTTGTTTGAGAATGAGGAGATGGAGATTTTCATGCGCACACACACACACACACACACACACTTATGATAGTTGCAATTTTCTGAAATCAGATAATTTTTCCTGAAGATTATTTTGGCCTTTTCCGATTTACTGGATACATTTCAACAACAACAACAAAAAAGTTCACACGTAGAGGAACAGGAAGATATTTGTTAGTTAAGCTGAGAAAGAGTAGCAAATAGGTTAAAGAAACCTGAAGTCCTGTTTCTGAGAAGTCATTTCAAGTTCCGCTCAGCTCAGTGGAGAATGCTCTACAGTGCAGCTCCGAACTGCTATGAAGCCGGGCACAGGAATGCGGCTGTCAACACCCAGATGAACTTGTGTGCATGACTCAAACTGAAAAGTTAACCAGCCTCACAGAGCCTATTAAAAAGCCAATCAGCAGGACAAGAGAGGCAGCCAGAGCCTGGTGCAAAGAAGAATTTCAGTGCAGCATGACCCAGTTCTACAGCAAAAGTGCCTCTTTGCCTTGAATCGGTGTTTTTTGAAAAGTCAGTGAATGACTTGGGGAAAACATTGTGGAAAATTAGTGCCTCATTGGATGGTGTCTCTGCTTTTGCCCCAACTCTCCAATCTGCCTTGGTCAGGATGAGGCTCAGGAACTAGAACGGCGATTTCTTTATGATATACCTTCTGTAGACTGGTGTCAAAGCTCAGACACGATTCTGGTTTTATTTGTTTGTTTATTTCCTGCTGATAAGGGGAGGATCGGTAATTTCAAGTCCAAGTTTTCCTTTGTTTCCTATTTTGGATGATGTGTTAAATATGTGTAATTAATTATGTTGTTTGAATCTCATGATGAAATAACCTTGATATAGAAGTTTTCCCTTTTATAGTACTTTATTTTCCTTCCTCATTTATTTGTTCCAACTAATTTATTCATCTAGTTCAGTTTTCTTCATGCACTCCATTAGTAAAGACTTTTCAGCCTGTCCTCCCAGTAGATCAATATTTATTTATTTGTAAATTATAAATATGTACTACTACTATCTTTATCTAATTTTTAAAGGCACAATTGGTACTTAGGGCCTATCATTATTAATGACAACAGATACAAAATCACTTGAGTGTTTTGTTCATTTTTGCTGACCTTTTTGGACCAGTTATCTAATAAGATAATCATGGTTTTTAACCTCATAATGTGGCTAAAAAGGAGCTCAAACTGGGAGATGGAGTTCTATCACCCCGTTTTGCTGCTCCATTGTGCTCGTATCATCAGTAAAGAGATGAAGCAGGAACACTTTCTGAGGAGCCTGCCAGCCCCACCACCCCAAGCATGGGAATAAATAAAAATCCTATGTTCCTTCAAGGAAAATTCAAGGAGCCCAGTGATCCATGAGAAGTAAATAAACAACTTGATAAGCAAGAAGGTAATAAATAGGAGCTTAAAACAATAGCCAAGGAAGTTAGAATCAGGAGATGTTTGGTTTCTATAGAAACTAAAGATAACATCTTATATGATCCTGAGTTGTGTTTCAAAAACTCTATTCCCTACTGAGGACGCCCACCAAATAGATCCACGGGGATTAGACCTTGGAGAGAGGAAAACTGAGGACTGAGCTCTGGCCACCTTTCTCTCTTCTAAATTTCTTCCTGGAGTAAGTTATGGCCATGGGCCAGACTTCACATTTTTTTCCCTGACCTCAACATTTTAAACAAAGCTTCTCTTCCTTAACCAATTGCAGATAAGAAAATCTTTGAATCTACGTAAGACCTGTAAGCCCTCACTTCAAGATATCTTTCAGTCCAAATAAATGTATTAACTCCAGTATTTATTTATAATTTTTGCCTACAACTTCTGCTTTCCTGAAATTTAAAAACCCATTTAAAGTCCTGTTTCTGAGAAGTCATTTCAAGTTCCACTCAGCTTATGCCTTTAAAAACCCATGCTTGTGAGCCATTGGGGAGGCCAGGTGTTAAGCGTGAGCTGCCTGATTTTTTTTTTGTTTGGTGCCCTGCAAATAAATGACCTCCTTTCTCCCGCTGCAAAGCCTCAGTGTGGATGTTTGGCTTTACTGTGCAAACCTCAGTTCAGCTCAGAAACAATATTATCTCCAGTCTGCAGCTTTCTCTGTAGGAATCTTCATAAGCCTCCTGTCCATTGGTGAATGTTGGTTTGGTTAAAACAAGATGTCACCATCCATAAGTCCACTAACCAAGCCAAGTAACCTGCAAAAACCACACTTGCTTCTGATTGATGAAACTCCTCTCTCTCTCAAGGGACCTCATGAACCACATGGGACATGTGTTCATCTGATAAAATATCTGAGAGCGAGATCCAGAGACAATCATGTATTAACACGCTTTTCTTGTTCAACGTTTTTGTCCTGCGCCCAGTGGATGGTCCTGTGCATCCCTGGAGGTGCATGTAAGTTCCTTTGGAGAAAATGTCTGACTCAGCCCCTTCCTGGATCTGAGGACCCTGCACACACACCACATGGGAGAGGCTTAGGGACCACATGTTGGTCAAGGGAGTTCTGAGATTAGCAGGGAGTGGGCCATGAGGTTACAAAATTCCTGACATGAGCATGGCTTCAGAAAAGAACTTATGAGATGTAAAAGTGTCAAAAAAAACCTTCACCTGCGTCAAAATTTTGATTCCATATTTTTAGGTATTCTATCCCCTGCCACGTGAGCTAAACCTTCTTTCTTCTGCCTGATGCTCTGGTCTTTGACTTGGTTTTGACTTTGTTGGTACTGTACCCCACACACGGTAAGCTCCCATATATGTTCAACAATAGCATTTAATGTCAAGCAGTATTGATGGATGTCTTTAAGTTCAACAATAAAAGGCTTAGTTGTGTTTTGTTTTTCTTTAAAATCTTGTGCCTCTTCAATCTTAGCAGCCTTTTTTTTCTGTCTGTTGCATGGATGCGTGCTATGTTCTAAGTCATCCTGCAACTATCTTTGCCACCCACTAGGACATCTGTAAGTGACCTGAAACAGGTCTAAGTTCCTCATATCACCCAAGAAAATGCTGGGCATAGAGTAGGTACTAAAACAAAACTTTATATCAGAAGATAGAAACTGGCCACACACAGGAAAATTCAGCCCTGAGATGCATATCCCTGCAGATGTTAACATGGTTTTTGTTAGTTGCTAACATTTATAAGTTACATATGTTGCATAAAGAGCCAGATTCCTAGCTTTCTGGAGAAAGAGAAGACCTGGGAAAGTTCACCTGCACTCCTGCATGGAAACTGTCAGCTGGAGCTGACCTGTCACTGCCCTTCTTGACAGTTCAGACACTCACCAGGTTGTCCCCTCCTACACCACTCCCTGTTGATCCCTGACATGAAAATGGAGCATCAGATGCTCATTAACCATTGTTCCTGTGCTTTGGGTTTGATAGAAGAGAGATAGGATAATTGACTCTTCACTGACCCTGTAGCACATGCTCTTGGTGCCCTACATGTTTGCTCCATGCTCCCCTCTCATGCCCAAGACCACACTGGGGCAGGCCAGAAGTGCTGGGAAGTTAATGCTACCCAGAGCAGCCAACAAACAATGACAGACAGAAGTTGGTGGGTAAAAATAAGAGTCCTCACCGCCTTGCCCCCAGGTAAAGTAACTGCAGCAAGCTCCATTCTTTCTCCCATAGAGCCCCCGGCTTCCAGAGAGCAGGTGGAGCCTGACTGCCTACAGTGCTTGGGAGCACGCTCTTCATTGCCTCCCTTGCCCTCTTGTCCTGTCTGACTTCTCTCCACCAGAGGATCACTTCTCAGAGAAATGACTTGTTACCAAACCCTTGTCTCAGATTTTTGTGTTTAGGAAACCCAAACTAACACTCTTGTTTCTATCAGAAGTGAAGGAAAGATTGTGAGAAACACATGTTTCAGGAAAATTAGAATGAAACCATGCCTTTCTTAGCTTAATGGACAAGTGGAAATAGACTTTACTTTCACAAGTATCTGTTGAGAGAATATCCCAAGACCACTTCATCTACTCACATTACATTTCTATAGGCATCTAAGTTGGAGAGTCCTGCTTCAATAGACTAAATAAAGAGCAAAAATATCGAAATTACTTCTCACCGTTCTTACGCTTTTTAAAAGCTTTCTGAGCTTTAAGAAAGCTTCTGAGATTGAAATAAAAGCTGCAATATGAAATACAATTAGAACCTCTTTTTAATTTTCTAGAACTCACACCAAGGCCAGTTCCCTGCAGCCTCTAAACAAATACAAACTAAGAATTGAAATAGTCCCTATGCGGTCACTAGAGTTTCAGCACATGGGGTGCTTCTTGGTGTCTGCTTTGCCTAAGCATGTCATGGTAGATGTACAAGCCTTTAAAATAACAAGATTTTCTCATTTTATGAGCAATGAGTTTGATGGTGAAGCCCTTTGAAGCCCTCCCTGGCAGGCTGCTGGGTCTGAGAGAAGGCATTCATAAGGCCTGGGCCGGTAGGTTTGATGAGCTGTACAGAGAAGAAAAAAAATGAACATACAGTTGTAACTCTGCACTTTACACTGTATCTTCCTCCAGGCAATTGAGTTATTTGGAACCAGCTAGGGGTCAGTGTCTGTGATGGAGAGGTGCAGTCTTGAGGTGGGGGGAGGGGGGCTGGCCTCAGACTTACATTGATGATATGATTTTTAAACTAGAATTCCAGCCACTTTCTTGTGACTCAGAGATTTTCCTTTTTTTTTCTTTTTCTACTGCTGCTTGCCTTGCTCTTTTTTCTTTTTCTTTAATGTGTCAGGTGTCACATTAGGCATCTGAGTGACCAGGTGTACATCTGGTGACTCCTAAGGATAATTGGTACTTTAGGCGAGGCATGCACTCCCTGGTTCACCTCCATGCTCTCTGCTCTGTGTTGTCTTCTTGAATTGGCACCTGCTGATCCCCGTAAGCTCCTGAGTCATGGGCACATGTCTATGCTTATGTGGAGACTCTTTCTAGAGTGTTCACCCTCTTCCCAGAAGAGACAGTGAGGCCAGCCCAAAGGGCGCTGGCTTTGAAAGGCCTCCTGCTGTATTGCTTGCTGGGGTGACCTTTAGAAAGACGCTGAAACTCTCAATTCCTCAGTCTCTTCAGATGAAAAATGGGAAGAGTCATCCCTTAGATCACGTAGGGATCAAATGATCTAAGGGATCAAATGAGATGACAAATTTAAAAGTGTTGTGAAGTGCTATGTGTCAGGTGACTGATTAGTTGTGATAATATTAAAAGCTGCAGGCCGGGCACAGTGGCTCATGCCTGTAATCCCAGCACTTTGGGAGGCCAAAGCAGGCAGATCACCTGAGGTCAGGAGTTCAAGACCAGCCTGGCCAACATGGTGAAACCCCGTCTCTACAAAAATAAAAAATTAGCCGGTCATGATGGTGGGTGCCTGTAATCCCAGCTACTTGGGAGGCTGTGGCAGGAGAATTGCTTTAACCTGGGAGGCGGAGTTTGCATTGAGCTGAGATCACGCCATTGCACTCCAGCCTTGGTGACAGAGTGAGACTCCATCTAAAAAAAATAAAAATAAAAATAGTGAAGAAAATTTAAATTATTGTCTTAATTTAAGTTTTCAACTGCCTTCAACGAAAAAAGCTTTTTCTTTTCTCATTTTAGCTCTAAGAATGGAGAGAAGGTAGAGAAAAAGTGAAAATATAAAAGGTCATTAAGGAACTTGTGTTTCTTGGCAGCAACAGCAGAGTGGAGATTTGTACCTTTGCCATTAAGAGGAAGAAAACATCATGAAGCTCCAGGGGGCTAAGTAGAAGCTCCTCTCTGAGCTGGGGTGGGCTTCTGCCATTGCCTTGTGTTTAAAGCATTCTGGTTCACTGGCAGCTTGTTGGGCCAATAAGTCCTCATTACCAGGCAACCTATTAGTCAGGCAAATAAAAGACAATGTGTACAATCTTAGGACCTGTGTAAAATTTCATACAGCCTAGAAAAAACTTGACTCTAGGCGCTTGAGAAAGTTAGCATTACAAGGAATGGATGCCATGGACTCATTTGTTTCATCCATTAAAATAAGTCATATGAAATTGCCAGTTTTGCAGATCAGCCCTCAATGTGGGAAGGCACTGTCTGGTCAGCTGAGACCTGGATAGGATGAAAAAGCAGAGTAAAAGCCATTCTCTCTCTCTGTCTCTCTCTCTCTCTCTTTCTCCTTTCTCTCTCTCTCTCTCGGAGCTGGGACATCCTTCTTCTCCTGTCCTTGACAGTCTGTGTTCACTAGTCTTTAGACTCTGAGACTTGCACCAGTGGCCCCAGATTCTCAGGCTTTCAGCCTGGGACTGAGTGACACTCAATGGACTGAGTCAACAATGGCTGAATATTGTTGATTTTATGTGGTTCCACCTAATATTAAAAAACAGCAACAACAACAAAACTGAAGTAAATAACTAAAGGCTGCCTTTGCCATGTTGGTGTAGGGTGACCTGGGAAGAAGCATGACTTAATCAGACCTCAGCTCTGCCCTCCAGATGCTCACAGAAATCACCAAGCTCAAGCCGGCCACAAAAGATCCATGACCAAGCTGCAGCACACGTGGCCTTAGGGAGGTGAACCTCATCTGGGGCACCTGGTGGGCCGGCTGGAGGGAGAGGCTGTGGATGGAGCCAGGAAGAAGAGGGGCATGTGGTATAGGGCCGGGTGATGGTGGCGATGGGTCTCCTATAAGTCCTGTTCTTTTTGTTTTGTTTTTTTAAAATTTTTAAACTTTTATTTTAACTTCAGGGGTACAAGTGCAGGTTTGTTGGATAGGTAAACTTGGGTCCTGGGGTTTTTTTGTGCAGATTATTTCATCACCCAGGTATTAAGCCTAGTGCCCATTAGGTATTTTTCCTGATCCTCTCCCTCCTGCCCCCTGCAACTCTTCCAATAGGCCCCAGTGTGCATTGTTCCCCTCTGTGTGTCCATGTGTTCTCATCATTTAGCTCCCACTTATGAGTGAAAACATACGGTATTTGGTTTCTGTTCCTGTGTTCTTTACTCCTAAATATGTGCAGTCATTTCTGGTGTCAGCCTTGGCAAGGCCCAAGTCCACAGTCTCGGGAACATCTGCAAGAAAAAAGAAGCAGGTTTAAGTCACTATCTGAATGCTAGGTCTTGTGTGGGAGAACATCGGTGTGTTTGTCAATGTATGGATATTAATATTAAAGTAAAAATTGAGGTGGAATAGAGCGACCCAGAAGGAAGTGCGGACTCACCAAGAAATAAGTGAGTCCCTGCGTTGTTGATGGAGGGCACTATATACTGTATATAGCATAAACCAACTTTTTGTTTTGTCCCCTTTCCTTTCAAGGTTAATCTTTAAAAGCCAGCAGCATAGAAGAGAACTATGATTTGTTTTTCTCGTACACTCTGAGATGTGGCTGCGACTTAAGTTTTTCATTTTGATGTTAACTAAAAATGACTCGTGTTCATTTCCATCTCAGCAGCCGGGGATCACTTTGATAGTATCTTCAATTTTTTTGGTACCATTTCCCACTGGGGGTTGTTACCAGAACTCTAGCAAGAATGGTAATTTGCTATAGCATGTGAAAATGTCTATAAATCCTTAAGGCTTGTCATATTAGGAAGAATTTAACTGCATGATATGGGCAAAAAGTTGTAGAATCAATGATAAGAATAAATAAGGAACAGCAGGTGGTTCAAATTGATATTGACATTGCACAATGCGATCTATCTCTACCCTATTATATCTGCCCTCACCCTGGAGGGATGCCGAGGCTCACTGACATTGCATCAAGGAAGAAAGGTTGAAGAGTATCAGTTTTGAATATGCTATATATTAGTTTCTTTTGTTCATGTGTGTTGGGAATGGCTGTCCCCAAAGCTGTAATTCATATTTTAGCATCAGGTCTCTTAAAAATGTAGAGATTGTGTTTGTCTGAAAACAGATGGGATTTCAGACAAAGCTAGGCTATCATTGATAAGGTGCTTCCTGTCAGTCAAAAGGTGGGAATTCTAGGCAGACTGATTATTTTTCTGATATATATATATAAAATGTCCGGTCAGAAAGAAAAAATGTTGGTGCAGAGAACCTGAGGAAAGATGCACTTGATATTTCTAAAAAGGAATATGTAATTCTAGTTCTTTAAGACCCTCTAAAATAAAAGCCCTGCCCATGTCTGCATGGGAGAATGTTGATTAGGAATCCCTGGCCCCTGGGGCTGGCTGTGACACACAGCTGAACGGCACAAATCCAGCTTGCTTCAGGATGGTCCTGCTGGCTCTTTTGCCTTTATATGTTTAATTGAGGAGTAACCTGCCAAAAAAGCAAAGATTTAGCTTGGCTACTGGGAGCTAGAAAATGTTTTCATTTCTCTAGCGCCTCTCAGTCCTGATCTCCTTTGTTATCTGTTCAATTTTAAAGCAGACCATTCATCTACTGGGAGCTAAAAACAAACCTGTCTGTCACATTTGATAACAGTTTGAAATTAGTGGCCGAATTGTATTTGGAATTAAATGGTCTTGTGAATGATCAGACTGCACAAGGAGCTCTTTCATGAAAAGCAAGGAACTTTCTGTTGGATGTAGGAGCAGAGCTGAGCCAATGCATCGTGGACTCGGGCATGGCTACTTGATGAGATAATCATTTTCTATTTATGTTTTATATTTCTTTCCTGCTGCAGTTTGTCGGTTCCTGCCTATTTTACAGGCTCCGGCTCTTGGAGGTGTTGAGTAAAGGGGCTGCATTCTCCATAGATCCACTTCCTGAAAGTGATGTGATACAGAGGTCTTAAAGACCCCACCCTGCCACAATAAAGTCCTAGGAGAAGAGCAAATAGCTATATGAATAAACTAATACAAAAAAAAGTATTCTAGAAGCACAGATCATTCAGATTCTTCTTACACTGAGTTTTGTAGGAAAAATATGTGATTTTTTAAAAAATTAACTTTTCTACTGCATGTTTACCAGAAAATCTGCAGATAACTACTTGATGCCAAGACTCATTAAAATGTTAGTGCAGTTAATGGAGGAGATTATAAAATCATCGGAGACATGGTTCATAAGCACTGGGCAGCCAAACCTGCGGTCAGAGCTCCCTGGGTATTGGAGGAAAAAATGTTATCTTGGGTTTGTGTATGTGTGTTTGTCTGTGTGTGAAGAGGGGAGGAACCACAGATACTTTTTGAAGATCTGGGAGACCTGTCCAGCGCAGTCTCTGAGCAGAGTTTCAGACCTGCTTAGAAACATATAGTGCCTATCTCTGCCTCCATGTTTATGACACACTGGATTGGATCAGCTATTCTTGAGATGAATATTCCAGCCTTGTTCTCAGAAATTAAAATTAATGCTTAAAACATATGAAAAATGCTCATGATCACTAATCATCTGAGAAATGCAAATCGAAACTACAGTGAGACACCAACTCACACCAATCAGAATGGCTTTTGTTAGAGAAAAGCAGACACTTATGCACCATGAGTGGGAATGTAAATTAGTCCAGCCACAGTGGAAGGCACTTTGGAGATTTCTCAAAGAACTAAAAGTTGAACTATCATTCGACCCAGCAACCTCATTACTGGGCATATAACCACAGTAGAATAAATCATTCAACCAAAAGGACACATGCACCCATATCTTCATCACAGCACTAGTCACAATAGCAAATGCATGGACCCAACCCAGATGCCTATCAATGGTGGATTAAAGAAAATGTGGTACATACACACCATGAAATATGATGCAGCCATAAATAAGAACAAAATCATGACCTTTGCAGCAACGTGAATATAATTAGAGGCCATAATCTTAAGTGAATTAATGCAGGAACAGAAAGTCAAATACTGCATGCTCTCAACTGTAAGTGGGAGCTAAACACTGCGGACACATGGATATAAAGATGGCAACAGTAGACACTGGGGACTATGAAAAGGGAGAAGGAGGGATGGAGGGAGAAGGGCTGGAAAACTTCCTGTTGGGTACTATGCTCACTACCTGGGTGAAGGGTTCCATCATACCTCAAATATCAGCATTATGCAATATGTTAACACTTCTGTAACAATTATGCACATGTACTCCCTGATTCTAAAATAAAAGTTGAAAAAAAAGAAAAAGCAAAAAATGAAATTAATATTTAAGGAAAACTGCTAGAAATTTTCAAAATTTGATAATAGCCCTGGTGAGGAAAGGAGAGCTGGCTGGTGCAAAGATGAAGTGAATTTAAGGAGATGGGGAGGAGTCAGACACCTCCCCCAGGACACTGAGCCAGAGTGTCACTGCCTATGCCCTCCACCATGACCTCAGGCCCAGCACAGTGCCCGCCACAGGGCATGATTCAGTGCACAAAGAAATACAAAGAGAACAGTCATTGAGAAACCATCTTCCTGAATGGTTGTAACCAATGTTATAACAACAATGATAACATTATTATTATAATTATTTCACATTACTAGGAAGCAGCTCTGGGCCAGGTCTTGAGCTAAGTACCTCACATGCATTATCTGGTTTAATCTTCACGCATACGCCAAATCTTAAAAGTAAGTGGGGGCCATTTTCTTCTCCACGATGAAACAAAAGCTTAAAAAGGATGAGTCACTCACCCGAGGTCACATGGCTGACCCACAAGGAACCAAGAGTCCAGAGTCCATGCTCCTAGCCATGATGCTCCACTGCCATGCCTTGAAGTTCCTGCCGGCGTTGTCCATGCTCAATGATTTTCACTTCTGTGAGATGTAGGCTGCGTGGGCGCAGGAACCACGTCTGGCGCCAACAGTGCTGTGTCCCCAGAGTCTGGCACAGTGCTTGGTACATAGCACAGGTGCATTAATGAGTATTGAATGGATGTTGGAGGGATGCAGAAGCCCTGGTACACACTGGGAGGCCCAAGTGGCCATGGCTGTGCTGCAGGACTCTGCTCCTCCCTCTGCCTTAGCTCAGGGACAGGTCTCCCCCTACAGTAGCCACTGTTGGTACCCCACCCAGGAGCCTTTTATCTGGCCAGTGCAACCACTTCTCGCCTGCTGTGGGTGTCAGCTGAAAATGGCTCACACCTGCACCTTTTTAGGAGAATAGTTATCTGCTGTTGATGTCTGAGGGTTAGGCACTGCCCCTCTTTTCTCCCCTTACAAGGATGGACCTTGCTCATGTCTGTGGTGAAATTCACGCTCCAGAGAACCCATAGAATCGGGTGGAAAAGAGACTTCTGCTGATAGCACGCGGCTGCTTCTCCTTCCCTCATTTTCTAGCAAACTCACCTGAGAGCATCTCTCAAATGATTACTTATACAAGAATCCCTGTCTCAGGCTTGCTGTTAGAAAACGTGACCTGGGATACTCCAGAATGTAAACCTTGAAAAGGAGATTCTTGCGTATCTCCTTTCACCTCTGTATCATACTCATGGAATACTCTAGCATCTTTCTGGACTTTTTGCTGAGGCCAAACAGGACAGTTATTGTTGCCTGTTATTAAAATGAGCTCAACACACACAAATCCCAATCTTCGTGTATTTATTAGTGAAGAGGAAGAAAAATGGCCTCAAACTCGGAAACTGTAAGGAGTTTCTCTGATACCCCAATGCCTTCAGAATGTGGGTATCTTGGTCTAGGATGGTGACCAAGATCTGATAACAGTACTGTCAAAGAACTCAAAATGCACCCCTGCTACCGGGTGGGACTCCTGTGTGTCACATTGAAGAAGCTGTATTATCTGAAAACAGCACCCAAAGGAGTCCCTATTCGGTTCTCAGGAAAGAGACACGCAGCTGCTGCTACAGTTTTTGTTCTTACTGACAAGGGTTCAATGGCAGACTCCTGTTCAATTTTATCAAGATCTGAAATGATTTTGAGGTAGTTAAGGGGAACTTTTGGCTGAACTGACAAACACAGAGAGTCCAGAACAAGAGAGGAGAAAGCCCCACCTTGCCTGATGCTGCTTGCCTGCAGAGGGGTGGTAGAGCAAGTTAGGGAGGCATCTGTTAAACAGGTGACTGGCAGTCTAGGTGGGAAAAGGCCAGGGGGAAAGTGCCTGGAAATCAGGTCACCTGGAGGACTGAGGATGCTGAGCCTGAGAAAAGAGGCATAGTGGGGACTGGCTGAGGAAGGCTTGGTGCTTCTGGAAGGCTGCCATGTGGCTTCGGATGGAGAATTCACAGTGGGCGGAAGCTGTGCCCCAATTCACCTTAGCATCAGGAAGTCTTTCCACCAAAGTCACTCATGAATTTGAAGGCTGTTCTGGTGGCTTCCCAGCACAGAGCTGTTTGAGCTGAGTCTTGAGGGCTATTTGCCTGCGCTGAGGAATGGGGCAGTGTGTGCTGTGCACAGGTCTCTATGAGGTAGCCTCTGGGTTCCTTTTGACTCTTTAAGACTCAGATTCTCTACATTGGGGTTGAACAGGGACATACCTTGTAGAGATGATCTGGTTACATAAATTTATTTGTGGGGAAATTCTTGGGGAGAATGTGTGGATAAAACCAAGACAAGACTCAGTCCATGGCATTTATAAGATTTTTCAGCCTCAGCCCTCCAGCTTGGGCAGTGAGGCTGTCACTGGGGCAGCTGGACATGTATCCTAAGCCCCTACAGCAGCCTGTCTCCTTGAGAGCTGTGCTGTGGTTCCAGAGGGTTCCAAGGAAGCGTGGCTTGGAAAATGCCATAGCGCAGCTTCTAGATGTGCTGGCTCTGCTGCTCATGAGTCTTCTGACTTTGGGAAAGCCCTTGAAGTCTCTGTTTCCTGTGAAGATGACAATTTCTGCTGTGTCTATGGATGAGACATAAGAGGAAATGGGAAGAAGCCCAGACAGGACTTCACATTTGCGGCTCAGCAGTGTCAGAGCTATAGCCTGCTTCCCAACAGAAACCCTACAGCATTTGCTGTGGAAGGTGCCGAGTTCCTTGCGAGACCTGGTGAGGCTGCTGGGAAGATGGGAAACTGGGTCGGTAATGCTGGGGCCCAGGTAGGAGAGAATCAGTGCTGGGCCCAGGAACCTGGAAGCCACTTAGAAGTGATAACTGAGGCCCCGTGAGTGGACAACCCCTGAGGGGAAAGCATGCAGGGAAGTGGAACAAAAAGTCAGGCTGCAGGAGATTTACAGGGTTGATCAGAGGATCCCAAAAGGGGCAGTGGAAGCTGGAGGGTCTGAAGGAGGGAAGAAGGAAAGCTGCCAAGGTGTGGATTCATACAGGCTTCTGATGACCAGCATTAGATGTCAGGGATCATGGCAGGCGAGGAATGGGAAGGAACACTGGGCCAGTGGCGGGGAAGCCACCAGTGAGGAGGCAGGGCAGGACTCCCCTGGTGCCACATAACTCAAATTAGCAGTCATAAATGGTAACTATTGGCTCTTAACATCAAAGGAAGGATTGACTCAGAAATCCACAAAGAATGCCAGAAATGCAGCTATCCTTAGAATGGCTAGGACCAGGAGCTCAAACAGCACCCAGGCTATTGTTGGCCTTTCATTCTCTTTCATTCTCACTTCTCTCTGCTTATTGGCCTCATTCTGATTTTTTGAGATGGAGTCTCGCTCCTGTCATGCAGGCTGGATTGCAGTGGCATGATCTCGGCTCACTGCAACCTCTACTGCCTGGATTCAAGCAATTCCTCAGCCTCCCAAGTAGCTAGGATTACAAGCGTGCACCACCACACCTAACAAATTTTTGTATTTTTAGTAGAGACGGGGTTTTGCCATGTTGGTCATGCTGGTCTCAAATTCCTGACCTCAGGTGATCCACCCACCTCGGCCTCCCAAAGTGCTAGGATTACAGGTGTGAGCCACTGTGCCTGGCCTGGCCTCATTCTTACAGTGATTATTTCTTACAAGGGAGAAAAACCTGGCCACCTGTAGGTCCTCATCATCTTAATTACAGAGACACTGGACATACAACTGGACAGTGGCCAGACCACATAGAAAGATGAAACTTTGACCCACAACCTCCATCAAACCCACCCAGGAAACTGGCCCATTTATATACAATAAACAGGCCAGGATGCCAGTCTGATATGTCAGACATATAGAAAGTCAGATGGCTCTTCTCTAGCGAAAATCGGGGAAGCTCAACAATAAATTCTAAAACAATCAACCCCAAATGGTCAAGACTTGATTTATAATTGACAGATTTCCTAATGTTTGTCCCTGCTTCCAAATTAAGGCCAATCAGATAAATCCAAATATGCACCCCTAACCTACTGCCTAGGACCCCCTCTTCTAGGTAGCAGGCCTACAGCTTCCCTGTGCCAACAGCCTTCAATCAGGGCGCACATGAAACCTTCCCTTGTTTCTACTAAAATGCTTTCCCACTCCTCTGTCTGACCCTGAGTGATGCTAAAATGCGAATGATGGTGGTTGGCTCCATTGAAAGCTCTGAATACATAGGCTTTCCTAGTTCTCATTTTGTTGGTCTTTGTTTATTTCCATACTTCATGCCTCAGCTTCAGTTAGAAATCCTCATGACAGCATTGCGACTGATCTGCCTTGTGCTCCGTCCCTGGACCAAGCACTCCTGCCATTGTGGGTACACATATTTAGATTAGCTCAGGATAGATGCCACCCCTCAGAAAGATGTGACAGCTCCCATTCTGATTAAATGCATAGATAGGGAAGGAGTGATGCTCCTAAGAGGAAAGGAAGGCTCTGTATCTCCGTAGCTGAGACAACTCGAGACGGTTGGTGCTGAGGAGACCAAAGAGCTAATGTTCTCTAGAGAGAATTAGAAGGTGCAGCTGTTTAGAAGGGCACTCAGAGTGTGCATCTCATGTGAAGACGGAGTGGGGAAAGGGGAAGGGATGGAGAGACTGGGGCTGGAAGAGACATGGCTGCAGACATCCCAGAGCTGAAATGGAAGCAGGATCAGAAGGAAGGATGACAGCTGAAATCACCCTGGGGTGGAAGCAGATGATGAGCTGTGGAAAGAAAGAAGCTCCAAATCAAAGCAACAGCTTGGTATTTTCCACCAAGCCATTTTCCTGAACCTTCTTGCCCTTTTCAACTCTCCTATTCTTCCTCCTGATCTCTCTTTCTGCATAAAGAACAAACTGACTGACAGAGGCTGAGTGTTGAAAAGGGCATGTGATGCGGGGTTCTCGGACCTTTGCTTTCTGTGCTTCCTCCCCACAAGCCCCAGATGCTGCACCATGACTCCTCCCACAGCATCCGCTCCCAGCCTCTGTTTCTCCCCAGAAGGAGGTCTTGGTGCTCAGTGACTTCTCTGACAATGCGAAGCTGACTCCTCTGGGTGATGACACCCATTCTGCTTTATTTATTCACCATTGCACTGGTGTGGCATGGTGAGAAGGGAAGAGAAACTTAAAACGGGAGCAGAAGATGCTTCTCTTTTTTGCTTTCTCTCTTGAGAATACTGCGGGAGTGGCCAAGCCAGAGGACCCTGCTCCCGTTAGAGAAGCTGCTGTGGTGTGGGAGGCTGTGAGCTTCTCCTGGGTGATCTCCACCAGCATTAGCTGCAGGGATGCAACGACATCTAGGAGAGCTGGTGGCTGATGAGCCATCAGCCCAATTCCCTCAGCCCCTCTTCTAGTGCCTGGGAGTCGGGCAGAGTTAAAAAGGCAGATCTAGGTTTCCCATGGTAAGACTTGGATGTCTCTTCCAGGGAAGTAACTGACAGTTCCAGAAATGGCAGAGATGGAGAAGAAAACCTAGGAGAACAGGTGCTAAGGCAGGTTGGTGCCATGAAGAGTTCCGAAGCCCATGGCCAAAGCTCTCCAGAGGTGATTCTTGTGGAATCCACCATCTCTGCCAGTGAGGGTGATGGTAGTTCAGGGGCTTCTGCCTGTCCTGAGTTCCTAATCAAAGGCCAGGAGAAGCCAGGAGAGATCTGGGGATCTCCTCTGACCAGGAAGGGCCTTCCGGGGATCTCCTCTGAGTGACCACCTCACCCTGATAGGAGGTCTATGCCATGGCTGGTCCTCCTCTGGCCAATGTAGTGACTGGTGTGTGGTGGGTTCAGGTGTACTTTTTGGGGCTGATGTTGACAATGGCCCCAGATTAAACTGGGATGGACAAATAGGGTGGCCATGGAAAGAACAGTAGTATTCTAAAATGAAAATTTATGAAAATTAAACTTTGGGAAACAAATAAGTGTGAAAATCTGTCTCCAACTAAATTTGGATTCTGTTAGCACCATTCATCCAGTTGTGAATCTGGGGCTTTTGCCTTGGTTCCTAACATTCTAAGCACCACCATGGATTTAAGCATTGTGAGAGAGGGTGAGCATGAGCTCCAGAAGCCTCCCTCTGCCGTGGGTGTCTGGTTTCCTGGGAGAGGCGGGGAGGAGCCTGCATGGCGATCCCTGCATCTTTTGTGGCTCTGCTTTCTGGGCCCAGCAGGTCCTGATAAGAGCCACAGCCTCTCCTGGGCTCCACCTCAGCTGTGCCCCTCCTGCTGACAAAGAGCCCTAGGTGACAACCCGCCTTCCAGGATGGATCCAGGAGTTCTATCCCCTCTTTCCAAAGTCTGCTGGTAGCCTCCTGTGAACAGGAGTCTCCTTTCCCATGCTCGCTCCTCTGAGGTAGCAGCTTTCACAAGAAAGGAGAGAAGAAGTCCGGGTTTTGTGCTTTGTTTCCTGAGAGCTTTTTTTTTGCGGGATTTGTGTCAAAGCGTGGCTGCTTGTGCCTCAGCCCTCAAAAAAATCCCCGTGGAAACAATGCCCTCATCTTTCTCCTGCAGAGAAGCTCTCTGCACTCGTCCCTGTGGGGATATTGCCCTCTGCATCTCTCTGCCTCTGCCTCCACTGTCCTCAGGGATCTGAATGGAAAATGTCCTGCTCCAGGCCTTCTTCATTCTGTGATATCAACATATGCAAATAGACACCTGAAGAAGCCAATTTATTAGACAGAACCAGAGTCTACAAACTACCTCAGGTGCTATTGGAACCCTTGCAATAAAGACACAGCAAGACGGGCAAAACATCCTAAACAGATCACAATTGTTCTTTTTTGAGAGACAAGGTCCTGCCCTGTTGACACAGCTCATTGCAGCCTGGAACCCCTGGACTCAAGTGATCCTCCCACCTCAGCCTCCCAAGTAGCTGGGACTACAGGTGCCTACCACAAAACCTGGCTGATTTTTAATTTTTTTTTTTTTTTGTAGAGACTGGGATCTTTCTATGTTGCCCAGGCTGGTCTCAAATTCTGGCCTCAAGTGATCCTCCCACCTTGGCCTCTCTAACTGCTGGGATTACAGGCATGAGCCAATGCCCTGGGCCTGAAATACATTTTGATGCCATCTCTGACGTAAGAGAGGAAAGCCTCTCTCTGCCGTGGGTGTCTGGTTTCTCCTTTATGTTTTTTTCCTCTGTCCCCTGAACCTCTGGAACCACATGTTTGGAACTTTCTTTAGGCAGATATTGTGCATTGTCTTAATTCATAATTTTATAAATCCACTTGATAAACTGTAAGCACCACGGAGCTTACACACAATGCATTTAAGTGCTTGGTACACATATCAAGGTATCCAATACTTCTGTGTGTATGTATGTCTGTATACATATATATACACACATACATGCATTTTATATATATATGCTCCATAATTTCATAAAGCCTGCTGTCATCTTTGGCACTCAGCAGATAATAATTTCTGTTGAAAGAGTTGAGTGATTTCTTTTCTGTGCACGGGCTTCTCATCAATCACTCCCTGCATCTTGAAGCACAAAGGATTCTTTTGACACCTGGGGAGAGGAGTGTCTCTGCATCAGACACTGCACCTGCAGAAAAATTCCCATGCTAAGGAAGATTTGGGGAGCTCAGAATAGAAAGTTTCATTAGTTCCATTCTGTGTGTAATGACAGCTTCTTCTCAAGGCTGAGGCAAGCACTCATTCTCCAGGTGAGGACAGCAATTTACCTGTAGCTCTATGGGTGGCTTGGGAATTGACTGCTCCCCAATGTCTGCCTTGTCCCATTGGGTAGCCTCAGCTTCTGCTCACCTGTGCCCCCAACTGGGCCTATGGGCCAAATAGCTCTTTAAGACAAAGAACTGGGAAATTTGAAACTCAATGATTCAGTACTCTCCTTGGAAATTCAGTAGTGTCAGAACCAGGGGGCACCAGATAACCATTTTCCAACAACACAACAGCACTGCTTTTTTTGTTTGTTTGTTTTTACCAGAAGAAAGCGGCTGCTAATGGATGCTGGGCTGACAGCAACATATTATTTTCAAGCTGGCCACACAGACTTTCTTGGCTGCTCCCAAGGGAAAATCTGATTTGTTTATTCTGAGTGAAAATCAGTATGATTGCAGTTTCTGCCGCTTGGTTCAGGATATCTTCATCAGTGCGGGCCTGTTTTGATAACCTACAGATGGATGGCAGCCCCAAAACGAACATGGCATGCCACCCTGTTCTTGTGTCTACTGATTGGAAGCATCTATCAAAATACCTCTTTGGAGCTGAATTTCTCCCTGATTGAGTATTTTGAGGCAGCATATCAGGGAGCTTCTATGTGTTGAAAGGTTTCTTTTCACACAGATGAATGTGTGTTAGGTAACTTGTCATCTCTTAGAGTTCTGCTTTAATTGCAATTAATGTTAAAAATATTTTTAGTTCCTGCGCGCCGGGTTCTGTTGCTCTTTCTGTCATGAGTATTTTCACACGGGCTGTGTAAATCCTCAAAGATTTTATTGGAAAGTTCTCACTTCCTATTGGAATTTTAGAATAACTATATAGTGTAATGAAGAAAGTGCCACTGACCATTATTTTTTCTTGGGAGGCTGCTGGATGCATTTGGAAGACGAACTTTGATAAGCTTCTAAAAGTAGAGGACTGGGGTCCTAGAGGGCCTGGATGTGGGCAGGTGTGTTTTGCATGACCCAAGGGGAATAATTCAGGTTTTTGTTGTTGTTGTTGTTGTCTTCTGCAGAGGGCGTGGGGGCAGAAAAAGAGAGAGGGAAAGAGAGGCTGGGAGAGGGTGGGAGTGAGGTACTGTGTGTTGTGAACTTTCCCATAAATCTCAATGAAGTCTACAAAAAACAAAAACAAAAACAAAAACATGAGATACTTAGTGTGATGCTGTTCCTTTTAAAAACCTGTGATGACTCTAGGTTTTGAAACTCAAGTTGATATGGGATGAATTGGAGAATGCACATGGCTGCAGGAAGCTGAGAAATGCGTGGGCAAGAGAGTGGCAGCACTGTACCAGTGTTGGAGTGGCAGCTCCAGATCTCATGGGACATGGAATTCGGGTTTGAGAACAAGATCTCGTAGGTCAACCTGGTCGAGTCAGAGCATACATTTGCATTATGGCTATAAAGCTCTTAAACATTCTAGAGTAATATAACTTGAGACATTACATTCATGCCTGCCTTCCTTTACTCATTCATTCCATCTGATTCTTTTCATAAGTCCCACTTTGTGCCCAGCCTTACACTAAGTTCTGTGTAACATAAAGACAGTTTATGCCTCAAGCAATTTAATGTCTCATTGGGGAGGTAAGCTCATGAGAAAGTTTGAAATATTCAAAAGGTGAACCTTGCATATTCTTACTTTAATGCACTGAATTGCTTTCTCACTTAATAGTAGCTTGGATTTGGTTAAAGTGCGATTGAACCACTTCTAGACATTTTATTTTTATACCTAAAACAAAGGGGAGCTGATAATCTCTTTGCTGCTGGCCGTCTTCTGCATTGATACATGACTTTTCTGCATGCCTTGCTCTGCCCTTGGCCCACTCACATTTCTCAGCTTTGTTACCATCATAGGACCAGTACTTTTTCCTGAATTTCAGTTTGAAAAATCCCCAGGAAGAACAGTGATTGGCTTGACTTGGATTGGCCAGAGACTACATATAGGAGCCTCTGAAGACCTCAGTTGGAGGGGAAAGGAGCAATTCTCCCAAACAAGAGGTGCTTGAAACAGATGTCAGGAGAGTTTCTGGACAGACAAAAACAAAACAAAACAGAAACCTTCTTACATATACTTGAGTGTCTACTATAAGTAGTTCAATTTAACACTGGGGATATAAAAATAAAAAAAAACATAATCAGCATCCTCTTGGAGCTCAAAATAAGCCTGGTTTACAATGTCTGATATAAAAATGATAAGCACAGTGTGCTGTGGGAGCTCATAAGAGAAGCCCTCACCTGGCCTTATCAGGCGAAAGTGAGCTCTTTGGCAGCAGGAAAGGAAAGGAGTAATTTGTTAAGTAGAGAGAGAATCTTGGGCTGGGGCCCCGCACGGTGGGGATGCTGGGAAGCTGAGAGGAGGTGAGGCTGGCCATGTCAGCAGAAAAAAGTCCTCATGGGCCAGATGGGTCAAGGTCAGAAGTGTGATGTTTATTCTGTGGACAAATGGAGCAACATTTAAAAGTTTTAAGCAAGAAAGAGCATGATGAGATTTTGATTTTAGAGAGGTCACAAAGGCCGCAGGGGTGGAGGATGGGTCTGAAAACAGTAGGAATGAGGAGGAGATTGAGGATTACAAGATGGTAGGCAGTAGTGGTGGTGGACGGTAAGGGGAGGTAGACATATTTGAGTGACCTTATGGAGGTAGGAGAAAGACATGAACGGGTTTGGGAGGGGGAGCAGGGACAGGGAGACATGCGGATGAAATCAGCAAATGCTGTGGCATAATTCTGTAACTTGTTTGGAACACAGCTCACCTGGATGCCTTGCTCTTTTTTTGCTGTTGTTGTAGAATATAATGAACTTGAGATATATTAAATGTAATTTCAAATAAGTCAATATATGATATCATTCTAAGCCTCATGTTAGATCCAGCAGCTAAGTGCCAAAGCATTTTTTTAAATTAATAAAGGGAAATTAAAAGTAGGAGAATATTTGGTTTATTACATAAATAGTTTGCTCCTGAGAATTGGGAAAAGGTCACTGTTTTTAATTTTGGTAGTAGAAAATTGGTCTCCTCATTCATGGCCAGCCAGAGCTCAATGAGAGGATAGCTTGCAAGTTGACTTACTGTGAGAAGTTGTGGGCAGAAGCAGAGTCTCTGAAAATTAGACTGAAAAACTAATTCAAAAGTAGATCAAATAATGAAGTGTTCATTGATGTGTTTCCATAGTAGATTTTGTGATTTCTGTATTCTACTTTTATTTATTTATTCATTTTTTTCTTAAATAGATTCGCTTTTCTTAATTTAAATTCATTTTGTAAGAAAATTTTATATTTCTGCCATAGAAGAAAAACCAGTTTCAATTGCTAAAAATGGAAAACATAAAATAAGTAGAATGAAAACAAAACAATGTTATTAAACTCTAGTGAAAATGGCACTACTTGGGAAGGCTCCACGCCTGAAGTCTTAGTGCCTGCCATATTATGGAGCATCTCCAGGAGATTACTCAAAGCCTTCTTTCTGGGCATGCAGCATGACTGCATTTCCCAGAATTCTTTGCAGTGGGCTGTGATCATGTGACTGAGCTCTAGCCAATGAAATGAGACAGAAGTGATGAGTACCTCTTCAAGGACTTTCATAATAAACTTCCATGCTGCCTTCACATTCCCTCTCTTCTCCTTCTCTGTTAGTTGAATAAAAACGAGCCAGATAAAAATCTCTGAGACCCTAGCAGATGGCAGAGCCACAGGATGGCAGAAAATGTGGTCCTTGGGTCACCGTGTGGGAGGCACTCAATCACTTCTGTCTCATTCCGTTGGATAGAACTCAGTCACATAACCACAGCCCACAGCAAGGGAGTCTGGGAAACTGGATCATGAGTCACTGTGTGAAAGGCTGCCCCATAATCGTACTCACTGAATAAAAAATGACTTTGGATTGTGTAAATTCACTGAGATTTTAGGATTTTTTTTTTAAACAGCAGTCAAAATGCTTCGGCTAAAATACTGCTAACGATATGTTTGCCCAAATGGAAACTTTCTCTTTTTAATTTGTAAAATAAAATAGGACAAAATAAATCTTAAAAGCTAAAAATATTTTTTCTCTACAATTTAGTGTGATTTAATGCTGGGTCTATTAGCCTCTAACACCATATTTCATGCACACTCTGGAAAATATCAGAGCAGGTCATCATGTGCCAATCTTTGGAACTAGGACTTTATCTGTCTTAATCACTCATCTCTCTGTTCTCAAGTGTTTCTCCTACCCCAAATTTGCCAGAAGCCTCTTATACATGCTCATTATTAATAATGGCTAGCTAGCACAGCAATTGTTTTTCACCCATAATATGGGTGTGTCATTTTCTGTTGGGTTGGAGTGAAAAAAGCACGTCAAAAACTACAGTAGTGAGACATATTAAATGTTATAGTCAGCTACCACTTCCTCCTCAAACGTGCATGCTTCTGGTTCAGACAGGGCCCCACCTTGTGCTAAACCAAAGCTTCAGTGTCTATGGGTCAGTTTTGAAGGATGCTAAGTAGGGCAGTGACATGATTTGATTTGTGATTTAAAAAGAAAATTCAGGGCCAGGTGCAGTGGTGCTCATGCCTGTAATTTTAGCATTTGGGGAGGCTGAGGTGAGAGGATCACTTGAAGCCAGGAGTTCAAGACCAGCCTGAGCAATATAGTAAGACTCCATCTCTACAAAAAATAAAAATAAAAATAAAATAAAATGAAATAAAAATGTTGATTACAGCAAGATAGATGATTTGGAGGAGATAGGGACTGGAGTCTGGGTTTAGAGCAGAGCTAAATCACATCTTTATTTGTTTTTTGTTGTTGAGAATCAAGTATAAATTAAGTTGTGAAAATGGGTGACTCATATATCTCATATGCTAGAGATGAGTTATTTTAATTTGAACCATAATGACCATTCAAGCTATACTCTTCCATCACAGGTAAAGAGGTAGACATTCATGGATCATGAAAGGAATGTTGGAGATTAATTGGAACTACCGCAGTGTGGCACTGATGCTATAAACTCATTTTCAAATTGTACTTAATTAACATTTGCTTACAAGATCTCCTTTCTCTGCTGAACACCATGAATTTAAACTGTGTTTTTCTCTCTCCTTGTCCATGTCCTTGGCTAGTGTGGAGGCTCCTGTCCAACTTCTTTTCCACTTTATTCCTTTTATAGACCCAGAGATAAATGAATGAGCATTATAATTAACATTTCACTGCGTAGACCCTTGAGGTTCTTTGCAGTCCCACACCCCACTTCTTTTTATTTCCAGGGCAGGAACTTGTCCTGAAAGCCGTCCCACATTTCATGGGGTGACATGGAGTTCTACCCCACCTCTTCCAGGAAGCCTGAAAGTCTCTGGTCCGAACTGACCTCTCTTCTTCAAATTCCTGTAGCACCTGCAGAACAGAATGAATCATTTTCCATCTTGTGCTGTGCTGCGCTTGTGTGTCTGATGTATATATCTGTGTCTTTTATTTTACTTCAAAAAATGACCCGCGGAAAGACACATCCTTGTGCCACCCCCAACTGTTTAATCCGGCCCCTGTGTGCCACATGGAAGGGCGCAGTGACTCAGGAAAGCAGCAAGGCTACTAAACATTGTTGACAAAGGAGCCCACTCCACTGTCCAAGGCAGGGAAGGCTTCACACATTGTCTCTTTTTAAAACAATGAATTCAAACCAGAAACAGTAAACAGGCATCCACATGTAGGCCAAACTGTTTTGTTTGAATTTAACAAGTTCAAATATTTGAAGATTTTATATAAAAATCTAGATTGGATTAAGAAAATCTGGCACATATACACCATGGAATACTATGCAGCCATAAAAAGGATGAATTCATGTCCTTTGCAGGGACATGGATGAAGCTAAAAACCATCATTCTGAGCAAACTACCACAAGGACAGAAAACCAAACACATGTTCTCACTTATTGGTGAGAATTGAACAATGAGAACACTTGGACACAGGGTGGGGAACATCACACACCAGGGCCTGTTGTAGGGTCGGGGCGGGGGCTGGGGGAGGAATAGCATTAGGAGAAATACCTAATGTAAATGACAAGTTAATGGGTACAGCACACCAACATGGCACATGTATACCTATGTAACAAACCTGCACGTTGTGCACATGTACCCTAGAACTTATAGTTAATAAAAAAAATTCAGACCCTCACATAGAGGGACATCTCTTTTTATGGCCTTATAAAGAAGTAAGACTAATGGAGGGAATACTTTGACCAATTTAAAAAAAAAATCTAGATTCCTATCCTTTCCCAGAAAGTCATATGATCTGACAAACCTAGTTCAACTTACACACAGCAGCTGTGCAGTGGGGTGAAATAACAGCTGTTCCTCTACATGATGGAGGAGGGCATGAGCCCTGCCAGTTTCCACTCTGCCCACTGCACACAGTGACTGGCTTAACTGCCTGGACTCGGTCCTTAAAAGTCATTTGATTTTGCAGTCCCAGAGCCTGTGCTCTCTCTGAGATTTCAAGTTTTCTCTTTGGATGTGTATCTTAACGTTTGCTGTGTGTGTGTGTGTGTATGTGTGTGTGTGTTTAAAAATTCACCTGCTGGATAATTGTAACATAGAGTGTATTTGAACCTCACACTACTTTAAAGGTGATTGGATTTGGGGCATCTCTGCATGTAACCTGGGGATTACAGTGGACTCACAACCACAGACTTCCTACTGCATTATTCTAGATGGACTGACTCCCACTTGGGGAAATGTACTACTTGGGAGAGGAAGAGAAATTCACAGAGTGGATAAAAGGTGGGGTGCCCCCAAGCTCATGGCTATACATCCTCCTGAGACCAGAACCAGCATGCGCTTTCTCAGAGAGCTTAAGGCAGGGGAGTGAGGTCACAAACCAGGGGATCACCCTCCCTGCCCCAGAGTTTTAGCTACTTGAATACTTTAATTTAGACAAAGGAAAAGTCATATTTAAAATACAGTTTTAAAAATCCCTCCCCCATTTTTCCAGATGCTCCAATTTCCACTAGTGACTCCAATACTTCAGTACAATCTCTAATAGCTCCTGGGCTTGCATGGCAGTGCTGAGGACATGCACCCCTCACTAGTCACCAGTGCCCTTGCGGTGGGGTGACTCCAGGAGCTTACAGTATCAACTGGCAGTATTCTTTTTTTTTTTCTATTTTTCATATTGTTTTTATTTTCCAAATTGTTGTCATTCTACTCAATCCTACCCTCAAAACTTTCTTTTGCACTGTAATTTCAGTAATTCTATTTTTAATTTCAGTAATTACATGTTTAATCTCCCTTGTTGGCTGATTTCTTATTTTAAAAAGCATTCTGTTGTTTTAAGGAGCTGACCTCTCTTCCACAGTTCTTGGGACCAACTTTCTTCTTTCTACATCAGTAAATACTTTTCCCTCTACTTGGTGTTCCAGAAATATTGGTTGAAATATCTTGTTTCTGAATTGTCCCTCCTTTCTTTCTATTTTTAAAATTCATTTTTCTCTCTTTAGGGGAAGAGGTGGGGAGACAGAGAGACAGAGGGGGGAGGAATATGAATATAATATATGAATGTGTTTACTCTGCTCAAAAACCTTCAGTAGCAGATTTAATCAATGGAATGTTGATGAATGAATGGGTCCCTTAGGGAGCCATGTCTTTTTCTCCTTCCATGGGAAGACAGCTCTCGGTTTTCATCTGTTTTTGAAGGGGGATTATGACCCATGGCAGTGTCAGCTAGCCGTACCCCAAAGCCTGTGCCTCCTTCTGTGGTGTGAAGCTGGCTGGCCAGGGATATGTTTCCCTTTACCTCCAGATGTGGCCATGTGAAAAGTTTTTTGGCAGTGCTGCATGAGCAGAGTAATGATGTAGGTGGACAGGTGAGCCCCAGAATTGAGGCTTAGCCTGGCAGTGTTCTTGGCTTTGCCCAGGAAAAAACTCAAGGGCGAGCCAGTGGTGTGAGATGGCAATTTTTCATTGAACAGTACTGTTCCTTGTGGGTCAGGGATAATTCATAGGCAGTGCGCCCAGAGTCCACAGGCAATGGTATTTACACTTTCTTATGTCCACTTTAATTCCATGCAAATTGAGGGGTGGGTTATTTAGAACTTTCTAGGAAATGGGTGGCAATTTCCAGGTCGCTGCCATAGAAAGGGGCAGTAGCTTCCTGGTTATCACCATGCATTTATAAATTGTCATGGCAGTTGTGGGAGTGCCTTGTGCTCTCGTGCTAATGCACAGTGAGGGCAGCCAGGGGTCCCTTTCCTTGCCATCTGCTGGTCTCTGCTGGTTTCTTCACTTCATCTCATTGGGACTGAGAAACAAGTGCTGATGTCCTACCTCGGTAAGATGGGTCACATCCCGACTGCTTTTAGGGAGCAGGCGCGCCCCCTACACTGTATCTTTCTCTTTTGGCTGATTGACTGCAGAAGCCTCTGAGGCCTTAGGGGTGGTACAGCCACAGATGGAAGGAGACGGTCACTGAACCTCCACATGAGGAATGCGGCTTGCTCACCCACAACAGCCACAGTAGCACCCTGCTAGAAGCGAGCTCCTGTTGTGGTAAGCCACGGACATTTCCGGGTTTTTTTGTTAAACAGCTAGCAGTGCTCTAAGTAAAATAGCCTTCCAAAAAGATGAGCACCACTGTCCCAAGGCATCTTTGGGGTGTAGCAATGCTCAAGAAGCCCTCAAACCACAATGACAACGCAGCTGTCAGGATCCCAAGACTGGGATCATTTGTCTTTTCTTGAAAATATCTCTATTGTTCAGTTTTCAGGGGACTTTACATGCCAGCTGGTAGCAAATGCTTCTGCTGTTTTACAAGTTGGTAGTTTTCTCTTCTTGGCATGGTGAACGTGCCCTAAAGGCCTGATGTCAGGCTCCATCCTCCATGTTAAAATAGTGAGTTCTTAACTTTGTGTAATGATTTCTAGTTTTCAAAGTGCTTACAAAGCATTAGTTCATCCACAAAAACCAAAAGGAGAAAAAGAAATCGGAAGTCTATTTGCAGGGATAAAGTCAGTGCGAGAGGAATTAGAGGGACTTCAAAATTTCACGGGATCAGGCTCCACCATGTAGGCACATCCCACCCCTCTCCCCCTGGGACAGACCTGGGGAAGGGCCCAAAGAGTGCCTCAGGGCTGCTCCCACCCCCACCTTTGACATGGTCTTTAGGTTTGTTAATGGCTCTGTCCCTTAGGCTCCAGCTGAGCTCATGGCTTCTCTTGCTCGGGCTCTGGAAGGCAGCCTGTCCTTTAGATGTCCTTGACTCCATCCAACCTCAATCTATTATGCCTTAGTTTTGTAATTTAGCTCTCAGAGTTTCAAGGGTGCCTTGTTGGCACCTCTATGTAACAGCTGCATTGCCATCTTACAGACGTGAGGATGGAAGCAAAGAGAGAGGAAGGCCTTCACTCAAGGTCACCCAGTGAGTAAAATGCAGAGGGAGAACAAGGGCGATTTAGAAAACAATGCTGCTGGGCCCCTGAATCTGTGTTCCTCATCTCCCAGAGGCTCACTGTTGGGTGAAGAGACAGGTACCTGAGGACATAACCAGGTGTCCTGGCTGAGCCTGACTAAGGTGGATGGGGGCATGGGAGTCCTGGGGCTCTTTTCACTTCCTCTGTAAATACTCCATTAACATGGAAACTTGATGTCAGGGATGGACGTTCAGTTTGGGGCAGGCATATTGAGAGAGGCCCAGTGGAAGCCAAGCCAAGAACCCAGGAAGCAGAGGCCCTGGGAAAGAAGCACCCTAGGAAGAGGGCCTGGGAGAAAAAGTTGGATTCAGTACCAGGAGTGAGGCTCCAAGCCCCTCCTGACCTGCCCTGCTGCAGCATGTGTGCCCCTCTTGGGGAGAAAGCGGGACATGTTCTAAGCAGAGGGAGTAATCCTGTGGGATCCATCCTGTTACCGGGCCTCTTGAAGTGAGGCTAACACAGGTGGGGGCATCATTTTCCTACCCATACCACAGTGAGGGAATGAACAGCTGTCCTGAATACGATGGTGGCATCAATGACGTCATGGTTTGGGGGTGGCTGAAGCCTCCCTGGGGTGAGTGGTTTGAAGGTGAATTAGAGCAACACAGCAGCAATGCACTGAGAAGTGGAAGGGACGGACCTGCGAGGGTAGTAAGACCCAAAACAGCTCCCAAGTTATTCTGATGCACACTTCTGATTCAGACCGTGGAGGAGCCTTGAAGAGAGGAGGCTGGGCTCCCATATTTCCATGGGGGTGTCTATCAGGCTGTAGAAAGACAGGCTACAGCCTGTGATACATCATCAGTACTTGCAGACACAAGGCCTGGCAGCTCTAAGCTACTCAAAGTCCTGATGACATGTACTTATCAAAAGAGCTCTAGCAAGGAGAAGAGGTGATACTGATCAAGTGCATGGGAAGCTGGGGTGCCTAAGCTCCTAGGCCAGGCCTTTCCTTCTCAGGAGCCTCCTCCTGGAGGCAGGATGCTGAGGAACCTAGCTCCTTCCAGGATGCAGCCCCATCTATGCACTCGAGAGTCTACATCTCTGAAACTGGGTGTTGGAAATTCTCCAGGTTTTTGATGTTTTGTGAATTTTTCTCATTCTCTCTCCTTCCTTCCTTCCTTCCTTCCTTCCTTCCTTCCTTCCTTCCTTCCTTCCTTCCTTCCTTCCTTTACCTGAGAGAATTTTTCACTCTGCTGCCTAGGCTGTAGTTCTGTGACATGATCATAGTTCACTGCAGCCTCAAACTTCTGGGCTCAAGCAATCCTCCTGCCTCAGCTTCCTGAGTACTTGGGACCACGGGCATGCATCACTACACTCTGCTAATCTGTGTATTTTTTGTGAAGACAGGATCTTGACATGTTGCTAAGGCTGGTCTCAAACTCCTGGGCTCAAGTGATCCTTCCACCTTGGCCTACTGAAGTGCTCCAATTACAGGCATGAGCCACTGCACCCTGCCTGTGAGTTTTTCATTTGTTTTCTTTGTTCTGGTACATTCAATTTCATAACTTAGAGAAGACTTACTCCTCCCTAAACTCTTAGCAAATGCACCTGGATTCTTCATTTTTGCTGTCTGTTGCTGCTTTGCCCCATGTCTCTGGTTATTCCCTGAATTTTACTAAAAATCCACTCAGAAGCTCTTTAGTTTAATTAGATCCCATTTGTCAATTTTGGCTTTTGTTGCCATTGCTTTTGGTGTTTTAGTCATGAAGTCCTAGCCCGTGCCTATGTCCTGAATGGTATTGCCTAGGTTTTCTTTTAGTGTTTTTATGGTTTTAGGTCTAACATTTAAGTCTTTAATCCATCTTGAATTAATTTTTGTATAAGGTGTAAGGAAGGGATCCAGTTTCAGCTTTCTACATATGGCTAACCAGTTTTCCAAGCACCATTTATTAAATAGGGAATCCCTTCCCCATTTCTTGTTTTTGTCAGGTTTGTCAAAGATCAGATAGTTGTAGATGTGTGGTATTATTTCTGAGGGCTCTGCTCTGTTCCATTGATCTATATCTCTGTTTTGGTACAAGTACCATGCTGCTTTGGTTACTGGAGTCTTGTAGTATAGTTTGAAGTCAGGTAGCATGATGCCTCCAGCTTTGTTCTTTTGGCTTAGGATCGTCTTGGTAATGCGGGCTCTTTTTTGGTTCCATATGAACTTTAAAGTAGTTTTTTCCAATTCTGTGAAGAAAGTCATTGGTAGCTTGATGGGGTTGGCATTGAATCTATAAATTACCTTGGGCAGTATGGCCATTTTCATGATATTGATTCTTCCTATCCATGGGCATGGAATGTTCTCCCATTTGTTTGTATCCTCTTTTATTTCGTTGAGCAGTGGTTTGTAGTTCTCCTTGAAGAGGTCCTTCACATCCCTTGTAAGTTGGATTCCTAGGTATTTTATTCTCTTTGAAGCAATTGTGAATGGGAGTTCATTCATGATTTGGCTCTCTGTCTGTTATTGGTGTATAGGAATGCTTGTGATTTTTGTACATTGATTTTGTATCCTGAGACTTTGCTGAAGTTGCCTATCAGCTTAAGGAGATTTTGGGCTGAGACAATGGGGTTTTCTAGATATACAATCATGTCATCTGCAAAGAGGGACAATTTGACTTCCTCTTTTCAAAATAAACTACCATCAGGGTGAACAGGCAACCTATAGAATGGGAGAAAATTTTTACAATTTACCCATCTGACAAAGGGCTAATATCCAGAATCTACAAAGAACTTAAACAAATTTACAAGAAAAAGTCAAACAACCCCATCAAAAAGTGGGTGAAGGATATGAACAGACACTTCTCAAAAGAAGACATTTATGCAGCCAACAGACACATGAAAAAATGCTCATCATCTCTGGACATCAGAGAAATGCGAATCAAACCACAATGAGATAGCATTTCACACCAGTTAGAATGGCGATCATTAAAAAGTCAGGAAACAATAGGGCTACAGAAGATGTGGAGAAATAGGGAAACTTTTACCCTGTTGGTGGGACTGTAAAGTAGTTCAACCATTGTGGAAGACCGTGTGGCGATTCCTCAAGGATCTAGAAGTAGAAATATCATTTGATCCAGCCATCCCATTACTGGGTATATACCCAAAGGTTTATAAATCATGCAGCTATAAAGACACATGCACACATATGTTTACTGCGGCACTATTCACAATAGCAAAGACTTGGAACCAACCGAAATATCCATCAATGATAGACTAGATTAAGAAAATGTGGCACATATACACCATGGAATACTATGCAGCCATAAAAAAGGATGAGTTCATGTCCTTTGTAGGGACATGGATGAAGCTGGAAACCATCATTCTGAGCAAACTATCACAAGGACAGAAAACCAAACACTCCATATTCTCACTCATAGGTGGGAATTGAACAATGAGAACACTTGGACACAGGGCAGGGAACATCACACACTGGGCCCTGTCATAGGGTTGGGGGGGCTGGGGGAGGGATAGCATTAGGAGATATACCTAATGTAAATGACGAGTTAATGGGTGCATCACACCAACATGGCACATGTATACATATGTAACAAACCTCCATGTTGTGCACTTGTACCCTAGAACTTATAAGTATAATAAAAACAACTTATAGGTACAATAAAAAATCCACTCAGAAAACATTTTGTAAGTTTTTTAATGCTTTTTGGAGGATTTCAGGCTATGAGGGATGGTAACTTTGCACACTGCACAGCTGCCTACCGTAAATATCTTCTCTTTTCTTTCTTAACCTGCTTTCCTTCACCTTTTTCTCCCACCCGCCTTCAGAGCAAACCTGTTCTCCTCTTTGGTGCAGAGCTCATTTCCACTGTTCCTCTCCCTCAGCATTAAGGCTGTACAGCTCCCACCCTCAGCATCTGAAGGTATTTCCAACAAATGCCACCCTTCCTTCCCCTTCCTAAGAGAGGTGTTTGGGGAAGAATATTCCTTCCTCTTCTGGTTTCTAGTTTATTTCTCCCAAGTAGCTTCTTTCCCTCTTACATCAGAGCTTTCACCAGCAGACATCAACTCATTGACTTATCTTTCAGGGTGCATCCTGGAGAGGTTAAAAACAAACAAAAACAGACTCAGGATTTCCACCCATGATTTTCTTTCTGTTGTTTTAAGAACCATAGCTATTATTTCTGTTGTTCTAAGAACCACAGCAGTTATTCTGGGGCCATCTCCCATCATTAAAAATCTAATCTTTTGTTTTGTTTTGTTTTTTGTTTTTGAGACGGAGTCTTGCTCTGTCGCCCAGGCTGGAGTACAGTGGCACAATCTCGGCTCATTGCAACCTCCGCCTCCTGGGTTCAAGGGATTCTCCTGCCTCAGCCTCCTGAGTAGCTGGGATTATGGGTGCACACCACCAGGCCTGACTAATTTTTTTTTTTTGTCTTTTTAGTAGAGATAGGGTTTCACCATGTTGGTCATGCTGGTCTTGAACTCCTGACCTTGTGATCTGTCCACCTTGGCCTCCCAAAGTGCTAGGATTACAGGTGTGAGCCACTGCACCGGGCCTAAAAATGTACTTTAAAAAATATATTTTATGTTAGATTCTGTACATGGGCAGATTTATTACATGGGTATTTTGAACACTAGTGGGAATTGGGCTTCTAGTGTATGCATTCCCCAAATAGTAAACATTTCACCTAATGGGTAATTTTTCAACCATCACCTCCTCACCTTCACTGCTTTTCGAGTCCCCAGTGTATATTATTTTCATCCTAGTATCTCTGTGTGCCCATAGTTTAGCTCCCACTTATAGGTGAGAACATGTGGTATTGGGCTTTCTGTTTCTGAGTTACTTCACTTAGGATAATGGCCACCAGCTGCACTCATGTTGCTGCAAAGAACATGGTTTTATTCATTTTTATGGCTGCATAGTATTCCACAGTGAATCTATAGCACATTTTATTTATCCAATCATGTATTGGTTGACACTTATGTTGATTCCATGACTTTGCTATCGTGAATAATGCTGTGATGAACATCTGAATGCAGGCGTCTTTTTAATACAATGATATATTTTCCTTTGGGTAGATACCTAGTAGTGAGATTGCTGGGTCACATGGTAGTTCTATTTTCAGCTCTCTGAGACATCTCCGTACTGTTTTCCATACAGGATGAACTAACTTATGTACCTACCAACATGGTATGAGCCTTTCCCTTTCTCTGTATTCATGACAAATCTGTTGTTTTTTTATTTTTTATTTTTTTGAGTTTTACTTTAAGTTCAGCGGTACATGTGCATGCTTGTTGGATAGATAAACTTGTGTCATGAAGGTTTGTTGTACAGATTATTTCATCACCCAGATATTAAGCCTAGTACCCATTAGTTATTCTTCCTGATCCTCTCCCTCCTCCAACCCTCTACCCTCCATTAGGCCCCAGTGTGTGTTGTTCACCTCTATGTGTCCATATGTTCTCATCATTTAGCTTCTACTTAACAGTCACAACATGCAGTGTTTGATTTTCTGTTCCTGTGTTAGCTTGCTAAGGATAATGGCTTCCAGCTCCATTCATGTCCCTGCAAAGGACATGATCTTGTTCTTTTTATGGCTGCATAGTATTCCATGGTGTGTATGTACCACATTTTTTTTTATCCAGTCTACCATTTATGGGCATTTAGTTGATTCCATGTAATAATGGATATTCTGATTGGTGTAAAATGTTATCTCACCATGGTTTTAGTTTGCATTTCTCTGATGATGTGATGTTGAACTTTTAAAAATGAGTTTGTTGGCTGCTTGCATGAAAATCTGCTCTTTGCTGGCATTCTGGTCATCCCCCTAAGCTTCCAGAGAGAAAATAATGGCTGGGTATAAAATGGAAGGTGTGGCCAAACATGGTGGCTCACACCTGTAATCCCAGCAGTTTAGGAGGTTGAGGTGGGCAGATCACCTGAGGCCAGAAGTCCAAGAACAGCCTGGCCAACATGGTGAAACCCTGTCTCTACTAAAGATACAAAAATTAGCCAGGTGTAGTTGTGGGTGCCTGTAATCCCAACTACTTGGGATGCGGAGGCAGGAGAATCACTTGAAACCAGGAGGCGGAGGTGGCAGTGAGCCTAGATTGAGCCATTGCACTCCAGCCTGGGCGACAGAGTGAGACACCGTCTAAAAAAATAAGGAAGGTGTGAGGCACTGACTCATTGAATGATCTCCTATGATTAATGAGGGAAACTCTGGGACAGTATTCAACAAGTGGCTGAAAACATGGAACAAACAGGTGTTTTGAGATCTTGGGGAAAGGAGGTACCAACAGTCCTGGTGCCTAGAACAGTGCCTGGCATAGAGCTGGGACTCAGCGATGAGATGGATAAAGGCCTTCCTGAGTGGATAAGGCTTGAAAGTTGGTGGAGATTTGAATGGGGAAGGGGAGGAGCAAGTTGAAAGGGCAGTACAGGTCCAAGTTTGGAGCTGGTGATGAATGCTGTCATTTTGGTGTCTGAGTGGGCCTCTGGCCTGACTAGCCCACAGGAAGCAACAAGTGGGCCAAAGCAGGGGCCCGAAAGGCTGGGTTTTTGGAAGTGGAGAACCAAGCAAGCATTACGGGCAAGGGGTGTTGTACATGCAGTGGTGTTTTATGGAGATTGATAGGGTTTAGTGTGTTGGGTATTCCCAGGGGGAGAGAAAGATGGATGATGAGAGAGACAGGCTTGGAACCAAGGTGCTGTATGGCATACCCCAGGCCAGGGACTGCCAGGCGTGAGGCTTCCCCTCCTCAGCCCCATATGCAACCCTGGCACGTGTTCCCTTGGACTTCTCAATCCTAGCACAGACACTAATCAAGTTAGGACTAGAGTTCCTGAAAGATAACCTTCATGGGTTATCTTTCATGGGATCTGCACTTTCTTTAAGGGGAGAGAATGCTTTCATGTCCTCCTTCAATTCTCCTGCTTCTGGCTTTGAACTTGAGCTGCTCCTTTCTCTAATAGAACCCAGGAAAAGGAACACTTTGATTTTTCATAGCAGGAGGGGCAGGTCCAGCCTGATTTATTTATTTACTTTTTCACATGAGGGGTGTGCTTTTTTGCCTTGTTTTGAAATCAACAAGAATGCACAACAAACCCAAGCCTTGGAGACAGTGATAGTCTCCTGGTTGTGTTGCCGAGCTCTGGCATTCTGCTTAAGGGAGGCTGTCATCAGAGTACAGTGTAGGTGGCTACTACTGGAAAAGAATGCCAAAATTTCTCAGATGTCTATGTGTCAGGGTGGGAATTAGCTGCTCACCCAGAGGCTTCAGTGGGGAGGGGACTGCCACTGTCCACCTGGCATCCTCTGCAAGCAGGAGCTGCTTCCAGCAGTGTACCTGGCTCTGATTGGTTTCTGATGGAGACAAAAGCCTGAAGTCTCATGATTCCCTATGCAAGATCGTGGAAACTTGCAAGGTCGGGATTTCATGGCAGAGGGCGGGCCAGACGCAATTCCCCTGCCTCCAGCCTCCGCATGCATCCTTGCTTCTTTTCTCTCTTCCTTTCCCTCCCTCTCCACTTTCTTCTTAATCTGTTCCTCTTTTCTTTATTATCACCGTTCCTCCTTTCTTATTTAAAATCACTTAAAGAAGCCAGGCATGGTGGCTCAGGCTTGTAATCCCCACATTTTTGGAGGCCAAGGCAGGAGGACTGCTTGAGGCCAGGAGTTTGAGACTAGCCTGGGCAACACAGGGAGACTCAATCTCTATAAAAAGAAAACAAAATTAAAAATTAAAATAATTAGCCAGGTTTGGTTAATTTTTTAATTAACCTGTGGTCCCAGCTACTTAGGAGGCTGAGGTGGGAGGATCACTTTAGCCTAAGTACACTCCAGCCTGGGTGACAGAGCAAGACCCAGTCTCTTAAATAAATAAATAATAAAATCACTTAAAGGGATATTACACAAAATTGAGGCATGCAAATAATGTTTGGACAATTCAAACATTTACCCTGATTCGTTTGATGATATTTCCTATCTTCAGAATTTCCTCTTGGGTAAGGCATACATGAATGTGCTTTTTTAATCGGAGAAAAAAATTCTAAATCTGCAAGTCTAGCCCAAGCTTACAACTGAGAATCATGCTAAAGACCTCCCTCATTATGGGCAGGCCATACTCCAAAGTCCCGGGGCCCTTTTTCCAGGAGACGGAGACAGGTGGAGGTGTCCCAGGCTGGGCTAGATCACCAAGAGAGACGTAGCCAGAGCCTACATGTGCTGTCTTCAGGTTGGCCTGGCTTCCTGAGACAGGTGAAGGAGAGAGACAGATAATTACGCTGGAGCTGTGGTGGTGTCACACAAGTAGCTCAAGGCTGTTGGGACTGGCCAATGCCATGCATGTTCATGGGTCAACCTCTTCGGAGAATACACGTGCATGTTTCACACTTGCTTTTGCTTTGCCTCTACTTGCAGGAGAGTTCAGGATCATCAAGAAGCTGGCAGCTTGCTCTGCCAATGCAATGTTGGCAGCAGGCGGTGGGTAACTGACTGTACTTTGTGTTCTTGCCAGCCCCTCCCGTCTCTTCCCCAGTCAATCATTTGAGGGACCCATACCTCGCAGCTTCCTTGTATGACACCATGCTTGCTGCAGAACATAAGGAAATAGGAGGCAGCTTCTCCTTGCCAACACCGGACAGAAGAGATAAAGTCACACCATAATGCACTCAACTGCAATTTCTGAACTCTGTGCACTTACTGGCTGCTTTCCCCTGGTATTTAACATTTTAGGCCTAGGCTTGTCTTCAAGGTAGGGCCTGAGGACGATCTACATTCCAGTCCGCAGGTATGTTTATTAAAAATGGAGATTTCTGGCCGGGCACGGTGGCTCATGCCTGTAATCCCAGCACTTTGGGAGGCTGAGGCAGGGGGATTACGAGGTCAAGAGATCGAGACATCCTGACCAATATGGTGAAACCTAGTCTCTACTAAAAATACAAAAAATTAGCTGGGCGTGGTGGTGTGTGCCTGTAATCCCAGCTACTCGGGAAGCTGAGGCAGGAGAATCGCTTGAACCTGGGAGGCAGAAATTGCATTGAGCCAAAATTGCGCCACTGCACTCCAGCCTGGTGACAAAGTGAGACTCTGTTAAAAAAAAAAAAAAATGGAGATTTTGGGCGACTTCATGGTTTTCCGAAGTGATTGCTGTGAATGGGGCTTGGAAGCCCTGGGAAGCATTTGTGTGCACATTCACATTGAAGCAGCACTGCTTCCTGACAAGTAAGAAGGGGACCTGCCCGGCACTGTCTTCCCTGGCATTGTCTTCCAGGGCTCAGCACAGTGCCTGCTGCACACTCAGTCATTCATAACCATTCCACGATGACGAACATGCAGCAGGTAATTCCCTCTGTGGTGTTCATGGGCGCTTTCTCTCTACTTCTCTTATTGCCATTCCCTATCCCAGGGCTCTACAGCCCCTTCTTTCTTGCCTCGAGGAGGAATGGAGGGCAGAGCACAGCATAGTTGGCAAGGCGGCCTGTCCTGGTTGCTGTCTCTGAAGCCCCTCGGGGAGGTACGCCAGGGAGGAGATTGGAGAGGGACGTCACGGAGGAACACAGAGAGTGGGAAGGATTTTGCAGGACTCAAATTAGATTCCTTCCTGATGGAAGGTTGGGGGAGGCTTGTGGCTTTCAGGATCAGAGACTTGCAATGTGTCTGTTTCCTGAGATTTATAAACCTGAAGTTCAGCAGCAGAAGGGCCAGCCTGGAGGGGCCGTGTACCTGGGATGGACACTTCTGTGGAGCTCACCAAGTTCCAGGTGCTGTCCTAAGTGCTTTGCGCATATTACCTCATTCAATCCTCAACATCCCCATGAGGCAGTTACTGTTCTTATCTTCTTTATACAGATGGGGAAACTGAGGCTCACAAAAGTCAACAGCTCACCCAAGGTGACCCAGCTAATAATTTGCAGAGGCAGAATTAAGATCTAGGTCATCTGATTCTATGGTTCATGCCTTAACTAGGACCTTTGTGCCACTTGGGTGAGGTTGGATTTGGTTTTCAAAGAATGGGCAGTTCTGAGAATGACAGAAGCTAGAGGAATGTGGGCTCAGAGTTGAAATTACGGTAACTTAAAAACAAAACAGAAATGTGACATTTTGGACATACCATGGCTTTGGGTTGGGATTTGCCAGGTAGGAAGGGGCAGACAGGTGCAAGGAGACTTCATGGTGAGTGCAGAGATTCATGCTGGCCACAAGTCAATGAATGGTAGTTGCTTAACCCTAACTTACGATGATCTCCTGATGGGAACCAGTTTATTCCTCTCTGGATGCCCTGATGCCCGAGCCCAGATGAGTTAGCATGCTTCCCTCTGATCGTGGCTGGGAAGCAAGGGCTTTCCCAAGACTGGGTACTCGATTCCTCATCCCCAGGAGAGTGGGACATAAGTGCCTGAGGCTGAGTTTTCCAAGAAGCAGGCCCTGAGACAAGGATGTGAACACAAGCGTTTGCAGGAACTATGGTAGTGAGATGGGCGTGGTGGGGGGTGGGGGTGGTGCCACAGACAATATGAGCAGATTATCTGTCATCGTGGGCAGCAGGGGTTCAGTGTTAGCATGGGACCTTTAGTAAGGGACATGGGTGTCATGTGATAGTTGTTCCACTGAGGGCTGAGAATGCTGGTTATGTGTCTTCTGACTTCAGCTTGTCTCTGTCTTTGCCTGAGGGCTGCTGGGGAGGGGAGTAGCATTAGTGCCCTCCTGTATCCAGCCTGACCCCATCCCTGTGCAGAGAGAGCACCAGGTGGGGCAGTGTGGACAACGGCAGGATGCCTGTAGGTGATTAAGGCAGAGAGGATGGGGCCGGGGCTGTCTCCGCTACAGTCTCCCAGAGCCTTAAGTAGAGCTGTCCTGGGCCTCTGCCCACTGCCGCCCTTTCCCCATGATGCACAGCTGGTCATTCCTTGAGGCTCCCAAGGATTTGGGATTAGAATGCTGTGTGTTAGAATGCTGGCCGGCAGACCGCATCTGCTCCATATCTGTGCATGTCTGTCAGGAGCCATTTCTGAATGTGCTGCTTAGTGGTTGGTTTTGGGCTCCTGTTTTGCACCGAGAAGCCTTCTGCAAGTCGCTTTTTCTGACACGTTAATTAACAGCTTGTAGGAAGATACAAGTTTGCTGACAAAATGACACATTTAAGCTGTGACACAGTTAATCAGTAGTTTGGTGTGGGATCCAGCACAGTAAACAGCCTTTCTGCAGCTCTCACTGGGGCCGATGTGGGGATGCTGTGTGGTGGCCTGTCCTCCTGCCGGGGCCATCCTCCTGGGACCCCCATTCCTGTGTCTCCCTAATGCCTCTTGAAGGTGGCCCTGATTGTTTTTGCCTGATTTGCATAGTCCTCATAGTTAAACCATTTTTTAAAAAAAATCTATTTCCCTCTTACACAAAGATGACTCCTACTTTTGCTCACCAATCTCCTCTGGATGTTTCTTTTCCTTTCCCACCACTGTTCACCGATTCCTCTCTGCAAACCATCCTTGTCCCCAAATCAGATCCAGTTTCACCTCCTCCTGTTGCAGCACACGCTTGGAGGGGGAGAAAGAATGAGGAGGAGTGGGGAGGAAGAGAGAGAATGTGTGAGTGTGTTTCTATCAGGGTGGGCAAAGTGCATTTGACCCGCAGGCCTGCCTTTGTGAGTGGCATTGTGTTAGAAGCAGCTACACTCATGGTTTACTGCGTGCATACAGCTGCTTTCTCACTACAAAGGCCAAGTTGAGTGTCTGTGACAGAGATAGTCTGGTCTGCAAAGACTAAGATATCTGCTAGCTGGTAATTTACAAACAGTGCTGCCTATCCCTGGTTTATATTAATATATTCCTGAACTTGCTCAGAAAAAGCTTAGGCAGCTGAACAAGGACTTACAACATGTAGACATTTAACTGTGCCCCTTCATACCCCCTTTACTCTGCTCCACTCTGTTAAGGCCCCAGGAGGCTGACCTGGGCAGGCAGCGTTTCCTTGATCCAGGTTTGCGTTTGACCCATGAGAGGGCAGAGGAGATCAGAGGGAAGGAGGGGAGTTGGTTTTTTTCTGGATTATTTGGGCTGGCTGTCTCTCTTGGCCAAAGGCCAAGGCTCCCATCAAAGGCCCTCTCCTCTACTGTGTGACTGGCCCTGGGATGTTGCACTATTCTTTTGGATTTCCTACACTCTGCCCACACTTTTACACATGATATCTTCATTAAGATATCATGTATAAAATAGCAATATTATTCTCTCCTCAAATTGTCCAATTTAGGTGAGCCATCTCTTTACTGCAAGGACTCTGATTGACACAATAATAAATTAAAGCTTTTTATAGTTTCTTTCCTTAAAAACATTTATTTTAGATTCAGGAGGTGCATGCGTAGGTTTGTTACATAAATACATTGTGTGTTACTAAGGTTTGGGCTTCTATTGAACCCATCACACAAATAGCATAGTACGTAGAACATAGTACCCAATAGTTAGTTTTCAACCTTCTGCCTTCTCCCTCCCCACCTAGTAGTCCCCAGTGTCTGTTGTTCTCATCTTTACATCCATGTATACTCAATGCTTAACTCCCATTTACAAGTCAAAGCATGGTGTATTTGACTTTCTGTTTCTGCATTAATTCACTTAGGAGAATGGCCTCCAGTTGCATACATGTTGCTGCAAAGGACAGGATTTCATCCTTTTTTCATGTCTGTAGTAGTCTGTGGTACATATGTACCACGCTGACCTCTGCAAAGAATTTATGACTAAGTCCTCAAAAGTAAACACAACAAAAACAAGAATTGACAATCGGGACCTAATTAAACTAAAGAGTTTCTGTACAGTAAGAGAAACTATCAACAGGGTAAACAGGCAACCTACAGAATGGGAGAAAATATTCAAAAATGATGCATCCAACAAAAGACTAATATCTAGAATCTGTAAGGAACTTAAACAAAGTAACAAGAAAAAAACCAAGCAATCCTGTAGAAAAATGGGCAAAGGACATGAACAGATATTTCTCAAAAGAAGACATAATAGGAATGGTCAACAAACATATGAAAAAATGCCTCACATCACTAATCATGAAAGAAATGCAATCAAAGCCCCATGTAATTTCTAGCCAAAGGAGAGGGCCTTGTGTAATTTGTGGCTGTAATAGATGTGTGCACTCCGCAGTGCACCAGCTCAGGCACCTGGTGACTTGCTGCTCACTGAAGTGTCTGACCAGCACCATGGGGATCACCTGGAACTCGTTACAAGTGCAGAGTCACAGAGCCTAGCCCAGCTGAATCAGTCTGAATTAAATGCAAGCTCCAGGTTCCTTGGTACAAATTCCACTTGTTCCCTTTCTTTTCTCCAACCAAGTGCAGAAGCTCCTCTTCTCCATCTCTTGTCATACACTTTTTGATCTTAAAGTTATCCTGGGGAAGGAGACAGGGGATATTGGAGGGTTTCCTTGAAGGCAACCAGATGGAGCAGTGCTAGTAGCAGACGTGGGGAAGCAGGTGAGGGCCAGGAGGTCTTCAGGCAAGAACTGTGCTGCAGGGCACCTTCTCACACCCTCCCAACAGTCTGCTTCCCAGGCAGCCTCCACCCAGGCTGCCCCTCTACACAAAGCCCTATTCTCTCACCACAGCCCCTCAGGCCTACTCAGGAAGTGCCTTTACAGCCCAGAACTTAAATGGAAGAAAGCCCAATCCTCTCTTCTCTGATGGCTGGGAAGACCAGAAAGACACAGACAAAACCAAAAACGTACAGTCATGCCTGTTTGCTGACTTATAGGGAGGACAGGAGATCTTTGCAGTCTCTCCAGGGGAAGTCTTTGCCCTGGAAAGCTACCTTTTAATGCCAAGTGGCTCCCAGGGCAGCAAGGGGGAATCAGGATGGTTGGTTTCTCCATCGGAACAGGCTTTATGCCATGCCCTGAAGATCCCTCTCCAATCTTCTTCCCCTCCACTAGGAATTGGTGGGTTTCTTCGTTCTACTTTCTTGCCCAAATAAATGTTTTCTGAGTTTTCTTGGTCAACAATTACCTCATGCTACTGCTTCTGTTTCTTTTGAAAGCATTTGCTGAGCATCTGCTATGAACTGAGTCTTCTGAGGGGTGTTGTAGAGACAGAGAGATGGCAGGCAGTTTCTGATTCCAGGAGGGTGTGGGGCTCACAGGAGTGACAGCCACGGCACAGCTGAAACCAGCAGGCTAGGGGACTTGAAGAGGCGGTTGGTGTCCTGCCTGGATCCCCTCGGTGCTTCCTGTATGTGTTCCTGGTATATTTCTGTGAGTGTCTGTCACTCTCCAAGACCTGAAGGCTTTCTCCTGCATCATAAGCAGGGTAAATTGAGAGTTCAGGACACTGACACCCTGGGGAGTACCCTCAGTGATAACCAATAGGAGTGGTAGGGAAACACCTCAGATCCTTGTCCCTACTGTGGGACTGTCCTGTGTGTCACATCATTTCCCAAAGGTCCCCCTGAGGGTATGGGGCCACAGCTGCCTGAGGCCACACCATCCCTGAATGTGCCCTGTGTCGGCTGCCTTCCCTTCCTGTCTCATACCCGACTCATCTACAAATGCTGCCTAAGATTGTCTTTCCAATATTCCCCTTGCACTCAAGGGACACATTATCTCAGTGTCTGCTTCTGAGGAGCTCAGACTAAGACAACAGAGTGTAAAACCAGAAAATCTGAGACAGATCTCAGTTAATTTAGAAAGTTTCTTTTGCCAAGGTTGAGGACGCATCCGTGACACAGCCTCAGGAAGTCCTAAGGACATGTGCCTAAAGTGGTCGGGGCACCGCTTAGTTTTATACATTTTAGGGAGACATGAGACATCAATCAATGTATGTAAAAAGTACATTGCTTCAGCCTGGAAAGGTGGCACACTTGAAGCAAAGGGTGGCACACTTGAAGACATGAAGCGGGGAGGGGGCTTTCAGGTCACAGATAGGTGAGACAAATGGTTGCATTCTTTTGAGTTTCTGATTAGCCTTTCCAAAAGCAGACAAATCAGATATGCATCTAGGTCAGGGGAGCAGAGGGGTGACTTTGAGTAGAATGGGAGGCAGGTTGGCCCTAAGCAGTTCCCAGCCTGACTTTTTCCTTAAGCTTAGTGATTTGGGGGCCTCAAGATTTATTTTCCTTTCACAAGAGACATTAGTGGTGCGTGTGGGTGGGAGACAGAAGCAAAGCTTGTTGGAGTCTGGAAGGCAGGTGAAGGCAGGAGAACATTCTTCAGAAGTGACATTATTGCAAACATTTTTTAAGAATTCCTGTTCATAAAGTCATTGTTAAGACTGTGATGAAAGAATGTTTAAGGAATTGTTATGAAAGTAAAACAGATATTGGGGAAAAATAGGCTAAAAGAGGCAGCTTTTCTCTGTGCTCATACCCCAGCATCTATCCACAGAGGGAGATTCCCCCTTTGCCCCCAAAGGCCTCTTCGCTAGCCTCCACACCTGACTTAGCTACTCCCCTTGGGAGGAGTCCTCAAGAGCCTGTCTTAGCAACATGGTGGACGTGCAAAGTTTTGCTCAAAGAAGAGATTTGTGGGTGAGGAGGAAATTGAAAGTGATTGCATTTTACTGATTTTACTGGTTGACCTAGTGAGAAAAACAGCTGGTGGATGTGCTGTTGGTATAAACCAAAAACTATCTAAGACAGATCTCAATCAATTTAGAGTTTTTTTTTTTCCTAGGTTAAGATCCATGGTTTGTGATACAGTCTCAGGAGGTCCTGGGAACCTATTGATTGGGTTACAGTTTGGTTTTATGAATTTTAGTAAGACAGATGTAGGCAAAAACATAAATCAATACATGGAAAGTATACATCGGTTTGACCCAGAAAGACAGGATGTCTTGAAGCCAGGGGATTCTAGGTCATAGATGGATTCAAAGATTTTTTTTTTGATTGGCAATAGGTTGAAAAGGTTAACCTATGCCTGAAAAGCTTGAAGCCAGCCTTAATACTCAAAGGAATGTAAATTGTCCTACCATAAAGACACATGCATGTGTATGTTCATCACAGCACTGCTCACAGTAGTAAAGACATAGAATCAACCCAGAAGCCCATCAGTAGTGACTGGACATATACATTAAGAAATACTATACAGTCATAAAAAAAGAACAAGATCATGTCTTTTGCAGCAACATGAATAGAACTGGAGGCCATTATCTTAAGTGAATTAATAGAGAAACAGAAAACCATATATCACATGTTCTCACTTAAAAGTGGGAGCTAAACATTAAGTACACATGAACACAAAGAAGGAAACAAGTAACACTGGGGCCTATTTGAGGGTCGAGGGTGGGAGGAGGGTGAGGATTGAAAAATTTCCTATCTGGTATGATGCTGATAACCTGGGTGACAAAATTTTCTATACACCAAACCCCTGCAACATGAAATTTACCCAGTAACAAACTGGCACATGTACCCTTGAGCCTAAAATAAAAGTTGGAAAGAAAAAATAAAAAATGCTTGAATTTAGATAAAGGAGGTTGTGGAAGCCAAAGTACCTACAATGTAAATGAAGCCTCCAGGTAGCAGACTTCAGAGAGGGTAGTTGGTAAAAGATGTCAGGCTGGGCGTGGTGGCTCATGCTTGTAATCCCAGCACTTTGGGAGGCGGAGATGGGTGGATCACTTGAGGTCAGGAGTTTGAGACCAGCCTGTCCAACATGGTGAAACCTGTCTCTACTAAAAATACAAAAATTAGCCAGTTGTGGTGGTGGGCACCTTTAATTCCAGCTACTTGGAAGGAGAATGGCTTGAACTTGGGAGGTGGAAGTTGCAGTGTGCTGAGATAGTGCCACCGCACTCCAGCCTGGGCAACAGAGTGAGACTCCATCTCAAGAAAAAAAATGATAAATAAAGGATGTCAGACTCTCTGGAAAAGACCTAGTAAGGGAAGGAGATTCTCTACAGAATACAAATTTCCCCCACAAAAGAAATCTTTGTAGGGTCATTTCAAAATATGTTAAAGAAACATATTTAGAGAGAAAACACTTTGATTTTCTTCAAAGCAGCATCTGCTGTTTTATAATGCTCTACTTGAGTCAGGTTGGAATTTGGTGTCTTATTGCTACAAACGGTCTATCTTGTCAGTCTTATGATTTCTGTTCTAATGTTAATGCTGGCCAGTTTTACCTAAACTCCAAAGGAAGGCATGTGTGACCGTTCCTTCCCACTATGGCCTGAACTAGTTTTTTGGGTTTCTTTGGGATTTCCTTAGCCAAGAGGGAGTCTATTCAGTCAGTTGGGGGGCTTAGAATTGTAGTTGTGGTTTTCACTGGTCATGTATCAGGGGTAGGGAGAAAAGCCAACCCTGAGGATCCTGCCTCAGCAACTATAAACTTTGTTTTCTAGGGCAGAATCATAGACTCTTAGAATCAAGAAACACAGCTTGCCTACCTTATTATTTTAGCACTGAGGATTACAGGCTAGGCTTGGAAAGATGTTCAGTGGTTGACCATAAATAAAGGCAGCAGGTTTTGTGTTTGTAACCATTTCACAAATGCCATCAAGAGTTCCCTGTGGCCAGCATTCTCGGTAATCCACTTAGTCCTTCAGAGAAGGACCACATCTACTGCAGGACCGTGTCTGCTGCATTCTCACTGTCTGATGATTTTGGTGGCTCTGGAGAGGGCTGCCTCTCTCGACCCAGCCTAGCTGTCCCACTAACTGCAGCTGACAATTCCCAGAGGCAGGCTGATGGAGGTGTGTGCAAGGGATCCAAGAGGGCCCAGAGAGAGTGACTGAAAACAAGGGAAATGCAGATTTGTCACAGCTGTTGGCATCTGAGAAGAGAACCTTATGGCTTTGGTTGGAGAATATGTATTTTCCAGTTTGATTGAGCTCAGTTTTCTAGGGTTGTAGCCCCCAGTTCTGTTTCATTCTGATATGCTGCTGCCTCATACCCAGAGAGGAGCAAACAAGCCTGGAGAAAATCATGTTTGTCTTTTACTAGTCTTACAGCTTCACTAAAAGATAGCAATGCTGAGGTCACAGGGGGAGCGGCACTGTAATGGAGTCTCTACCATGCCTGACCCGTGGCTACTCCAGTCTCAAAGCATATCTGTTAGGTTTTGAATGCAATGTTGAGAGCTGGTGTGAAATGACACATCTGTCCTAAAATGGGTTGAAAACTATGCATGTTTGTTGGAGGAGGAAGATGGTACTGGCAAGACCAGAAATGTGGTGATTTTTAATGTAGTTAAACAGTTTTAGTAGGAATGGCAGCTTGATCCAGCCACCTTTATCCATCTGAACTGGGTCCATCTCTGACCCAGGCTGAGAAATGGTCTGGCAGAACTCCCTGAGGCGGGCACACCTTGTAACATGCACCCTGGTACCTTTGTCCACCTCACCTCAGCCCTCTTCCAGTGAGAGCTGGGGCCATGGCAGACAGTTCCACCCAGGCTCAGGGTCTCCTCTGACAGTCACCAACCTGAAGCTTGTGCTATTTGCCTCTATTTCCAACTCAGCATTTCTCTGATGCTACAGCCCAAAAGTGGGGTTTCAAGAACTATTGCCTCAAGGTGCAGTCCTCAGCAATGAGGGACAGGAACTGGAAAAAAAGCCTACACTGCCTGTCCTGAGATGATAATTCTGGGAGCCATTCTCCATGCCTCTCAAGAGGCCCCGGCAGAACTGAGCTGCTTTTGCTCACAGCAGTGACTTGAACAGTGCATCCTTATATTGGTCAATCTTTATTCTTTTGACCACTCTCTCAGCTCCCACACTCCTGCTTCCTGAGATCACCTCCCAAACAAAATGTCCATTCCTACTTTCTTTTCTCAGGCTTTGCTTTTGGTGTAATTCCTCATGGCTGAATATTTAATTTTAAAAACCTCTGGCAACCAGACTTTCTCTGAATTGAGGGAGTTGACTGTCCCATTTGCCATTCAGAGATACAGCTATCTCTCACTCTGTTTTCATAGTCCCAAAAGAGGTTTTATTTTTTACAGGGCAACGGGTACCAAAGAATTCTGAGAACCTAATCAACTAGCATTTGCCAGGTTTTTGCTAAGTAGTTTGGGGACTACCAAGAAACTTCCATATTACAATACATAAGAAGTAAATGTAATATAAATATAAGACACAAAAATTAGTCAAAAGATGGACATACATGGTATTGGAGTATCGGGGAACCTGCCCTGATAATCACGTAGGTTCTTTTCTATTTTTCCTAAGCATCAGCCAGCTTGAGAAATAAAGGGACAGAGTACAAAAGAGGGAAATTTCAAAGCTGGGCATCCGGGGGAGATATCACACATTGGTAGGATCCGTGATGCCCCACAAGCCACAAAAACCAGCAAGTTTTTATAGGGATTTTCAAAAGGGGAGGGAGTGTGCGAATAGGTGTGGGTGACAGACATCAAGTACTTAACAGGGTAATAGAAAATCACAAGGCAATTGGAGGCAGGGCGGGATCACAGGACCACAGTACCGAGGCAAAATTAAAATTGCTAATGAAGTTTCAGGCACCATTGTCATTGATAACATCTTATCAGGAGACAGGGTTTTGAGATCAACTGGTCTGACCAAAATTTATTAGGTGGGAATTTCCTCTTCCTAATAAGCCTGGGAGTGCTATGGGAGACTGGAGTTTATTTCATCTCTGCAGCCTCAACCATAAGAGACAGGCACACCTGGGGGGCTGTTTATAATCCTATACCTCCAGGCGCGTATTCTCTTTCTCACGAATGTTCCATGCTGAGAAAAATAATTCAGCGATATTTCTCCCATTTGCTTTTGAAAGAAGAGAAATATGACTCTGTTCCACCCAGCTCACCGGCAGTCAGAGTTTAAGGTTTTCTCTCTTATTCCCTGAACAATTGCTGTTATCCTGTTCTTTTTTCAAGGTTCCCACATTTCATATGGTTTAAACACACATGCTGTACAATTTGTGCAGTTAATGCAATTACTACAGGGTCCTGAGGCAATATACATCCGCCTCAGCTGACAGGATTAAGAGATTAAAGTAAAGACAGGCATAGGAAATCACAAGGGTATTGATTGGGGAAGTGATAAGTATCCATGAAATCTTCACAATTTATGTTTAGAGATTGCAGTAAAGACAGGCATAAGAAATTACAAAAGTATTAATTTGGGGAACTAATAAATGTCCATAAAATCTTCACAATCCACGTTCTTCTGCCATGGCTTCAGCTGGTCCCTCTGTTTGGGGTCCCTGATTTCCCACAACATTGAGGAAGAGCTGTGGTCCTGCTTGTCTGGCATTTGCTTTCCCTTCCGCTGGTTAAAGTCCTGCAGTTTCCCTTTGTAGAGCCCACCCAGGTCCATGCTTTATTTTGTGGCTAGCTTGGCTGGTTCCACTCCTGTCTCTTGAGGGAATGGCTTGATTCAAGGATGGCCACTTGGTTTAGTCCGCCCCCCAGGTCACAGTGCTTATTAATTCAGGGATGTCCATGTGGCTCAGATTGGTCCAATAATATTTAGAGCTGGGATTTTTGTTGGACGTTTTGAATAGCACAGTTATTTTTTAGCTGGAGTCACTGAACTGGTAGAAATTGAACTTTGAAGCTGTTGGTGACATTTTTGCCACCACGATGTGAGTCTATTAAATCTGAAGGCAGCTTAAGGAGAAGCCTGGCAGAGACTGAATCCTGATGGTACTGCAAGAGCACCAGGATCCATTTTCATGAGCTCATAGCTTCAGTTTGCTGTCTGAAGTTGAGTTAGGTAGATTTCTAACACTTGTAACTGAAAGAATCTGGACTAAAAAATTATTTTGATACAAGGTGATAACAGCTGAGCCCAAACTGGGATTCAAAGCTTTATCACGTCTTTTAAATTGAGGGGTTGGTAATCCTACTTCTTTCCCAGGTGTCAATTTGCATGAGTTGATAGGGAGGGAAAGGGGCCCACAAGGATGATGTTCCAGCATGGGCTCCAGTGGTCAGAAATGTGCTACTCTGTGCTAACTGATGGTGAGAACAATTTGATATCTATTCTCTCTCTAAGCAATACTAAAATAAGGACTCAGCTGGGGGCTTTGGGAGACCAGGGCCACAGCCTAGATGGTTTGGACTCTGATAACAAGGTCCACACAGATGGAGAAATATCTATTTTCCATGTTTGCCTGAAACACAGCATTACTCTGGTAGAAAGGGACTAAAAGGAGCCCAGGAATTTTTGTGGGACATTGGGAAGCAGAGCTCTGGGCAAGGAAGCATGTTCTCATGAAGGCTGAGATGAGCTCCTCAGGTAGCTGCTGGGAGGTTGCATTCAGCCTGGAGACTGGACTGAGAATGTGTGCATCCCAGAACCTTCCAGACATAATAGGCAGACCTGTGGCAGAGAGGCTGAGGAGGGGTGGTGGTGACACAGTGGACTATCACAGTGGGTGACAGTCCATTTTTATGTAAGCTTGCATAAAATGTTTCAGAGAGAAATCATTCATCTCTTTTCCTCTCCAAGTTGTGAACGAATTGAGATATACACATAAGAGTGAGAAAGATTCAAGGTATCACTTTATTGTTGCTGAAGTTGGTTCGTAGAACATGCTTGGATTTGAGTCTTGCTTATTTTCCACCCAGATACAGGCAGAGCAGCTGGACTGCAGTAGGTCTTTGCTCCTCAATAAACAAAGGAAAGAACATGAATGTGACTTCAGGGCATGCTGGGTTGAAAAGCTCCCAGATGCAGGCTAAGCTGTGATGTGAAGGAATTAGTTAGTGAGTAGAGAAAAGTCCAGAAGATTACTTTTGAAAACTTTTGAGAGGTCAAAAGTTTCTATTTCATGGCTCTTGGCAAGAATGTGGCAGAGGAAGAAAATAGCTCTCTTGACAGTGTGTGCTATGAGTTAGCAAAATTTGGGCATTAACATTAATTTGGCCTCATCTGGATGTTTTACTAGTTATTGAGCTGTTATCTCCCAGCTGCAAACCATGTCTTATACTTTGCTTCATGATGCTGTGATTGGAACCTGCAAACCACATTCCTCTTCTGCCATGGGTCTCTCTGTTAGTTCTGCTAATAGAGGATGCTGGATGGAGACTGGAGAGCTGGGTGAGGAAGACAGGACTTGTTTTTTTGTTTTTTCTTGTTCTGCTCACATCACCCAATAATACTTCTTCACCCCAGTGACGGAAGCTGGTTGCTGTGTTCCTGTTTCCAGGTTTTTCTGCAGTGCCAGAACCAGCCTCATCACATTCCCTTGGAGACACTAACACCAGCCTCCTCCTCATGAGGCTGGCTCCCAGCTTGATGATCTCTCCTCCAAGCTGCAGGCTCTTAGTAAGCACAACTTCCTCCCTCTGCTCCCAGCCTGGGAGCGAAGAGTTTCTCCCTGAAGTTGCTGTCTTAGTGTGCCCTTGCTCTTCCCTCTTGGCTTTTTGTTCCGTCTCCTAGGCCTGTTTAACCAGCTCCCTATGTCAGATTCCTTCTGTTTACAGGACTAGTGTGGTTTCTTTTTTCTTGAGTGAATCTGGCTGATGATGCACAAGCTCAGGGGGCCTGGGACATTCAGTTTACCTGACATGTCCTGTCTGTGATCCTGCCACTGTGAGCCCCAATTTCAGTAAAATGAGGATATTGGAGGAAAAATGTGTAATGTTGCTTTAAATACTGGCATTTGAGGTCAAATATGTCAAATAAGAGTGACAAAAAATGAAGGTGATCAGTTAAGGTTGTGAGGGTTATATAAAAATTCATATAGGGCAACAGAGAAAATGCCATGGTGAAGGCCTGAATCCTGTAAAGTTGCAGGCAAGGTGAAAAGTTAACCAGCCAGTGTTTCTAAGCTTGCCTTTCTAAATTGCTTACTGCTCAGAAGCCATAGCCCCAAGAGGGTTATGATTTGGGTATATCTCTCTCAAACTTGGCTGCAGGCTTTTCTGATTCATGCAGTGACTCAGCAGGTTAGCAGCAAGAGGTGAGTGCTGTAGAGTTTGCTTCTTCCCTCATCTCTTGCCATTCCCCTTCTTTTAGTGTTCTCCATAGCTATGAGTTCCCAAGCCCTTGAAAGTGTGTCTCTCCTCCTGTCTGGTGAAAGGGACTTTAATGGCACATCCCCAAAAGTTTGATATCTGCCCCTATAGTAAGGGGGTCACTGGGAAGTGTAGAGAACAAAACATGCCTGGATAGCTGCTTTAGTGGGGGGAGAAGAGGTGCTGCTGCATGAGGGACATGTGTTCTTCCAGACATTGTTGAGGTGGAAAAAACATGAATGTTTCCTATGGATGAGGATCAGACTTGTCAGGTAAATACCACTGTTGATGAGAAAAGACAAACTCTATAAAATATTTGAGGAGGTTTTTACTGAGCCAAATATAAGTGACCATTGCCCAGGATACAGCATCAAGCTGTTCTGAGAACATGTGGCCAAGGTGATTGGGTTATACCTTGGTTTACTACGTTACAGGGAGACAGAAGTTACAAGCAAAGACATGAATCAATCCATGTGATATATACATTGGTTCAACCAGGAAGGTGGGACATCTTCTAGCAGGGTGTGGTGGGGAGTGGTTTACAGGTGGATTCAAATATTTTCTAATTGACAATTGGTTGAAAAATTTAAACTTTGCCTAGAGAGTTGAAGTTAGCTAAAATAAATGCTTGAGTTAAGGGGAAGATAAAAGCAAGGCTCTTGTTATGTAGATAAAGCCTCTAACTAGCAGACTTCAGAGAAAATAGATGGTAAGTGTTTCTTTTTTTAATGAACCTTAAAAGGTGTCAAACTCTTAGTTGCATCTCCTCCTGGATCAGGAAAACACACATAAAGGGAAGGAGATTCTCTACAGAATGCAAATTTTTCCACAAGTGACAACTTTGCAGGGCAATTTCAAAATACATCAAATACATATGTTTCAGGATAAAATGCTTTGATTTCTTTTAGGACCTGTTATCTGTCATGTGATGCTATACCAGAGCCAGTTGAAACTTGCTGTCCTATTGCTACAAAGAGTCTGTTTTGTCAGTGTTAAGATTTCTGTTTTAATGTTAATGCTGGTCAGTTGGAACTAAACTCCAAAGAGAGGTGGTACAATGAGGCATGTCTGACTTCCCTTCTCAACAAGGCCTTTCTCAGTTTTTCAGGCTTTTTTGGAATCCCCTTGGCCAAGAGAGGGTCTGTACAGTCAGTAAGGGGGGCTTAGAATGTTATTTTTGTTTCACACTTTTTTTTTTTTATCATTATCTCTTTTCTTCTCATCTCCTTCTTTGACTCAGGTAGAGCTTGAAAATTTAATAAGCAATTTGCAGAGAAAGAAGAAATACTAGATAATGAAATGGAGAAAGAACATATTCTTCACCTTTTTTGACTTCCTCTGACCCATCCTTGCAAGTAGCTAGTATGCAATTTTAGGCTTTGCTATGGAAGGGAAAAAATATTTAGTGCTAAGTAACTTTGGAGCTTTGATTATTAGTTGGGACTGGGCAGTTTTACCTAATGAAATTTGACTTAGTTATTTATTTATTTATTTATTTATTTATTTTTATTATACTTTAAGTTTTAGGGTACATGTGCACAATGTGCAGGTTAGTTACATATGTATACATGTGCCATGCTGGTGCACTGCACCCACTAACTAGTCATCTAGCATTAGGTATATCTCCCAATGATATCCCTCCCCCATCCCTGCCCCACAACAGTCCCCAGAGTGTGATGTTCCCCTTCGTGTGTCCATGTGTTCTCATTGTTCAATTCCCACCTATGATTGAGAATATGCGGTGTTTGGTTTTTTGGTCTTACGATAGTTTACTGAGAATGATGATTTCCAATTTCATCCATGTCCCTACAAAGGACATGAACTCATCATTTTTTATGGCTGCATAGTATTCCATGGTGTATATGTGCCACATTTTCTTAATTCAGTCTATCATTGTTGGACATTTGGGTTGGTTCCAAGTCTTTACTATTGTGAATAATGCCGCAATAAACATACGTGTGCATGTGTCTTTATAGCAGCATGATCTATAGTCCTTTGGGTATATACCCAGTAATGGGATGGCTGGGTCAAATGGTATTTCTAGTTCTAGATCCCTGAGGAATTGCCACACTGACTTCCACAATGGTTGAACTAGTTTACCATCCCACCAACAGTGTAAAAGTGTTCCTGTTTGTCCACATCCTCTCCAGCACCTCTTGTTTCCTGACTTTTTAATGATCGCCATTCTAACTGGTGTGAGATGGTATCTCATTGTGGTTTTGATTTGTATTTCTCTGATGGCCAGTGATGGTGAGCATTTTTTCATGTGTTTTTTGGCTGCATAAATGTCTTCTTTTGAGAAGTGTCTGTTCATATCCTTCACCCACTTTTTGATGGGGTTGTTTGTTTTTTTCTTGTAAATTTGTTTGAGTTCATTGTAGATTCTGGATATTAGCCCTTTGTCAGATGAGTAGGTTGCGAAAATTTTCTCCCATTTTGTAGGTTGCCTGTTCACTCTGATGGTAGTTTCTTGTGCTGTGCAGAAGCTCTTTAGTTTAATTAGATCTTATTTGTCAATTTTGGCTTTTGTTGCCATTGCTTTTGGTGTTTTAGACATGAAGTCCTTGCCCATGCTTATGTCCTGAATGGTAATGCCTGAATGGTAGGTTTTCTTCTGGGGTTTTATGGTTTTAGGTCTAACGTTTAAGTCTTTAATCCATCTTGAATTTATTTTTGTATAAGGTGTAAGAAAGGGATCCAGTTTCAGCTTTCTACATATGGCTAGCCAGTTTTCCCAGCACCATTTATTAAATAGGAAATCCTTTCCCCATTGCTTGTTTTTCTCAGGTTTGTCAAAGATCAGATAGTTGTAGATATACGGCATTATTTCTGAGGGCTCTCTTCTGTTCCATTGATCTATATCTCTATTTTGCTACCAGTAGCATGCTGTTTTGGTTACTATAGCCTTGTAGTATAGTTTGAAGTCAGGTAGCCTGATGCCTCCAGCTTTGCTCTTTTGGCTTAGGATTGACTTGGCGATGTGTGCTCTTTTTTGGTTCCATATGAACTTTAAAGTAGTTTTTTCCAATTCTGTGAAGAAAGTCATTGGTAGCTTGATGGGGATGGCATTGAATCTGTAAATTACCTTGGGCAGTATGGCCATTTTCACGATATTGATTCTTCCTACCCATGAGCATGGAATGTTCTTCCATTTGTTTGTATCCTCTTTTATTACCTTGAGCACTGGTTTGTAGTTCTCCTTGAAGAGGTCTTTCACATCCCTTGTAAGTTGGATTCCTAGGTATTTTATTCTCTTTGAAGCGATTGTGAATGGGGGTTCACTCATGATTTGGCTTTCTGTTTGTCTGTTGTTGGTGTAAAAGAATGCTTGTGATTTTTGTACATTGATTTTGTATCCTGAGACTTTGCTGAAGTTGCTTATCAGCTTAAGGAGATTTTGGGCTGAGACAATGGGGTTTTCTAGATACACAATCATGTCGTCTGCAAACAAGGACAATTTGACTTCTTCTTTTCCTAATTGAATACCTTTTATTTCCTTGTCCTGCCTAATTGCCCTGGCCAGAACTTCCAACACTATGTTGAATAGGAGTGGTGAGAGAGGGCATCCCTGTCTTGTGCCAGTTTTCAAAGGGAATGCTTCCAGTTTTTGCCCATTCAGTATGATATTGGCTGTGGGTTTATCATAGATAGCTCTTATTATTTTGAGATACGTCCCATCAATGCCTAATTTATTGAGAGTTTTTAGCATGAAGGGTTGTTGAATTTTGTCAAAGGCCTTTTCTGCATCTATTGAGATAATCATGTGGTTTTTGTCTTTGGTTCTGTTTATATGCTGGATTACATTTATTGAATTGTGTATATTGAACCAGCCTTGCATCCCAGGGATGAAGCCCACTTGATCATGGTGGATAAGCTTTTTGATGTGCTGCTGGATTCAGTTTGCCAGTATTTTATTGAGGATTTTTGCATCAATGTTCATCAAGGATATTGGTCTAAAATTCTATTTTTTGGTTGTGTCTCTGCCCGGCTTTGGTATCAGGATGATGCTGGCCTCATAAAATGAGTTAGGGAGGATTCCCTCTTTTCCTATTGATTGAAATAGTTTCAGAAGGAATGGTACCAGTTCCTCCTTGTACCTCTGGTAGAATTCAGCTGTGAATCCATCTGGTCCTGGACCCTTTTTAGTTGGTAAGCTACTGATTATTGCCACAATTTCAGCTCCTGTTATTGGTCTATTCAGAGATTCAACTTCTTCCTGGTTTAGTCTTGGGAGAGTGTATGTGTTGAGGAATTTATCCATTTCTTCTAGATTTTCCAGTTTATTTGCGTAGAGGTGTTTGTAGTATTCTCTGATGGTAGTTTGTATTTCTGTGGGATCGGTGGTGATATCCCCTTTATCATTTTTTATTGCATCTATTTGATTCTTCTCTCTTTTTTTCTTTATTAGACTTGCTAGTGGTCTATCAATTTTGCTGATCCTTTCAAAAAACCAGCTCCTGGATTCGTTAATTTTTTGAAGGGTTTTTTGTGTCCCTATTTCCTGCAGTTCTGCTCTGATTTTAGTTATTTCTTGCCTTCTGCTAGCTTTTGAATGTGTTTGCTCTTGCTTTTCTAGTTCTTTTAATTGTGATGTTAGGTTGTCAATTTTGGATCTTTCCTGCTTTCTCTTGTGGGCATTTAGTGCTATAAATTTCCCTCTACATTCTGCTTTGAATGCGTCCCAGAGATTCTGGTATGTTGTGTCTTTGTTCTCGTTGGTTTCAAAGAACATCTTTATTTCTGCCTTCATTTCATTATGTACCCAGTAGTCATTCAGGAGCAGGTTGTTCAGTTTCCATGTAGTTGAGTGGTTTTGAGTGAGATTCTTAATCCTGAGTTCTAGTTTGATTGCACTGTGGTCTGAGAGATAGTTTGTTATAACTTCTGTTCTTTTACATTTGCTGAGGAGAGCTTTACTTCCAACTATGTGGTCAATTTTGGAATAGGTGTGGTGTGGTGCTGAAAAAAATGTATATTCTGTTGATTTGGGGTGGAGAGTTCTGTAGATGTCTATTAGGTCCGCTTGGTGCAGAGCTGAGTTCAATTCCTGGGTATCCTTGTTGTCTTTCTGTCTTGTTGATCTGTCTAATGTTGACAGTGGTTGTAGTTCTCCTTGAAGTCTCCCATTATTAATGTGTGGGAGTCTAAGTCTCTTTGTAGGTCACTCAGGACTTGCTTTATGAATCCAGGTGCTCCTGTATTGGGTGCATATATATTTAGGATAGTTAGCTCTTCTTTTTGAATTGATCCCTTTACTATTAAGTAATGGCCTTCTTTGTCTCTTTTGATCTTTGTTGGCTTAAAGTCTGCTTTATCAGAGACTAGGATTGCAACCCCTGCCTTTTTTTGTTTTCCACTTGCTTGGTAGATCTTCCTCCATCCCTTTATTTTGAGCCTATGTGTGTCTCTGCACATGAGATGGGTTTCCTGAATACAGCACACTGATGGGTCTTGACTCTTTATCTAATTTGCCAGTCTGTGTCTTTTAATTGGAGTATTTAGTCCATTTACATTTAAAGTTAATATTTTTATGTGTGAATTTGATCCTGTCATTATGATGTTAGCTGGTTATTTTGCTCGTTAGTTGATGCAGTTTCTTCCTAGTCTCGATGGTCTTTACATTTTGGCATGATTTTGCAGTGGCTGGTACCGGTTGTTCCTTTCTGTGTTTAGCACTTCCTTCAGGAGCTCTTTTAAGGCAGGCCTGGTGGTGACAAAATCTCTCAGCATTTGCTTGTCTGTAAAGTATTTTATTTCTCCTTCACTTATGAAGCTTAGTTTGGCTGGATATGAAATCCTGGGTTGAAAATTCTTTTCTTTAAGAATGTTGAATATTGGCCCCCACTCTCTTCTGGCTTGTAGAGTTTCTGCTGAGAGATCTGCTGTTAGTCTGATGGACTTCCCTTTGAGGGTAACCCAACCTTTCTCTCTGGCTGCCCTTAACATTTTTTCCTTCATCTGCAATTTGGTGAATCTGACAATTATGTGCCTTGGAGTTGCTCTTCTCCAGGAGTATCTTTGTGGCATTCTCTGTATTTCCTGAATCTGAATGTTGGCTTGCCTTGCTAGATTGGGGAAGTTCTCCTGGATAATATCCTGCAGAGTGTTTTCCAACTTGGTTCCATTCTCCCCGTCACTTTCAGGTACACCAATCAGATGTAGATTTGGTCTTTTCACATAGTCCCATATTTCTTGGAGGCTTTGCTTGTTTCTTTTTATTCTTTTTTCTCTAAACTTCCCTTCTTGCTTCATTTCATTCATTTCATCTTCCATCGCTGATACCTTTTCTTCCAGTTGATTGCATCGGCTCCTGAGGCTTCTGCATTCTTCACTTAGTTCTCGAGCCTTGGTTTTCAGCTCCATCAACTCCTTGAAGCACTTCTCTGTATTAGTTATTCTAGTTGTATATTCTTCTAAATTTTTTTCAAAGTTATCAACTTCTTTGCCTTTGGTTTGAATTTCCTCCCGTAGCTCAGAGTAATTTGATCATCTGAAGCCTTCTTCTCTCAGCTCGTCAAAGTCATTCTCCGTCCAGCTTTGTTCCGTTGCTGGTGAGGAACTGCGTTGCTTTGGAGGAGGAGAGGCTCTCTGCTTTTTAGAGTTTCCAGTTTTTCTGCTGTTTTTTCCCCATCTTTTTGGTTTTATCAACTTTCGGTCCTTGATGATGGTGATGTACAGATGGGTTTTTGGTGTGGATGTCCTTTCTGTTTGTTAGTTTTCCTTCTAACAGACAGGACCTCAGCTGCAGGTCTGTTGGAGTACCTGGCTGTGTGAGGTGTCAGTCTGCCTCTGCTGGGGGGTGCCTCCCAGTTAGGCTGCTCGGGGGTCAGGGGTCACGGACCCACTTGAGGAGGCAGTCTGCCCGTTCTCAGATCTCCAGCTGTGTGCTGGGAGAATCACTGCTCTCTTCACAGCTGTCAGACAGGGACATTTAAGTCTGCAGAGGTTACTGCTGTCTTTTTGTTTCTCTGTGCCCTGCCCCCGAGGTGGAGCCTACAGAGGCAGGCAGGCCTCCTTGAGCTGTGGTGGGCTCCACCCAGTTGGAGATTCTCGGCTGCTTTGTTTACCTAATCAAGCCTGGGAAATGGCAGGCGCCCTTCCCCCAGCCTCACTGCCGCCTTGCAGTTTGATCTCAGACTGCTGTGCTAGCAATCAGCGAGACTCCGTGGGCATAGGACCCTCTGAGCCAGGTGCAGGATATAATCTCCTGGTGTGCCGTTTTTTAAGCCGGTCGGAAAAGCTCAGTATTCAGGTGGGAGTGACCCGATTTTCCAGGTGCCCTCTGTCACCACTTTCTTTGACTAGGAGAGCGAACTCCCTGACCCCTTGCGCTTCCCAAGTGAGGCAATCCCTCACCCTGCTTTGGCTTGCGCACGGTGCATGCACCCACTGACCTGCACCCACTGTCTGGCACTCCGTAGTGAGATGAACCCGGTCCCTCAGATGGAAATGCAGAAATCACCCATCTTCTGCCTCACTCACGCTGGGACCTGTAGACCGGAGCTGTTCCTCTTTGGCCATCTTGGCTCCTCCCTCCAAATTTGACTTAGTTTTTAACTCAAACTGCCCATAGTTTTTTTGTTTTTTGTTTTCCCCTAAGAATGAACAGAAAAGTCACTGCCTAGGGTTTTATGTGGAAGCAGGAAAGTATCTTCACTGATTATAAATAAATGAACTATATAAGTCTGGGACCAGCAGGCAAGAAGTGGTTAACACATGCAAACTAGGTAATTGAAGAGGGTTTAAGGAAAGAACTATTTACAAAAGTGTGAGTAGGCTTAAATAAAATTAACAAAAGATGGCATAGAACCCCTGAGCTAGCAACAGTGAGGAACACTGCTGTCCTGAGGCCTAAGGGGCAAGGGAAAGGGTGGTTACAATGTACAGCCTGGTGGATTCTTCTTGCCCACTGCCCAGAGAAAAACAATACACTGAGACAGTAGGTGTTACAGCAGGGAAAGAGTTTAATAATTGCAAGAGAGCCAAGCAAGGAGGACAGGAGAAATCTCTCAAATCTACCTTCCTAAGAACTTAGAGGCTGGGATTATTAAGGTAGTTTGGTGGGCAGGGGTCTAGGGAATTAGAGCTGCTGATTGGCTAGGGATGAACTCATAGGGGTGTAGAGTATTGATTGTCTTGCACTAATCCAGTTTCTGGGTTGGGCAGGGGTGTCAGCCTGTTGAATCAATTTCTTGGAATGGGCCCTTGGTCCAGTCAGTGCCATTTGGTACAGTGGTTGACAAGTCTGAAAAATATTTTGAAGAACAGTCATAGGTTTTACAATAATGATCATTGACTACAGTAAGAAATTCTTCTTCAAAGGTTTAGCTTGTTTAAGTTTTCTTGTCCTTTGTTCCCTGATTTCAAGGCCAGACTTCCTTACTCTCTATATTCCCCCAGCCCTGGTAAACAACATTCCTGCCAGTCCTTATCTATAGAGCCCACATTCCACATCTGCTACCCACTCTGTGAATTACCCCTCCCAATGCAATGACTTCTCCCACTGAAACTGATCTTCTTGTCTTCCCACTGCTGATGTAACTACATTTCTGCATTTTTCAAGTTAACCAACCAGGTTCAGCTTAGACTGTGTGGTACAACTCTAGCCAATGGAGGCAGACACAGTAACAGTGACAAGCAGCGTTAAGAGATAATAAAAACCCCTGCTCTGTTTTGTTCTTTGTGCTCTTTCCATTGCTCCACATGGGAGAAGCACCCTTCTGCAGAAGAAAATTTGCCTTGCTGAGAGATCCTTTGTCTCAGTGCTGGTTCTTCTTTGTAGCACTAAGCATTTGTTTTCAACAATGATGCTATCTATAAGAGCAATTAGGAGAAGTTACAGCCCTTGTGACCACTGGCTACATGGCTTCTGGGCAGTAAGCAATTATGGGATGAGCTTAGAAACAATGGCTGGTTAACTTTTAACTATGCCTGCAACTTTTACTCTGTGGTCCTATGTTAACTGTTATATAGGTGGTTTCAGCCAAATACCTGATAACATTAACTGAGCACTAACAAATCAAAATGGCTTGTGGAATTGGTTTTGGAAAATGCTTTCAAATTAAATTTCACCAGAGTTGGAATAATTTTGACCAAAGCATTTTTACTTATAAACATAGGGTCAAAGTGTTCTTTTGTTGAATCCAGTAGATCAAAGTCTTGCAATGCCCAAGATAAATGAAAAAGAGAAAAGAGCTCAACCCATTTTCCAGACACCACATTCACTGGTATAAAACATATGGTTGGCTGGCCATAGCAGCCAGGTACCCACCAATGTTCAGGTCTCTGATAGAGTACACAGAACTTAGGCAGAACAGATTTTAGGATCAGGCTTCTAAGCCTAGAGTTTTTACACCCAAAATATTTTTATTAATGCCAGGCACTGTTCCATGCACCGAATATAGCAAAGAATAAAATAATGTTCCTTCCCTCCTAGAACTTACATTACAGTTGGTGTGGATGGGTGGTGTAGACAATCACCTTATTATGAGTTGGGTGGTGAAAAGAGAGAAAAAGAAAACAGTATTGGAGATAGAAAATAATGGGGGTGCTATTCAGATGATATGGGCCAGGAAGGCCTCTCACATAGAGTTACATTGAAGCAAACACCTGGATGAAGGTGGGGAGTGCATTAGTCTGTTTTCACACTGTTATAAGGAACTACCTGAGACAGTAATTAATGAAGAGAAAAAGTCTAATTGACTCACTGTTCTACATGGCTAAGGAGGCCTCAGGAAACTTACAATCATGGAGGAAGGTGAAGGGGAAGCAAATACCTTCCTCACATGGTGGCAAGAGAGAAAGAGTAAGCGGGGAACTGCCAAACACTTTTAAACCATCAGATCTTGTTAGAACTCCCTCACTATCACAAGAACAGCATGGGGGAAATGACCCCCATGATCCAATCACCTTCTACCAGGTCCCTCCCTCAACATGTGAGGATTACAATTCAAAATGAGATCTGGGTGGGACACAGAACCAACCCACATGAGGGAGTAAGCTGTGGGGCTCTCTGAAAAAAGAGAGTTTCCACAGAGGGGACAACAGGAGCAAAAGCCCCACTGCCTGAGCTTACCTGGAGTATGGAAACCACAGGGAAGCCAGCAGGGCTAGCTATAGGACATGGGGTGAAAACGGAGCCTCAGGGGTGTGGGGTGAGGGCCAATCGTGCGGCACACTGTGGGCATTAGAGGGCCTTGGTCTGTGCCAGGTTTCCCTGCTAACTCCTCCTGAGCTCCTCCTTCACCCTAAGTTTCCTTGTTTGTGCAGAGGGAATAATCGTCTCGAACCTGCCTTTGTCACAGAGTGGCTGGGAAGTTTGGGGGTCCCAGACCCAGCCTCAGCCTTCACTCCTAGTCTTTGAAATGACTTTGGAAAGAAATTCGGGAAAACTGAAAATAATTTCTTTTCTGCTTTTCTCTTCCAATGGCTGTTCTCTGGTCCATGTTCCCTCTCCCTTGCTCAGAAGATGTGCAATTGGCTGGCCAGAGAGGCCCCCTGGATGCCAGCCCAGCCCGAAGAACAATGCCTGTCTCCTCCCATCTCTACCTGCTTCTGTTTTCCAAGGACATTTTAAACAAACACACACACACACACACACACACACACATTATATAACTATAAAATTATCTATTACATATAATTGAATTATGTGATTATAGTTATGAATAAATATAAATTATAGTTATGAAAAATATAAATTAATTTTTAATGTATTTATGTATATAACTTAGTGTGTGTATATATAATAAAGAACAACATATGGAGTGTTCACCGTATCAGGTACCGTGTGACTGCTTTGAGACATTTCTTTATTGAATTCTAACAAAAACAATCAGTGAGGCAGAAGTTACAGTAATTTTGATTTGATAGGTAAAAATATTACATCTCAGGGAAGCCGAGAAACTCATCTCAGTCCCTGAACCAGACGCAGGGGCTCTGATGCAGACCCACTGGGCGTGCCTACCTCTGAACTGCCTTTTTGGGGAGTCTCGGCTCTACCTCGGGTCCTGCACTGCAACCTGGGAATATGCTTGTGCATGTCAGTAAACCTACTGATATTATTACCACTCTTGTGATGCTGTGGTCAAGACCAAAGCTAGGCAAGGTTGAATTCAAGGCAGTGCTGCTCTATAACGAATTCATAAACTTGAGCATGACCTGTGGTTTCTACCAAGCTTGATTTATATTTAAGTTTTGTTTGGCTAATTGGCTCCAAAAAAAAAAAAAACCTTGTGATTTATCTTTTTTTATTGCTACACATTTTTCCACAGCATGGTATAAAGATGCCATCAAGTACATTTTCAGAATGGTAATACATTTATGAATGGTGGAATTTTGATGGTATAATTGAGGCTGAACTAAAATAATATGGTTCAAGGGAGAAATTTGGAGAAGAATATTCAGAAATGGAAATTTCTGTGCAGCTGAGCATTAATGGCATTTAATGTTCAACAAGTTAAATGCCGGCTCTTCCAAGGGTACTTTACATGTCTCTAGAATGCTGGAAATATCTGTGTGCTACTGGTCCTTTCTCCAATGGCTAACTAGACATTTGCTCATTCTGACCTTGAATATTGTTCATGAAAATGCAACTGAAAAGTACATTTAGAGATGACTCTTGAAAGCTTTTCATAAGGGCCATTTAAAGGAATAAAAGTGATTTTATGAATTCTCAATTTCACACTCTCAGCTAAATGGAGAGCAAAATTCAGAGATAGCCCTCAGGAGTGGAGAAAGCAAAGTGTGCCCTTCATGGCTCCCCTCTCTCCCATTGTCCTGACCCCTGTCCTGGGGGTTCCCTCATGCACTGCTCTGGCTGTCTTCCCCTTCACTCCCTTCAAAAACATACTGCCCTCTGCCCCATCTCTGCTAGGGCCATTTCTAGCATGTTCCTAAGATTATGCTAGTTATTAGCTCTCTTTTCACACAGAATTTAGAATCTATTAATTATTTATCGATTTTGAGTCCCACAGTACTCCAGCCATGGTTTGAAGGACAGATGTAAAAGTATCTGGAATGATTGGGAAGAGAGGGAATGAGACAAAAGGGTGGTCATCTGCTGACTATGAAGTTACCCAGTGTATTAGTGTATTTTGTGTTGCTAAACAAATACTTGAGACTGGGTAATTTATAAAGAAAGGAGGTTTATTTGGCTCATGGTTCTGCAAACTGTACAATAATCATGGCACCAGCATCTGCTCAGCTTCTGGTGAGGGTGCAGGAAGCTTTTACTCATGGCAGAAGGTGGAGGAGGAACAGGCATGTCACATGGTGAGAGAGGCAGCAAGAGAGCTGGAGGAGGTGCCAGGCTCCTCTAAGAAATCAGCTGTTTCATGAACACATAGAGTGAGAACTCACTCATTACTTTAGGGAGGGCACCAAGCCACTCATGAAAGATCCACCCCCATGACTCAAACACCTCCCACCAGGCCCCACCTCCAACATTGGAGGTCACATTTTAACCAGAGATTTAGAGCAAACCCATATCCATGCTACAACAACCAGACTTTGGACTTCTGGGGCCATGAGGCGTTATCACAGCCTGATGAGAGAGAGAGACGAGAGTTCCTCCCGTGAAAAGTAGGTGTTCTGCCATGAAAAGTAGGTGTCAGGGAGGAGACCCATACTTGGCCTGGTTGGAGCAGTTGGGCCTGGATGCTAGATGCTGAGGCGTGGGGAGCTCTGCACTGGTCATGGTGGCTGGGGTGAGCTGTCTCTGGCAATGTGGATGCAGGCACTGGAGAAGATCCTGAGGCGTGTCTGGGCTCTGCTTCCACTGGCCATTGGCAACCTAAGCACATGTCATTAAACCCTGAGACCCCGAGCCAACACAGGGGCTTAGACATGTGGGGCACCCCGGCAGAAACTTGCTGTCAGCAGGGACAGCTGACGTGGGTAGAATGAGGACGTGGAGCCAACAACATCTATTCTGAAGCACACGGGAGGTGACACAGGGAGGATGACTCAGAGCAAGTGGAGCACGTCTGCAGTTGAATGGATGAAGGGAATGCGGGGCATAGAAACAGTGGAATATTATCCAGCCAAGAGAGAATGAAACTCTGTCATTTGCAACAACATAGATGGAATTGGGGGATATTCTGTTAAATAAAATAAGCCAGAAACAGAAAGGAAAATATCATAGGTTCTCACCATTTGAAGGAGCTGAAAAAAAAATTGCACTTATGAAGACAGAGAGTGAAATGATGGTTGCCAGAGGCTGGGAAGTGGGGGAAGGATAAAGAGGGGAAGGTTAGGCCGGGCGCGATGACTCATGCATGTAATCACAGCACTTTGGGAGATGAGGTGGGAGGATCATTTGAGACCAGCCTGACCAACATGGTGAAACCATGTCTTTACTAAAAATAGTAAAAATTAGCTGGGCGTGGTGGTGAACACCTGTAATCTCAGCTACCCAGGAGGATGAGGTAGGAGAATCGCTTGAACCTGGGAGGCAGAGTTTGCAGTGAGCCAAGATCGTGACACTGCACTCCAGCCTGGGCGACAGAGTGAGACTGTCTCAAAAACAAACAAACAAACAAACAAAAAACAACAAAAAAAGGGAAAGTTAATGGATTCAAAAATACAGTTAAAGAGAATGTACAAGATTCAATATTCAGTAGCACAACAGGGTGACTATAGTTAGCAATAATTTATTGCATATTTTAAAATAACTAGAACAGTGGAATTGGAATGTTCCTAACACAAAGAAATGATAAAGGCTTGAGGTGGTGTTTGCTCCGATTGCTCTAAGTTGATCATTACACAATGTGTGCCTGTATCAAAACATCACATGTACTTTATAAACATATGCTACTATTATGTACCCATAATAATTAAAAATAAATTTAATAAAGATTACACTGATCCTCTCAAAAACAAAAGAAGAAAAAGAAGAAGTAGAATGCAGAATGCAAGAGAGAGGAATGAAGTCATAATTTTCAGCACAGGGATGAATGGGGACTCATGGCATCTACTGACTTCTAAATTAGTCTATTGACTTTTAAATTAGTACCGTTTTATTTTATGGTCACAGAGGATACCACATTTTCATCTTTTACCACATTTTCTTTATCCCATTCAACACTGGTGGACACCCAACTTGATTCCATGTCTTTGTTATTGTGAATTGTGCTGCAATGAACATATGAGTGTATGTGTCTTTTCGGTAGAATAATTTAGTTTCCTTCGGGTAGATACCCAGTAATGGGATTGCTGGGTCCAATGGTTGTTCCATTTTTACTTCTTCGAGGAATCTCCAAACTGCTTTCCACAGTGACTGAACTAATTTACGTCCCCACAATGGTATATAAGTGTTCCCTTTTCTCTGCAGCTTCACCAGCATCTGTTGTTTTTTTGACTTTTTAATAATAGCCATTCTGACTGAACATCAACATTTATAAAGACTGGCACATCAGAGTCTCAGCCAGGCTCCAAATGTAATTTCTGGCATCAAAAAAGAAGTACTGATGGAAATAATCTGTAGTGTGAATGATCAGTATCCACATCTGATGCATGTTATTAGAGCCTTGTATCCCTCCCCACGTGAAGGCCTTCAAGAATCCACACTGTGGTCTCCTCTTTCCTGGCCGATTTCCTCCATTTACTGTTGCACTTCAAGGGTTAATAGCTGCAGATGGGAGAAGCTGAAATACTTACAGGTTATCCCACTGGATACCTACAAGGTTTGTCCTGGGATTATAGGAACCCTTGCCCTCAGCCTTAGTGACTAAGGCAGGGCCTCCATGGCTTTCCAGGTTGTGCATGTCAGCCGCACACAGACCCATGTCTGCAGGGGCGGGGTCATCTACTTATAGAGCAGGTGCAAGTTTCAGAGCCAAGACATAGGCAGGTGTTCATCCAGAGCTCTAGAGCCTGCTCCCTGGTGAACCCGAGCTATACAAGGCTGACTGATGTGTAGGGCTGGCCAGATTACTGGGATGATAGGGGATTTGCACAGAAATGACAGTGGGGGTTGCTGATATTGGCAGAGTACCTCCTGGGCAATGGGAGGAGGGAGGCTGCCTCTTCCAGCCAGGGAAGGGGAGGGAAGGATGGGACGAACTGTACCTTCAGGAAAACAGGGTGGAGGTTTCATTAAGAGCAGAAGAGAAATCACCAACTCCCTCACCAGATAATGGTTTTGACATTTGTTTTGAATTTGCCCAACTGACTTGCCCTTGTGACTGAAGCCAAGAATCACAGACTCTTGGAAGTGAGCAGAACTAGCAAAGCAAATCACAAACAATTTGTTTAGCATTTCCTCTGTGATTCCCCCATATCCCGACAACTCTCCTGGAGTACTCCCCATACACTGCAGGAGGCTTATCTCCTTATAAAGTAGCCCCTAGAGGGAAGCTGTGCTTTTTAGGAAACACTTCCTATGCTGGGCTGAGACCCTGCTCTAGAGCCAGATTTACTCTCTGAAATGGTGTAATGTTTCAGCACAGAGGCTTAGCCTGAGAGCTGTGACACAGGAGGCTTTGAAGAGGGCAGCAGGGGAGGGGGCTGCTCGCTTCCTTGTTTCAGACTCTGGGATTTAACCCATAAAATCACTCCCTAAAGCTCATTTTGGTTTTGGTTCATGGCAACAGATTTCCCAGATGAGGAATGAGCTCTAAACCATTGGCTTTTCTCTAATTATATATCAGAGGTCTGTCCTCCATGGGCTTCTCTAAATCTCCTGTGTTTTCTGCACTGAGGAATCCTCTGGTTGCAGATGCTAGGTGCAGCAGAGTGGCATTCCTGTGACTTAGAGGTGTTGCAGTCAGATTCCACGGCGGGGAATGGTGGTGCTGGACCCCTAGGGACTTGAGCTCAGTCACCATGCCCTCTCATCTCTACTCCTCTCTGCATCTCAACTTCGTTGTTTTAAGTTGTTCATTTTTGCTTTCATGGAGGAAAACATGGTTGCCACCCTTACCTTGCAAGAATCTCTTTCCATGGCTTTATTTCCAAAAGTTCCAGGGAAAAACCTTAATTGACATGGCTTAAGTTACGTGTTCACTGCAAAGCAATTGCCTTTAGCCAGGCAGTGTGATCCTGCTGTTGCGATTTGTATCATTATGGTTTCCTGTTTTTTTTTTTTTTTTTTTACAAACAGGAAACCATAATGATACAAATCACATAACTCTTAAGAGGGTAAGAGGGTCTTACCCTCTTAAGAGTGACCATAAGCCAAGAGAGCCATCTGTAGGAGCACTCTGACCAGGGGGATGTTGGGCCTGGGTGTGTCTGTCAGATGAAACACACTGAGGAGGTGAAACCAAAATGCCTGAAACAGAAGGAATTCATTACTTATAAGTCACAGAGAGGTTCGAGGTGTTGCTGAGAGGACAGCAGGAGGTCTGGAGGAGGCAGGAAGCTCAGACAGCAGGGAAGAGAGAGGCCTGAGGCCTGTGAGACTCTGCCTTTGTTAAATTCCTGGGAGTTTTTCAGACTCTCCTGCAGGGAAGCTGCAGGTTGGCTCCTTTAAAGAAATCATGCGTGAAGGGGAGCTCATTTCCATGACTCTGGTGTTGATCATTGGTTTTCTCATGGTCAGTAGCTGTGGGTGTGTTAGATTTTTGGTCAGTGGGATGAGGAACAAGTGGGTTATGCTGCAAACAACCCCATGGGTAGGGGAAGTTTTAATTAGGCCCAAAGTGACACATGGTACAACCGGGTTTCAAATAACTTTTATTAGGACTAAAAATGGATACCAAGACAGCAACTACATTAAACAAATGAATGACACCCGCTCTGCCTTGAGCCTCCTTATTGTAGCTGGGAAGGAACAGTTCTCCAGAAAAGTAGAGGCGCTTCACTCTGGACCAAGCAAATAGCATATGCCTGCTGCAAAACCCCGAAGGGGCAATCACTGGGAGGCTCCAATGTCTACTTCATAAAATTCCTTCAGCTTCTCATGCTGCAACTGTCTACGAAAAGGGAGCCGTAAGGAAAACAGTCTCAAAGACTGGATGTGCCAACAACCTCTAATTACTGCAAAAAAGGACACAGTCCCTCCACAAATGCCAGTCACTTCTTACTTCATCTAAATACAGCATGCTTAGTAGAACTAAGCTCTGTCAATCACATCTAGGAATCAGAAAAGAAACCTAGGAAAATAGGCATCGCTAAACCAGTGAATTGGAGCTTATACTTTTTCTATGACTAATAATGCTTATTTTATATGATGCTTAAGAAGCTAGATAATTCTTCAGCACATGTGAATATGCTGGGCTCTGTGCTAGGCACCAGGTGCAGAGAGGACAATAAAATGGACCTGGAATTTTAGTTTAGTGGAGGAGACTGGGTAGTAAGGCATCAATGTTCATAGATAATAATAAGCACTGTGGTGCTTTGGGGAGGTAAAACTGTTATCTGCCTCCCAAACACATACGAATAAAGATAGGGACCAGGTGCAGTGGTTAAAGCCTGTAATCTCATCACTTTAGGTGGCCAAAGTGGGAGGATCACTTGAGGCCAGGAATTTAAGACCAGCCTGGGCAACATGGTGAAACCCTGTCTCTATAAAAAAAATAAAAATAAAAAATGAAAAATTAGCTAGGCCTGATGGTACGTTCCGTCTGTAGTTCCAGCTCCTCGGGAGACTGAGGCTGAAAGATCACTTGAGGCCAGGAGTTCAAGGTTGCAGTGAGCCAGAATTGTGCCGCTACACTACAGCCTGAGTGACATAATGAGATCTTGTCCCTTAAAAACAAAACAAAACAAAACAAATAGAGTTTGTTTGATTTGGATAGACTGAAGGATTAAGAAGTGAGTTGATAACATGGGAGGAGGCAGAAGAGCTATGAAAACAGGCACAATAACTAAAATAAAATACAACAATTGGAGCCCTGTGGTGCTGGAGCAAAGAGTCTAGGCATCTTAAATACCCAGAGAATTTGACCATGGCTCCTCGGATGCAGCTTTCTTCAGGGCTAGACTAGAAGTCAGGGTGCTAAGATTCAAATCATAGATTTACCACCTCAAACCATGGTCCCTCCACCTCTCTGGGTCTCAATTTACCCATCTAAAAAATGCATGGGATAGACTATCTAATGTCTGATATTCTTTAATTGTGACTGCATTCATAATGATGACCTTGTGTTCAAGGTTAAACTATGTTCAGCTTACTCTGTGTAGGAAGGAAATGTATAATCAATTTGAGAAAGGCTCTTATCCAAAAAGAATTGATTATACGTTTGCTAACCTACCGGTGTGGAATAAGACAGCATAAATAATAAGCACATGTTTATTGAATGCTGGGCACTGAATGGGGCAATGAATTCACAGTCCAGGGGAGGGTCAGGTGGGTGATCAGGCAGTTATAATGCAGAGCTGTGCCTCAGTGGAGGTAGAGAAAGAACCCATGTCATGGGAATGTGGCCGATGGAAAGGGGTGGGTGGGAGCATCGAGGAAGACTTTCCAGGGGTGGTAGCATCGATCTTGAGACCTGAGAGGTAAACTGAGCTTGTTTGGGCAAAGGTAGAAAGTGGGTAGAAGAGCTCCAGGTAGAAGGAGAATCAAGTTTTATGGAGGCGTGTTGGGGCATGGTGTGGTGTGGAGTGGAAGCCTGGGTGTGATTCCCAGAGGCCTTTTACACTGTGGCCAAGAGTCTGGCCTTTGCTCTGGATGATTTGGAGAAGGGGAAAGAGCTTACATTCTGGAGAAGCCACTCGTATTTACTGCCTTTTCCCACCTGACTGCCTTGCACTCCCACGCATCCCTGTTCTCCAAGCCTGTGCCCACTCCCCTTTGCATCCCACCTGCACCTGCGATGGCCTCCTCGGTGGCTGCCTCCGTTTGTTCCCACTACCCTTTCAGCCATTCTCCAGAGCAGAGCCAAACTCACTTCTTCCAACTCATCCTCATGCCTTCACCATCCTCAGCACTCTGCGGTGGTTTTCTGCCTCGGTTAGGATGAGTGTAAACCCCTAGGTGCGGCCTGTGAGTCCCTGCATGGCCCAGCTCCTGCTACTTTACCAGCCCCTCCTTGAATGAACTTCTCTTGACTCTCTCCACTGTGGTCATGGGGGGGTCTCTGAAGTGGTCTTCTGAGGGTTCCTTCATGTGTTTCACAAAGGCCCGTCTGGTGAAAATAAGAGATTGTCTCCAGTGTGAAAACAACATTGACACTGAGCTTGAACCCAGTGCCAACCCTCAAGGGCCGTGACACATTGGCGAGCTCTTCCCCTTTCCAAGTTTTAGTTTCTTTATTTGTTCAATGAACATGTTGGACAACATCCAACAAAAAAGTTTAAACTATGTTCAGCTTACTCTGTGTAAGAAGGAAATATATAATCAATTTGAGAAAGGCTCTTATCCAAAATGAATTGATTATATGTTTGCTAACCTACCGGTGTGGAATAAGAGAGCATAAATAATAAGCAGATATTTATTGAATGCTGGGCACTGAATGGGGTAAGGAATTAACAGTCCAGGGGAGGGTCAGGTGGGTTAAAAGGGACATTCCTGATCTCTTTTAGCTCTTACACTTTGTCAGTTTTTAGAGAAACATTCTATTTTTTTCATAGACTTCTAATAATGCTGTTTTTTCTTGTATGAAATTTAATCTCCAAGATTCAGTCCAAATCTCACCACATTTAATATGTTTAACTGCAATATATTGGTGTCCTTTCTAGGGCACAGGCCAGAGGCAGGTGCTGGGGAACAGAAGGCAGTGAAGTCACGCTTGTGCTCTCAGGGCTGTTCTCGTCTCTAAGTGATCAGTGCTTCATTCGTATTGACTGCCCCCTTCCAACACTCTATACTGTCTTCCTGTTCCATGTATTAGTGCCTTGATTACATACTCTCTTGATTTTATAATATCTAATACAAATTATAATATATAATTATATAATATATTATATATAATATTACATTATATATCATAAGTCAATTTTTTTCCTCCAAAAAAACTATAACATCAACAAGGTCTGCTTTAATTTTTAAAAAACATGTTCCCTAGAGCTTGCTGGTTGTGGAGTAGAAATGCAGTGAACACTGGATAATGAATGGTCTGTGGGATCAGAACCATCGGACTCTGCTTCTACCTACCTTGTGGTGGGACCCCTGCAAGCTCAATGTCTTTGTCACTCAGGCAAGAGCCAGCTTTGTCTCTGAGTATGTCTACACCTTTTAGAAACTTCCTCTTTGTTCTGGATGAAGCCACTTCTGGGTTGTTTCTAGGGAGCCCCACAGGCTCCTCAGGGGTCAGCCAATGGGTCAGAGCCATGGTTGTCCATCTCAAACAAGCAGTGACCCTTCCCTGATCAAACACCCTTAGTGCCAGCTTAGTGACTGGTGTGTAGGCTCCTCAGAGTTCTCATTTTCCTAAGACTCTAAAGCCCTTTTAGCTACACCTAAGTGACCTTAGTCATCCTTTTCTGAGTTCTCAAGCAATCAAAGAGCAGGAGCTCTAACTAATTGTTGCCTTGAGATCCACTCCACCTCTCTCTCCAGTCTTCTTCCAGGACCACCAACCATGCAGGGATTCTGCTATTGTCTGTGGCTTTCAGCTGTCTTTGAATTAGAAATAGAATGAAGACAACAAATGATATGAAGAGAGTGGTTTGTCCATTTGAGGGCATTCCTGGACTGTGTTCCTTTCCACAGGGAGGGAGAAGATCCCATAGCAGCTTTGCAGTCCCTTACTGATTTATGCTCTGGAAGATAAGACACGCTTTGCAAGATTCAGCTGACGCAGACCTGCTGTGGTGAGTGAGATATGCCAGCTCTCTGATTTAAATGCAACTTGATGCTGTACAGCCCAGGGTACAATTCCAGTATCCACCAAGAGATAACAAAACACGGAGGTACATATGTGCAGGTGCAGAAAGCCCACAGAGGCTGAACTCACTGGGTATTAACCATAGCTGCAAAAGGTGTAGAGGAGGCCTTGTTGTGATTTTGAAGGTGAGCATGAGGCTGAGCCCCCTGGAGTTGGAGAAATGGTTCAAATCTGTGCTGAGCAGAGCAAAGAAAACACATCTATTACCCCTTATGGGACATGCGATACCTAGTTCATAAAAACTTATGAAAAAAAAACATGTCTTAAGTTCAAATAACTCATCTCATTGTACAACAAAATGGTTTTCTGTGTTTTATCCTTCAAAGACGACTGAGTTTGCTGCAGTGAGTCTGGTGCATGCATATTCACTGGAGGAAAATTTACTAACAAATAAATTTTGTTATTTCTTATTGTTCATTCCTACAGAAGCCAACTGTTTCTTAAAAGCAAAAACACACAAAATAGTCAAGTCAGTTATAAATTTGTCTTTGTTAATATTCATGACATACAGGTTAAAATATGAGTTTCAAGTTGTTGTTATTCCCCCAAATGTTCAAGTAATTAATCCCCCAGTGTGTTGAGATGTTAAATAGTCACAGTCAGCAAAGGCTGCAGTACTGATTTTGACAATGGGCTCAGCTTTCTCTCTGGACAAGCTGTGACGCTCTTCTAGTTTGTTACCTGGAAATAGTAAATGAGAGAAAGGTTTTAATGCACAGACAACAGCCAAGCTCCCGTTTCTGCTACAAGTTTGGCTCATTCAGGGTAAAAGGTCAACAGTGCTTCATATTTCATTTAGGGGAAATAGATAACATAAAAAGTTCGGGTTGCTTTCCTCAGATACTTTGTTACATTTATCTTTATTTTTTTTCAGTCATATTACTTTCTTTGTCTTGCTGGAAAGAAGTGCAAAATACCTAAGGAAACCTCCTTGTGGCCTCCATTAACCCCAGCTAGCACCTACCAAATCAGCAAAATCCGAAATATGATTTAAATAAATTATGCTTAAAGAAAAAACGTTCTTTTTAATTCCTTACTTTTCAAGGTTTACACAAACAATGAGAACAAAAAGAATCAGTAAATGGTATACAAATGTCATTATAATTTTACTTATTCTATTTTTTTATCAAGAGGAAACTATGTGTTCCATGAAAATTTTTAGTAATTATGCTTAAGAGTTTATCAAATGGAAAAGACCATTCTAAAATTCATGTGAAATCACAAAAGATCCAAATGAACAAAGAAATCTTGGGCAAAAAGAACAAGCCAGAGGCTTCACATTACCTGATTTCAAAATATACTACATACCTATAGTAATCTAAATAGCATGGTAATGGCATTAAAAACAGACACATAAACCAGTGAGACTGAATAAACAGCTGAGAAATAAAGCCATACATTTACTGTCAATTGATTTTGACAAAGGTGTCAGAAACACACAATGTAGAAAGGCCAGTCTCTTAAATAAATGATGTTAGTAAAACTGGATGTCTATATGTAGAAGAATGAAATTAAACTCTTATTTCACACCATACATAAAAATCAACTAAAATAGATTAAAGACTTAAAAGTAAGACCTGAAACTGTAAAACTACTTGAAGAAAACATAGGAAAAAGCTTCTTGACATTGGCCTGGGCAATGGTATTTTGGCTATGAACAAAAAAGCACAGACAACAATAAAAACATAGACAAATTTGATTAAATCACACTAAAAATCTTCTGCATAACCAATAAAAAATCAATATAGTGAAGAGACAACCTGCAGAATGGAAGAAAAATATTTACAAACCGTACAACTGATAAGTGGCTAATATCCAAAATATATAAGACCTGAAACACCTCAATAGTAAGAACATAACCAGATTAAAAATGAGAAAAGCCTATGAATAGACATTTCTCAAAAGAAGACATACACTTGGCCAAGAGGTATATTTAAAAATGTTCAATGTCACTAATCATCAGAGAAATGCAAATTAAACCCACAATGAGATATCACCCCCTACCTGTTAGAAGAGCTATTATCAAAAAGAGGGAAAGTAACAAGTGTTAACAAGGATGTGTGAAAGGGACCCCTTGCACACTGTTGGTGAGCATGTAAATTGGTGCAGCCATTATGGAAAACAGTGTGGAGGTTTCTCAAAAGTTAAAATAGAACCACGGTATGATGCAGCAATCTCACTAATGGGTGTACATTCAAAGAAGATGAAATCAGTATGTTGAAGACATATCTGCATTCTCATATTTATCAAAGCATTATTCACAACAGTCAAAATGTGAAATCAACCTAAGTGTCTATCAGTGGATGAATAGATAAAGAAAATGTGATATACATACAGACACACAAGGGCTCTTCAATAAGCTCATGGAAAATGATTACTATGAAAAAACAATCATGTATGGATTTCAAAATATTTTTTTGCAACAAAATAAACTCATACCTAATATGTGTGAACAACACTTAGTAGAAGAATAAGGCATGAGTTTGAAAAGAGCCCCTATCTGAGCAACATGAAGTCTGTTAAAATTGAAGCAAAAAAATTACATTTATGGTTAAGTTTGGGTCAAAGAAGGATGAAACCATAGGTGATTTACAAAAAGTTCATGGGGACAATGCCCCCCCAAAATTAGTACTTTTCAAATGGATACCTTGTTTTAAGAAGGGATGAGACATGTTGAAGATAAAGTATGCAACAGCAGACTATCCACATCAATTTGCGTACGTAAGCAATAATAAAAAAAATTCATATTGTTTATGCCATAATTGAAGAGAACCAACAATTAACAACACAAACAATAGCCAGTGCCATAGAGATCTCATTCGGTTCAGCCTACACAATTCTCTCTGAAAAGTTAAAGCTGAGCTGCCTCTTGGGTTCATGTGATTCTCCTGCCTCAGCCTCCCGAGTAGCTGGGATTACAGGCACCCACCACCACACACAGCTAACTCTTGTATTTTTAGTAGAGACAGGATTTCACCATGTTGGCCAGGCTGGTCTCAAACTCCTGACCTTGTGACCTGCCCACTTTGGTCTCCCAAAGTGGAATTACTGCCGTGAGCCACCACACCCAGTGAGTTGAGCAAACTTTCTACTTGATATGTGCTAAAACTGTTGTGCCCAGGTCAGCTGCAGACAAGAGCAGAGTTTTCAATGAAACATATAAACAAGGGGGATAAAAATTCTGAAGCATTTTTTCAAAGTATTGTACCCGGAGATGAAGCATGTCTTAATGAGTATGATCCTGAAGACAAAGCACAATCAAAGCAATGGCTACCAAGAGGTGGAAGTGGTCCAGTCCAAACAGAATCAGACAGCCAAGAGCAAGGGTCATGGCAACAGTTTCCTGGTATCCTCAAGGCATTTTGCTTGTTGAGTTGCTGGAGGACTAAAGAGCAATAATATCTGCTTGTTATGAGAGTGTTTCAAAAAAGTTAACCAAAGCTTTAGCAGAAAAATGCCAAAGAAAACTTCACCAGAATCCTTCTCCACCACAACAATGCTCCTGCTCATTTCTCTCATTGGCAAGAACACTGTGGGGGGAGTTTTGATGGAAAATCATTACACATCCATCTGAAAGTGCTGATTTGGCTCCTTCTGACTTCTGTTTGCTTCTTAATGTTAAAAAGATCTGTAAAGAGAACCCACTTATTTTCTGTCAATAATGTGAAAAAGACTGCACTGACATGATTAAATTTCCAGGACCTTCAGTTCTTTAGAAATTGACTTAATGGCTGATGTCATCAATTACAAAGTTAATTGAACTTGATGGAGCTTACATTGAGAAACAAAGTTTATATTTTTAATTTTTATCCTTTAATTTAATTTTTCACTAATTTTTTGAAGTTCCTCTGTGTGTGTGTGTGTGTGTGTGTGTGTTGTGTAGGCGTGTGTCTGAAATACTATTTGGTCTTTAAAAAGAGCCTTAAAAAGAAGAAAATTTTGGACATGGATAAATTTTGACTACACTACGTTTAGAGAATAAGCCAGGCACAGAAAGACAGGTACCACATGATCTAACTTATATGTGGAATCTAAAATAGTTGAACTCATAGAAGTAGAGAATAGAATAGTGATTTGGGGCTAGAGTTGGTAGGCGTGTATGGGGAGTAGGTTGGAGAGATGTTGATCAAAGGATACAAAATTTTAGTTAGACCAGAGGAATAAGACAAAGAGATCTATCATACAACATGGTGATTTTAGTTAGTAAAAACTTACTATATTCTTGAAAATTGCTAAGAAATAGATTTTAAGTGCTCTCACAACAGAAGGAATGATCAGTATGTGAGGTAATGTATATGTTAATTAGCTTGATTTAGCCATTTCATAATGTATACATACTTCAAAACAACAATTGCAGATGATAAATATGTACTTCTTTTTAAATTTAAAATAAAATAACAAGCCCTATTCCATGTTAAAAATATAAATAAAACTTCTATTTGCTTCTTTAAAGAACATTAATCATGCATACTTGATGATGGAGTCTAAAATTAATAAGTATTTTCATCTTCAACTTAAATGGTTAAAAAATTTAGAAAACTTTATCTCTGGCCTATTCCCACCATACTTTATGTTATTGTTCACCAGTGTTTCAGTTCTAGCTAACTTGTTAAAAGCTAATAATATTTCATTATTACCACATAATACATGTGTGTTTATATGTATCTACATATGTATGTAGGTATATATAAACAATATGTAGTACACATATGCAATATTATATCTTATATACATTCTCTTATATGCAATGCACTCTTTATTGCTTTTAATATTTTTCTCCTTGTTTCCAATGTTTGGCAGTTTTCCTATGATGTGTTAGACACATGCACACACACACACAACACATACACACACAACATACACACACATTTACATTTGTCCATCTATTTGCCAATTTTTTTTTTATATTTGTCCCTTACACTTATTTTTTTCTTTCAGGTTTTATTTCCTATTACTTGAAGGAAATAGTCTGACAGTTCATTCTTTGAGACCCTGCACATAAATAAAAACTCCTAATTTGTTTTAATCTGAAAAGTATTTTGTCCTTACATATGAATCATACTTCAGCTGGGTATAGAATTCCAGGTTAACAATAATTTTTTTCTCACAGTTTGAAGATGTTATACCATTATATTTTAGCCTTGGTTTTTGCTCCTGAGAAATTTCACTGGTTTCTTTTTGGGGGGAGATTTTCAACTAATGACCAATGAAAGTTGATAGATAAATAAATCAACCTGGCTAGGTATGGTTTCTCACCCCTGTAATCCCAATGCTTTGGGAGGCAGGAGGATTGCCTGAGGGAAGTAGTTCAAGACCAGCCTGGGAAACATAGAGAGACCTTGTCTCTACAAACAAGTACAAACATTAGCAGGGTATGGTGTTGCATACCTGTAGTTATAGTTATTTAGAAAGCTGAGGTGGAAGAATTCCTAGAACCCAGGAGTTTGAGGTTTCAGTAAGCTTTGATCACACCATTTCACTCCAGGCTGGGTGACAAAGTGATACCCTATCTCAAAAATAAATAAATATGAATAAATAATAACTAAACCCTCTTGGGGCAATGGTCTACACTGTCTCCCAGAGTTGGCTTGGAAATTTTATTTGCTTATAATTTTTCCTTGCTTAATATTGTACCTTTTATTTGCTTCCTTCCCTTCTATATCTCACTATTCTGTTCCTTCCCTTCATCTTCTCCCAATTGAATTATTTGTACTCACAGACTCGTCTCAAGATCTGATGGTTGGGGAGCCCAAGCTAAAATGCTTATAGGTAGCATCACCTAGCTCCATTTCCCTCTTGCTTCCAGGTGAATTTAGACAGGATAATTCAGGAACAGATTAGAGAGTGGAGGGAGAGAGGGATTTTGCACACTATAATATCTGTCAGGGCTTTATCTCTTTATGACTGCAGCTCTGTGGCTCTATTAATTACCAAACTTGAGTAACATTGTTTCTTCTACCTTGGCTTGAAACCTGAGTTATAGGTCTTACAACTGTTGCTAGTCTCACGGTTCCTCAATGTGCCTTGTTTTTCCCTCTGTCAGTTATCAATTTATTGCCTCTCAGCCCAAACGTGCAGTTCTGTAGCACTGAACATAAAACGTGCAAACAATTCTCCTTTGCCAGCTCATTCAGTATGAAACTTTATTAATAGAGAGCATTAAAGAACACTTCATGGCCATGCATATTTTTGACACAGTGAATGGGAATGTGGGAGGCATGAAGACATTCTCTTCAGCAGTCTTCTAGGGACCAGCTTTGGCCCACCCACAGCCTCTAGCAAGTTTTTCTACAAGCCACTGGGCTCTTAGTTTGGACCAGCACTTTCTGAAAAGTTTTTCTGTCACCTGGTGGGCTGTCCTATGACCAGCTTCAGCTCGCTCCCTCTGCTGCAGGCTGCATGTGGTGGTGGCCAGGATCTCTTCAAAAATATCTGAATCTCAGCTTCGAGAGGCTGGATTATTCTGCTAAGGCTGCTCTGACAAAATGACATAGACTGCAGGGCTTCAACAAAAGAAATTTATTTTCTCATGTTTCTAGAAACTGGAAATCCAAGCTCTCAATGCCTGCAGTGTGAGTATCCAGTGAGGGCTCTCCCTTGGGGTCACAGACGGCTGCCTTCTCTCTGTGCTCACATGGCCTTTTCTCAGTGCAGGTGCATGGTGGGAGGATGAGTGCCAGTGCATCTTCTTACAAGGACACTAATCCCATCAGATCAGGGCCCCACTCTCATGCCCTTAATTTACCTTAATTACCTCCATAATGGCCTTGTCTTCAAATACAGTCACATTGGGGGTTGAAGCTTCAATATATGAATTTTGAGGGACACAATTCAGTCTATATCACAGGCCCTCTTTAAGCTGCCTCTTTGTTCACTTTCTCTCAGGCAACAGGTGGCAGCTGCTTTCTGCATTTTCTTTCAGAACCCTTGAGACTTATTTTACTTCTTTGTGAAGAAAGTCACTCTTTCTAGTTAACAATTCTTTGTATCAGCTTCCCCTGCTTCAGTTACTCATGTAGTTTCTTTCTCTGACTGGACCTTGTCTGGCACCCCCACCTTTGTAAGTAGCCTCTGTTAAATTTCTTCAATTCCAACTGAGTGGACTCTCTATATCTTTTGGGGATCTTGGCTGATATAAATTATTTTACCAAATCTGGCTGATCACCAGGCAACTCTAATAGTAAGGTCACAGTTTATCCAAAATTATTATTTTGTTCTCTCTGATGATTGGTTCCAAATCCCCCATCTCCTGTTTTGCATCAGCACCCTCTACATAGCCCATCTCCCTTCCTACACTCCAAGGAGCTCCATCCTTTGAGGTCTAATCACTCAATTCCATCCTTTTTACTTTGAGTTTACCCCCAACCTTGCCCCACAAGACTGCATGAGGCCCATTAAGAAAACCGTTGACTTACCACAACATTATGTGTGCGTCTTTTACAAGAGGAGAAATAATCAACACAGAGACAGAAGTCTTTAATGGTGGAATTTATGGTGGGCTGGTAAAAAGTGCCTTGGGGAGAGTCCTTTTTGAAACTACTTTGGTTCTGCTTTTTCTTTCAGGTGTCCAAGCGAAAGTTAATGGAAGTGTAGGTCTACATGTGCAGAGAATCAATAATTAAATTTAAGCCCCCCACACCTATGTTTTGCTTGTTTTTTTTATTAGAACAGTTGGCAGATTCTTATCAGTGAAATTGATATTTGATTAGGTTATTACCCAAGGCCACAGAGAGAGTGAGTGGCGAGAGGAGTGGTGGTTTTCCAGGCTTCTGATTCTGCCTAGTCCCCTAGTTCATGCTGAAGGATGTAATTTTAGGGACAAGAGAAAGTTCAATTGAGGAATTTTGTTTTTAGTGCAGTGGTTGTTTATTCTAATTAGAAATTTGCTTCCCAACAATTTTCTCTGCATGTTTAAATTCAGCTTTAAAATGTATTTCTTTCTTTTTATACTAAAAATTCCATTAGATTGTTAAAAATTACACGTTTTATGAGAAAACTTCTATTTATTTGGGAAAAATAGAAATATATAGAGTGATGCAGAGAACAGAAAAAGATCGGACAGTTCTTATGCAAAAATAAGTGAAAAAGTTGAGAGAGTATTTTATATAATTTTTATGTTTTTTCACTACTAATATTGTTGACAAGTATTTTTCCATGTAATAAAAAATGTTAGCACAATTTTAGTGACAGGATCGATGTAATTAAAAATGTTACAGATGAATTATCCCCATAAGCTTAGCTCTAGGGGTGACCCAGGCAAGGCTTTTGGGTGGGAAAATTAGACAATCTATTTTCACTTAAAAAATCATTTGGGGCTGTTGTGATTTAACCTCTTTGGCCAAGCTCTCCGTTTGGGAGAGAAGTGAGGTCAGCATCTTTTCCTGGCATTGAGAGACCAGGGAATTTTCTGGCCAACATCCATGGGAGAAATCTGACTGTCATACCAGCAAATCTGAAAAGAAGAGGAGGAAAAATTGTGCTGGTACTGAAAGGATGATGGTAGAAAGATAACTAAGAAGCTCGTGTTTGCTTCCAAGGGACCTCACTCCCCTCTTGCCCAGAATAACAGCAGATGAGCATTTCCCACGCTGCCTCCACGGTACTGGGAGGAACAAGTGGGGAAGCCAGGCCTCCCAGCTTGGAAGATACGGCTCTCTGAGTTCCTTTTCCAAGTGTTCTTTATTCTCCAGGCATTGATTCTGTTTAACATTTTGCACATCTTAAGGTTGCAAACAGAAGGAAATAAATGTGGAAATGCTTTTAACAGTGTTATCCACAGAAACTATCCTTTTCTTGTCATCTGAGCAGTTCTATTGCTACTGCTTCTTCAGAGACTGTAATTTCTGTTGATGTCTGTCTATTCTTGACATTTTTGTCTTATTAATGGATCTATTTCTCTTGTTTACTCCCCCTTGGCCTGAAAGTTGATAGACAGATGCATGCATTCCACTTGAAGTCTTTGCGGCCTTCTTGCATCCCCATTGCTCTAAGCAATAGTTCATATATAAGAACTGTCACCAAAGTAATATGGTCCTGCTTGTTGTGGTGTGTGAGGTGCCTGGAGGCCTCTTCTACTCACAGTCCCATGCAGTAAACATGAGTGGAATTTTAAGAAGGACATAAATTACTTTTCTAAGTTATATTTTAAAGTGGATAGAGTGAAAAAGAGAACTCCTGTTTCCCAGAGTTATAGCCTGACCCAAAGCCTGTGGATTTGTGTGATAACCTCTGAAATGTAATAACCCCTGACACTTGCTTTTTAAAAGAGAAAATTCACATTCTCCTTTTCTCCCCACCTTCAGGAAATATATATGTATTGGTTTTGCTATGAAATTACAAGTGGAAAAGAAGTTTTAGATTGACAGATTAACTCTTGGGAAAATTTTTAAAAAGCAACTCTTAAAATAGTCTTTCTGGCAAGCTGAGAATATAGCCTACTTATAAGGCCAGTGAGGAATATTTTTAAAAATAATTTCAGCCTTTATTTTAGATTCAGCGGGTACATGTGCAGATTTGTTACATAGGTATACTGCGTGATGCTAAGGTTTGGGGTATGATGGATCCCATCACCCAGGTAGCGAGCACAGTGCCCAATAGGGAGTTTCTCAACCCTTTCCCCCAACCTTGTATTCCCCAATTTCTATTGTCATTTTTATGTCCGTGAGTACCCAGTGTTTAGCTCTCACTTATAAGTGAGAACGTGTGGTATTTGGTTTTCTGTTTACTCGTTAATTTGCTTAGGATAATGGCCTCTGGCTGCATCCGTGTTGCTGCACAGAACATGATTTAATTCTGTTTTATGGCTGCCCAGTATTCCATGGTGTACATGGAATTATTATCCAGCTTACCACTGATGTGAGCTTAGGTTGATTCCATGTCTTTGCTATTGTGAATAGTGCTGTGATGAACACACGAGCATGTGTCTTTTTGGTACAACAGCTTCTTTTCTTTTGGATATATGACCAGCAATGGGATTGCTGGTTCAAACGGCCATTCTAAGTTCTTTGAGAAATCACTGAGGAGTAATTTGGATGTTATTGTTACTACCTTTAATTTGCATTTATTTAATGATGAGTCATGTTGATAGCATTTTCTATGTTCATTGGCCATTGGTTTATTTTCTATAGCACTGTGAATTTTTTTCTTATGTAATTTAGTGCTGTTAAAATCATTTTATTAAAAGTGTTTAATTGCTAATCTATGATTAGAAAAAAAAAGCCCTGAAAACTAAGTGAAAATTGAGAATCTAGAGTGAAAAATGAAGTCTTTATTCCATTTCTGTTCTCCAGATCTCCAGTTTTGCCTCCTTCCTGGTGACCACTGTTATCCATTTCTTGTCTTTATAGTGTCTTAGAGATATTAGGCTTCCAAGTCTTCCCTTTTACTCCTTCATCTGGCTTTGTGGAGACAGAAGCCAGAAATGCTCAGTAAATTTGGCTGGGCTACGATGGCTTTGGCTACCATGGCCACAGCTGGAAAACTGGAAACGTTGGCAATTTAGCACAGTTTTTACTTTGTGCCCACATTCCTTCCTTGTAGCTCCCCGGTGTCTGCCATCAGGGGTGCTAGCTTGACCTCACCAGTTTGGTAGGGAGGTTGCAGTTCTCACCCTTACTTGAATTTTGGGCTTTTCTTCAATAGCTTGTTCTCCCTGTATTATCGAGGTCTTCTTGAGAAAATCCCCTACATGGGCACAGGGCCCCAGACTCTATAGAAGGAATTTCCTTCTCATTTGAAGTGCAGGGAAAATGACAGGTGTAAGAAGGGTGCTGGGAAAAGTGTAGCAGCATGCTGATATAAGGGCCGTAGAAAATTTCCTACAGGGGGAAGTTGTCAATTAGGTTTATCTCTAGGAAGACTTATGTCTGCAATCACATTCATGATTTTGTTATAAGCTCTGTGCTGCAGTCACCCAGCATGCTTCCAAGCTTTTATGAAAGTGTGGTGCTTTTGGGGAATGAAGGAAAAGGATCAGTCCTCAGGGTGAGAGAAGCATGTCAGTGTGGAGGGTGGGGGCTATGGAGATCAAGGCTGTGTTAGTCAGCTCAGACTGTCATAACAGAATACCACAGGCTGGGAGGCTTACGTGACAGAAATTTATTTTCTCACAATTCTGAAGACTGGAAGTCTCAGATCTTGGTGCCAGCAGGGTTAGAGTCTTGTAAGGGCTCTCACTCTGGATGGCAGGCAGCGGCCTCCTCAGAGTCCTCACACGGCCTTTTTACTGTGTGTTCGTGCAGACAAAGGGATCCGCTTTCTAAGGTCATTAGGATTCCACTTTTATGACCTTAATTTAACCTTAATTACTTCTGTAAAATCTGTCTCTAAGTACAGTCACATTAGGGGTTAGGGCTTCAACAAATTTTAGGGTGCACCACTCGGCCCATTAAAGAAGGTGGCGGCACAGGTGCAAGACGTAGCCTGCACTTTCTCAGGGAGAGATAAGAAATATCCCTCTCTTTCTCCAAATTTACCAGAAGCTGTCTTTATGACGGGATGGACAAAATCTTTGGTTTTGTTAAACAAGGTGCATCACTGAATGTTTTTTGTTGTATTCCTGCATCAGAGTTAACTTTCCAGCTTTCAATCCAAGGTGATGCCTGCTAGCATTCAGGACAGGGCTCACAGAGGCAGGCATGGCACTCACTCCTCAAACTTTCACTAAAATGAGAATCTTCTTCATCAGATGACACAACATGTATAACTCAAAACAGTCACCAAAACCACGCAGCTACTAAACAATCGCTGATCCACAATGCTTCAAGAGCAGCTAATGGAGTTATTCTTAGCAAAAGGGGTCACTTGTGTGAAGTGGAATCTTCCTTCTTAAATATCAAAGTGGCACCCAACCTGAAGGGACAATTTCACTGCAGAGATCCAGACCTGCCCCCAGTGTCAGCCACCAGAGCTGCAGGGCCTCTGTGGAAACGCAGTTAGCGCCATTCCCGGGTGATGAATTTGTTCCACTGTGTTTTCAGAGCCAGCCTCTTCCTGAGTAGAAAAATGATAGATTCTGCTCCATCCAGGAACACATCAGCCTATGACTTTCCTTTCAGAACAATCAGCGCAATGCATTCAAAAGAACAATTGTTTGATTATGGTTGCGATTTGTAAAATATCAGCTTGGGGAAGGGAAGGCTGAGAAGAGGCTTAGCTCAGCTCGTTGAAGTTTCTGAATAATAAAATAGGAATCTGCGCTCCATCTGCACCCAGGGGGCACTAGGATACCGTGATGAAGTTCACAGGGTTGGGAATCAAACCCACCTGAGCTAAGACCCTGGCTCTGCCTCTTGCCAGCTGCAGGGCTGTGGCTGTTCAGTTCCTGGGTTCCTCCACCTGTGAGGTGGGGACAATTATGTTATAAGGTTATCGTCTAAGACAATGCTTGTGACTGTCTTAGCACAGTGTTTGATACTTACTAAATGCTCCAGAAAATGTCTACTCTAAGTGGGATGTCAAATAATTGTCCAAAATTCATCAACTTTGAGATGGAAAGGGCACTATTAGTATTTACTCTGGGTCACAGGCATAAACCTGGACTTTCCCAGGCAAATGGTCATGTGTCATCCTGCCAGCCACAAGGACGAAACTGCCTGGTATAGCTTCTGTTTCTAACTCGATGGCCACTCTGGTGTAGTGGAAGATTTCCTCCCCATAGCAGATGAATTTGCCTTGAAATTGGAGAAAAGACACCAAAGTTGTAGCTAGGATCATGTTATAGATTGAATTTTGTTTTCCAAAAAAGGTCTGTTGGAATTCTAACTACCAGTACCTCAGAATGTGACATTATCTGGGACTGGGGTTGTTGCAGATGGGAGTAGCTAAGATGAGGTCATTCTGGAATAGAATGGATCCTTAATCCAATAGAACTGGTGTTTTTATAAGAAAAAGACAATTCAGACAGAGGCACTGAGAGAAAATGGAGGCAGAGTTTGGCGCGATACTGCCACAACTATCACAAGCCAAAGAGCAGCTGAGCTACTAGAGGTGAGAAGAGGCAAGGACAGGAATCCTCCTGGAGGTTGGGAAAGGAGCACAGCTCTGTTAACGTGTTGAATTTGGGCTTTTAGCATGCAGAAAAGCAAGGCAATGAGCTTCTGTTGTTTTAAGCCAATCAGTTTGTGGAGCTTTATTAAGGCAGCCCCAGGAAACTAGCACAGATCACAACGTTGACTAGCTCTGTGGTGCTGAACAGACTGTCCTCCTTGCTGAGCCTCAGTTTTTTGCCTTTAAAATAAGAACAGAGGCTGGGCACGGTGGCTCACGCCTGTAATCCCAGCACTTTGGGAGCCTGAGGTGGGCGGATCACCTGAGGTCAGGAGTTGGAGACCAGTCTGACCAACATGATGAAACCCCATCTCTGCTAAAAATACAAAAATTAGCCAGGCATGGTGCTGGGCACCTGTAATCCCAGCTACTCGGGAGGCTGAGGCAGGAGAACTGCTTGAACTTGGGAGGTAGAGGTTGCAGTGAGCCAAGATGGTGCCACTGCACTCCAGCCTGGGCAGCAGAGTAAGACTCTGTCACACACACACACACACGCACACACACACACACACACACACACACACAAAAGGAACAAAAGACTCACAGGTAGTGGTGAGGATTCAACATTGTGAGGTAGGTGGAAGTGTTCTCTCAGCACATTTCTGCCCAAGGGACAAAGAGAGAGGCACGTCACGTGTCCCGTCTTTCCACAGTTTAAAGACTCTTTGCTGCCTAACAGACAGTGGATGCAGTCAGCAAAACATATTATTAGTAAAAGACAAAAAAGGTTATTCTAGTTATTTGAACTGAAGGATTGGCTAAACCAAGTGGCCAGTTAGACAGGAGGGTGCTGAAGACCTTGGCGAGCTCTGGCGGCCCCTCCATGAGCACCTCTGTGACCCCACCCCCATAGGGTGTTAACAGGAACAGTGGGGATCCTGGTCAAAGTGTGGGGCTCTGAGGACATTTGTCAGAGGACTAAGGAAAGGGCAGGTAGGCAGATTCCTGAGGGAGCTCATAAGCCCTTAGCCATAGTGCTGGTCTCCCTGGCTGCAAGCCTGGGGACATTTGCAGATTTAAAACAGCCACTGATAGGAGCGATTTGGGAATTTCTGCTTACCCATCCCCGCTTGGCAGTGCTGAGACACAGGGATCTTTATCCAAGCCAGGCTCTGCTTGGAATCAGGACTGAGAACAGTTACGAAGGCCACATTTCAGAACCTGATGTTCTCAGAATCCACAGGCAATCTTGGAAAAAGTAAATGTAAGAAGGAAAAGTAAATAGATAATTGAAAGAATAAATAAAAAGCTGTCTGAATTGTGGCCTGGAGTTTCAGTCTGTTAGGAAGGCAGAGAGGACTGAGGGTGAAGGTGACATGGGGCAGCAGCGTACACTTGGGACGGGAGTTCCAATGACGTTTCCCTCGGAGGGAGCATAGTTTAGTGTTCACTAAAGCAACAAATCCGAACACCACCGAGAGCTGGTGCGGATTATATTAATAACAAAACACACCCCAATTTTATGTAGGCCCTTGCACAAACTCCTCCTCTGCGACTTGCTTCCCTTCCTAAGAAAGTTGAGCAGTTAGGATGGCCATGTGCCCCAGGGCCCTCTGTCCTTCAGCTCAGTGGCTGCAGTCTCAGCAGGATTCAGGGCTCGCCCTCAGGAGATGAGACACCAGCTTCCATGGTGCTCTTCCTCAACTTCTTCTCCAGATAGAAGCCAGAGTAGTCTCTCTAACATGTGAATCCAATCACGTCTGTCCCCACTGAGAATCCTCTCCGTAGGTCTGTCCTCAGAGAGACTGCGGTGTCCTCACGGCGCCTCTGCCTGAACGGCGAGGCTCCTGCCTGCCTTGATGACATCAGCTCCTGCCCCTCTCACTTTCTGATTCAGTTCCACCCACACTGTCCTTTTTATTCTTTGACATTCCAAAACTGACTCCAAGAAAATCACTTTATGGTCTATCTTCTATAATTCTCTTCTGGATACTTATATGGCTTTTGCTTTCTTTCTGGACAGGCCTTCTCTGGCCTCAGTGCACAAATAGGCAACTCCTCTCACTCTGTCTACAAAGGGGTTATCACTGCCTGATGTTAAGTTAGATGATGACACCTTCACAGAGTGCTGATCCCCCTACAGTGCCAGTTCTCAGAAAGCAGACATTTTGTCTCATTTCCCATGACCCCCAGGCACCTAGGACAGTGCAGGCATCTGGTGGGAACCGCAGTAAATGTCCACTGAATACATAGATGAGTAAATGGATGCATGAATCAGGTATTGAGATGCAGAATTATAGCTTGAAATTGCTGTCAACTTTTGTCACAAATCCGTGTTCCACAAAGCCTTAGGGCTTCATGTGCTGGCAGCTGTGTGACTCTGGACAAATTCTCATTCATTCACTCATTTATGGATTGCTCAACAGATGAGGATCATGCACCAGTAAAGGCCTGGCACCATGCAAGATGCCTGGGGCACGCTGCTGAGCAGACAGACCTGGTGCTGCTTTTCGTAAAACTCATATTCTACCAGTAGTATGGTCAGTCAATTTAAAAGGCAAACAAATTTAAAAAAAAAGGAAGTACTAGGTAGTGATATAGGCTATTTATAAAACAAAAAAAGGAAATGGAAAAGAGAGCAGCTGAGGTAGGTGAAATATACTTCACCCAGATGCCTGGGAAAGTTTTTTCTGAGCAGGAACACTTGGACTGAAATCTTAATGAAGAAGCTGGCCTGGTGAAGAAATCCAGGCAGAGACAGAAGCGAGTGCAAAGGCCCTGAGGCAGGAACAGACTTTGAGTGTTTGAGGAAAAGAGAACAGACCTTTATGGCAGGAGCACAGGAGATGAGCAGCAGGAGATTACCTTGGCGAGCAGGCGGGTGCCAGGACTTACAGGAGCTTTAGAGTCTTCCTCTGTGAAATGGGCCCAGGAGATGAGCGGCAGAGACAGCCTCGGTGAGCATGCAGGTGCCAGGACTTATGGGAACCTTAGTGTCCTAGTCTGTGAAACGGACACAGGAGCACCTATCCTGTAGGGTTGTCCAAGGGATCATGTAGGATAATGCACGCAGTGCATACAGCACATGGCTGAATACAGTGTAAACAGAAGCTGAAATCATCATTCTAGCACTGAAGCTTTGCCAGAAAGGGCACACAGACTTCAATGTTTGTAATAACTTTACTGTCTGGTCTGAGTAAGGCAGGACCTCTTGGCCACTGAGAGACAGAGATGGCCTGGAGCCCAGATGCGTGCCCTCCACCTGAGCGCTTGCTGCCTGCTCTCCCATCCGCCTGTCTGCCTACAAGTTTCCATAATGTCCATTCATTTTCAAATGGGTACACATGGGGAACCAGGCAAGAGCCACTGGGCATGAATGTTTCTGCTTGTTACAATCAGTTTTGGGGCCATTATGTAGCTGGAGGAGTTTTAAAAATCAAATTCTCATGTATCGGTAAAAGAGGAAAGAAGACCATAAAATATGAAAAGTCCTCCCATCTTACCATGGTGAGACTGGGAGCAAAACCCCAGGGCCTGACATGGCTCTGGAGTAAGTGGTTCGAAATTTGTCATCTCCGAGAGGGACTCCAGCCTCCCTTAGCTCTCCCTATGGTGAACTTTCCACTCAGGCTGACAGGTTCAAATGAAAAGGGAGGTGGCATTGGGAAGGTTTCTGGGTATGCTGGGCTGAATAGCACCCAGCTCCCCACTCTGTCTTCCAAGGAGCCACCTGCTTTGGCCTCTGCCTGAGTTTCTAGCCTCACCTCCCTGTGCCCGGCTGTGCTGGCTTCCATCCTGCCCCTGAACACTCCAAGTCGGTTCCCTTCCTATAGCTCTTACATCCAATTTTACCTTTGCATGGCTGGCTTTTTTTTATTATCTGTGATTTATCCCTGGCTTAGCAAGGCCTCCCTCGACGAGGCTAAATACAACATCCCTTCCTTCATTCCCCACTTGATTTTTTTCTCTAATGCTTATCACTGCTCTAAATTATTTTCTTTTTTATTAGCTGTTTCCCCTCAGTAAAATTGCATACGATATTAAGGAAGTGACTTTATCTGATTTGCTCCCCATGACACTTTAACATGTAGAACAGTGCCTGACATTTAATAGAAGTTTGTTGAATGAATAAATTATGTGAGAGAAGCTAACATTGAACTTGAACTTGCATAGGAAAAAGTAAGAAAGTATTGGAGGAATACTGGGGTATCTCATATAATTGCGGAAAAGGTCAAGCATTTGAGGCATAGAAAATACAGAGAGATGGCTGGGCCTCTGTTATCAGGGACTTGAATGCTTCTGGGACTCTCTCCATCTCTCTCCTCTGCTTCTTTTTGTGTGGGCATCATTCTACCTCACGGTGGATCCCCTCCCCACACAGCGAGAAATATAGCTGTGGAGGCTCACACATTTTAGTTTGTGACTAAAGAGGGAATCAATCTTTTATTAAATTCTCTTGTAAAATATCTCAGCCAAGAACTCTGATTGGTCTGTTTCAGCACCAAGGAACTCTGGTGGAGGGGGATGATGGAGATGGCTCATGGAAGAATGTGGTAGCTCCTAGTGTCACTGTACCCATACCCATGAGTGGGAATGGAGTGAGGGGTAATTTCCAAAATAAAGAAGTATTGGGAAGATGTCCACCAGACTGGGCCTTGAAATGCATATACATGGGAACATTTGAATAACTAGGAATAAAGATGGGAAGGAGAAAATATTTATCATAGGAAAAGCAAGCAGGGAAAGAGGCTAGAGTTAGGAAAACTGATTGGGAAACCTCTGCAGTCCTCCAGATGTGAGGTGATGCATGCACGTGTGCCTTAGCCTGGGTTTCTCTGAAAGAGACAGGTGTTCTATATTACTGACAAGCATTGTACCAGGACACAGGACAACATCTGACATTTAATCCAGGTTTGTTGAAGGAATGAATGATGTGAGGGTAGGGTGCGGCAGTGGGAGGAGAGTCAGTGAGTGCATGTGCCATTGAGCTGCTGCTGCCCTGTGTCAAGCACACAGCTTAGTATCAGGGCATTCTCTCCCATGAGGCACATAACTAACTGCTTCCAGGACAGTGCATCCGAGGGGAAAATAGAAAAGGAGTTTATGTTCTGGAGGATTTTTCCTTGACGAAAATTGGTCCCATGGAGCAGCAACTCCTCATACATCCAGACTGCACAGGGACAGGCACATAGAGAGTCTGTGCATCTCCTGCCTTATCAGCAGGGAAACCTCTAGGCATGAGGCAGGGCATTGTCAGGCTGCAGCCCCGAGGACCAGGGAGGGGGCAAGGGTCTGAACGGATACATAAAATGTGTCTGCTGCAGCGCCAAGATGGAAGGGAGAACAGTTGAGGGAGAAGAGAGGAAGGATCTAGGAGATGTGTGAAGGTTGGATGGAGCTTGCAAACTGATTGGATGTGGGGAAGAAGGTGAACTAAGAAGCTAAGATGGTGCAAGGTTTCTCCATGCTGGGTTGCCCAGGGTCTTAGGGTCAATCCCCTTTTTACTGTTTTCCTAAATTCTGATTTATCTGCACAGATTTTTGACCAAAAGACTTGATTTCTGGATCTCCAAACTTCACATTTCTCACCCACTTGGCAAATTCTGTCCTCACTGGCAAGTAACTAAGAGCTGAGATCTGGCTTTAAGTAAATAAAGCCAGGACACAATCAACCATTGGGGTAGAAAAAGCACAGCTGCCTAAAAGGTAGATCAGCACCAAGGCCATATTTTAAAAACACCAGGGGATGCTTCTGTCCATGTCCCAACCATAAGCAGCAGCGGCAGCAGGTGGCAGAGGGCTCTGTTGGGCAGAGCGTGGCCTGTCTGTTGATGGGCTCTCTGTCATGACCCGAGCCTCTGTCCAGGCACGTCAGGAAAATTCAAGGACATAAGGGTAGTCTGTTTCTTATCTCTTCCAGGGAATAGAATGGGTATTATATCATGGGCAAAACAGCAGGTGGGCAAGAGTGAAAGGAAGCCCAAGATGGAGTGGGGATTGGGCCACATTCTGCAATGAGTGGGTGGTGTCTTACACATCACACTCATCTCCCCTCTCCTGCAGTTGACATCACTGCCAATAGTAAACCACAACCAAATAATAAAAACCTGTTTTCTTAAAAACCGTAGTGAGTTTGTTTGCAGCGGCAGGAAATTGCATGGAGCTGGCATCTCTTAGGGTTTTAACTTCTAGAGTATAGTACAAAAAATATTATCATAGGAACTGAAAGACTATTGCTTTTGTCTAACCAAATACCTTGATAAATTGCTGGCGGGAGAAGGTAGGACCATGGGGACATTTGTTAGTGAGAAGCAAGGCTTCAAATCAGAAAACAAACTGGCAGGCATCAGAAATGAGCAAAGGATGGATTGGGGAAGAGTAGAAAAGGGAAGAAGAAAGAGGATGAGAGAGGAAGGATGGCTGAGCACATGGCCAGGTGATTAAGACCAGGAGTGTTTAACTACCAGTTTTAGAGTTTGCTTTGTGTGTTTCACTGCAGTGGAACCCCTTTGTCTTCTCAAACCTCCAGTCCTAATGATGACGGTGATAAAGCTGTTATTAACTGAGCTCTTACTAAGTGCCAAATACTGTACAAAATGCTTTACATACATTATCTCATTTAATCCTTCCAGCAGCATAGGAGTTGAGTATTACTATTATCTCCATTTTAACTATGAGGCAATGGAGGCTTGGAAAGATAATATGACCTACCCAAGATCACAAAGTTATAACACGGTAGAATCAACCTTCAAGCCCATGCAGTCTGATTCTAGAACTTGCTCTTAACCACTTACTTGCTCTGCTAATATGCTACACACAGATGCCATCTCTCTCTCTCTCTCTCTCGTGTATGTGTATGTGTGTGTGAAGCTACAGAAACTGCCTCAAGATGCAGGAGAGAGGAAGCAGGAAGTTGAAGACTTAGGTGGCCACAAGATGGAAGTTCCCCATGCGTTTGTGGGAATGTGAGGCCAGGATTGGCCTTCCCCAGGGCACGGTATAAAGATTATCCTTTCTAAATTTTAGAGGTCAGGGAGACCTTAGCTGATAACTGGTTTACTTTTCTAGACTAGCAATTCTCAATTTTGCATCTTGATAAGGAGGTGCTATTGTGAACAATTGTGAGGACTGCAGTGAGGATTCCTCCAGGAAATTTATTAATAATAAAGTAGTAGTGTTTGTAAATGATTTTTTGTTCTTGTGTAAATGAAAGCAGATTTAAGGTCATGCATGGTGGCTCATGCCTGTAATCCTGGCACTCTGGGAGGCTGAGGTGGGCAGATCACCTGAGGTCAGGAGTTCAAGACCAGCCTGGCCAACATGACAAAACCCCGTCTCTACTAAAAACACACACATACACACACACACACACACACACACACAATAGCTGGGCGTGGTGGTGCATTCCTGTGATCTTAGCTACTTGAGAGGCTGAGGCAGGAAAATCATTTGAACCTAGCAGGCAGAGGTTGCGGTGAGCCATGATTGTGCCACTACACTCCAGCCTGGGCTACAGAGTGAGACTCCATCTAAAAAAATAAAAATAAAAAAAAGAAAACAGATTTAAGTTGTTCCCTAGAGCAACATGGCTTTCATCCTTATGTATTCTGATTCACTTCCAGGAATAGGGGAGAAAGGCTGCAGCTATGTCACACATTACACATAACTCTACTCTGTCTTGCCCATGTTGTTGTCCATGGTCCACATTAAGCATGGAGACATTTTCCATCAAGAGATATCTTGGCACAAAAGCAGTTTAAGAATAACTCGACTGGGCAACTGCTTTATAACTAGAAGACTTTCCTCTCTCCTGGATTTTTGCAACACCTATAGCCCTTTGGAGAAAAAATGACATTAGGCATTTGCACGGGGGTTTTCTATATCATCATTCTGCATTGCTATGAATTTTGGCTTCCAGAAGATGTTTAATTGCTACCACATATAAAAGTGCAAACTGTGTAATTTTCCCACTGTGGAAATGATGAATGGTGGTGGGGTAGAGGTGGCTCGGACTTTAATTGGTGAAGAAGTTGGAACTTGTCATATACACAGGCAAGCAGAAATTTGTTTATTCTCCTGACAATTTTGCAGATATTCAGAAGCGAGTCCACAGCCAACAAAGAAGCAACTCATTCTCCTAAACCAGCATCACTTCCTTATCTAGATTAAGATGCATGATGGAAGGAGACCTGCTGGTGCCCCCTACAATAAGCTGGATTACCCCCAGCTTTGCTCACCATGTCCTTACCTAGGGCTTATTTGCATTTCAGAGAAAAGAGAGGGTGGGAGCAGCCAATGCTCATCCAATTCCAAACTGCTCTAGCTGCTGAGTTGCCAGCATGTCAACCGCAAGTCCCTTCTTGCTATGTGAGCTTTGAGCCCAAGGGCAGCCATGGTTGAGATGTGGGCTGAAATAATCAATGGGGACTGTTTTTGTACAAGTTTATTTGGGAGCCTCAGTGGTCACTCAGTTGATGAAATGGTATTTTTAGGGGAAGCTTTTAAGCCAGTGTTGGCCAAACATTTTTAATCTGGGAGATTTAATATAGCCCCACCAACAACAGAGGTAGCATTAGTGGTAGAGTTCTTATTCTTTTTTTCCTTCCCTTCCCTTCCTCCCCTCCCTCCCTCCCCTCTTTCCCCTCCCTCCCTTCCTTCCTTCTTTCCTTCCTTCCTTCCTCTCCTTTCCCCTTCCCTCCCTCCTGCCTTCTCTCCCTTCCTCTTTTTTCCTCCTCTTCCTTCCTCTCTTTCCCTCTTTCCCCCTTCTTTCCTTCCCTCCCTTTCTTCTCTCCCTCTCTCCTTCCTTCTCTCCCTCTCCCTTTCTTCTCTCTCTCTCCTTTCTTCTCTCCTTCTCTCCTTTTTTCTCTCTCTCCCGTTCTCCCTCCCTCTCCCCTTCCTTCTCTCCCTCTCTCCTTCCTTCTCTCTCTCTTTCTTCCTCTCTCTCTTCCTTCTCTCCTTCCTCTCTCTTTCTTCCTCTCTCTCTTCCTTTTCTCCTTTCCTTCTCTCTCTTCCTTCTCTCCTTTCTTCCTCTCTCTCTCCATTTCTCCCTCCCTCTCTCCTTCCTTCTCTCCCTCTCTCCTTCCTTCTCTCTCTCTTTCCTTTCTTCCATCTTTTCACTATTTCTTTTTCCCCTCCTTTTATCCATTTACTCTATGAGCATATATATATATATATATATATTCTTTGTTTCTGCTTTCTGACATAGAACTCCTAAAACCCTTAGAATTTACTGAATAATAGGAGTAACTTTTGTTATTCATAACAAACCCCTTTCAACCATACCTGCATTAGTGCTAGTGAGGTGGCTCTTTGAGAGTCATTTCCTGGGAGTGTCTGGATAGCAGCTGGTCCCCAGAAAGACTAAGCTTTGATTAGGCTTGACTGAACATTCAGCTCTGCCTGCTGAGCTACTGGGAGGAGAGAAGGGCTGCAGTTAGAGTTCGATTACTGATGGCCAATGACATAATCAATCATGCCTACATAATACAATTCCCTAAAAACCTCCAAAGGATGAGCTTCCAGATTGGTGAACATGCCAAAGTGCTGGGAGGGTGGTGTGCCCAGAGAGGATATGGAAGCTGTGTCTCCACCCTCCACACCCTGCCCTAAGTGTCTCTTCCGTTGAGCTGTTTCTGAGTTGGAAATGTTTTCCTGAGTTCTGTGAGCCCTTCCATCAAATAATTCTACCTGAGAAGGGGGTCATGGAGCCCCTCCATTTATAGCTGCTCCGTCAGAAGTGCAGGTAGCCTGAGTCTTGGGCCTCAAGTGGGGTTTGTCCTGTGGGAGAAAATCTCTTAATGTGTGAGATGAGATGCTGACTCCATGCAGAGAGTGTCAGAATTGAATTGCATTATAGGACACCCAGCTAGTGCTAGAGAATCAGTATTTATCCAACAACTAGTGTGTCCCTAGTGCTATTAAAGCTGAGAATAACTCATAAAAACATCAATTTAATAAATATTTACTGTAGCAATCCCAAAGGGACTTTTTCATAATCATATTCAAATATTAGTTTATTCTTCATTTACCCTGAATTAGAAATAAAGTCAGGGAGCTTTTATTTGTTAGACCATTAAGAGAGTCGCTAGTGACCAAATATGACACTAAGAAAAAAAATTTGGTTAACTATATTGTGAGTAACATTACAGAACTGCCAAATAGCTTTACCTACTATGCACTTAAAACTAAGTCAACATAGACAACTAACTCAGCAGTAAACAAGCATTTACCAAAACAGAGAGCAAAGGAGAAAGGAACAAAGGCAAGCCCAGGCGAGAAGAGTAGGATGGGTGGATAGGCCAAGGGTGTCTCCTGTGTGCTCCTCTTCCTTGCTTAAGAATTTCTGGAGAAAAACCCTTGACATGTCCCCCTCTTAACACTCAAGACACAGCAGCACTATTCACAATAGCTGAAAAGTGAAAACAAAACGAAGATCCAACTGATGAACAATAGAGAGAATGTAGCATATTCATACAATGAAATATTATATGGAAGTAAAAAAGACGAAGTACTGATACATGCTACCACATGGATAAATCTTGAAAATATGCCAAGTGAAAGCCAGCAGACCCAAATGGCACACATTGTATAGTACGGTATGTTAGAAATGTCTGTGTAAACCAAAAAGTACCTGAGGCAGGTCTCAATCAATTCAGAAGTTTATTTTACTAAGGTTAAGGATGCACACCCGAGAGACAGGTCTGTGCCTTTCTCCGAAGATGACTTTGAGGGATTTACTATTTAATGGGAAAAGTGTCTGGAGGAGAAAGAAAGAGGGCATGGTCACATTACTCAATCCATATGTTACAAGGGAAAAGAAGCAGTTGGGGAATTGTCAATTAGATATTCAGCTCACACTCAGTAAATCGTCTCTTTACACAAGATAAGGTGAACACAGAGTCGCTACCTGTTGAGATTTGTAGCCTTTCATCTGTAGCTCTCCACTTAGGAACAAAAGGAGAGGCAGCTTCTTGCATGACTCAGCTTTCGGCTTCATGTTTTTTTTTTTTTTCTTTTGACAGAGTGAATTGGGGTCCCAAGTTTTTATTCATCCTTTTGCATTCATAAAAGGCAAATCCATAGATACAGAAAGTAGATTAGTGTTTCTCAGGGGGTAGGGAAAGGAAAAAACGGCTGAAGGAATGCTAATGGCTAGAAAGTTTCTAACTGGGGTGATGAAAAACTTGTAAAATTAAATAGTTGTGGTGGTTGCACAACTTTGTGACTATGTTAGAATACACTGAATTGTGGCCAGGTGCGGTGGCTCATGCCTATAGTCCCGGCACTTTGGGAGACCGAGGCGAGCATATCACTTTGAGCTCAGGAGTTTGAGAACAGCCTGGGCAACATGGCGAAACCCCATCTCTACAAAACATACAAAAAATTAGCAGGTCATGGTGGTGTGCGTTGGTAGTCCCAGCTACTCAGGAGGCTGATGTTGGAGGATCGCTTCAGTTCTGGAAACGAAGGTTGCAGTGAACGGAGACTGTACAGCTTTACTCCAGCCTGGGTGACAGAGTGAGACCTTGTCTCAAAAACAAACAAACAAACAAACAGAAAACCCCACTGAATTGTACACTTCAAAAGTATGAATTTTATGATATGTGAAATATATGTCAATATAATAATTAATTAAAAATTGAGAATGAAAATATGAATAAAACTAAATTTCTATTTCTGTTTGATTGAGAGCAACCTCCAAAGTGTTGCTGAAGAATAGAAGAGGTGCCGGTGTGTCTATGTGAGCACCAGAGGAGCCTCACGGTCGAGGAACTATTTGAAATAAATCAAAATCTGCATAGGAGATTTTCCAGGGAGAGCAGAGAACACTCAGGGCACAAAGAGTCACTTTTACCAGAGCACAGCGGTCACTCTGGGGAAGTCACCTGTGGCTGGAACATGGCTGGGAGTCACAGGAGTAGAAGACGCTGGGCCCAGTGGAGGCCTCACTATGGAGGGACCTCGCATGCTGTAGTCACCAGGTTAGACTCACCCTGAGGTGGAAGAGACAAGTTAACAGGCACACTGGACACTATGCCAGGCTTCTCTACCTTATGCCTTTTCCATCTACCTTTTATTCCGTCTGTTGCTACAGCAATTGTCCTCTTGCAGGTGTAAACAGCCAGCACTCTGGTTTGCCTGCGCCATGTAGATCTTTTTCTCCTTCTTCTAGTGCTTCTCTGATACTGTGAAGTGTCTGTGAGAGCCATCCTGAAAGCTTGCATATGTGACCTGAAATTGTGAGGGAATTTGCAGCCCCATGGGGGCCACACTTGACCAACGGGAGGCTGGAGACAATGGATGAATACTCCTCCTGTCCTCTGGCTGGAATGATTTGCAGTGTATCCTAAATGGCTCCTCAGAGGATCATGGCAGAGTTCTGAACCAGTTGCCCATATTGGTGGCACCATATTGGCTGACCATCCTTTTCTGCCTTGCCCTTCCTAGTGCCCCATTCCTATTCCCTGGGATCATAGTCCATTTTTTATGGATGCCTGTAGGCAGCTGTCTCACGCTCTGCTTTCATAGGGGTGGTTGCAGGGTTGGGGCGTGGGGGCTCAGGGTAAGCATGAGGTTCCTGCAATAGTCCAAACCAGAGTAGTGAGATTTGATCCGCTTGGAGAGAAAAGCATTGGTAGTCATGGTGATTACAGGTGTTTGAAGTCAATGCTAAAGCAGAACAATGTTCACCAAGAATGATTCTGGAGGAGGAAAGTGAGGCTTCTTTCGTTTTCCTGGGAGTGAATGATGTACTCTTGTAGGCCTTGCAGCTCTATTTGAATTGTCTGTTCTGTGCCCAGATGAAGAATAACCAGTCACAGTCTCAGCTCTTGAGCCTGCAGCCTCCTGGGGGGCACTCAGGTGAACAGACAACTTGAACAGGAGTCTATATTTGTACCAAGGGACTTCAGGATAGGTAGAAGAACATGTGACCCGTATGCCGATATGCCAGTGGCTGTCTCCTCAGCCCCTATCATCTGTTACTGTGATCCTTTGCAATCTGGAATCCAAATGCTTTTTAAAAAAATAACTCTTAATAATTCACAGGATGGCTGTGGTCCCTTCTTCCCATACAGCCATTTCTGGGCTTTCATCCCATCTGTTCTTTCACCGTGGCATGCCTTCCTCCCCTTTCTACTTATTGAAATCCTACTTACCTTCTAAGGATTGGCTGGATTGCTGCCTCCTCCTTCAGAAACAGTGAATTGCTCCCTGCTCTGCAGTCCTGAGTTACAGAGCTCATCACACTCTGTCTGGCACTAGAGTTGGCTGTTTGCACATCTGTCTTCACCACAAGGCTAGAATTTGGGAACAGAGGCAGCCTAGTGCACCCCATCCTCCCTGTGTCTCTTAGACATGTTTGGCACCTCGTGGTTGTGTATTGAGGGTAATGTTACAACATAACCCTCCCTAATTGGTCCATTAGTCCTTTCTGATAGTAAAGTGCAGAGCTTTGCAACAACAACGATGACACAACAACAACAATACAATGGCAGCAATGACTCAGTCTTCAGTGAGTTGAGTGGTTTGGAAGAGTCATTGGAAGGGGAAGCCCTGGTGCCGCCTCGCCCTCAGAAGCCTCATCTTCCAGGACTGATCAGGACCAGGGTGCTGAACTCTTCCTCTTGTACTTAAAGAACTTAGGGGTTTATTTGTTTTATTTTAATTAATTAATTAATTAATTTTGGTGTCACTTCAGTGAGGCCAAAGCCCAGTGAAAGCATGTCTTCCTCTGCCTCCTGCCGCTGCACAGAGCCTTCATGGAGCCAGCTGTGCAGCTTCGGCAGAGTCCCACTCACACTCCTAGACCTCTTTCAGCTGAAGTGTCCCTGAGGGCAGCAGCGGCCACTCCCGAGCAGGTGCTCTGTGCCGGGCCCTGTGCTGGATCCTGTGTGTGCATTTTCTCATTGCTTGTCATCCTCACTTTAAACACAAAATACTGAGACCCAGTGAGTGATGTTGCTTGTCTGGGGCCTGGGCTTGAGACTCCAGGTTTTCTGTGGTCAGAGCTTGAGCTTATAACTATTGGGTTTTCCTGTTAAATCTGGGCACAGTGTAGAATCTTCACCTTCTTATAAGCCTGGCTGGGTGTGGTGGTTCATGCCTGGAATCCCAGCACTTTGGGATTAAGCCAAGGCAGAAGGATTGCTTGAGGCCAGGAGTTCAAGACCGGCCAGGGCAACATAGTGAGACACCATTTCTACAAAAACTTAAAAAATGGCACATGCTTGTAGACCCAGCTACTTTGAGGGCCTGAAGTGGGAGGATTGCTTGAGCCTGGGAGGCTGAGCCTGCAGTGAGCCATTATCACGCTACTGCACTCTAGCCTGGGTGACAAAGCAAGACCCTGTCTCAAAAAGAAAACATACACACACACACACACACACAAACAAAAACAAAACAAAACAAAACAAAAAAAACCAAACCAAAACAAAAAGCCATTAACTCAACCAACAGAGGCCAGCTCCAAGCAGAGGGGACAACATCTCTGGAGGAAATGATCTCATCATAGCCTTGGGGTCTTTAGGGCTTGCTCTGAAGTTCAAATACATAAGCCTCCTTCTGTTTTTTCTTTTCTTCTTTCTCTCTTGTTATCCATCATCCAAGTTTTTAACTGCAATGTTTTCAGTTAACATTCTGATAATGGATTTCAACAGACAGCTAACTATTTTGTCCTTAATATTCTTCAGTGGGACAATACATATAGAGGCTGCTCTTAATTACGAAGGAGCCTGGCATTCTATTTAGATGAGCAAGGCATCCTCTGACAGGTTGTAGTGGAGAATCCCGCCTGCTGGCATGTGGGGCATTAGGCAGTGGAGGGTAACATTTAAGGATGCACCTGGGCCTGGCTTCTTACGCCCCTGCTTTGGAAAGAACAAAACTGTGTGAGTGATCATGAAGGACTCTGACAAGTTTTCCTTCCGAAATGCTATTCGGTAACAAATACAGCTTTGTCTTTTCTCGGCCAGTTTATGGGTGTATTTCAGTTTAAAAATAGGTTTAAGACAATGAAGAAAGCTAATGCAAAGTTCTGAGGCCAAAAACATCCAGTTTTCCAGTCGAAGGAGGAATGGATGCTTGATGTGAAGTTTTGCTCACCAAACCATAGAGCAGAAAGACACTCATATGTTCTATGAGGTTTTAAACACTAATTGTTGCATTCCAAGTGGCACAAACACACACATAGGATTTTCCCAGCAAGTGTGGTGACTGTGTGCACAAAGTAGAACTCTTCTATGAGAAGCATTTAGTTCACAGCAGTTTCCTGAACATAGTGCTGGGTGGCACAGCTGTGCCTCTGAACACACTGTTCTTTCTGACAGGAGTTCCTCCCTCCCTACTCACCACTCCCTGAAACACTCATCTGTATGTATTATTGAAACTCAAGCATCTCCTTTCTTTGCAAGATGTTTCCCTACTCAGCCAAATTTGATCATCCCATCTCTGCACTCCCTTTGCCTAGCATATACTTAGCTCTCATTGCTCAACCTTGCAAATGTTTACATGTCTTTATTTACTATTACAGGGTTGTCCAAACATCTTGTGTGTCTTACTTTCATGATTTTTCCTGTGTCTGTGTTTTATTCATACTATTACTGTCTTAATGATTTTCCTTAAGTTCGGTCACCTTTAACATTTGCAAGGACACTATTCACAATAGCAAAGACATAGAATCAGCCCAGGTGCTCAACAATGGTGAATAGGATAGAGAAAATGTGGTACATACACGTATGATTATTGCAGCTCTATTTAAAATAGCAAAGACTTGGAACCAACCCAAATGTCCATCAATGATAGACTGGATGAAGAAAATGTGGCACATATACACCATGGAATATTATGCAGCCATAAAAAAGAATGAGTTCATGTCCTTTGCAGGGACATGGATGAAGCTGGAAACCATCATTCTCAGCAAGCTAACACAGGAACAGAAAATCAAACACCACATGTTCTCACTCATAAGTGAGAGTTAAACAATGAGAACACATGGACACAGGGAGGGGACATCACATACAGGGGCCTATTGAGGGGTGGGGGGCAAGGAGATGGAGAGCATTAGGACAAATCCCTAATGCATGCAGGGCTTAAAACCTAGACGATGGGTTGATAGGTGCAGCAAACCACCATGGCACATTTATACCTATGTAACAAACCTGCAGATTCAGCACATGTATCCCAGAACTTAAAGTAAAATAAATAAATAAATAAATAAATAAATAAATAAATAAATAAATAAATGCTTTCTATCATAAAAGAAAATGTGGTACATATGTACTATGGAGTACTACACAGCCATAGAAAAGAATGAACTTATGGGTGTTTTTTTTTTTTTTTTCCAGCAACACAGAAACAGCTGGAGGCCATTATCCTGAGTAAATTAACACAGGAATAGAAAAGCGAATGCCACATGTTCTCATTCATAAGTTGGGAGGTAAAAGTTGGGACACAAAGAAGGAAACAATAGATACTAGGAACTCTGAACGTGGGGAGGAAGGAGGAAGGGTAAGGGCTGAAAAACTGCCTACGAGGTACTGTATTCACTACCTGGGCAATGGTACCATTAGAAACCCGAACCTCAACATCACAAAATACACCCATGCCACAAACCTGCCCATGTACCAACCACCCGAATCAGAAATAGAAAATAAATCAATAAAATTTACAAGGAAGCTTAGCATCTCCTCTGTAGATGAGACACCAATAACAGTTGCCAAAGCGGTGACTGGACAACATTCTTCAGTTCCAGCAGAACTCTGTCGCCTGTCAAAGCAGGCATGAGACCTGCTCTATATCTGAGATCAGCCAGTGATAGAAAGGCGACAGACAGGCTGGCACCAAACTCAGACCTTTTCCTAAATGTAATCAGAAGCATGGAAGGTGACTGAACATGCAGTAACTTTTCACTCTGCAGTGATGTGACTTTATACTGTGTCTGTGAGTCACCTACAATTCCCTCTTATCTTACCCAGGGCAGGGGTTCTAATGTCTCACACTTTGAGAAACACTTTCCCCTGGACTGGGAGCTCCTCTGGAAGGCAGTGACAGGTCTTTCTCATATCTACTGTGCCTGGCACACAATAGAATGAACATTTCTGGGTGGAGTCAATATTATTGTACTATATTTAATGAACAAATGAATTCACTTGTTCTTCCTGACTGAGGAGCACTGTGTTGGGAGGACACAGATGCAGCCATCAGCAATGTATGGAGAGATTTTGAAGTTATGTGGCTCCTATTTTCTTGCCTGGTAAAATGCAGGACATATCTAATAATAGCTTTAGCATTTACTATGTGGTAGGTACTGCGTGAATGGTTTGCACAATGAGATCATTTAAACCTGAGAGGTAGGTGTTTATATCACTGACTATAAGATGAGGAGGCTGGGGCCCAGAAAGGCTAAGTAAGTTATTCAAGGGCACACAGCAATAAGTAACAAGATTAGGTGTTAAACCTGGTTAATCTTACTCCAAAGCCATCTCCACTTTACAGAGCTTCTTCTTTACACTTCTTGATGGAAAGCCCAGGCTTGGGCATCTGGAGAGCTGGAGGCCAGCTTCTTGTCTGATGCTGATTCCCCATGAGAGCTTGGGCCTCTGTGTTCTCCAACTCTAAGAAAGGGAATGAGACAAAAACACTTGGAAAGCTTGTTAAAACAACTAGCCCCAGTTGACAAGCCAGAACCTCTGAAGGTCGGGTCCAGAACACCACATTAAAAAAGAGAAATTACAGATGAATTTTATATTAGTTTCATGTTGTTGTGACAACAAATTACTACAAATGTTGTTCCTTACAAACAATGCAAATATATTATTTTAGAGTTTTGTGGCTCAAAAGTCTGGTATGGACCTCACCAGGCTAAAATCAAAAGGTTCAAAGGGCTGTGTCCTTTCACTAAACTCTAGGGGAGAAGACATGTTCTTGCGGATTCAGGTGTTGGCAAAATTCAGCCCCTGAAGTGGCACTGCTGAGGGCAGTGTTTCCGTGTGGCCAGCAGTTGGCAATCATCTTTACCTCCCAGCATTTCCTCCTGGTTCTTGCACATAAGTCCCCTGTGTCTCCAAATCCACATGGGGTGTCACACCCTTCACACGCCACCATCGCTCTTGCCTCTTCTTCTTGTCATGGCTTCTCTCTGGCCCACGCTTCTGCCTCCCACGTCCACACACAAGGCCCCCCTGGGTAATTCAGGGTACCCCCCACCTCAGGGTCCAGAACGCTCATCACATCTGCAGACTTCCTTTTCTCAAGGCAGGTGACATAGTCACAGGTTCAGGGATTAGGGTGTGGACATCTTTGGAGGTCCACTATTTTGCCCATTCCAAATCCCACACTAAGTAGTGAGAAGATGGTCTGCCACATTATTTTTTTCTCTACAATAAGTATTTTGGCATGACGGCCTTTTGGTTTTACTCCCTGTACCTTGAACAACTTTCTTTCCCCTCAGCTGCAGCTCATTGTTTCTGCTGCCTGGAGTATCTTCTCCCATCACATGTCACTGTGTTGAAGCAGCACACACCATTAGCCAAGAGTCAGCTTGAACCCTCCCTGCTGTACAAAGCCGTTTCTGGGACCCTTGTCAAAATATTATTTTGTGCCTATTGTCTTATAGCATGCCACCTTATAGCATTCCACATGGGACACCTCCCAGGCTGCCTGGCCAGCTGTTTGCCCGCAGTAGGCACTGTGTGTGTTTGTGTGTGTGTGTGTGTGTGTGTGTTGAATGGAACCAATGGAGCAGAGGCTTTGCTGGCCCAGTCACGATGGTCTTCTTCTTCTTCCAGAGATTGTGTTAGCCTAGCCATGTGACCCAGCATTGGCCCTTGGGTACACTCCAGTGATAACTGCTTAAACAGAGTCACACAAAATATGGTGCCACTTCATGGACTTAGATTGCCATTTTTGCATCTAAAAATGTTTATAGTAATTTAATGGACTAATTTTATGCTTGCTAAATCTAATAATAATAAATAATTGAAGCTTGGATTTGTATATATTTTCCTTCATTAATTTGTTGATTTGTATTGTAGTTTACAAAAATATTGATTCATAATGGATTGAAAATAAAAACAAACTAATTCTTCATCTCAGATAGTTTGAGAAGCTAGGGAACTTTGAGGAAAGGCTTTCATAACTAAAAGGAAGGATGTTCCTTCTCTGTGGGGTGTGCCGCATCTACACATGACACTGTATTCATCCAAGGGATCACATAAGAATTCTATATGGTTGGAATGTCAGAGCAGGAAGAAGAATTCCACCCTGGTGAAATGCCAGAGCTGAGGATATCAGAGTAGGACAGGCTGCTGACATTTATTGGTAACATTATTAGCTACTACTCACAGAGCACTTACTATAGAACCAGCACTTTTCTACATTATTTACACAAATTTACTCATTTAATCCTTACAATGTTAACATACCATTGTTACCCTATTTTACAAAAGGAGAAACTGAGACAGAAAGAAGCTCAGGGGCAGGCCTGGCTCCCGAACTCAAACAATCTTATTACAGAAAATGGCTCTTGACCATAATGACGTGATGGAGCCACAGACTGATGAGAGTTGAGCCACCCTGGAATCAACTATCCCGGGTTTCTGTATGTGAGGAATTAAATCCCCCTATCTGAGCCACTTTAGGTTGAAGCCATTACCTTTGGCCAAAAACACAGGCACTGACACAGTGAGAGAAGGACTGTCTCACCTGAAGTGTGTATTTGCTCACTCGCTGAGGAAATGGCTGGTAAAGCAATGGGTGCCATTGAAGGGGTGGGTTGCCCCTCCACACCTGTGGGTGTTTCTTGTTAGGTGGAACGAGAGACTTGGAAAAGAAAAAGACACAGAGACAAAGTATAGAGAAAGAAATAAGGGGACCCAGGGGACCAGCGTTCAGCATACGGAGGATCCCGCCGGCCTCTGAGTTTCCTTAGTATTTATTGATCATTCTTGGGTGTTTCTCGGAGAGGGGGATGTGTCAGGGTCATAGGATAATAGTGGAGAGGAGGTCAGCAGATAAACAGGTGAACAAAGGTCTCTGCAGCACACACAAGGTAAAGAATTAAGTGCTGTGCTTTAGATATGCATACACATAAATATCTCAATGCCTTACAGAGCAGTATTGCTGCCCGCCTGTCCCACCTCCAGCCCTAAGGCGGTTTTCCCCTATCTCAGTAGATGGAACATACAATTGGGTTTTATACGGAGACATTCCATTGCCCAGGGACAGGCAGGAGACAAATGCCTTCCTCTTGTCTCAACTGCGGAAAAGGCATGCCCTCCTCTTATACTAATCCTCCTCAGCACAGACCATTTACGGGTGTCGGGCTGGGGGATGGTCAGGTCTTTCCCTTCCCGTGAGGCCATATTTCAGGCTATCACATGGGGAGAAACCTCAGACAATACCTGGCTTTCCTAGGCAGAGGTCCCTGCGGCCTTCTGCAGTGTTTGTGTCCCTGGGTACTTGAGATTAGGGAGTGGTGATGACTCTTAAGGAGCATGCTGCCTTCAAGCATCTGTTTAACAAAGCACATCTTGCACAGCCCTTAATCCATTTAACCCTGAGTGGACACAGCACATGTTTCAGAGAGCACGGGGTTGGGGGTAAGGTCATAGATTAACAGAATCTCAAGGCAGAAGAATTTTTCTTAGTACAGAACAAAATGGAGTCTCCTATGTCTACTTCTTTCTACACAGACACAGTAACAATCTGATCTCTCTTTATTTTCCCCACATGCCATCCACTCCCAGTGAGTGTTTGCAGCTGAACTGTCAGCCTCAGGCCTGTAAAGTTGAATAGATTTGTTAGTGAACAACACTCATAACCTTATCTCACCCATATCATGATTTCATTTGTCCTCTAAATCTTCCTCTAGATGGTGTGGAAATAAACTCTTTAAGACACGTAAGCAGAGCAACTGCAGAATAGGCAGGGAAGTGCCGTGGCCAGCCCACCCACAAACACCATAATCAAGCAGCCTCCCTCCTGTGCCTCCCTCCGGATCTCTTTCTGCTCAAGGCAGACTCACACTGCTGTCTTTTGCAAGTGTATTTACATCATACTTCCTTCTAAAGCCAGGCCAAGAATTCACCTGCAGGGCCTGCGAAGATGCTGTCACATCTGTGTTTAGAGGCTTCTGAGATTTACAGAGTAGATTTTCCTGGCCCCACTTGTTCTCTGGTTGAGACAGGTCAAGTGGACCTTTATGACCCCTCTTGAGGTGGCTCATTCTTGAATGACAGCTGCAGTCTCTCTTGGTGGCTTGAAGGTTTTTACTGAAGGCCATGACCTAACAACAAATGATTAACTTGGCATGTTGAATTTAGACTTTCTGGTTTGAGTCACAGAAAATGAGATCAGAGTAGATGATTTTCACTACTTTCGCTTCATAAACATCTTTTTGAACTTATCTTTATCTTTAATTGCAGAAAAGTTATTTTTAAAAGTTATTTTAAGAGAGAAAGCTATACAAGCTTTCTTCTAAAGTCAATGTTAAGGGATTTATCACTGTAAGTGACATTTTTTTCAAAGCTATGTTGGTGAAGATTTAAACTCAGGGGTTGAGAAGGAAAAGATTAAGCAGATGTCACTGTTTGAGTTGAGGCTGTGCTTTGCAAATCTTCTTCCCCTTTAGCAATAAAGACAGAAGTAGTGATATTGACATAATCTGCATTCAGATCATCAGAATTTTTTTGGTTCATAACATGAATCAAATACAGCTTGGCTCGATTCAACGCAACCCAGCCAGAATAATGTTTTGATTTCTTAATCTTACTCTTCTTCCTAAAAATGATATAATGGAGAGCTACCAGAGTCAGATTCCTCCTCCTTAGTGGACATTAGGAGAAACCAAGTCAGAGTGATTACTGCCCCATTTCCCTTTGACTTTGGGAATGAAAATAAATTGTCTCAGCTCTTATAGACAGCAGTGTGTGTATTAGGCCATTCTTGCCTTGCTATAAAGAAATATCTGAGACGGGATAATTTATAAAGAAAAGAAGTTTAATTGGCTCACAGTTCTACAGGCTGTACAGGAAGCATAACACAGGCATCTGCTGCTGAGGAGGCCTCAGGAATCTTCCAATTATGATGGAAGGTGAAAGGGCAGCAGGCTTCTCAGCTGGCAGCAGCAGGAGAAAGAGAGAGGGAAGGTGCCACACACTTTTAAACAATCAGATCTCACAAGAACTCACTCACTATCAAGAGAACAGCACCAAGGGAATGGTGCTAAACCATTCATGATGAAACCACCTCCATGATCCAACCACTTCCCACCAGACCCCACCTCCAACAATGGGGATTACAATTTGACATGAAATTTAGAGGGGACACATCCATGCTATATCCATGTGCATATGGGCAGGGAAGTTTGCTAAAGGTGTGAGTACTGAACACAGTAAAGGCACTTTCATAAGTGATGGTGGTTAAGGCTAACGGCCCCTCATTCATGAAGCTTAAATTCTTTTCCACTTAGAAAGACATTCCAAAACAGACTCAACTGAGATTTTTTCTCTGCCTCTTCATGAGAGGTGAAATTATAGTGATCTGAGAATCTAAGCCATAGTCCAGAAGGAATCTTCTGTAAGCCACACCCATCCCAAGGCAAATGAAGCCCCAAGCAAAAGTCTTCCATCCTGGGGCCAGGGTGGTGGTGGTGGAAAATGAGGGCTGTGTGAGTGATGCCATTTTTTTTCTTTTCCTTTACACCCATGCGCTCAGTAGGCAGGCCTTTCCTCCTTTTTCAAGAACCTGATGTTAAGAGGGCTTAACTGGAGGATGAGCTTGAGAATCTTGGAATAAGCCTCTTATGAGCCACAGCAATTGGCATAGAAACCAGGCCGGCTCACACCTGACAAGGGGTTGGGTAACCATTGACATCTTAAGGATTTCCAATTGAGAAGCTCTCCCAATGAAGACCCGGCTTGCACAGGATGGAGTCTTTTTTTTTTTTTTTTAGTTTATTTCACACACATCTGTTGCCTATTCTTGGTTGGATTCTGCTCTGGCTGCTGAGCACATGGCGATAAAAGCCAGAAAGACATAAGAATGAGACTTCCAGTGATGGAGGAGAGATGGAGTTAACTAAGTAAACATAACCTGTATTACTTAACCCTGGAAGTATCATTTGCTGTGGAGCTCAGAGTGCTGGGTGTGTGGGGAATAGGGCAGCCTGACTTGTCCTGAGGTTCAGAGAAGGCTCTCCTATTTGATGGAAATCTGAGATAACTAGAAACTGGCAAAAAAAGAAAGAGTTACAGGCAGAAGCAGGAGCACAAGGAACGAGAGACAAATGTGTATTTGAGGAATAGAATGTATAAAGGGCACCTTGGTTTAGAGCCTGGAGGGTGATGCAAGTGTTACAGACCCAGGACACACTCAGGGTTACATGAGGAAGACCTCAAAGGCCACGGTGAAGAGCTGAAAAGAGCCTGTTAACAGAAGTGGGAGGCGTTTTAAGCAGAGTGTAAGATTAGGTTACTGTTCTTCGACAATCACAGCAGTTACTATGTGTAAATGGATTGGAGAAGAAAAGACATAAAATGTGAGGCCAGTCAGTAAATAATACAATTGTTCAGCAAGAAACGATGAGTGGCACTTGGGTGTTGTGGCATGGGTGTAAATTTTGTTTTGTTTTGTTTTGTTTTGAGGCGGAATCTCGCTTTGTCCCCCAGGTGGGAGTGCAGTGGCGCAATCTTGGCTCACTGCAAACTCCACCTCCCGGGTTCAAGAGACTATCCTGCCTCAGCCTCCCAAGTAGCTGGGATTACAGGCATTCACCACCATGCCCAGCTAATTTTTGTATTTTTAGTACAGACAGGGTTTCGCCATGTTGGCCAGGCTGGTCTCGAACTCCTGACCTCAGGTGATCCGCCTGCCTCAGCCTCCCAAAGTGCTGGGATTACAGGCGTGAGCCCCAATGCCCGGCCTGGGTGTAAAATTTAAATACTTGTCATCCAAATTCACTTCTCAAACCTTTCTATCCACTCAGAGGACAACAATGTTATGATTCTGTATGTGTTAATTTTTTATCAGGGTTTACGTATCAATTACATTTGTAATGCAGAATAGCTGAACATGTAGAGAGTCACAGATGGGTCCCTTTGCATACTCAAGATAAGCAGTGTAGTTTCATGGGGCTTGGGCACACAACTAAAGAGATTTTCATCTATTACAAAGTTGTGCTTAAGACAGTTTTGTCATAGCTCTGATTTATTAGATGTTGAGCTCTTGGTCTAGAACAAACCTCCAATAAAGGCATTGTTTTTGTGGGGAAATGCAATTAGCTTTATAATAGCATGCTTTATGGGTGAATTCCCAGGGGATTCTTTGATAAAAAGTGAGAAGTGGCTATACCCTATTGATTCATTTATTCATCCAACCATTCATTTTTGAGCACCAGATATATTCTAGGCTAATTATGTGCTAGATACAGGAGATAGCAAGATGCCCTCAATAAGGAGTTTGGAGCCCAAAAGGGCCAGGCTCATCTTCAAGCAGGAAAATCCCAAACCTAAACTTCATCTCATCAGAACTCATGATAATCTCTGCTGTCATATTTTCTCACACCACCCTTTCTCCCACTTAGCTGGCCCTTTATTGCATCCAGACAGACATTATTCATAGGCACAGTTCCCTAGAGACCCAAGACAACGGGCCAAAAAGAAAAGGCAAAGAAAGCCAATTTGTTCAAAAAGATTGCTGTGTAATATCTGTCTAGGCCTTGAGTTTTGTGGCTTAGTGTTTATTCCCTACAAATGACTCAGTATCTCAGAAATATTTTAAAGTGAACCTTTAAAAAATCAACAAACTGTGTCTTTTTCTACAATAAAATTATCTGAGTCAAAGGCACTGCCCTTCATTGATAAAATAGATAATATTTATTAACTCCCTGATGTAATGAAAGATGCGGTGTTTAGAGATGCAGCAACCATGTGGATGATTTATCACTGAGCCAGCTTCTGAAGCTGGCTTCCCAGGCCTGACACATAAATAAGAGCTCAGAATACCTCTTTTTAGTGACCTGGACTTTATGCTATATCCTCTCCTGAGACACAAGATAAACACTTAGCTTCTTTTAGCAGAAACACTTTGAAGACATAAAAGCTTTTCCAAGAAATCATTTATAAAAGCTGCTGCCTTTGAGAGGCCTGCCCATGGCTCTGTAATGAAGCAGTGGCTTATGTTTTTCTTTCTCTTGCTGAACTGTCTTGTTGTTTATTCTTTTTTGTGTTTTTAAAATGTGCTTATTTTTCAGAGGCATTTGAGGATGCAGCCAGAGCACAGAACTGTTTAAAATGTATAATTGTTAACCAGCAAACCAGGTCTGCGCTTTTGTGAAGGAACAAGCAGAGGGAACTGTCAGCTGGGGTCTCAGAGCTGGTTCCAGAAAAAAGTTCTCCGGAGATTTTATGTGTAATACCTGACTGTTTCCCAGCTCTTAATTTCTGTGAGTGTCTATCACTAAGCAGGTAGCTCTAAGGGTCAGAAATGGCATCAAAATCCTGCAACCTTGTTTATCTCCATGGGCATATGTACCTGTGTGAGAGAGACAGAGACAAGGAGAGGGATAAATCAAGATGAAAAATAATGGCTTCCACAGTTATTGGTAATGATAACAACATTAAGAGTGGTAATAATAATAATCATATTAGTAGAAACAATAATAATGATAGTAACAATGACTACATTGTGTTGAGTACTGCTATGTGTCAGACACTGAACTAGAGTTGATGTTCATTATCTACTTTAATCCTCAGAATTCCAGAGAACAGATTATATTAGTCAGAATAGGACAGGTTATGCTGCAGTAATAAGCAAATCTTGAAATCTCAGCAATCTGACACAAGTTGGCTGTGTTTCTTACCATATCACAGTCTGCTGTAGTTTCCCTGGTCATCCTTCTCCAGCAGAAACTCAGAGATTGAGCTGGTCCCTTCCTGTCACTCTCCATCTCCAAGTTCTTAGATCTCTTGTCTGTGAAGTTGGAAGCAAAGTGTGGAGAACTTGTATCTTTCCTTAAATGTATCAGATGAGAATTGAAGTGTTCCAATTCCCCTTACAAACTATTGGCCAGAAATCTTCAGATAGCCCAGACAAACTGCAAAGGGGCTGTGAAGCAATGGGAAACCCATGAGTTACTTATTGAGCACGACTGTCTCTGCCAGGCAGATGCCACAATTGTTACCATCTTTTGGAAGAATGAGAGATTTTGAGGGGTCAGTCTCACCATAACGAGAGGCAGGACCAAGGCTGGACCCAGACTGGGGGGACCCTGACCCTGCATACTCAAAAACAGGGCTCAAGTACCTTGTTTGTATTCTTTCTGGATAATTAGATTTCTTCTTTCCTTCATTCCACAAACATTTGACAAGCATCCACCATGTACCAAGAGCTGCCCTGTGCTCTGAGGATACCACAGTGGACAAGTCAGATGAGATTCAAGAATAAAGGAGACAGATGGCTGTGGGGCTGAAGCTTGCTTTTTCTTCCTACTCCCCAGACTAATTTCTTGAGCAATTACTGTGTACATAACACTGAGCCGAATAGATCCTGATCTCAAGAATTGTTGATCTATTGAGGTAAACAGGATGTCACAGTTCTTTATGCTTTATAGGACTCTTATGCTCTGCCTGATTACCAGGTGGAATAGACCAGTTATTGTGGGACCCATGCTAGGGAGAGGTCTAGACATGCTCCCGTGTTACAGGTGGAGTGTGAACAGGCGACAGGAAGTAAGATGTCTAACAGATATTGATGCAGTGAAGGATGAAGAGACTTGCAGGAGCAAAAACCCACAGTCAAGGGCATCACGTCTGTCCAGACAGATGCAGCAAGGCCCACACTCATGTAGAAGGGGAATGTGTGTGCAGGGCATGTGTGGCGGCAAGGTTGGAAGCCTTCTGTCATCAGAAGACATGGAGAAGGCAGTCCAGCAGCATGGTCAGCACTCAGGCTTTGCCATGAGACAAGACTGAATACCAGCCTGGCTGCCCTCCTGCTGTAGCCTCAGACATGTCCCTTATCATCTCTGAGTTTTCATTTCCTAATATTTTAAAATAGGGATAATTTTCGAACCCTCTTATAAGATTGCTGGGAAAATTTAATTACATAATCCTTGTAAAGTGTCTGGCACATAGAATCTAGGTTTAGGCCACGCCTACTTATTTAAACAGAAAGCAAAAGTGAAGTGGCTCATGAAGTTGATCACGCAGTGTGTTTGCTCCATACTACATCCAGAATCTTCTCGAGAAGAGAGAACCTAAACATAACTTTCTCTCTCTCTTCTCTCTCACCATCTGTGTCCCTTTCAATCCTATTTCTATTTATCTGTTTAAATCAAAGTGCAAAGACAGACATATTAAGACACAATTAACAGAGAAGACAAAGGCAAAGTTAAAAGACAACTCCCAGTGACCCCATATTTGTACTTAGAGAATCATAAAAGGTGCTTCCTCCCTGGGGCAGGCAGGTTAGGTGGTGGCTGTCAGGTAACTTCTGGATTCCTACCTCTCAGGCTTTTCATTGTTGAGACTGATTGAAGGATATGATTGGTATGTTCTTGTTTCTAAGGACTCCAATATAACATTAATCTCTTCGGGAATGTGTGGCAAGGATACTAGTTCTTGGAGTGTGTTAGAGATGGCAAAGCCACTGTGGCTCTTTACAGAAAATTTTTTAACTCCAGAGACATACTTGTTTTTTGGAATTAACAACTTTGCTGGCTGTTTTCCAATTAGAAAGAGCTTCTTTTCTGTAAGCAGACAAGCATTAAACATTTCATTAGTTTTTGCAAAAACACTTCATGTTTTTAACTAGAGAAAAAAATAATATTTTCTCGTCTCAGAATTGTGATACTCAACACATGCTGGGTTTTGAGAGTAAATTGTCCCATCATTTGGCAAGGATGACACTCATTTTTTTCTAACAGACTTTCAGGGAAGCACATTACCTCTCAAATTGCCAGATGCAAGCTGCCTCAAACTGATCTAGAACTGGAGCCAGTACTATGAGTTTCAGCTGCTCAGAAGAGCACAGGAAGGCTACCTTTTCAGAAAAGTATTTTGAGCACTTTATGATATTAGCTTCCTTGTAGGGTAAGGTGCCAAGGTAATTTCAGTCTCCCCTGTGATATAAAGCTTCTGCTTGCTGGCTTACTGCTATTTAATACTGATAGCTTCTGGATATATAATAGTTTATATTTATTTTACTAACTTAAGGGTCTGCTGAGAGGACTCAGGTAAGGAAGTGTATCGCTGACTATTGCCATGTGGCAGAAAGGGAGCTTCCTCTCTATGGCCTGCCTTAGCATCCTCAAGTACGCTCGGGAGACAGGTCACCTCGCATCCCTGAGAGCAATTCTGCCTCTGGTAAAGCCATAGATTCTGGCTTTGAAACTTCCTCAGCAGAATTTATGACAGACTGTGCGATGCCTCACTCAGGGATGAGTGTGTGCAGGTGCATCATAAGCAGCTGCTGAATAAGTCAGTTAATGAATGTCTACATGACATATTCAGGAGAGTGGAAGAAAAGGGTTCTGTAGATAATCCTCAATTTACCAGAGATTCTATCATTTTGCTCAATGCATATTTGTGGTGGCTCATTCTTTCATGGAAGTGTTTTGTGCCACTATTACAAATAAACTTTTGTTTGTAGATATAACACATTAGGAAGTTACTTATATTGGATGTGAGATATTATGCCATATATGTATTTGTATTTATAAACATAAATGAAACCTTAACACATAAGGTAATAACAGCATATCAATTATCTATTGCTATAATTAAGGCTGTGTAACAAGCAACTCTGAACATGGTGGTTTCACATAGCAACCATTTATTTTCATTCACAGGTCTGTGGGTCACATGAGCAGTGCTGCTGATCTTGGATGAGCTTGCTCATAAGTGTGAGGTCAGTTGCGTGTCTGCTGGCTGGCTGATCCAGGGTGGCCTTACTTTGAAGGACTGGAAATCTTGACTCTCTGTAATATGTCTCTCATATTCCTATAGCAGCTGGCTCAGTCGTGTTTCATTGTGGAGGCAGAGCTTCAACTACAAGCAAGAGGAAACTTACCCGACCTCTCGAGCCACAGGCTTGGAGATGGCACCGTGTTACCTCCTCTGGATTCTACTGGCAAAAGCAAGTTATAAGGTCATCTCAGGTTCAATGAATGGAGAATAAGCCCTCTTTTTGAAAAAAGTGAAGAATTACTTCAATAAATTTATCATAAGCAGGGAATAGTATTAGCTGGAATTACCAAGCATAAGCTAGGAACAACAGAATAACCAAAGATAAAAATTGTAAATGTTTAATTAGAACCCACTGTTGGAGCTAAAGATTTAATGTTCAGAGGAATTGATGGGGGAAGCCTGATAAACAGATGGTGAGGCTAGGACCTTTTACCCTGGGGAAATTTCCTGGAGGTTAAGAGCCTAGGAGAGAGTTGATATGGAATTACTATAACAAATTGAATGGATGAAATCCCACTCTAGCCTCGTAGGGATGGACTAGCTCTACAGGCCTGTGTCCAAGCACAGCCTCACTGTCTGTCTGTCTGTTTGTCTAGAGTACAAGAAAGAGGTTATGACCTACTCTCTTACCTTTGTAAACTTTATTCTTACACAAATATTTAGTAGACTAAAAGTGAGAAGAGCTGGGTGTGGTGGCTCACGCCTGTAATCCCAGCACTTTGGGAGGCCGAGGCAGGCGGATCACGAGGTCAGGAGATTGAGACCATCCTGGTTAACACGGTGAAACCCTGTCTCTACTGAAAATACAAAAAAAATTAGCCGGGCATGGTGGTGGCACCTGTAGTCCCAGCTACTCAGGAGGCTGAGGCAGGAGAATGGCATGAACCCGGGAGGTGGAGCTTGCAGTGAGCTGAGATCACGCCACTGCACTCCAGCCTCGGCGACTGAGTGAGACTCCGTCTCAAAAAAAAAAAAAAAAAAAAGTGAGAAGAAGAAACCTATACATTTACTTCTCTCTCTTTTCTCTAGCCCTATCCCATATAATCTTATTTCCATTTTGTTCTGTGTTTAGATGGAAGTGGCAAAGGAAGAAATGTTAAGAAACCATTAACCAAAGACAATCTCATCTTTGTTTCTCAATACACCCCTATACATCCTAGGCTTGGTGCTAATGTTTCTGTTGTGGGATAAAGTTGGCCAATTTCAATTAGATTTTTGAAATTAAAAATGAGATAGCAGATATTTTGGTTCTAGATCTGCATATAATTTCCTACATGGCGGTGAATCAATCAGTTATCCATCAATCAGTCAGTCAATCCATTTAGGGCACATATTATGTTCATCTCCATTATAAGGAAAAGTAAGAGCCAGGATCCCTACTGCTATGAGCTTTTATTCTGTTTAAATTCACGTTTCAAGTTGCTGAACTTTGGGTTTTTTAAACTGAGACCAGAGTTTTTGGCCTGGGTAACTTACAGAGCTGATAAGGAAAAGAAATGGACCAATGATGCAATAAGAGTTTGAATAAATGCCTTTAAGATATCAAATTATTGAGACTTAAAGAGGTTGGCTGGTTTGTTCTAGGGCACTGTGCATAAAGACAAGCACTTTAAAGTGGAGTGTTCTTATTTCAATCAGCGTGTTTTAATGCTGGGTGATATAGGAAGATGTGTGGGGTGACATACATAATGAAAAGGTAATTCATAATTACTCTACTACATTCTAATGCAGAATATGACAAATGAGAATTCAACTGTTCACTCTGTGAGGGCTACACTCACTCTCTATTTAACAGACAAGGTCTCTGATGTAGAGGCTTTCTCACCAGGACCTTGGAGAACATTTTTGCAGTCTCCACCATCCTGTTCTAAGGTGGGGGTGATCTATCCAAGGGTCAAGGAGAAGCTAGGCTCCTCTTATTGCACTGGACCATGCATCTAGCTCCTTGATTGGAGTGCGAATCCACTGACGTGTGTGTCTTTATTGAGTTCCTAGGGGTGTATGTAGCACTGATTCTAAAGATAGAAGAGGAGCAGGACTGAGAAACCTACATTCTGGCAAGATTGAGAAGCACATATTGCCAATTAAGGAACAAGATAGCACATGGCTGGTTTAACATCTTCCAAAGTGGATTGTTTTTGGATATATTTTGCATTTAATCTAGTCTTCCTTGTGTTAACTGTGTCAAGACCTGTCCCTGCTACTAATTGTAAATTTTGGAGGAGGAAAAACTATAACTTATGGTATTATAGAACTCTCTTGATTAAAATCCTTTAGTAGGAGCTCTTCTTCAGGTCATAATATAGTTTTGGGTACTGAACTCATTGTCCTGTGATAGACCGTGATGACATTGGACAAATATATAAAAGCACTGTGCCTGCATTGGTAATGCTGACAGTGTACAATTATGGTTCCAGATACATGGGAGGCAAGTGAGGAGGGCCCTATGCCCCAGCTTTTTTTCTGGAGGAGTTTTCCAGAGGACAGTGTAGGGATAGGAAACCCAAGCAGATCAAGGTGATGATGCCGGGTTGAGCATGTAAAGAGTGAATTTCTGAAATGTCTGTTTCTGGCTTCTGACTGGAGGCTCTGCTTCCCAGTCTGTTAGAATGGCCACCCTGCAGACTGTAACCCTTTATAAGAAATAAAGTCTCCTCTCCTTCTTTTCTAAATTTATAGATTGTATATTTTTAAGTGAACATATCTGGTAATGAGGATGAAATCCATGGAGAACCCCAGGGTCTCTTGGCATCACTGGGAGTCACCACACAGAGGCCTACAGGTCAGTTGTCTCTCCCACTGCACTGGAAAGACACCATGTAAGTTCCTCTAAATCTAGGATCTCCTGCTTTAAGGTTGAAGATTTCAGAGACTTTATTTCTCTCTACCTCTTCCCTTCATTTCATCTTGGTCTCTCCCCAGTCCCTGTTCTGGTTTCCTCCATCTGGACCCTGCAGGGGACCTTCCCTGTTGGCCCCGGGTTTGGTGGGGGTCCTTCCCAGTTCAGTCAGACTCAGCTGGTCCATAAAGATAAGGTGTTGTGGGAACACTCATGCTAAGAGCACTCAAAGAGACTCCTTCACCCAGTGAGTGAGTGAAGGTATAGAGAAACTTAGTTTTATTTATATATATACCTTCTAAGGCAGAAGCAAAGTTCTAAGGGCAGGGTGTAGAGAGCCTTAGTTCTGATGGGGCAATCTCTGATCAGCCACCATAATGAGCCTTATTGGCTTATATGGTTAAGGAAGATGGTAGGATCAAGTTTAAAAATAAACAAAAAAGCAAAAGACATAAATAGTGTCATGACCACCCTTAAAATTCCTTTGACAAACAGACCAAAATGACCTAAAACAAAGCTAAAAACCCTGTGCCCACTCAGGCTGCCTGCTTGGAGTCCATGTGGGATTAACAATGGAAGCTGGTCCACACTGTAATTTCGTGGTTAAAATTCAGAATCAGGGAATCAGTCCTTTTGGTTTAATATTTGTGTGACTTTTGCCATTTATTGATTATTTTTTCTTCCAGGAACAGCTTTTGATTTCCTGTCTTCAATCTGTGGAGGCTTACAGGGCTTTGGGGCCTCTGTGTGTAGACAGTAGCTGGGAAGCTGAGACCCTAGAGAAAATGGCTGAACAAAATGTAAGGTGTATCCCATTTGTGGCCAGCAGAACTTTACTTTCCTTGAGCTGCCTTTCAGTGATTCTGAGTCTTGTGAGGACTGCTTTGCAACTCTGTGGAGATGCCTCTCGTGTCTTCAGTTAAGTCATAACCTTGGTTGAGGCTTACTAGTTTCACTTGAGAGATTGCTTTGGTAAAGGTTCAGGAGCCAGGAATATCAGCTGTTTGTCCCAGCTAACATCTGGTAATAAGAGACTTGAGCGGACTTTCTTTCCTTTTAAAGAGCTCCATAGTTAGAAGTCATCATAATTAAAAACATATGTCCAAGCGATTGTAACCGGCAAAGGGGTCCAGCTGCTCACCGCTTGTGAAAACAAGTCAAACCAATCACGAGTTATGATAAGAGGAAGCAAGATTCCCTTACTATCCATGCTGGCAAGGGAAAGAGCAGAGCACCATTCCACTCTTTAGTTTGTGGAGGGAACACAGGCATCTTTGAATAAAGGGTTTGGAATGCAGAAAAGGCAAGGGAGGCCAGCAGGTGCCACGTCACTCCAAGGGTCCTCTTGAGTTATTGTTTCATTTGGTGAAACGGCTGGTGTCATCATGGATCCTGCCAGGTTGTAAATGGATCAGTAAGGCATGCACCGCCACACCTGGCTAACTTTTTAATTTTTTTTTTAGTAGAGGACAGGTCTCACCATGTTGTCTAGGCTGGTCTTGAACTCCTGAGCTTAAGCAATCCGTCTGACTCAGCCTCCCAAAGTGCGAGATTACAGGCTTGAACCACTGCACCCGGCCTGAGACATATGAGCTTTCAGTGCCTTCCCCTCACTTAATAATCCTGCAGAGATAATTATATGCTGATTTCCATCATCATCAATACTATTACCTTTTTTGTGAGTTTCATATTAATAGGCCGACTCCATACTGATCAAACTTCTGGTCTTCAGCATCTTTTACACAATACTATATTTTTAACATTCAGCCAGGTTCTTGTGCATCTCTATATTGCAGTTTGTTCTGTCTATTGCTCTGAATATATGTATTTCATTATGAAAACACTGTAATTTATTCATTTTCCAAGTGGTGAAAATTTGTTTTGTTTCCAGTTTATGACTATTATGAACAAAGCTTCTCCTTTGAAAGTTCAAGTATGGCAAAAGTAAGCTAAAAACCATACAAGTTGAAAATGGAAATTGAATGAATTAATTTCCACTACTCATAGGATTTCACTATTTGAACTCCAGTGTAGCTGTACAGAATTAGTCTCAATGTTTTTCTATGCTGCAGTAAGAGCAAAATAGAGTATTGGCTCAGGCAATTTAGCAGTGTTTTTTTTTTTTTTTCACCAAGACCATATCTTTGCTGGGCTCCCTCAGAATTTTGTTAGCCTTTGCCCTTTCTGTTAGCTTTGGCAAACACTGAGGGATAGAGAGCCACATTCATCTTGCCTATTGAACAGACCCTGCTTAGAATGTATCTACTGTGTGCAGAGATGCCAACATCCTGTTTTTCTGCATGGCATTCAACTAATACTGGAGATCATTTCCTAAGCCACAGAATAAGCCCATCATTAATAAATATATCATGCACAAAATAACCCCTAGGAACTCTCTGTTCTTTTCTGTTATCCTAACAGTGCTCATCCTATAATGACAAGGGTGTGCCCATCATTTCCTGGAAGATTGCCATGGCTGCTTGGGTCCACAGTGAGTTCTGAATCTTGGAATTCTACAGGCATTGAGGCTGAGAGACAGCAAATTCAGGTGGGAGCTGGGGCCCTGAAAAACAGTAAAGTTTTGCCCAGCTGAGACCAAAGCAAGAGATAAGGTGGCACAAATGTTTAGAGATTGAGTTCAAATAGTTGGGGAAGAGGACACCACCAGATGAGAGAGAAATGGACCAGTGAATGGTCTCTGCGAATCAGACACAGCACCCGTGGGGCTTGCTGAACAAGTGGAAGGGGCAGGGCCAGCACGGGAAACAGCATTGGAGCTCAGCACCAACTGCTATAATTTACTGACTGGGGGCACAGCCATAAATGCTTTCACTTGTGGAGAGAGTACGCTAATTTCATGAAGATTTCATCTCTGAGTGCTGGGTGATTACAATATAGGACAACACTCTTTTAGAAGACTTTACAATTAGATGGACTTGAATCAATGATAGACTGGATTAAGAAAATGTGGCACATATACACTGTAGAATACTATGCGGCCATAAAAAAGGATGAGTTCATATCCTTTGTACAGACACAGATGAAGCTGGAAACCATCATTCTCAGCAAACTATCGCAAGAACAAAAAACCAAACACTGCATGTTCTCACTTATAGGTGGGAAATGAACAATGAGAACACTTGGACACAGGAAGGGGAACATCACACACCCGGGCCTGTCATGGGGTGGGGGGAGGGGGGGAGGGGAGATGGATAGCATTAGGAGATATACCTAATGTAAATGACGAGTTAATGGGTGCAGCACACCAACATGGTACATGTATACATATGTAACAAACCTGCACTTTGTGCACATGTACCCTAGAACTTAAAGTATAATAAAAAAACAAAAACAAAAAACACATAAACCAAACCAAAACAAAACAAACAAAAAAAAGATGGACTTGAAAGTTTGCCGGTTGGGATTCTTTATCTTCCTCCAAGTGCACTCAGAGCTCCTAATTGTGTACCCGCAAGAGCCCTGTGAGATTGGGACCTGGTATTTACATTTGAGTGCGGGTACACATACCCACGAGAGTGAAGCCACCAGGCAGTACATGTGAGAGGCACAGTGTGCTCTCTGGATGTGTCTCAGTCACACCCTCTCCCCATCTTCTCCCCGAACTCTTAGCCTTTCATGAACCAGGCACATGGACTGGGTTTGCTTTCACTGTGGCCAGGAGCTTCTAAAACTGGTTATTGTTAGCAAGTTTCTGTTAAGTTGGCAAATCAAACTTTTGAAGGAAAGTGAAACCGTAGTCCTTTTGCCCCATTTCCAATTACGCAGTCTCAACCCACGCATTCATTATTCATTTCCTCATTAATAATCATAGCTTGCTTTAGTTGAATTTTGTGTCTTTTATGTGTCTAAAAGTTGAAATAAGTAAAATTCATACTGTGATTTTCTTATGTGAAAATTTTAGTATTTTGTATTTAAATTTCCCTCATAGCATAAGGAATTATACAATAAGATCTCTTTCAGAATCAATATAAAAAGGATGAGGAGGAAGGAGCTAACATTAGATGACCATCTATTGAATTCCAGACCTGTTGTATGTACTTTGAATGAAACAATATATGCAGTTTTTACAGCAAATATGCTGCGATAAACCCCAAATTGCCATGAATGAATGGAGGGTCAGAAAGGTTAAGTAAGTACCCCATGTCCATAGCTGACTAGAGAAGGAGCTGGGATCAAACCAGGGTGGTTTTGCTCTGAAGTCCGTCTTCTTCCTATTGGATCATATGACCCCCAAAACAAGCCGGTGAGCGTATTTTTTGTTTTGTTTTGTTTTGTTTTTGAGATGGAGTCTTGCTCTGTCGCTCAGGCTGGAGTGCAGTCACACGATCTCGGCTCACTGTTTTTTTAACTTATTGGCTAGACAGCCTTAAGAGCGGCACTTGGTAAGCATAATCTTCATCAGCCTTTTGCTTTTTAAATACAATTTGTCTATCTTTTCTTTTTGGTCTACCTTCTGTATTACATTCTCATATTACCAAAACACACAGAACATTTGGGTATTAGTAGCCTGCCATAATCTAATGCAGTTGGTGAAATTATGGCCAAAAAAGATAATTCAGGTGAAACCATGACAAGGCACCAGACATATCTGAATTGGCTGGTGATAAAATTCCTACCCTGAATGACCTCTACTTCTCACTCTATTGTTTGGCAAAACCATTAGATGCAGGCAAATTTATTGTTCTGATATTTCCACTCTGATTTAAGATCATACAGGGATTATATAAGCCGTATCTTGATCAAATGTAATCTAATGTGATTATTTATATACAATATTCAAACTAGCCTCCCTGTAGCCTGTTATTTTAGTGACATAGTCTTGGTAACAATGTCTCTTGTTTCTGGTAAATAGTTGTTTGCTTTCTCATAGTGACTTAACAGGCAATTTTTATTTAATTTTATTTTATTTTACTTTTATTTTTATTTTATTTTATTTTATACACAGAGTCTCGCTCTGTCACCCAGGCTGAAGTTCAGTGGTGTGATCATCAGCCTCAACCTCCTGGGCCCAAGCAATGCTCTCACCTCAGCCCCCCAAGTAGCTGGGATTAAAGATGCACACCACCATACCCGGGTAATTTTTTTCATTCTTTTAAATTTTTTAGAGACAGGGTCTCGCTATGTTGCCCAGGCTGATTTCAAAATGATAACTCCTGTCCTCAGGTGATCCTGGTCCACCCGCCTCGGCCCCACAAAGTGCTAGGATTACAGGTATGAGCTACCGTGCCCAGCTGGTAATGATCTCTTTCTTTCCTTTCCTTTTTTTCTTTTCTTTCTTTCCTCTCTTTCTTTCTTTCTTTCTTTCTTTCTTTCCTTCTTATTCGTTCTTTCTTTCTTTCTTTCTTTCTTTCTTTCTTTCTTTCTTTCTCTTTCTTTCTTTCTTTCCTTCTTATTCATTCTTTCTTTCTCTTCTTTCTTTCTTTCTCTTTCTTCTTTCTTTCTTTCTTTCTCTTTCTACTTTCTTTCTTTCTTCTTTCTTTGTCTTTCTCTTTTCTTTCTTTCTTTCTCTCTCTTTCTCTCTTCCTTTCTTCCTTCCTTCCTTTCTCTCTCTCTCTCTTCCTCCCTCCCTCCCTCCCTCCTTCCCTCCTTCCCTCCTTCCTTCCCTCCTTCCTTCCTTCCTTCCTTCCTTCCTTCCTTCCTTCCTTCCTTTCTCTCTCTCTCTCTCTCTCTTTCTTTCTTTCTTTGAGACGGAGTCTTCCTCTGCCAGAGATTGTTGCTCACCAAGTGAACTCCAGCCTCCCAAACCTGGTGTTCAAGACTCTCTAGACTCCAGTCCCACCACTTCCTCTTCTGCAGCCTATACAACTTGGTATTCAACAAGCACACTCTTTGTCTTTGCGCTTCTGCAGTTTTGATCATGTCACTCATTGTCTGGATTACCCTTGATGACCTCTCCCTTCCTATCCATATGATGTTTACCCTTCAGGACTAGCCAACTTTTCTTGGCATTATTTCTCATTGCCTTCTGCAGAAGGCAATAGCCTCTTCTGAAATCTTGGGCTCTTCAATCAAATGTCATGAATCACTTGCTTCCTTGAGCCATTATGTGTATGTGCTTTATTTTTGTCACTGTATCACATTTTTCTTAAAGGCATGGAGTTATTCTTGTATCTTTTTAAAAAATTTCATGTATCATTTTAATTTTTATAAGAAATATTAATTCTGTAACCAGAACATTGAAAAACATAATAAAGAGAAAATTTGCAAATTAAAAAATTGCAGTACTTATTTATCCTTTATTTTGTATTACTTTTGATTTTTTAAAAACACTTAGTAGCTTTGGGGTCCAAGGGTTTTTTTTTTTTTCTTTTTTTTTGAGACGGAGTCTCACTCTGTTGACCAGGCTGGCGTGCAGTGGTACTGTGTCAGCTCTCAGCAACCTCTGTCTCCTGGGTTCAAGCAATTCTCTTGCCTCAGCCTCCCAAGTAGCTGGGATTACAGGCGCCCACCATCACACCTGGCTAATTTAAAAAATATTTTTAGTAGAGACGGGGTTTCACTATTTTGGGCAGGCTGGTCTCGAACTCCTGACCTCAGGTGATCCACCCGCCTCGGCCTCCCAAAGTGCTGGAATTACAGGCGTGAGTCACCATGCCCATCTCCAAGTGGTTTTTGGTTACATGAATGAATTATATAGTGGTGAATTCTGAGATTTTAGTGCACTCATCACCCAAGTACTGTATGTTGTACCCAATATATAGTTTTTTATCCCATACCCTCCCTCCCAATCTCCTGCTTCTGAGTCTCCAGGATTCATTACATCACTCCATATGTTTTTGTGTATTCTCTGTTTAGCTCCCACTTATAAGTGAAAACACACAGTGTTTGATTTGCCATTCCTGAGTTATTTCACCTAGAATAATGGCCTCCAGCTCCATACAAGTCCATGCAAAAGACATTATTTTGTTCCTTTTTATGGCTGAGTCCATGGTGTGTGTGTGTGTGTGTATATATATATATATACACATACATATATATATCCATATTTATATATCCATATATATATCCATATATATATTTATATATCATGCCTTTTTAATCCATTTATTGGTCAATGGCACTTAGGCTAGCTCCATATCTTTGCAATTGTGAATCAGGCTGCAATAAATATTCATGTGCATATGTCTTTTTCGTATAATGACTTGTTTTCTTTGGAATAATGATATGATCTGGCTCTGTGTCCCCACCCGAATCTTATATTCGATTGTAGTTCCCATAATTCCCACGTGTTGGGGAGTGACCTTGTAGGAGGTAAAATCATGGGGGAGGTCCCCCTCATGCTCTTCTCATGATAGTGAGTGAGTTCTCATGAGATGTGATAGTTTTATAAGGTTTTTTTCCTCCCTTTGCGTGGCACTTTTCTCTCCTGTGGCCTTGTGAAGAAGGACGTGTTTGCTTCCCCTTTTGCCATGGTTGTAAGTTTTGAAATAAATCATTTTTCACAAAACTAGGAGAAACAATTCTAAAATTGTGGCCTCTTCAGCCATGCTGAACTTTGAGTCAATTAAACCTCTTTCCTTTAAAAATTACCCAGTCTTGGGTATGTCTTTATTAGCAGTGTGAGAACGAACTAATGCAGGTAGATATCCAGTAGTGAGATTGTTGGATTGAATAATAGATCTACTTTTAGTTCTTTAAAGAATGTCCATACTGTTTTTTTATAGAGGTTGTACTAATTTACATTCCCACCATCAATGAATAAGCACTCCCCTTTCACCAAATCCATGCCAACATCTATTTTTTTTTGACTTTTTAATAATAGTCATTCTTGCAGGAGCAAGGTGGTGCTCCATTGTGGTTTTAATTTGCATTTCCCTGATGATTAGTGATGCTGAGCATTTTCTCGTGTTTGTTGGCTATTTGTATATCTTGTTTTGAGAAATGTCTATTCATATTATTTGCCAATTTTTTGATGGAATTATTTTTTTCCTTGAAGATTTGAGATGTTTTTTTTCTTTTTTTGTATATTCTGGTTATCAGTCCTTTGTCAGATGCACAGGTTGCAAATATTTTCTTCCTTTCTGGGTTGTCTCTTTACTCTGATGATTATCTCTTTTTCTGTGCAGAACCTTTTTAATTTAGTCAGGTGCCATTTATTTACTTTTGTTTCTGTTGCATTTGCTTTTGAGGTTTTAGTCATAAATTCTTTGCCTAGGCCAATGTCCAGGAGAGTTTTTTCAAGGTTATCTTCTAGAATTTTTATGCTTTGGGGTCTTATATTTAAGTACTTGACACGTTTTGAGTTGATTTTTGCACAAGGTGAGAGATAGAGATCCAATTTAATTCTACATGTGGCTAGCCAGTTTTCCTAGCACAATTTATTAAATAGGGTGTTCTTTCCCTAATTTATGTTTTTGTATGCTTTTCAAAAATCAGTTGGTTGTAGGCATTTGGCTTCATTTCTGGATTTTCTATTGTGTTCCATTGGTCTCTGTGTCTACTTTCATACCAGTACCATGTTGTTTTGGTAATTACAGCCTTGTGGTAAAATATGAACACTGGCAATTTGATGCCTCTACTTTTGCTTTTCTTACTTAGGATTGCCTTGGCTACTGGGGCTCTGTTTTGGTACCGAATAAATTTTAGAATTGTTTCTTCTAGTTTTGTGAAAAATGATGTATTTTGATGAAAATTGCATTAAATCTGTAGATTGCTTTGGACAGTATGGTCATTTTAATGATATTTACTTTTTCAATCAATGAGCATGGAATGTGTTTTCATTTATTTATTTCAACTGTGTTTTCTTCAGCAGTGTTTTATAGTTTTGCTTGTAGAGCTCTTTCACCTCCTTGGTTAAGTATATTACTAGGTGTTTTATTTCTTTGCAGCTGCTGTGAAAGGGGTTCAGTTCTTCTCAACTTGGTTGTTTTTGATGTACAGCAGTGCTACTGATTTGTGTAAATTGATTTTGTAACCTGAGACTTTACTGAACTCCTTTATCAAATCTAGGAGTCTTTAGGGTTTTCTAGGTATACAATTATACCATTGGTAAACAGTAGTAGTTTGACTTCCTTTTTTCTTATTTGGAAACCCTATATTTTCTTCTCTTTCCTGATTGCTCTGGCTAGGACTTCCATTACTATGTTGAACAGAAGTGGTGAAAGTGGGCATCCTTGTCTTGTTCCAGTACTCAGGGGGAAAGCTTTCAACTTTTCTCCATTCACTATGATGTTGGCTGTGGGTTTGTCATAGATGGCTTTGATTCATTTGAGGTAAGTCCCTTCTATGCCTAGTTTGTTGAAGGTTTTATCAGAAAAGATGCTGAAGTTTATAGAATGATTTTTCTGCATCTATTGAGATGATCATATGGCTTTTGTTTTTAATTCTGTTTATGTGATGTATCACATTTGCTGACTTGCATATGTTAAACAATCCCTGCATCCCTGGAATAAAACTCACTTGTTCATGGTATATTATTTTTTTGACGTGCTATTGGATTTGGTTAGCTAGTATTTTGTTGAAGATTTTTGCATCTATGTTCATTAAGGATATTGGTCTGTGGGGTTTTCTCTTGGTTATATCTTTTCCTGTTTTTAGTATCAGGGTGATACTTGCTTCACAAAATGACTTAGGGAGTATTTCCCCTATTCTTCTTTTGGAATATTTTTAGTAAGATTGGTACCAATATGTTTGGTAGAATTCAGCTGTGAATCCATCTGGCCCTGGGCTTTTGTTGTCGTTGGCTTTTTAAAACTACCGATTCAATCTCATTGCTTCTTATTAATCTTTTCAAGGTTTGTATTCCCTATTTAATATATGAGGGTTGTATGTTTTCAGAAATTCATCCATTTCCTCTAAATTTTCTAGTTTGTGTGCATAGATCAGTTCATAGGATCTTGAATAATCTTTTGTATTTCTGTGGTGTCAGTTGCAGTATCTCCAGTTTCATTTCTATTTGAGCTTATTTGAATCTTCTCTCTTCTTGGTTAATCAAGCTAATGTTCTGTCAGTTTGGTTTATCTTTTCAAAGAACCAGCTTTTTTTTAAATCAAACTTTTGTATTTTTTGTTTCAATTTCATTTAGTTGTGCCGTGATCTTTGTTGTTTACTTTCTTCCTCTAGCTTTTTATTCAGTTTGTTCTTGTTTCTCTAATGCCTTGAGGTGTGACATTAGGTTGTCAATCTGTGCGTGATCTTTCAGACTTTCTGATGTAAACATTTAGTGGTATAAACTGTCCTCCTAACACTCTTTTGTTATATTCCAGAAGTTTTGCTAAATTGTGTCACTATTATCATTAATTTCAAATAATTTTTAAATTTCCCTCTTGATTTCATTGTTAACTCCAAAATTACACAGGAGCAGATTGTTTAATTTCTATTTTTTTGTATAGTTTGAGGATTCCTTTTGGAGTTGATTTCTAGTTTTATTCCACTGAGGTCTGAGAAAATACTTGACATGATTTTGATGTTTTCAGATTTACTGAGACTTGTTTTTTGACCTGTCATATGGTCTATCTTGGTGAATGTTCCATGTGCTGATAAGATGAATGTATATTCTGGAGTTCTTGTTCTATTCTGGAGTTAGAATGTTGCGTAAATATCTGTTAGACCCATTTGTTCTAGAATGCAGTTTAAGTTCATTCTTCCTTTGTTGATTTTGTGTCCTGATAATCTACTAGTGCTGTCACTGGAGTGTTGAAATCTCCCACTGTTATTGTGTTGTTGTCTATTTAATTTCCTAGGTCTAGTAGTAATTGTTTTATGCATCTGAGAGCTTCAGTGTTAGGTGCATATAAATTTAGAATTGTAATATCCGCTTGTTGGATTGATTCTTTTATCATTAAATAATGACCATCTTTTTATTTTTCTATTCTTGTTGCTTTAGTCTCACTTCTGGTTTCTATTTATGTGGAATGTCTTTTTCTACCCCTTTACCTTGAGTTTATATGAATCCTGATGTGGTAGGTGAGTCTCTTGAAGATAGCAAATATTTTATTTGTGATATTTGTCTGTTCTGCCAATCTGTGTATTTTAAGTAGAGCATTTAGTCCATTTATATTTAACAATATCAAGATGCGAGGTACTGTTACAGTCATCATGTTAGTTGTTACCTGAATACTTTGCTGTTGTTTATTTCATTGGTTTATTGTTTTGTAGGCCATGTGAGTTTTATGCTTTCAAAAGGTTTTATTTTTGTGCACATCAAGCTTTTTATTTAAGATTTAAAGCTCCTTTTACCATTTTTTTGTAGGGTTGGTTTGATAGTAACAAATTTCCTCAGTATTTGTCTGAAAATGACACTATTTCTCTTTCATTTATGAAACTTAGTTTTGCTGCATAGAAAATTATTAGCTGAGAGTTATTCTGTTTTAGGAGGCTAAAACATTACCCCCATCCCTTCTGGCTTGTAGGGTTACTGCTGATAAGTCTTCTGTTAGTTGGATGGGTTTTTCTTTATAGGTTACCTGATGCTTTTGTCTCACTGCTCTTACAATTCTTCTTTTCATGTTGATGTTAGATAGCCTGATGGCTATATGCCTTTGTGATTATCTTTTTTGCAATGGATCTCCCATGAATTCTTTGAGCTTCTTATATTTGGATATCTAAATCTCTACCAAGGCCAGGGAAGTTTTCCTCTATTATTCCCTCAAATACATTTTTCAAAGTTTTTGCTCTCTTTTCTCTCTCAGGAACATTAATTATTCTTAGCTTTGGCTATTTTAGATAATCTCATATTTCATGGAGACTTTGTTGATTTATATTTTTGATTCTTTTTTCTATATTTTTATCTGATTTGTTTAATTCAAAAGTCTTGTCTTCAAGCTCTGAAATTCTTTCTTGTGCTTGTTCTAGTCTATTGTTAAAACTTTTCACTGCATTCTGTAATTCTCTAAATGTGCCATTCATTTCTAGAAGTTCTGATTGGTTTTTCTTTAAAATATCGATCTCTTTAGACAATTTTTCATTTATATCCTGAATAGTTTTTTTTTTAAATTTCTTTTTGTTGGTTTTCATCTTTCTCTGGTATCTCCTTGAGTAGCTTAATAATCAACCTTTTGAATTCTTTATCTCGTATTTCAAATATTTCAACTTTTTTTGCATCCATTGCTAGAGGGCTGAGGTGATCTTTTGGGGTGTTATAGAACCCTGATTTGTCATATTGCCAGATTTATTTTTCTGGTTCCTTGTCATTTGGATAGACTATTTTTTATAATTATTCTAGCATTTATTCTTTATTTGACTGTTTTTTTTTAATTTTTTCCCCTTTAAGGATATGACTTTAACATTTACAGTTTATTGCAAACTAATTTGGCTCTTAGTGCTTTCAGAGGTGAAGACTCTGTAAGAGTTCCTTGGTTACAGACAGTCTTTGTATGATGCCTTTCTTGGATGCTTATTGTAGTAGCAATGTGCTTGGTGCGTGAGCAAGTTCATTCTCTCCTATGGGATTGGAGTGGCAGAGGTCTCTTGAAGCTTATTTCACTCTTCTGTGGTGTGCGCTTATTTATTTTTCTAATTTCCCTAGTATTTTATTTACTGGGTTGAATAATTTAGGCTTCGGGCTAATAGAGGAGGCATCCACAGGTAGAAATTGTCTATGGCTAAAGCAGGTGGGCAGATGCAGTACCCTTTCATGGGCAGAGGTCTCAGCTTTTACAGAGTGGATGGGGGAGCTTTCAGTGAAACACACGGAGGTCTTATCAGAGGGAAGGACCAGAGCTACCTCAGCTCTTCTCCCAGGCTGGCAGGAATGCTATTCACCTCCCAGACACACTCCATAACCAGTGTTCCAGCTATTCAGATCAGACAGGTGCCTCTTTATATCTGTGGGAGTGGTGATGTTCCAAGTAGAAAGAAATTGTGACTCTACCCCTTGTGCAGGCCCGCACGTGGATGGTGCTTTTCCTGGGGGGATGCAGTCGCTCTGAAGTGTTCCAGAGAGGCTGTCTATAGGTGCACCCACACCGCCTTCCAATGGGAAAAGCCCCAGCGGTGTCTGCAGTGGTGGATGCGGGGGAAAAAGCCTTCTTCTCCAAGCTCCTTCATGAGCACCAGAACTGCCTGGCAGCTGGAGAGAGCTGCAGACTTTCCCTGCTGAGCCTCGCACTACAACTGACCTTCTGCTGAAAGACACTTCCCACCAGTGGAATGATCTGAGACTCAAGTCCTGCTGTCCAGTTCCTTTGTCCTATGGAGGGTTCCTTTCATGTGGTTCACTCCCTCTTCCCCTAGGAGTCGGAGTCTCTCAGAGCCAGGTTACTGCACATGTTGTTGCTCCTCTGAGTCTAGCTGCCTTGTGTCGCTGCCACACTCCAGGCTGGTGCTGTGGAATGTCTTCAAGGGATCCAGTGATGTAACCTATCCTTAAGTCTCCCAGTAGTGGGAACCAGCACCAGCCCTGATGGGGTTGGCAGGGGAGTGACATAGACTCTGTGAGATTCCTTGGTTATAGATAGCCTCTGTATATTGGCTTTCTCAAATGCCAGTTGTGGTAGTAATGAACAGATCTCATGGATATACTAGGGACCTCCTGGTTAGCCAGGATGGTGCAGGCAATGGTGATAGCTGAGGTCATGCCCATGTTTTCTCCTTCCTGGACACCGTGTTATTCTGCCTGGAGATGTTGTAATGGACAGTGTTCGTTGGTCTCCAGTCAGAAGGTGGCACTTGCAAGAAAGTGCCAGCGGCAGTAGTAGCTTAGGAGGTCAAGGCTGCAGTAAGCCATGATTTAGCCACTACACTTCAGCCTGTGCAACAAAGACAGACCCTGTCTCAAATAAAAATTCAATTCATGCAAACTTAACAAGGATTTACACACACTAAATGTTTAATGAATTGAGTGGTACAGGTTAATTAACTTTTTAAGCCATTTTATGTGTATAGACCAAAGATCACAAAACTATATTCAACTGACCACATTTGGTACACAGGTATTATTCTTCCCGGTACAATGACTTTGTTTGATTGAAATAAACTTTTATGTCCCATGTCCTAGCCTCAAAAGTGTTCAACTCATGACCATCTATACCCCCACCAACTGACCTACACCCAGATTATTTTTGAAGCAAATCCCAAATATCATACGATTTTATCTGTAACTAAAAACGTATCTCTAAAAGATAAGAAATTTCTTAAAACCTGTAATCACAATATTATTTTATACTTTAAAAATCCCAATAATTTTTTGTACCATTACATGTTAGTGTTCACAGTTTCCTGATTGTTTTATAACTGTACCTGTTTGTTTGAATTACAATATAAGTAAAGTCCGTATGTTGCAACTGGTTGATGTTTTTCTTGACTCTTTTGATGTCTCTTTTCATAAGTTCTCCATCTCTTTCTCTTTTATTTTGCCTTGAAATTCTTTTGTTGAAGAAATCAGTAGTTACCGTAGTTTCCCACATTCTGAAGTATGCTAATTGCTTACTTATAGTGTTGTTTCTTCTGTACTTCTTGTAAATAAGTAGTTAGATCTAGAATCTTGATTAGATTTAGGTTTGATGATTTTGGGGGAAGACTGCAAAATAGGTCAAGCTGTGCATCTGCCTCAGTAAGCACCTCAGGTCAAACTATCTTTGTTATGATGTTAGGCATCGTTGATGGTCATTGTCTAGATTCTTTAATTTATTATTGGCTGAAATATGGGGAATATTTTAATTATATTTATATATTATATTAATATATTATATTTATATTTTTATTGTATTTATTTATATTAATTCTTTTTTTTTTTTTTTTTGAGACAGAGTCTCGCTCTTTCGCCCAGGCCAGACTGCAGTGGTGCTATCTCTGCTCACTGCAAGCTCCGCCTCCCGGGTTCATGCTATTCTCCTGCCTCAGCCTCCCGAGTAGAGTAGCTGGGACTACAGGCGCCTGCCACCGCGCCCGGCGAATTTTTTGTATTTTTAGTAGAGACGGGGTTTAACTGTGTTAGCCAGGATGGTCTCGATCTCCTGACCTCATGATCCGCCCGCCTTGGCCTCCCAAAGTGCTGGGATTATAAGCGTGAGCCACCTCACCCGGCCTATATTAATTCTTAATATAGTCATATTAGGCTAATCTGAAGTACAGTTCTATTTTTAAAAAGCAGAATAATGTTTAAATTTTTAAATTTTTAAAAAACTGTATTTTTAAAATTTATGATTGACACATAATAATGGTACATGTGTATGGGGCACTATATTTCACAAGTTGTGGCAGGCAGCCTCTAAGATACTGCTTAATGATCCCCACCTCCTGATAATCACACCCTTGTGTAATCTCTCCTTGAGTGTGGGCCAGAATTAGGATTCACTTTGAAATAATAGAATAAGGCAAAAAGGATGGGATGACAGTTTGGAGATCAGGTTACAAAGAGGCTGTGCTGTCTTCTTGGGTGGTCTTTCTGACAGTTTCTCTGAAGGAAGCCATTGCTTGTTGTGAGTTGCTCTGTGGAGAGGTCCACTGATCAGGAATGTGATGTCATTAGCCAAAAAGCCTGAAGCCTTCCCTCAGCATGGAGGTAAATTTCAGTGGAGGCTGAAGTGCCCGCCTACCCAGCACTCTGCTGCCAGACGGGAGACTCTGAGCAGGAGGCACCAAGTTAATGATGACCCAGATTTCCGCCCCACACATGTTGAGAGACAGGAAAGGCTTGCTGTTTTAGGCTGCTAGATTTTGAGTATTTTGCCCTCTTTTTTGGCACATTTTATATTTAGAACGGTTAATGTATCTCTGCAGGCATTTTACACTATTCAGGCTTTATAATAGCCATAGTTGACCCCCCATTTTTAATTTTAGTTATTACTATGGCCCACACTTTCTTTCCTTAGTACTTCTAATGTATTTCCTGATTTTATTCTGGCATAAGTCATTGCTTTAAAAAGTTTAAACGCAATCTGTGGTGAATGGTTTCGTGCACCCCCAGGTCCCCTCAGGACCATGCAGTCACACGTGCTAGGGGAGTTTTGGCAGCTGACCACGCTCAGGTGAGTTCCTGTCTGGGACGTGTCCTCTGAGGAAAAGAGGCATTTCATCCGAGGACATGTCTCCTCCTTTTTGACAGTCCTCGCCCAATGACTCGCTAATTTAGAAGTGGGGATAAAAAGCCTGTCCCCTCGTTTCAAGGTGGGATGCTCTGAAGGGCCATCTCAGCTCTAGAAGGACATGTGAGATTAGCTGAGATCCTTGTGGCTGAGGTACAGTTCAACTCCTCTCCCTAGTTTCTTTAGTTCCCCATAGGTATTTACCCTGAGGTTACCCCTCAATAAACTCTCTACACACAAATCCTGCCTCAGTGTCTGTTCCAGGGAAACCCAACCTGAGACACCCAAATCCTGAATTTCTTTGTTTTATGTGTGACTTGATCATTTTATCCAGAAGCTCTAATAATTTTTTCTTTACTTTTTAAATTAAATTGTTTTACCAAAATTTGTTTTTCAGTCAAAAGTCCTGGGTTAATATTCTAAGGTACATGATATATTCTTTCACTATGAGTTGAATAAGGTCCAGATCAAATTGAAGCAGAAGACACAGATTTCATGCAAAGAACTGAGGAGGTAGCTTTAAAGCTATAAAATTAGCAATTTTCTCCTGGCCCTTTCCATTTTTCTCAAAATTCAAGTAAAATTTTTTTCAGTTAAAAATAAGCAAGACACAATAACTGCAGTCAAATCACATACAAAGTACCCTAAAACTTAAAGTATAATAATAATAAAATAAAAAATAAAACAAAGTTATTATAGAAGAGAATATGAAGTAGAATAATGTTTTTGTAAACAATGAAAGCAAATCAAATGGATACATTCAAAAAAGTTTCTCCTTCTAGTGGAGCCATCCTTATACATTGGAGCCTGAAGAGCGTGCTCACATTTTCAGAAGCTGCTTCAGGCTGACCTGACGCGCATCCTGTGAGCACCTGCTGGTGGCATTGATTCCATGCTCCCAGGACCATCAGAAGCTGCTGCATTTCTCCCACCTTCTTCCAAGAAGATGGTGATGCCATGAGGTTTTGTCTGAAGTTTAACCCATCTGTCCAAATTTTCGGGTTGATGGGGATACCTGGCCACCCAGTTTGTTGTAGATATTTTCTGTAAAATTTTGGTTTTCCTCTATTAGGCAAAATTTAAAAATACTCTTGCATTTTTTGTTGTGTATTTTTGAATGCATATTTTTGTTCCCCAGATTTAAAATTTTGGATTTTCTGCTTTTCTTGAAGAGCTAGATGATAGAGCAAGACAGTCTACATTTATTTCATGTCTGAAAGGCTGGAAAAGAGATCATGTTCCCCACCATCTTCACCTGATCATGTAAGTCCTCTACAAGGCACTTAGCCCTTCTTAACTGCTGAGCATGTCGCCCTTCTTATATACACTCCTAAGGATTTTTATCCATGATGCAGTGGGGGAAATCCACATGACAGAAAATTTAGGGAGAGTGCTTTCTTTGTATTACAACTAACTAAATACAGTGACCTGACAGAGGCTCAGAGAGTCCAGGCATCAGTCAGGTGTGGATAAAGAGGTGTTGTTAGTGAATAGCCTGAAGGCAGGGAGAGAGTATTGAGATCATAGTTCAATTAGGACTCTCAAAAGTAGGTTGTCAATGAGGAGCTTCAGCTTGAGTTCTAAAGAGAGGAAGGCAATGTCCTTTTTTAGCTTAGTGAAGTGGTGTTGTGAAAAAAAAGTTAGTTACCAGGACATTTAAGTAAGATCTGTGATTCCCTAAAGAAATGCAGGTGAAAGTGGTGCTGTCAACATTTCCAGGGAGGGCAGTTGAATAATTGAAGAAATTATAGATGCTTGGCATAGAGACAACTGTGGGACTTTAACAGGAATGGTAGTCCCCTGCTTTTTGGAGATAAATTTTTACCAAAGAGGCAACTCTCCTATATCATGTGCAGCTACGGAGCTATGATGGCTCAATTGGTTGCTGCAGGGAATAAAACTCAGGCCTTCAGGTCTGAGAAAAAGATCAGCCTTTAGCTGATGACTTCATTCATTAATCTATCCAAAATTTTTGGTCTTCTGATTCTGGGATAGAATGGGATTTGTATCTTGAAAAGTAGTTTTTTGAGCATGTTGGAGGAACTCATAAAAAATCACACACTGGCATTATTTGGCCTGAAATCATACTTTGTTTGAATAGCACAGTATTATTATTTGTTTAAATTTGAATGTCTTCAGGCAGGGCATACACCCTTAAGTTTTTATTATCTCCACCAGTTTTATTTTCTTAAATCTGTTCAAGTGTACTTATTTATATTACCTGCTTAATATTGTTAGTTTTATTAAACTAATAATATAATTTTATTATAATTTTATAATTTTTATTTTATATAATTTTATATAATTTTTATACAAATTTTATTGTAAACTCCACCAGTTTTATTTTTTAAATCTGTTCAATTTTACTTATTGCTTAAATGCTGTAGGAATTTTATTTTATAACCTCAAAAAGAATACACTGGGCTTTGTCAGAGGCATAACAATAATAAAATATCTGCTTATGAATACTGCCCTACACAGCTTAGGAAGTCTGTTAAAATTTCTATTTTGATTTATAACCAGATAAGAGATAAGCGGTTTAGGGAAACAGGTTCAGAGATGGTATGAGCAGTGCCACACAGCTAATAGAAGATATAACACAAGTCCAGTTTGCCCCTTTTCCTGGCCACTAAACATTTCCCCTCAGCCAATAGCTGCTGAAACCATGTGTCTAGCACTGATAGATCAATGTGACCCGAAGAAGCCTCTGATAGTACCAACGACATACTAATCATTGCTAATAACTGCAATCATCACTAATAAACTCTACTAGAGTATGGAAATATTGCCATCAGGTCCAGGCTGAATGCAAACACCATTATACTCAGCTCATCTTTGCTGAGTGACTGGCCTCACAGGTATGTTGAGTGCAGTGTGAGAAAAGACTACAGCAGGTATCTAGCCATCCATGCCTGCTGCAGAGAGCAGGAAGGGTGGGAGAAGATGCCTACATTAGGGCCAAAGCTCCTGTCAATGGGCTTCAGGCTTCCATGAGCAAGAGCTATCCAAGTGCCTCAACATGTTAAATAGGGACACCAGTTTGACCACACATTTCCAAGCCTAGTGGAGCCATATTTAGTCACTAAATATGAACAGCACTTGCCTCAGAATTATCCCCTGAAAGGGAATCATCATTGTTTGACAGCTTTCCCAGATAGTGGCAATTTCCAGCACTTCCAGGCTGCTGTACACATGGTTCCCAGGAAGGTCCTCAGGCACAGAAAGACAAAGAAGCGCAAGGGAAGTCAGCAGGCCACTGACAGGGGAAGGACTGTGGGGTGCAGAGGAGCCAGCTTCACTAATTTGCTCCAAAGAAGGATAAATGAACATATAAAACTTCTCCATGCTCCTCAGATTGCTATATATAGAGTAAGAAGTAATAAAACCCAATTTTGACTAAATAGTTACTGCCTGCCAGGCACATTACACACGTTATATTATTGAATACTTCCTACAGCCCTTAAAAGCTGCCCATATTCTTATTCTTGTCATGCAGAGGAAGACATGGAAGCATAGAGAAGCCATGTGACTTTCCACTGGCACAGCTCATGCAGAGCAGCCAGTTCTACCATGCAGATGGCCTGTCTCCCAGCCCACTTCTTCATCACAGTGCTCCATCACACAGGCAGGGCTGAGCGTCTTCTGAATTCCTGAGGTCAATGGGCCCTTCAAGACCTAGCATGACTGACTTTCGCCATTTGCCTATCACTTGTGGCCCCATTCTGTAGGTGGTCCATGTGACTCCAGGGCTTTCCTTGCTGCTGGGTGTGTACTCTAGTCTTTGATTCCTGCACAGTTGAGATTTTTGTATCCCCCTCTTTGATAATGTTTAGACTGAACTTATAAAGCTCCATCTCCCCTCTTCACTGAACTCCTCTACTTCCATAGACTCAGATCTTGTATGAATCATGGTTCTTCTAGCCCACGGGGAGATACAAAGACATTTGTCAAAGGGAAGTGATCCCTTTCAGATCTCTTGAAATGAAATGTCACCATTGACCTTTCCACCTGAACCTCATCTTCCTTGGATGGCTCAGCACCTTCTGGGCTCCCTAGATGCTCCTGGAGCTCATATGAACCAACTGACAGGTCATCACAGCAGAGGTGACAAAGCTGAATTACCATTGCCACAATGTGATCATTGGAAGGCCCTGCCAGGTTATTTTAAAGATGAGAAGAATGGCTCTGATAATAAGGCTATAGCCCAAATCCCTTAGAGCCACTCTTTCCTGGATTCATGCTTATGGAGCTGTTCATAACCACAAGCACCTTCATTTCCCCACCCAATAATGACCATTGGTTATTGTATCTTGATTAAGCTTGCAAGCTCTTAGCCAGGCATGGGTAGTCACTTATGTGCAGGAAGAAGGGAAGATGTGCACCTTCTCTCAAGTTTCCTTTTGTTTCCCCCAATTAAAAATTTTATTAGTAAAAGCTGCAACCCCCCAGTCCATGAGACCTGTCTGCAGTGGCACCATCCCCAGGAATCCTTTTCTGAGCTCCAGGCAGATCCGGCCCTCTCCTGCTTTTCTTTCTGGACTCAGGCTTCCTCCATGCTTGCATTCAATATTTAGGCTCCTGGAATGGATGGAGGTCACCCCCTTCTTGGCATCTCCTATTTCCTCCTTCTGCCATAACCCAAGGGGTCCTTAGGATTCTTCTCCTGCCCATTCTAGTGGCAAACTTGCAACCTGGCCTTAGTTCAGCATCTGGCATTTTCTCCTTCTGGGTTTTCTTACATTATTCTGCCTGGCTTTGGCTGCTCTTGTCTTACCTTTCCAAGATTCTCTTCTTCTTCTTCTTTTATAGGGAACCAGAGAATATAGGTTCCCCTTTGCCCTCTGAAGGTTCCCTGAAAAATCAGCTCACAAAGGGCAGATTAATTAGAGAACAGGCATACAAATTTATTCAATGTGTGCACATTGAGACCTTCAGAATGAAGACACAAAGATACAAAGAAAATTGTCTACTGTTGTGCTTAGGTCCGACACAGTAGGAAAGCCATGTAGAAATATGATTGGACAGAAAGCATGTGATCTAATGCTACTAGACATAGTGGGGAAACCCGGAAAAGCCCGTCTTTCTAGATCCTTTTTGGCCTCTCTGAGCAGCATTTCTTCCTTCTGGGTATAGGGCAGGATACTCTCTGGAATGAGGGTTTTCTGATCTACAGTCCAAAAAGGTAGGCCAGATCATTCTTTATGGCCAGTTTTTATGGTAAGAAAGTCAGAGAGAAGTTTATTTTAATGATAATTTTTTTACCATTCAGGTTTTAATCATTATTATTTAATGATAATTTAATGACATTGATTCTATCTATGAGCATGAAAAGGTTTTCCATTTGTGTCGCCTCTGATATCTCTGAGCCGTTGTTTGTAGTTCTCCTTGCAGAGATGTTTCACCTCCCTACTTAGCTATACATTAGGTATTTTGTTCTTTTTTTGGCAGTTGTGATTGTGAGTTTGTTCTTGATTTGGCTCTTGGCTTGACTGTTGTTGGTGTATAGGAATGTGAGTGATTTTTGCACACTGATTTTGTATCCTGAGGTTTTGCTGAAGTTGTTTATCAGTTTAAAAAGCTTTTAGGCTGAGACTATGGGTTTTTCTGGATATAGGATCATGTTGTCTGCAAACAGGGATGGTTTGACTTCCTCTCTTCCTATTTGGATGCCATTTATTTTTTTCTTTTGCCTTATTGCCCTGGCAAGGACTTCGAATGGTATGTTAAATAAGAGTGGTGAGAGAAAGCATCCTTGCTTTGTGTTGGTTTTCAAAGGGGAATGTGTCCAACACTTGCCCATTCGGTATGAAATTGGCTGTGGGTTTGTCATAGATAGCTCTTACTATTTTGAGGTATGTTCCCTCAATAGCCAGTTAATTGAGGGTATTTTATTAAAAACATGAATGGATGTTAAATTTTATCAAAACTCTTTTCTGCATCTATTGAGATAATAATGTTTTTTGTCTTTAGTTCTGTTTACGTGATGAATCTAATTTATTGAATTGTGTATGTTGAACCAACCTTTCATCCCAGAGATAGAGGCTACTTTATCATGGTGAATAAGCTTTTTGATGTGCTGCTGGATTAAATTTGCTAGTATTTTGTTGAAAATTTTTGCATCAATGTTCATCAAGGATATTGGCCCGAAGTTTTCTTTTCTTTTCTTTTTTTTTTTTGCTCCAGTCACTCCCCCATTATTGGTCATGTTCTGAGTGAGGTTGAACGACCCCACAATCTGTCAAGGATATTGGTGGGACCATGGGCTGGATATGCATTAGGCTCTTCCAGTGCCTAGATTCTATGAGTGCTTGGATCTCCTGGTCTTTTGAGATGAGATGGTCTCATGGTCCCCCTGCTAGGTCTAAGAAGTCCTCTGTCCTCCTCATTCTGTTTCCAACACCCACTAAATGACCTCCCACTCATGTATAGCTTCTGTTTTATGTGGAGGTACAAGTAAAATTATATTTGAAGTTGAAAGTTGAACATGGAAATTATATTTGAAAATCACATATTAATGCTAATTGTGTTTTTCAAGTTCATTGGTGTTTTTAGCCCACAGACTAACAAGGAACTTGAGGATTTCTTCACTCACTCTTTCCTTTAGGAAGGGATGTTGCTCTTTCTTCCTGTCTGGATCTTCTGCATCTTTCCAGTTGCTTCTACATGAAGCCCTAAGGGGACTTGGCCCCATATAGTCTGCTTTCTCATTTCTGGACTTCAGTCCATTTCTACTTAGCACTGCACAAAGTGGCACTGGTTCACATTTTCTTAAACATATTAGTTTTCTGGTGACTTGAGGGCTAGGACAATATCATGAAAATTATACTTCTTTCTTGTATCCTCCAATATGCCCTCTCCCAAATCCATGCATTGATGCCATGGATTTTTGGATGGCCACCCAAAGACAAAAGCTGGTTTTTCCCTTTGTGGTCAGACCCTTATCAGTGTAGGCAATTATCATATGTTTATTCACTTATTCAACAGACATTGAATGAGTGCCTCCTGGATGACTAATATTGTGTTGAATTAATCATTTAATGAGGAAGACAAAGATCTAGGGACCTCTAGGACAGAAACATGAAACTTTGGCTTTTAAGGGACCACTTTTATAAGAAAAAAAGGTCAGAGATGAGGGAAGAGAAAGGAAGACAGTGTGATCAATAGTAAGGAATTCACAATATTTAAGGAAGATGTTTTTAGTAAATGTTTTCAATTTTGCAGTTGGAGAAAACGGATCAGTTCAAATGAGTGGGCCAGTGAGGTTTGCAGGAATTAAAGACAAAAAGGTGTCCCCCAGCCCTAATTCCACTCTGGCTAATACCTCCTTGCCATGAGGGTCAATCAGAGGAAGGGAAAAGTAAGCTAAATGAATGACAAGAGGAGAAAGGCAAGGCAGGGGTTCAAGGAAACAGACCTTGAGCAGTGCATTGAGGCCACAGCAGCCGGAATGTGGACTCAAGTGCTGGGGACTGTGCTGCTAGCTGGGAATTTGCTCACTCAACCAACACACCTGATACTTCACCTCCATTATCAGATCCTTTATTGTCCAGAGCACATCTGACAGAACACCCACCTTGCAATGAACTAAAATCATCACCTGTGTGCCTTGCATCTGCTCCATTCTAGGTGGGTTCTCCTATCATTTGTAGCTGAGTATAGCCTGGGTAGAATAAATCCCCTAATTCAGTTGTCTGCCTGGGGAAAAAGAAAAAAAAAACAGTGAATGGGTAGAGAGAAGTAGAGAATTATTATTTTTTTCCCCTAGTGGCTTGGTCTGGAAAAGAAGATAAAGTAATAGAATTGGAAGGCGGGGAGGAGGAGCAAAAACTGGGATGGGATCCAGAGAAGGCTCTGCTTTATTTGTTTGCTTTTTAAATTTTTTAACAATGGAAGAAATAAATTTGAAAGGAGCTTTTATTGTTTCTAAGAGTCTGAAGTCTGTAGAAATCAGAAGCCTGTCTCCAAGTATATCTACTATGTGGTTGCTAGGGAGGCCGTAAAGTTCTCTGTGACCAGGGAAAAGAACATTCAAGATACAGGTAGAGAGGCTATACCATGGGTGTATGGAAGAGTTATTTGGAAGTAAACAGCATTTGGAAGGGTTCTTCAATATTACATTAGGAAGGTTTAAGAATACTGAAGGTGGCAGAGTCATTTTGAGGCACAGGTAAAATTAGAGGTGAGTTGAAATGTCGATCGGCTCTGGAGTACCCATCTGTATCCTATCCTCTGCTCTCTGCCTCGACCCCAAACCCATGTCTTGTGACTCATCCCGAAAGATCCCCTTGCTGAGCTGTTGAGATCTTTCAGGCCCCTCCAGCCTTGACATCCTGTTATCTTGAAGATCATATGCAGAAGTTAAAAATAGACATGATTAGGGGTCCTGGCTATATGTGGTTCTTTTTGGGCAACCCATAGACTTTTATGCCCTGCGACTTCTTGTTGGTTTAGATTTGTTTTAAAATTTATTGATTTCTACAATTGCACATGTAATACATAAGGTTTTTTGGGAGATACTATATTCAAACAATAAAAATATAAGTGGACAGATGTGAATAGGTCTCTTTACCACTCCTACACCCACCTCCCTCTTTGTATGTAACACATGCCAACAAGTCCATAATTCCAGTCCATTCTCTGTGCATTTACATCTAAATATATAGAAATTTGTACAAATATATTTCTGGTAGTTTGTGACTGGGTTTTTAAAACAATTGTATTCATACTACATGTATCATTCTGTAAAACATTTTTTGCATATAATTATATATCAAATATTTTCATGCCAAAACATGTATTTATGCCATTTGTTTTAATGATTGACTGGTATTCTATGGCATGAATGTATAATGTATAATAATTAAAGGACATTATGTTTTGTTTCCTATTTCTCCTCCTCCTCCTCCTTCTACTTCTTTTTGCTATTGCAGACAAAAGTTAAATTCAATGATCATCTTCCTGTCTGTCATTCTGTGAACATGTGTGAGTGTATTCTACAGCTATACCCTGGAAGGAGAATTGATGAGTTAAGGGGTAGGCACATTTTGGATTTTGAATAGATTCAAGTGTTGCAGGAGGACCTAGGTAGGTCTCCCAGCCACAGCCAGTGTTCCAGGTTGTAGACATTGTTGCAAGAAAAAATTCAAGGATGAGTCAGAATGAAGGGAAAAGCAAAAAGCTTTTATTGCAAAGGGAAAGTATGCACTTGAGAGTTGGAGTGCAGGTATACTTGGGAGAGTGAATTGTGCACAGGAGAGTCTGGGTATCTAATGTTATGGTGTCTTCTAATTAGGAAGTAGAATAGAATAGATTTGCTAGGAAAAGAGTAGATTTTCTAGGAAAAAGGTGGAGATTTCTTAGGCTTGAGGGCCACCCATTTTTATAAGAAATATGGCCATGCTCAGATCTACCATGGTGTGGTGGGTGTGTGACTTAGTTTTGGAATAGGCATATAATTAGGTCTGGAGTAGGGCATGGGTCAAATCCAATGCCATGTTGGACCTAGACTGTTTCAGCCAGTGTGGCCCCATTTTATCTGTGAGGATCTTATCAGGCCAGGCTCATCTTTGTCCTTATAGCTAATTTTAACAGCTCTTTTCTTGACATTATGTAAAATTGTTTCTTGATATTTTCCTGCTTCTCCTGTGATCACCCAGCATTCCTATCTTATGCCTGTTTCTTTAATTTGAGAGTGAAATAATCATGAAATATTATGGAAAAGGAGGGGTTTCATGGACTCCCCAGTTACTGACCCCTATTTTCCCTTATTTGGGTTTGCCTGGAAGGGTCATGGACATGTCACCCTCACTGGGGCTTTAGACATTTTCTCTCCCTTATTTTGGGTTTTCTGTTATCCTGTGGGTTTTTGTGCCTAGTTCTTGTTTCAGCTATTGTTTGGGTTTTTCCATTTTCCTGCAACAACCCAGTTCTATTCCTATCTCACAACTAAATTATCCTAAAAAAAAAAAAAAAAGCAGTTCCCATTCATATTCCCACCAAGTGCTTCTGGCAATAATCATTTCAATCATTTCTTTTTTTTTTCTGTAAAAGCCTTGATTATTTATTTATTTTTTATTTTTTTATTTTTTATTATTATTATACTTTAAGTTTTAGGGTACATGTGCACAATGTGCAGGGTTGTTACATATGTATACATGTGCCATGTTGGTGTGCTGCACCCATTAACTCGTCATTTAGCATTACGTATATCACCTAATGCTATCCCTCCCCCCTCCCCCACCCCACAACAGTCCCCGGTGTTTGATGTTCCCCTTCCTGTGTCCATGTGTTCTCATTGTTCAATTCCCACCTATAAGTGAGAACATGCTGTGTTTGGTTTTTTGTCCTTGCAATAGTTTGCTGAGAATGATGGTTTCCAGCTTCATCCATGTCCCTACAAAGGACATGAACTCATTATTTTTTATGGCTGCATAGTATTCCATGGTGTACATGTGCCACATTTTCTTAACCCAGTCTATCATTGTTGGACATTTGGCCTTGTTCCAAGTCTTTGCTATTGTGAATAGTGCCGCAATAAACATACGTGTGTATGTGTCTGTATAGCTGCATAAATGTCTTCTTTTGAGAAGTGTCTGTTCATATCCTTCAACCATTTGTTGGTGGGGTTGTTTGTTTTTTTCTTGTAAATTTGTTTGAGCTCATTGTAGATTCTGGATATTAGCCATTTGTCAGATGAGTAGGTTGCAAAAATTTTCTCCCATTGTGTAGGTTGCCTGTTCACTCTGATGGTGGTTTCTTTTGCTGTGCAGAAGCTCTTTAGTTTAATTAGACCCCATTTGTCAATTTTGGTTTTTGTTGCCATTGCTTTTGGTGTTTTAGACATGAAGTCCTTGCCCATGCCTATGTCCTGAATGGTATTGCCTAGGTTTTCTTCTAGGGTTTTTATAGTTTTAGGTCTAACGTTTAAGTCTTTAATCCATCTTGAATTAATTTTTGTATAAGGTGTAAGGAAGGGATCCAGTTTCAGCTTTCTACATATGGCTAGCCAGTTTTCCCAGCACCATTTATTAAATAGGGAATCCTTTCCCCATTCCTTGTTTCTATCAGGTTTGTCAAAGATCAGATAGTTGTAGATAAGCGGCATTATTTCTGAGGGCTCTGTTCTGTTCCATTGGTCTATATCTCTGTTTTGGTACCAGTACCGTGCTGTTTTGGTTACTGGAGCCTGGTAGTATAGTTTGAAGACAGGTAGTGTGATGCCTCCAGCTTTGTTCTTTTGGCTTAAGATTGACTTGGCAATGTGGGCTCTTTTTTTGGTTCCATGTGAACTTTAAAGTAGTTTTTTCCAATTCTGTGAAGAAAGTCATTGGTAGCTTGATGGGTTTGGTATTGAATCTGTAAATTACCTTGGGCAGTATGGCCATTTTCACAATATTGATTCTTCCTACCCATGAGCGTGGAATGTTCTTCCATTTGTTTGTATCCTCTTTTATTTCATTGAGCAGTGGTTTGTAGTTCTCCTTGAAGAAGTCCTTCACGTCCCTTGTAAGTTGGATTCCTAGGTATTTTATTCTCTTTAAAGCAATTGTGAATGGGAGTTCACTCATGATTTGGCTCTCTGTTTGTCTATTATTGGTGTGTAAGAATGCCCGTGATTTTTGCACATTGATTTTGTATCCTGAGACTTTGCTGAAGTTGCTTATCAGCTTAAGGAGATTTTGGGCTGAGACGATGGAGTTTTCTAGATATACAATCATGTCATCTGCAAACAGGGACAATTTGACTTCCTCGTTTCCTAATTGAATGCCGTTTATTTCCTTCTACTGCCTGATTGCCCTGGCCAGAACTTCCAACACTATGGTGAATAAGAGTGGTGAGAGAGGGCATCCCTGTCTTGTGCCAGTTTTCAAAGGGAATGCTTCCAGTTTTTGTCCATTCAGTATGATATTGGCTGTGGGTTTGTCATAGATAGCTCTTATTATTTTGAGATATGTCCCATCAATACCTAATTTATTGAGAGTTTTTAGCATGAAGAGTTGTTGAATTTTGTCAAAGCCCTTTTCTGCATCTATAGAGATAATCATGTGGTTTTTGTCTTTGGTTCTGTTTATATGCTGGATTATGTTTATTGATTTGCACATGTTGAACCAGCCTTGCATCCCAGGGATGAAGCCCACTTGATCATGGTGGATATGCTTTTTGATGTGCTGCTGGATTCGGTTTGCCAGTATTTTATTGAGGATATTTGCATTAATGTTCATCAAGGATATTGGTCTAAAATTCTCTTTTTTGGTTGTGTCTCTGCCAGGCTTTGGTATCAGGATGATGCTGGCATCATAAAATGAGTTAGGGAGGATTCCCTCTTTCTATTGATTGGAATAGTTTCAGAAGCAATGGCACCAGCTCCTCCTTGTACCCCTGGTAGAATTTGGCTGTGAATCCATCTGGTCCTGCACTTTTTTTGGTTGGAAAGCTATTATTGCCTCAATTTCAGAGCCTGTTATTGGTCTATTCAGAGATTCTACTTCTTCCTGGTTTAGTCTTGGGAGAGTGTATGTGTCGAGGAATTTATCAATTTCTTCTACATTTTCTAGTTTATTTGCGTAGAGGTGTTTATAGTATTCTCTGATGGTAGTTTGTATTTCTGTGGGATCGGTGGTGATATCCCCTTTGTCATTTTTTATTGCATCTATTTGATTCTTCTCTCTTTTTTTCTTTATTAATCTCTCTAGCAGTCTATCAATTTTGTTGATCTTTTCAAAAAACCAGCATGTGGATTCATTGATTTTTTGAAGGGTTTTTTGTGTCTCTATTTCCTTCAGTTCTGCTCTGATTTTAGTTATTTCTTGCCTTCTGGTAGCTTTTGAATGTGTTTGCTCTTGCTTCTCTAGTTCTTTTAATTGTGATGTCAGGGTGTCAATTTTAGATCTTTCCTGCTTTCTCTTGTGGGCATTTAGTGCTATAAATTTCCCTCTACATTCTGCTTTGAATGTGTCCCAGAGATTCTGGTATGTTGTGTCTTTGTTCTCATTGGTTTCAAAGAACATCTTTATTTCTGCCTTCATTTTGTTATGTACCCAGTAGTCATTCAGGAGCAGGTTGTTCAGTTTCCATGCGGTTGAGTGGTTTTGAGTAAGTTTCTTAATCCTGAGTTCTAGTTTGATTGCACTGTGGTCTGAGAGACAATTTGTTATAATTTCTGTTCTTTTACATTTGCTGAGGAGTGCTTTACTTCCAACTATGTGTTCAATTTGGAATAGGTGTGGTGCTGAAAAGAATGTATATTTTGTTGATTTGGGGTGGAGAGTTCTGTAGATGTCTATTAGGTCTGCTTGGTGCAGAGCTGAGTTCAATTCCTGGGTATCCTTGTTAACTTTCTGTCTCGTTGATCTGTCTAATGTTGACAGTGGGGTGTTAAAGTCTCCCATTATTATTGTGTGGGAGTCTAAGTCTCTTTGTAGGTCACTAAGGACTTGCTTTATGAATCTGGGTGCTCCTGTATTGGGTGCATATATATTTAGGATAGTTAGTTCTTCTTGTTGAATTGATCCCTTTACCATTATGTAATGGCCTTCTTTGTCTCTTTTGATCTTTGTTGGTTTAAAGTCTGTTTTATCCGAGACTAGGATTGCAACCCCTTCCTTTTTTTGTTTTCCATTTCCTTGGTAGAACTTCCTCCATCCCTTTATTTTGAGCCTATCTGTGTCTCTGCAGGTGAGATGGTTTTCCTGAATACAGCACACTGAGGGTTCTTGACTCTTTATCCAATTTGCCAGTCTGTGTCTTTTAATTGGAGCATTTAGCCCATTTACATTTAAGGTTAGTATTGTTATGTATGAATTTGATCCTGTCATTATAATGTTAGTTGGATATTTTGCTCATTAGTTGATGCAGTTTCTTCCTAGCCTTGATGGTCTTTACAATTTGGCATGTTTTTGCAGTGGCTGGTACCGGTTTTTCCTTTCCATGTTTAGTGCTTCCTTCAAGAGCTCTTTTAGGGCAGGCCTGGTGGTGACAAAATCTCTCTGCATTTGCTTGTCTGTAAAGTATTTTATTTCTCCTTCACTTATGAAGCTTAGTTTGGCTGGATATGAAATTCTGGGTTGAAAATTCTTTTCTTTAAGAATGTTGAATATTGGCCCCCACTCTCTTCTGGCTTGTAGAGTTTCTGCCGAGAGATCAGCTGTTAGTCTGATGGGCTTCCCTTTGTGGGTAACCCGACTTTTCTCTCTGGCTGCCCTTAACATTTTTTCCTTCATTTCAACTTTGGTAAATCTGACAAATATGTGTCTTGGAGTTGCTCTTCTCCAGGAGTATCTTTGTGGTGTTCTCTGTATTTCCTGAATTTGAATGTTGGCCTGCCTTGCTAGATTGGGGAAGTTCTCCTGGATAATATCCTGCAGAGTGTTTTCCAACTTGGTTCCATTCTCCCCGTCATTTTCAGGTACACCAATTAGATGTAGATGTGGTCTTTTCACATAGTCCCATATTTCTCGGAGGATTTGTTCATTTCTTTTTATTCTTTTTTGTCTAAACTTCTCTTCATGCTTCATTTCATTCATTTTGTCTTCCATCCCTTATACCCTTTCTTCCAGTCAATCGCATTGGTTACTGAGGCTTGTGCATTCGTCACACAGTTCTCGTGCCATGGTTTTCAGCTCCATCAGGTTCTTTAAGGACTTCTCTGCATTGGTTATTCTATTTAGCCATTCATCTAATTTTTTGAAAATTTTTAACTTCTTTGCGATTGGTTCGAACTTCCTCCTTTAGCTCGGAATAGTTTGATCTTCTGAAGCCTTCCTCTCTCAACTCGTCAAAGTCATTCTCCGTCCAGCTTTGTTGCATTGCTGGTGAGGAGCTGTGTTCCTTTGGAGGAGGAGAGGCACTCTGATTTTTAGAGTTTCCAGTTTTTCTGCTCTGTTTTTTCCCCATCTTTGTGGTTTTATCTACCTTTGGTCTTTGATGATGGTGACGTACAGATGGTTTTTGGTGTGGATGTCCTTTGTGTTTGTTAGTTTTCCTTCTAACAGTCAGGACCCTCAGCTGCAGGTCTGTTGGAGTTTACTGGAGGTCCCCTCCAGACCCTGTTTGCCTGGGTATCAGCAGTTGGAGGCTGCAGAACAGCAGATATTGGTGAACTGCAAATGCTGCTGCCTGATCGTTCCTCTGGAAGTTTTGTCTCATAGGAGTACCCGGCCGTGTGAGGTGTCAGTCCACCCCTACTGGGGAGTGCCTCCCAGTTAGGCTACTCGGGGGTCAGGGACCCACTTGAGGAGGCAGTCTGCCTGTTCTCAGATCTCCAGCTGCATGCTGGGAGAACCACTATTTTCTTCAAAGCTGTCAGACAGGGACATTTAAGTCTGCAGAGGTTATTGTTGTCTTTTGTTTGACTGTGCCCTGCCCCCAGAGGTGGAGCCACAGAAGCAGACAGGCCTCCTTGAGCTGTGATGGGCTCCACCCAGTTCGAGCTTCCCAGCAGCTTTGTTTACCTACTCAAGCCTGAGCAATGGCGGGGGGCCCTCCCCCAGCCTCGCTGCTGCCTTGCAGTTTGATCTCAGGGTGCTGTGCTAGCAATGAGCGAGGCTCCATGGACGTAGGACCCTCGGAGCCAGGTGCAGGATATAATCTCCTGACGTGCCGTTTGATAAGCCCATTGGAAAAGCACAGTATTAGGGTGGGAGTGACCCGATTTTCCAGGTGCCGTCTGTCACCCCTTTCTTTGACTAGGAAAGGGAATTCCCTGACCCCTTGCACTTCCCGGGTGACGTGATGCCTTGCCCTGCTTCGGCTCATGCACGGTGCACTGCACCCACTGTCCTGCACCCACTGTCTGGCACTCCCCAGTGAGATGAACCGGGTACCTCAGTTGGAAATGCAGAAATCACCCATCTTCTGCGTTGCTCACGCTGGGAGCTGTAGACTGGAGCTGTTCCTATTCTGCCATCTTGGCTCCACGCCCCCTCCATTTCAATCATTTCTATTCCAACCCTGGATATTAATATTTTGGATAGTTAAGTATTTACATATTTTAAGCATTTGTCAATCTGACAAGTGAATGTTGTTTTGAGTTATATTTCCTTAATTATTGGTGAGGTTGGGTATCTTTTTATGTTTATCGGCTATTTGCTTTCCTTCTATAAACTGGTTGTATGTATCATTTACCAGTATGTTGTATTTTATGCCAATGTATTATATTTTTAATTTAGAGAACACTTTATGTAAGATGGACATTTATCCTTTTATTGTCTTTCCACTTAGACAGTAAGTTGTCAAATAGTCTGTTCATTCCTCTTTTTCCTGTAAGATCACCTTTACAGTCAACAAAATCTCCCTGTGTGCATTGCTAGAGACTACTTTGTTGTGTTGATTTACTTGTCTCTTCCTACTAGGATGTAGTTCTCTTTGATCACTGTAAATTTACACTATATTTTACTATCAGCCATGTTTCACTTCTCATTTCTTCCTCAGAGTATTTCAGGCTACTAATGGGCATTTATTCCTTTGAAGAAACCTAAGATTGAGTGTCTAGAGTTTCATAAAGAAATATATTATGATTATGACTGGGTTTGTGGTGGAATTTTTAGGTTTACCTCAGGAAATTTTCTTATATTTACTCTACTGAGTATCCTAACGAGGACAGAATTCCCTTTATTCAGTAATAAAGCTATATACTTTTTTCATATTCTTACTAAATCCATTCCTAGGGATTTATACATGTAATGCTATTATAAATAGGTCACCTTCACCTAGGGATGTCATGTACATTCTGCAGCTACTTTTTACAAATTGAACATTTTTTGAGATAGTTGTAGATGTACATACTGTGCAAGAAATAATACAGAAATTCTGTGTACCATTTACCCAGTTTTTGCCAATGGTAACACCTTGTGAAACTATAGAAGGACAGCACTCCCAGGATATTAGCGTTGATATTACAAGATGCAGAATCGTAAATCAACACAACAATCAGTCATGTTGCTCTTTCTAGCCACACACACTTCCCTCCCACCTCCACACCTTCATTAACTTCTGGAAATCACTAATTGCTTCTTCATTTTGTTATTTTTTTAAAGAATGTTACATATATGGAATTGTACAGCATATAGCTTTTGATGGTTAGCTTTTTTACCAGTATAATTCTCCAGCAGTTCCTCTGGGTTATTGGTGTGTAAATAACTCATTCATTATGTTTTCCTAAGTTATAAATTTTTTTAATTAATTATTTTGAGACAGGGTCTCCTCTGTCACCCATGCTGGAATGCAGTGGTAGAAACTCCCAGGCTCAATAGATCCTCCCACCTCAGCCTCTCAAGTAGCTGGGACTACAGGTGTGCCCCACCACACGTGGCTAATTTCTTAGTATTTTGGGGGTAGAGATGGGATTTTGCCATGTTGCCTAGGCTGGTCCCAGACTCATGGGCTCAAGTGATCCTCCTGCCTCTGCCTTCTGGTGTTGGGATTGCAGGTATAAGCCACCGTGCCCGACCCATGTTTATTGTTGAGTAGTATTCATTGTATAGATGTACCACACTTTGTTTACCCTTTCACCTATTGAAGGACATATGGGTTGTTTTCTGGCTTTGGCTATTACAAATAAAGCTGCTAAAAGCACTCCAGCATAGATTTATGTGTGTGAAAACAGAAGTCATTTCTTCTGTAGGATGAATGATGAGGAGTGCAGTAACTGGTTTGTATGGTAGTTGCATGTGTCAAATTTTTACAGAAACTCCCAAACTGTTCATCAGGGGGTGGCTTTATCATACTACGTTCCCACCAGCAATAGGGTTATTAGGATATTTTTAAATTTGGTTATTCTGATAGGCATTTAATTATGGCACATTGTGGTTTTAATTTGTGTTTCTTAATGGATAACAATGTCAAACATCTTTTCATGTGCTCTATACTTTCTGTATACCTTCTTTGGTTGAAATGCCTCTTCATGCGTTTGGTCATATTCTAATTTGGTGGTTTGATTTGTTACTGAGTTTTTATTGTTGAGTTTAAATGCCAGTCTTTTGTCATACATAAATTTGAAAATACATGATCTCAGTTTAAAACTTGTTTTTCTATCTGCTTAACAGGATCTTTCACAGAGCAAAAGGTTTTCGCTTTGGTGAAGTCCAGTTTATAAATGGGTCTTTTTGCAAATCATGCTTTTGGTATCTATCAAAAGAATATTTTGCCTAGTCCTAGATCTTGAAGGTTTTTTTTTCTATAGTTTTGTATTCTACATTTAAATACATGATCCATTTGGAGTTAATTCATATATAAAGTATGAGACTAAAACTAAAGGATTTTCGCCTATGAATGTGTAATTATTTCAGCACCATTTGGTTTTTTTAATATATACTTTAAGTTTTAGGGTACACATGCACAACGTGCAGGTTGGTTACATATGTGTACATGTGCCATGTTGGTGTCCTGCACCAATTAACTCGTCATTTAACATTAGGTATATCTCCTAATGCTATCCTTCCCCACTTCCCCAACCCCATAACAGGCCCCAGTGTGTGATGTTTCCCTTCCTGTGTCCCTGTGTTCTCATTGTTCAATTCCCACCTATGAGTGAGAACATGCTGTGTTTGGTTTTTTGTCCTTGCAATAGTTTGCTGAGAATGATGGTTTCCAGCTTCATCCATGTCCCTACAAAGGACATGAACTCATCATTTTTTATGGCTGCATAGTATTCCATGGGGTATATGTGCCACATTTTCTTAATCCAGTCTATCATTGTTGGATTTTTGGCTTGGTTCCAAGTCTTTGCTATTGTGAATAGCAGCACCATTTGTTGAAAGTCAATCTTCATCCATTGTAAAAATCAGTTGAGAATATTTATGTGATTCTATTTCCGAGCTCTCTGTCTGGTCCATTGATCTACAGGTCTATCTCTCTACCTTGTCCTTTTTGACTAGGTAAGTCTTGAAATAGAGTAGACAAATTTCTCTCATTTTTTTTCAAGATGGTTTTGGGTATTCTAGTTCCTTTGTCTTTTTGTATACATTTAGGATAATCTTATTTATATCTACAAAAAAAAAAAACCTTGCTGGGATTTAAAAGGAATCACCTCTAACCTATGAATCAATTTAGGGAAAAATGACATCTTTACTATATTGAATCTTCCAATACATAAACATAGTATGGTTTTTTATTTACTTAGAACTTTGAATTATTTTATCAGTGTTATGTGGTTTTCAACATTTAAGTCCTGTACATGTTTTGTTAGATTTACTCTATTGTATTATTTTCTAAGTGATTGTACTTTTAAAAATTTTTTAATGCTTGCATGTTATTTCCAATACAGTCATCCCTCAGTTTCCACAAGAGATTGGTTCCAGGACCCCCACAAATACCACATTCTGCAGATGCTTAAGTCCTTTATATAAAAGGTCATGGTATTAGATATTGTCTCACCCAGTTAAAATGGCTTATATTCAAAAGATAAGCAATAGTAAATGCTGGTGAGAATGTGGAAAAAAGGGAACCCTCTTACACTGTTGAAGGGGATCTAAATCAGTACAACCACTATGAGAACAGTTTGGAAGTCCCTCACAAAACTAAAAATTGAACTATCACATGATTCAGCAATCCTACTGCTAGATATATACCCAAAAGAAAGGAAATCAGTATATTAAAGAGATGTCTGCACTCCCATGTATGTTGCAGCACTGTTCACAATAGCCAAGATTTGGAAGCAACCTAAGTGTCCACCAAGAGATGAATGGATAAAGAAAATATGGTACTTATATACAATGGAGTATACTCAGCCATAAAAAAGAATGAGATCCAGTCATTTGCAACAACATGGATGGAAATGGAGATCATTACGTTAAGTGAAATCAGCCAGGTACAGAAAGACAGACTTTGAATGTTCTAACTTATTTGTGGGATCTAAAAATTAAAACAATTGAACTCGTGGACATAGAAAGTAGAAGGATGGTTACCAGAGAATGGGAAGGGTAGTGGCGGATCAGGAAGAAAGTGGGTATGGTTAATGGGTACAAAAAATACTTAGAAAGAATGAATAAAACCTGCTATGTGATAGCACAACAGGGTGAGTATAGTCAATGATAACTTGATTCTACATTTTAAAATAACTAAAAGAGTGTAATTGGATTGTAACACAAAGGATAAATGTTCGAGGGGCTGGATACCCCATTCTCTATGATGTGATTATTTCACATGGCATGAGTATATCAAAACATCTCATGTATCTAATAAATATCTACACCTACTGTGTACCCATAAAAATTAAAAATTAAAAAAATTAAAACTAAAAAGGGCATAGTATTTGCATATAACCTACACACATTCTCCTGTATTCTGTAAATCATTTCTAGATTATTTATAATACTTAACACAATGTAAATTTTATATAAATAGTTGTTATATTGTTTTTAATTTATAATATTTTATATTTTATTGTTCTTTTTATTAGTTTTTATTTCAAATATTTATTATCTCTGGTTGATTGAATCTGCAGATGTGGAACCCACAGATACCAAGTGCCAACTATATGTATTACACACACACACACACACATTACACACACACATTACACACACACACATGAACTCATTTATTTCAGGAGGGGTTTTTTTTGCTTATTATTTGAAAGTTTCAGGAATTTTCACACGATCATGTCATCTGCAACTAGGGTCTGTTTCTTTCCTTCTAATTTATAGTATTTTCCTTGCCTTCCTATACTGGCTAGAATTTCTAGCAATATTGGAATAAGAGTGACAAAAGTGGGCATCTTTGCCATACACCCAATTTTTGCAGAAAGCATTCAGTTTTTCATTCTCAGGTGTAATTTAGCTTTCTTTTTTTTTCTACAGATGATTTTATCAAGTTAAAAATTCTCCTATTCCTATTTTTCAGATAGTTTTCTTCATAAATTCATGAATGGGTGCTGAATTTTGTCAAACGATTTTTTTGAATTGACTGATATAATCGTTTGATTTTTTTCTTCAGCCTGTTAATGTCGTAGATTACATTGATTTTCAAACATAGAAGCAGCCTTGCATTCCTGAAATAAACTTCACTTGGTCATAGTGTGTAACTGTTTTTATACATCAATGAATACTATTTGCTAATATTTTCTTAAAGGTTTCTGTTTCTACATTTATGTGTCTGTAGTTTTCTTGTTTGTACTTTGTCTGGTTTTGATATCAGGGTAATATATTTTCATGAAATAAATTGTAGTATTTCCTTCTCTTCTGTTTTCTGAAAGATATTGTGTAGAATTGGTGCTATTCTTTAAATGTTTGGCCAAATTCTACAGTGAAACAATCTGGACCTGGAGATTGCTTTTTTGATAATTTTAATATAGGAATTCAATTTACTTAATAATTGTGAGTATATTCAAACAATTTATTTTACATTGAGTTATGTTAGTTTATGTTTTTCAATGAATTTGTGAATTTTTATTTGTGAATATTTAAGCTGTCAAATTTGTATGTGCAGAGTTGATTGCAGTATTTATTTATTATCCTTTTGATCTCTGCATGGTTTATAGTGATATCCCATTTTATTCCTGATAATGAAAATTGATGTATTTTCTCTTTTTTCTCATTAGCAGACTTGCTAAGATGTGTCCATTTTATTCATCTTTTCAAAGAACCAGTTTTTGGTTATATTAATTTTCTGTATTATTTTTGTTTTCAATCTCACTGCTTTTCTTTCTTTCTTTCTTTCTTTCTTTCTTTCTTTCTTTCTTTCTTTCGTTCTTTCTCTCCTTCCTTCTTTCTCTCTCTCCCTTCCTTCCTTCCTTTCTTTCTCTCTCTCCCTTCCTTCCTTTCCTTCCTTCCTTCCTTTCCTTCCTTCCTTCTTTCTGTGTCTTTCTTTCTTTCTTTCTTTCTTTCTTTCTTTCTTTCTTTCTTTCTTTCTTTCTTTCTTTCTTTCTTCTTTCTTTTCTTCCCTCCTTCCTTCCTTCCTTCCTTTTCCTTCCTTCCTTCCTTCTTTCTTTCTTTCTTCTTTCACTTTTTTTTCACAGAGTCTCACTCTGTCTCCTAGGCTGGAGTGCAGTGGCACGATCTCGGCTTACTGCAACGTCTGCCTCCCAGGTTCAAACGATTCTCCTGCCTCAGCCTCCTGAGTAGCTGGGACTATAGGCACACGCCACCATGCACGGCTAATTTTTGTATTTTTAGTAGAGACAGGGTTTCACCATGTTGGCCAGGATGGTCTTGATCTCCTGAGCTCGTGATCAACCGGCCTCAGCCTCCCAAAGTGCTGGGATTATTATTTCCTTTCTTTTAGTTGAATTGGGTTTATTTTAAGTTTCTTTTTCTAGACTCTTGAGGTAGGAGCTTAGATAATTGAATTGAGAATTTCTAATACGTACATTTTATGCTGTAAATTTTCCCTTTGGCACTTCTTTAGCTCTGTCCCACAATTTTTGACATATTATATTTTTATTCAGTTCAATATAATATCAAATTTCCTTTGAGACTTTCTCTTTGACCCAGGGATTATTTAGAATGTGTTTAGATTCACAGTATAATAGCTTTATTTTGCTGCTGTAACAAATTGTCACAAATTTAACTGCTTATAACAACAGAAATTTATTTTTTCTCAGTTCTGGAGGCCAGGAATTTAAGCTGAGTGTTATGTGGCTAAAATCAAGGTATCATCAGGGCTGCTTCCTTCTGTCAGCTCCAGAGAGAATACGTTCCTTGTTTCTGCCAGCTTCAGGTGATGGCTCACATTCCTTGGCTTGTGGCTGCACCCTTCCAGTCTCTGTGCCTATCATCATGTGGCTTTCTCCATTTCTGTGGTTAAAATTCTCTCTCTTTCCATCTTATAAGAACACCTGTGATTATAGTTATGGCCCATCTGGATAAGCCAGAATAATATTCTCATTCCAAAGTCTTTAAGCTAGTCACATTTGTATGTTACATTTTCACATGAGGAAACAGCCACACTGAGTGTTTGCAGATTTTCCTCTTACCTTTATGTTATCTTCTTGTTGAATTCCATTGTGGTTGGAGGATACTCTCAGTATAATTTCAACTCTTTTAAACTTTTGAAAAGTTTGTTTTATGATCCATATATGATATATCTTGGTATATGTTCTGTGGGCACTTGAAAATAATGAGTAGTTTGCTGTTGTTAGATGAGGTGTTCCATGTATATATAATACATATGTATATATGTACATACATATACATAGTATTGTTATGTAAACAATATTATATATAGTTTCTCTCTGTCTATAATGATTTTTATTGATCTGATGTCTACATGATCTGATATTAATATAGCCACTCTTGTATTCTTTTGATTAATATTTGCATGATATACTTTTTTGTATCCTTTACCTTTCAAGCTACCTATATTATTATATTTGAAGTGAGTTTCACTTAGTGAGGCTACTCGGGTTAAGGTTTTTAAAATCAACTCTGCCCATTTCTTTCTTAATTTGTCAGGGCTTAAGTCTGGCATTTTACTTTTTGCTTTGTGATTGCTCTCTATTCTTTGTTGTTGTTGTTGTTTATTTCTCTTTTTATTTTTCCTGCCTTCCTGTTTGTTACTTCAGCACTTTTTATAATAAAACCTTGATTTATCCACAGTGTCATTGAGAGTATCTCTTTGTATAGCTTCCTAAAATTGCCAATGTGTATTTCAAATTTATACATAACATTAGCCATTAATTATGTTTACAGTGTTGTACAACCATCACCACCATTTGCAAACATTTTCATCATCCTAACAAGAAACTCTGTACCCATAAATCAATAACTTTGTATTCCCTCCTTTTCTCAGCCTGTAATAATCTCTAACTTTATGTCTCTTTAGATTTGTCTAATATAGATACTTCCGTGAGCAGCCCAAGCCCCTCTTCACTGACAAGTTCTACCTCACCTTAACCGAGGGCATTGCTCTTTCAGACAGACCACCTTGCAAAGGACAGCTGCATACTCAACCTGCCGCTGTTTCTCCTGGAGGCCAACCTGGTGACCTTCCTCTTCCCTCTGGACCGCCTGAGAAGGGCGGCAGAAAAGGAGATGGTGACAAGATGCCTCTGCACAACCTCGCCATGGTTTTGGCCCCATGATGCTCTGGCTTTCTAGTCTTCATTGCTTTGTCTCCAACTCAAGCATAGTTTTTGTTTGTTTGTTTGTTTGTTTTACTCATTCTTGAGAGGAAGCCATTAGCTTTCTTTGGATGCTTTGTCATTTATCTTATGTGACTACACCAGTTAATCAAAGGATCACTTGCTGCTCTTCTTCCACTAAAACAACACCCACTTCATGCTCATTGTCTAAAGTGGGGGCATCATTTGTAACTACAGATACTAATTGTGGGGATCCCAGGTTTATTATGTGGGAGAGACTGAGACTCCCCTCATCTGTCCCCTGAGGAGGGTTCATAGGTGAGTGAGAAAGGGACAAGGCAGCGATGTGGACATCTCCCCACATTGCCCAAGGGGCATTGCTTCCTAGTGAGGAAACTCTCGCTGCAGTTTTCTGGCAGGGAAATAATACAATCTCCAGATCATTTATCAATTTTGTTTTTTTTAAATAAATATTTTGCCATTATTAGATGAGTATATAAAAAATAAATAATATGGATTTATCTTGCAGTGTACCATTTAACTCCATCCCAAAATAGATCTATTATCTTCTCTTTTGTTCAATGAATACTATTCATACCTAGGCAAAACTGTTGCTGTTACTCATGATTTAAGGGCATTAGGAATACAACTCTAGGGAAAAAATACTGCTATTGGAAACCAAAAAGAGTGTCTGGGACAGGTGTCAATCTATTTAGAGGTTTTTTTCACCAAGGTTGAGGATGCACCCGGGAAAAAGAGACACAAGCCACAGTGGAATCTGTGGCCTGCACTTTTTCCAAAGAGTTTTGAGGGTTTCAATATTTATAGGGGAAAAAGCAGGCCAAAGGGAAAGGAAAGAAGACAAAAAGGGGAGAGTAGAAAAAATGAGACAAGTGGTCTCATTGTCTTGAGGCTTTCATTAGTTCTCACTGAAGCCACAGGTTGCCCATGAAAAGGAGGGGGTAGAGGAACAGCTGATTATGTGCTCGCCTGGCACTGGTAAGGCTGCACCTCACATGAGATAAAGCAAACATAGAGTAGAGGAAGCATCAACATGCATTTGTCTTGGGGTGGTGGTAGGAATATTTCTAGTTTCCTTTTGTCCTGTATCCCTGAAGATAAGTTGCTAATTTACATGGTCAGGGTGAGGGAGGTAACCTGGAAAGATATGTTTAGGAACAAAAGGAAAGATGGTTTCTGGGTGTGACTCAGTTTCCAAGTTTAACTTTCCCTTTTGGCATAGCGAGTTTGGGGTCCCAACATTTTATTTTCCTTTTACACTATTGACTACTAACAGTCTTTGTTGTTAAATTCCATCTGTTTTAAAATTTTAATAAAATATTTATATCATAAAATATAAATTATTCACTTATAAGATTAATATAAATAATATTAACAAAACATTGTCTTGAAAAATGTAGTTTGACAAAGTTTCAATCTGAGTAAAAGATAGTATCTTAAATACAGTATTTTTTCACTGCTGGTGAGAGAGAATCTAAACTTTCTGTGAAGACTAAGAAAGTCTCACATTCTTGGTGCACGCCAGGAAGCCCCGTGTTCCTTGGATGTGGAGGAGTTGAACATGAAGGAGCTGGCTGTGATGTCAGCATGTGAAGGTGGAGGAACTCCAGCCCAGGAGGGGCTCCTGGATCCACCCGCCCCAGATGGACTCGAGGTGGGGAAGGCAGCCTGGAGGCTTGGGAGGCCTGAGTAGAGAGGAGGGAACAGCGCTCCCTTAAGACCCAGGCCCACTCCCAGGGAAGGGAGCAGCAGGGCCACACTCTTGGCCACCTTGGAAGAGCTCCTTGCTGTGGGCTGATTCCCACGACCTTGTCTAGGGATTCCAGCATTTTAGGTAGCTCCTCCATTGCCTTCGTTGGTTAGAGCATTTGGAACTTTTCTTTTTCACTTCTCGAACCAAAGAAGTTAATTCCTTCATCGATACCAAGTTGGCACTCTTCACCTTTTTGTAAGCATCTGCAAGGCTGGGAATATTTAAAGACTCCTTCTTTAGCCAGGCATTCTCTAGTGCTGCCTCCATCTCTGCATACTCCTTTTTCAAAACACCAAGCTTCTAAATGAATTGATTTTTTTCTCACATTCTGCAGCCTGTGTTTTGTGAGTCACTTTTCATGTCTTACATAAAGTCAGCTTCTAACAGATTCAACAAGTCTGAACAAAAATAAAAGACCTACCAAGAAGCTGATGAGACCAGTGTCTCCCCTGATGGCTTTGGAAAGTGAGTTGTGGACTGAAGCCATTGGGCAGCATCTTATATATCACCTCACACATTTCGTAAATATCAGCCCCAAACGAAGTTTCACAGAAGATCCCGGCCCCTCCATCCCTGCAACCATGGATTCTGCACCACAACAAACCCTGGGGAACACCTCAGCATTCCACCTGGAATCAACCAGGAACAGGCAGCCTATACTAGTCAGTTTCATGGTCACCATCAAGGAGGATTAGTAAATAAACATGCTTGTCTCCTTACTGTCTAGTAATCAGTCTTCTTTACCTGTTTCTTATTGTATGTGTATCAACAGACAATTAAAATATAGTGAAAGGTGCCAATCTTAAGTGTATAGCTTGAATAAGCCTTTAAAATGTTATACCCCCACTGCGTCCTGCAACCCTATCAAGGTATGAGTCCTGTGTATCAACACAGAAATCCCCCCCAGTTCCTTTCCAATCAGTGTCCACTCGCCCTGACTCACGCAGCCTTGGAGAAGGTTGCTCTGAACACATCCCAGTTGAGCCTCAGCATCAAGGTCATGGAATCAATTACAATGTGCTTTCTGATCTCTGCCTGCTTTGCTCAAAGTGTTTTTGAAACTTATCTGTTCTTGTGTAGATAAGCAGTTCACTCTGTTTGTTTCGGTAATATGACATTTTATATTACTGAGACAAATATTACACAAAATATTTCATGGACATTTTGTTTATTTTCAAATGTGGGGTATTATGAATATATTATAGATATATGCATATGTCCTTTTGATCAATATGAGCTTTTATTTTCTCTGGGAGTAGAACATCTGGGTTGATATATGCTAATATTTTATGAAACAACTTTATTGAGCTATTATTTGCATGTCCTAAAATTCACCCAACTCAATTAATTTAAAACAAAATCTGCAGAATTAAACAAGCACCACAATTCCATTTTAGAACACTCCCATCACCCAAATAGGTCCCTCTGACTTTTCTCTACTGGCCGCATTTGACACAGTCCATCCCTCTCTCCCTGAAATGCCTCCACTACTTAGCTTCCAGTTCAGTGGGCTATTTTCTTTCCAATCTCACTGGCCATCCTTTCTGTTTCTCTGTTGTTGGATTCTATTTTTCTCTCAAACCTGTTACCATTAGCTTTGACTCATGAATGAGTTCTTGCGTCACTTTTGTTCTTCAGAAACTCATCCCCTTGCTGGTCTCACCTAGCCCCTTGGCTTTACATGCCACCCATACTGATATGACCTCTGTATTTATCCATTCCACACTCTTTCATTTAGTCTAGATTCATAGCTACACAGCCACTGCCACAACATCTCTATGTTGACATCTAACACACCAAGCCCAAGCTCTAGACCCCTCCCCTGAGCCCAACCTCCCTCATCCTCCTCTTCCATGAGAGCAGCTCCATCCCCACAGGTGTTCAGGTTCCCACTGTTTTGTTTTTCTTGACTTCTGTCTTCTCTCTACCTCATCTCCACTCCATCGGCAGAGCCCCTCTCTGTAGCTTCACAGCATGTCCACACCTGACTGCTTCTGTCCCTCCACCTATTCTACCTGGCCAGAGCCTGATCTCCTCTGAACAGGATGACTGTGCAGCTTCCTAACCATGCACTGCCTCCTGCCATCACCCCTGCAGTCTGGGGTTCTGCCTATAAGGAGTTTGGAAGTCACCATTCCATGTGATCTGGTTTGTCTGTGTCCCCACCCAAATATCATCTTGAATTGTAGCTCCCATAACCCTCACATGTCTTGGGAGGGACCTGGTGGGAGGTAATTGAATCATGGGGGCAAGTTTTTCCTGTGCTGTTCTTGTGATAGTGAATAAGTCTCACTATCACTTTTCTACCTATATGATCATGTCATCGGCAAATAGGGAGAGTTCCCCTGCACAGGCTCTTGCCTGCCACCACCTAAGACATGACTTTGCTCCTCCTTGGCTTTCCACTGTGACTGGGAGGCCTCCCCAGTCATATGAACTGTGAGTCCATTAAACCTCTTTTTCTTCATAAATTACCCAGTAATAAATTACCCATAAATTACCCACACTACTATTTATTCATAGCAGTATGAAAATGGACTGATACACCATGTTAACAAAAAGAACAAAGCTGAACAATCAACTATTCATCATAGATTCACAAAATAATTAAATTCATGGGGCAACTGCTGCTTTCAAAATTACAGAGACAGGAAAATGAATGCAGGGAGTCAAGACACACAAGTGCAGAAAGCTCTGTGGGAGCCAGGCTAGGGCAGGAGAGCTTCAGCTGCAATGAAGCTGCTAGAGGCTGGCTGTGGACTGGCCTGAGAACTAAAAACACCAGGGGCACTCAGTCATGGGGAAGCGAGATCGTTTTGTGGTTTTGACCTCCAGTAGCTCAACCAGGTTCTCACAGTAAATACTGGGGGGAAATACTCATGCTACCAGAATGCTCTGTGCTTAACAAAGTCTGTCCTCAGGCAAAACTACTTAACCAGAACCTAAGTTTTCTAAGATTTTATCAGAACCTCACTGACCTAGGTAGGGAAAGTGAGACTGGATCTCAGCTAGCTCCAGCCCTCTGTGTTGGGGGAGGGAAATGTCCAGCTCCAGTCCACCTTAGCTATCCTTTGCGACCTCGTGGGAGAAGCCTGAGAAACCCATGTGAAGTTCAGAGACACAGGCTCAATAAAGACTGAGATCTAACTGGAGAAATGCAGAACGCCTCCTATCCACATGCCACCCTCACTAAGTGTCCATCCATCAATGGATGAATAGATAAAGAAAATGCACTGTATATACTCAATAGGATATTACTCAGGCTTAAAAAGAAGAAAGCTCTATCATTTGCCACAACATGAATGAACCTGGAGGGCATGCTAAACAAAACAAGCCAGACACAGAAGATAAATTCTGCATAATCGCAGGATATGTGGAATCTAAAGAAGTTGAACTTACAGAAACCAAGAGTAGAATGATGGTTTCCGAGGACTGAGAGGTGAGGAAAATAGGGAGATATTGGTAAAAGGGTTCCAAGTTTCAGTTATGCAAGATGAATAGGTTCTGGAGATCAAAGGTGCAGCATGGTGACTAGTTAATATTACTGTATTGAATGTGTAAAATTTGCTGAGAGAGTAAATCATAAACGTTTTTACCATATCCCAAAAAGAATGATAAGTATGTGAGGTGAAGAACATGTTACTCAGTTTGATTGGGGGAAATCATTTCATGATGAATATGAGTATCAAAATATAACTTTGTATACTGTAAACATATACATTTTTATTTGTTAATGATACCTCAATAAAGATGGAAAAATGAATAATATTTTAAAAAAACAAACAAAAACCTCCCAAAAAAGAAAAGCCCAGAACCAGGTGGCTTCGTGAGTGGATTCTACCAAACATTCAAAGAAGAATAATAACAATCCTTATCAAATGCTTCCAGCACATGTAAGTAGAGGGGACACTTCCAAATGCATTTGATGCAGCTGGCATCACACTGATACCAAAGCCAGAAAAAGAGCAAGAAAATAAAGCCACAAGCCAGTATCCCTGATGAACATAGATGCACATATCCTCAATGAGACATGACCAGACTGAATTCAAAAGCACATTACAAGGATCATACAGCATGACAAAGTGAAATATATCTCTGGGATATGGGAGTAGTTCAGCTGATGTGAATCAATTAATGTGGTGAATACACAAACAAGGAAAAAGTACATGTGATCATCTCAACAGATGGAGAAAAACCATTTGACAAAGTTCAACTTCTATTATTGATTAAAAAAAACTCTCAATAAAATAGGTATAGGAGGAACATATCCCCCACACAACAAAGGCCGTAGGTGATAAACTCACAGCTAACATAATCAATGGTGTAAAGCTGAAGGCCTTTCCTCTAAAATCCCATACAAGGCAAGGATATCCACTCTCATTGATTCTATTCAGGATAGTATTGGAACTTCTATCCAGAGCAATAAGAGAAGAAAAAGAAATAGCATGTATCTAAATCTAAAAGGAAGAAGAAAAACTCTCCCTATTTGCAGTTGACATGATCATATACATAGAAAAATCTAAAGACTCCACAATGGCTATAAAAACCTATTCGAACTGGTAAAGCAATTATACCTCATTAAAGATGGGGGAAAACTACTCCAACAAAACAAAGGAAAAATAGGAATAAAATATTTCTTTATGACACCCTTCAAGAATACATTTACAAATCCAAAGCTATTGCTTCTAACTTCATGCATTGTAACTAAATTCCTTTACTATTGCGGCTTAAGAATTTTATTTATACTCTTTCAAATGCTATCATTTTAAAATTTAAATAAAGACATTTAAATCAATATTTTAGGAAACAAACAAACCAAATTAATTACATTCATTTAGCAACTTATTTAACATTTTTTAGCTCTGTCATTTAACTAGCAGTGTGACTTCAGGCAAATAAGCCAAAATTTTAATCTTTTTACCTGTAAAATATAAACAAATGTGTCAATTCTTTAAAGTTGTTTGCATTATTTCAGGCTATATAAATATATATAATTATTAAATATATTGATAAATAGTAAAAACAAAGGAACTTTACAGTTTCTATTTATATGTAAACTAGTATCACTTGCTATTATTTTTGAAAAGGAAATCACACTACTGAAACCAAAAGGAAATCAAGAGATTTACTTTTTGCAAATGTAAATGCCATGGGCAAGCTCTGGGGAACATGACTGAGGCTTGGTTCCCTCAGTTGCCACAGCAAATATACTTGAGCATCCTGCAGGGGAAGCTCTGCTGTGAATACTTCTTATGACTGAAATGAGACCTGGATATAAAAAAGGTGATCATCCTACTGGAACCTGGGCCCCATCCAAGTACCTTTTGATTTGCAATCTAAATCTCTTACAACTGAGCTACTTCAGGTGTTCTTGTAAGATGAGGACATATATAAACAATTCTTCAATTTTGCAACTCAAAATTAGTATATGGTTACTGTGCATATCTTGCAAAACTCAGCAAGGGAATCTTTCCAGCCTTGTCAGCCTTGATACTCCAGTCTGGAGTCGTTCATGATGTCCACATCAGGAACATCTTGTTCTCACATCACTTTCTTTCTTTCTTTCTTTCTTTTTTTTTTTTTTGAGACGGAGTCTTGCTCTGTGGCCCAGGCTAGAGTGCAGTGGTGCCATCTCAGCTCACTGTAACATCCACCTCCCGGGTTCAAGCAATTCTCTGCCTCAGCCTCCCGAGTAGCTGGGATGCCCGCCACCACGCAAGACTAATTTTTTTTTTGTATTTTTTGTAGAGACCAGGTTTCACCATCTTGGCCAGGCTGGTCTTGAACTCCTGACCTCATGATCTACCAGCCTCGGCCTCCCAAAGTGCTGGGATTACAGGCGTGAGTCACCACACCCAGCCACTTTCATATCCTGAATGGCCCTCATGCCAGCTCTCTCCTGCCTTTCCCTTGATAAGAGGGCATGGTCCCAGGCACATTGCACATGTTGGTTGGAGAACAAACTAGGAAAGACAGTTTTCAGGGCAATCAGACTGTGTACACTAAATGCAAATTTTATTTTGTTTTTATAACCTTTTTTTATTATTATTATACTTCAAGTTTTAGGGTACATGTGCACAATGTGCAGGTTAGTTACATATGTATACATGTGCCATGCTGGTGTGTTGCACCCATTAACTCGTCATTTAGCATTAGGTATATCTCCTAATGCTACCTGTCCTCCCTAACTATTGTTTTTTTTTAAGAAAAAAACTCATACACTTAAAGATGACAAGGAAGCCTACTCCAGAAGAGACAACTGCAATGTGGTTTTGCAGTAGGGGAGAGAGATCAAGCTCAACCCTGAATACAGTGAGGACAAGTGGAGATTTATAGCCAAGAAGCAGAGCTGGGATCAGTGGATGGTAAATTCCTAAGAGAACACATCAAGGCTAAAACTCACCAGGATTCTTGCTGAAGGCAGGCCATGATGACAACATGTTGAGGGTCAGCAATTTGGCATTTGGTCAGATATGGACAGTGATCAGATACCAAGAGTGGAGGATGTTTGCTAAATGGATTCAGCAGGGTTCTTTCTAAAACTGGACTAAATGGGCCAAGAGCAGAGCTCAAAGCTGTGGCCTAGTCAAAAAGAGGACTTAGAGGAGGCTGACTCTAGCTTGGTCAACGAGATAGTCTTTGTTACCCTTGGCCCCCTTATTCAAAGAACAAAGAGACATTGTTCTTTCCTTTGAACAATACAAGATTATTTCTCATTTGGAGGGGGATATTTGCTGGATGATACAAGCATTTAGGCATTTAATGATGAAAATCTCTATGAGTAAAAAGGAAAATGAGAGTAACTACTACTTCAGAGTCCAGAGGGCAGTTAGCCCAGATTTGTAAATGCTGGGCTTGAAACACCTTTACATGCTGGAGTGAGGAAAAGCAAGGTCATCCAATGGTTCTTTCCATTTGCAGCTTGAGTATCTTTGGAGATACTGTGCAGTGTGCTGGGGAGCTTTCTGAGTGGCCTACACAGCAGCAGGCATGAAGGTTGTCCACACTTGAGTTGTTGTGTGATTTTCTTGAAACTTATATCAGGTCATGCAGTTTCAGGTTGCAGGGCTTGGGGAAAAGGGCAGTTCTAGTTCTCAGATAAGCCAAGTCAGGAGGGAAGGAGAAAAGTTGCAAACATTAGTTTGGAAAGTCTCCATGGAAATGTGAAGTTTCTATAGTCATTGCCTCCCAGTTAATTGATAAAAAATAACCAAAGTAAATTTATTCTTGTTTACAACATAAGTAATCTTATTAGATTTGAACTGATTATTTATATGACTGCAGCAAGAAGAGATGACCACATAGACAAGCTTTTCTGTAACTTGTAATACAGAATCTCCAATTAGCCTTTAAAAGACTCTTGAGCCTAGAAACCCAAGCCTAGGAAGATAAGCTAAGCCATCACCTCCAATACCGATAGATGTGAATGAATTCTTCTTTTTCCGGGTCCCCAAATTATCCTGTTTCCTGGGGATGCCGTGAAGTGGTTTTTCCTTAGTCACCTGTATGCCTGGAAACCCTATAAGCCAGGTGCCAGGCTGGTTTCCTCAAGAAGTCTTTGTAGGCATTGGCTCCATAAAGTTTATCTTATTTCCTTAAAATTGTCTGGTCATGTCTGATTTTATGCATTATTCCCAAATATGACATTCCAGTCAAGGCCTTGGTAATATAACCAATATTTCTAATTGTGTCCTGTTGCAAAGAGAACAGATTCTTTTTGAACTTATGCAAATAATTTTATTGCCCTTAAGAGTTTCTAAATTCTGAAGGAATCAGGCAGGGAGAAGATAAAATGTTTATTTCTGTTCACAAAATTTAGTCTATGAGTTGTAGACAGCTGAACAGAAAAGAGAAAGGAGTTCCATACACCCAGAAAATACTACATTAAAGAGTCAGCAATGTTTCTTTTTTTATGAGTTTTTTGTTTGTTTGTTTTGAGATGGTGTCTCGCTCCGTTGCCCAGGCTGGAGTGCAATGGCACGATCTCAGTTCACTGCAACCTCCGCCTCCTGGGTTCAAGCAATTCTCCTGCCTCAGTCTCTGGAGTGGTTGGGATTACAGGTGCACGCCACCACACCTGAATAATTTTTGTATTTTTAGTAGAGACGGGGTTTCACCATGTTGGTCAGGCTGGTCTCGAACTCCTGACCTCATGACTGGCCTGCCTCGCCTCCCAAAGTGCTGGGATTACAGGCGTGAGCCACTGCGCCTGGGTGAGCCGGTAATGTTTCAAACAAAATCCATTATCATTCTTTATCAGTTCATTCAGTCCTATGTGATTAAATTCTGTTCTGCTTGATCTTGAATTAGCAGTTTTATGCATCCGTCAGCTCCTCCATTCATTCTGCAAATCTTAACTCAGTCAAGTGGTATGATCTCAAAATTATGTAAGTAAATGTCATCGGAAACGTTTACTCGAAGCCCCTATGGGTCTCAGACCATCACTTTTTTTTTTTTTTTTGAAGAGGAGCCACTTTGGCTGGTAACTGAAAATATTTTAAAGAAGAATAAGAGAATAACAAAATCTGTGAATGACAAGACTTAAAATGACCATATTAAAGGCCTATTGAGACCTCATTATAAAAATAATGCAATTCACAAGGGATTTAGGTGATTTCCATGGCATGCAACATTTAAAAGTAACAGCTGGAATTATGACTGATAACATACCCGGACACATTATGAGCAGTAGAGACACTGACACATTTCTAGGAATTTCATACAATTTCTGAAATATTTATGTTAATACTTTCTACCCATGCAAATAAAACCAAGGGAAGGTTTTTGTTTCTTATTTGACATCATCTTTCCAGGCAACTGAACTTATCAAATAAACCACATTATTTTGAACATATCTCCTCATGAGATGAAAGAACAAATTCTCTCAGGTTTTTCTAAATCCCTCTGGGAAATCTCAAGACCATTGGAGAAGAAAGTTTCATCTAGGATCTGCTTTTGAGAGGCACTTTTAAAAGTAAGGAGCACTAATTCTCTTACATAAGCAAGGACCTGATAAAGGTTAACATTAAGCCCAAGAAATTATGATGATTAGATACAAAATCTTTGTTTCCTGGGCAAATAATTTAAAAGGTAAAGAAAAACTTTTTACAATCTTTTTAAAAAGCCGACCAACAATCTAAGAAACCATTGTTTTAACAGACAGAAATAGAAATTCTAGTTTTGCATCGGTACACTATTGGCCACATTTAATGAATTTTATAAATAAATGTATCTAATCTTACTGGCTTCACCACATATGCATTTGCCTTCCACAAACCTTCTACAACTTTCTATGTCCATTTATATTTTGCCCTACTCTTTTTTTTTTTTCATTCTGGAGTAACGAATCATTTTAGTTAAGGACAAAGTACTTTTTCTTTAATAAAAACATTTCCTTCACACTTAATACCTTTCCTTATCAGAAACACACCCTGCTTTTCTCACAGGCTTCACAGTTGTTTCTCTTACTGCTTTTAGTGGCTTCGTTTAAGCTCTGGTGGTCTCCTTCCCCAGCCTCATCCAGATCAGTCTCTGAGCTAAGTATTCTTGCTCTAGACTTTCAGTCTCTGAGCTAAGTATTCTTGCTCTAGACTTTCAAGCAGGAAATGAAACAGGTCTCATCAGAATCAGCCACTTGCATTTATTAGTTGGAAGTAAATGAAAATGATAATTGTAACTCTAAGGGGAAAGAACAGGCAGCCACTCAAGATCTAGATGAGTTCTTTCAGAATGAGTAGACACTTCATGAGAATGATGGATGGCCCTTTCTGAAATCGGCAAGTGTGTGAAACACAGGGCTTCTGAGGCACAGCTGTGAACAGATGTGCCTGTTCCTCCCACCCTCGAGTCCCCCTTTGACTGCCTCTTGAGTTCTTCAGCTGCCTCCTCACTTGCCCTGAGCCTCTCACTCCTGCCAGTCCATCCACTCTCGACACAGTACCCAAAGTCACTTTTAAGGACCTCAAATCCAATGCTGTCCATCCCTTTCTGAAACCATTCCAGTGTTTCCACACTGTCCTAGGGTCAGGCCCTGACTAAAGACAGCCTTGCAGCCTGACCTTGCTCTGTCCAGAGTCCATGCTCAGGACATGGGAGCATGCACAGGTACTGCTGCCACTGTTGGTGCCACGGGAGGCTCTGCTCCATGGCCTGGGCTCTGGGAGACCTGTTCTGCCATGGAGCCACTGGATGGGTGAGGCCTTCTGAAGGTCAATGGGGTCGAGGACACAGGTTAAGGGCACCTGATGGGGGGTGGTGCTTGTGGGATGTCAGTGAAACAGTTGAATTAAGGGAAGATGGGAGATTCCTATTGGCAAATATTGTGCATCTCCTGGTCTGAAGGAAGGTCAACAGTGAGTAAGAGATGGTCAGGGCTGTCCTGGGGTCATGGGGGCCCCATCATCAAAGGAGTCTAAACAGGCCCATCCAGGGACTCCTTGGCAAGGGCACCATGGGAGGGGGCTTTGGGTGGCCCTCCCCTGTTGGGAGCCACCATGGCCCTGGGGGCTGCGGGTCTCCAAGGTTTCTTCCACCTGTGAGATCCTGCAGTTCAGAGCCCAGGCCATTGAGGCAGGGCCAGGCTGCCATTGGGGCCACAGTCCCGACAGGTCCTCCAGGGAGGCATGCGGTGACACTCCGCTGCTACCCATGCCATGCATCCGGCTCCTACTAGCACTCCGTACATACCCATGCCGTGCACCCACCTTCTACCAGCACCCCACTCCTACCCGTGCCCAACTCCTACCTGTGCTGTGCACCCAGCTCCTACCAGCACTCTGCTCCTGCTCCTACTCGAGCCATGCACCCAGCTCCTACTAGCACTCCGTTCCTACCTGCACCAGGAACATACATTAAAGAAAGAAGAGTCTCTTCAATAAATAAGGGGAAAACTGAACATTCAAAGGTAGAGAAAAAACTGGGCCCCTATCTCTTATTATATGCAAAATGCAAATCCAGATGGATTAGAGACTTTAATGGAAAACCTGAAAATATAACACTACTAAAAGAAAACATTGAGAAATTCCTCTAGACATTGGTCTGGGCTGAGATTTTTAAAAAAAACCATAGGTGAGAAGAGCAAAAATACATAAATAGGACCAAAACAAGCTAACAAACTTCTGCACAGCAAAGAATCAAGGGAGTGACGAGATGACCTATAGAATGGGAGAAAATATTTGCAAACTATCCATCGAATGAGAAATTAATATCCAGACTATATAAGGAACTCGAGTCAACAGCAAAACAAAATAATCTCTTTAAAAATGGTCAAATGACCTGAAGAGACATTTCTCAAAAAATGACATACAAATGGCCAGCAGGCCTATGATTATGTGCTCGGTCCCACAGCACTGTCCTCACTTAGATGCCAGCAACCAATGGGGTGGCCTAGCTGCCGAGGCTTCTTCCTGGCAGACTACCAATTCAGGAGTTCCCACAACACCTCCCTCAGGTTCACCAGAATGAATCAGACAACTCAGAAAAGCACTCTACTCATATGTACAGGTTTATTTCATATTAAAAAATGCAGCTCAGGAAAAGTCACATGGAAGAGAGGCATAAGACAAGGTAGGTGGAGGTAGGGGCTGGCAGAGAGGATAACAACTATTTGCATAGCAGTTCCTGCCTATGGGGTTGAGGAGAGATCTGAGATGATTTCAAGTGCACAGGAGCACGGGCATGGCTTATATGCAGATGCTGTGCCACTTTATACCAGGGACTTGAGCATTGTCAGATGCTGGAATCTGTGGGGGTCCTGAAACCAACCCCTGCAGATAACGAGCAATGACTGTAAGCCTCAGCTTAGGAATATGTTTTCCAATTGCTCAATAAGAGGATTTGGGGCATAATATGACAGACATGCTTTTATATGTGGACTAAATTTTTAAATATTAGTAAAGAAAATTAAAAGAGTTCTTTCTTTTCAGAGGTTACTTCCTAAATAATACTTTTTAATAAAACATGGGCAATAATTTAAGGACAATTTATGGGGATTTTGTGACATCCACAGTGCACTGTGAAGAGCCTGTTGTCTATGCCTGAAAATGTCAAGAGGCAGAAAGAGTTTGTGGCCCAGTTAGACATGACCCTGCATGTCTGGGAATCTACTGGATTCAAAATAAATAACAACCACCCAATACCTAAAGATAAATCCCCACAGCAAACAACAAATCACTTTGAAAAGAGATACATCTAAAATCATGTGAAAATTAAGTCTAAAATCACTCAAATATAAACATCAAAATACAAAAAATCTTAAATACACAAAAAAGTAAAAATTGATAATCATAAGAATAAAATACTGACAAATAAAAATAAATAAAATAAGTCAGAGAAGAAACCGGTTTTCAGATATATAACAGAAAAGAACAAAATGATCTGGAAAGTGAATATGCACTTAAAGTGAATCAGCTTACATTTTGGCAATATTGTGGCAGTTGTCCCCTTGCAAGACAGTCTTCCCATTTAGGAGCAATATTCAGTTGCAGGTTCCAAAGAGAGGATTGGAGTGCAGTGGAGGAAACCAGGGAGGAGGCTCCTGTTACAGAAGGGGAGAAGCACAGAGGCAGGAAATTCCAGGAAACCGGTGTCATAGTTGTGAGCACTGCACAGAGATTTCAGAGAGAGAAGCTCTATGAGGTTGGAAAAGGTTTCTGAATTATAATGCTCATTACAAATTCATGAAGACAAAATCCATATAAAAATCAGCAACAGAAATATATTGATGCCAATTCTCATACAAAGACATGTAATAGACAAAATGAATACTTATAGAGTAAAACCACTAGAAAATGTGAAAGTTCCCACCTCAATGTAACTCACCCACTGGACTGTGGCCTTTTCAACAATGAGATCAAAGGCATTAAGAAAATAATATCAAACACAAAAGGACACCATTCATCAGAATTAAAGAAATAGAGCAATGCATGGATGAAACTCCAAAAAGACTAAGAAAAATAATTGGAAACACTCTTCAGCTATAAAATGTAAACTAGAGACAACACAATGACAGCTTCTGCCTTCTAAGAAACAGAAGGTTAAAGTGAGGAGAATATTTCAAAAGAAAATGAGCAAGAGGTTATAAATGTTTAGGGAGAGTAGCCAAATGGATGCATGATTAAGGTGCCTGAACGAGAACAATCAAAGCAAAGACACAAGGAAATATGAACAACGATCATTCCAATTTTTTCTGAAAATAAAAACAATGTTTTGTAAGTGTTTCTTCAAAAGAATACTGAGGATTGATGTGAAATGGCTAACAGCAAATGATATTTGAGTAAACTCCTGAACTTGAAGACAAAACGCATTTTTAAAGCATCTAGACTAGAAGAGTGAGTAATACACAAAGAAGTGAAAATTAGACTCTCATCCACCTCTCAGCAAGAAATACTCTATGCTGGAAAAAAATGGAGAAAAATTCTGAAGACACTCAGGGAAAGCGCCAGTGAGCCAGGAAGCTCACACCAGCTGTGCTGACCATGGGGCAGGAAAGGCCCTGACAGCTAAGTCACTGTGGAGACCGTGGGGAAGGTTGTTCCCAGGATCCCTTCCAGAGGAAGGAACAGATTTCAGACAACAATCTCTCGAAGGACACTGATGTAAAGACAATGAGTGAGGGTGTATTTGCTGGTACTTCGGCCAATTAAGATGAAATTAGGAAGACATAAGAGAGAGAGTGGCAGTCACTGGAGGGACTGCTTTCTAATTCAGTGAGTCCTAGCTCTGCTGAGGGAGATTTCCTATCATGGGTTTCATTTCACAGGAAAATATTCTATAAGCAATTAGAAGGGGATAACTATTACTTAATATGTAACTTTAAACAAATATAGAAGACAACAAATAATATAGCAAGACAAATATAATGACGTAACAAATAAAGCCACTATAAAAACAACAAATAAAAGAACAACAAATATAACATCAGCTATATACAAGACATTGCTAAATAAAATCTTCCAGAGCATCATGATTTGTATCCTTTCTGGGCCAGGGTGACATCCCCACATCATGACTCTTTCATGTTAGAGGAATCTGCAACACAGGCAGAGGTGCGGGGGTCACTGGGAAGGCACAGAGGTGAGGATGCGGGGACTCTCTGGGGCAGGGTGCAGGTCTCAGAGGGCTACTTTGGTCTCCCCAGAGTCAGGTCCACAGGGCACTGAGGCCTGCCCGGGAGTTCACAATCATTTTCATAGGAGCAATGTCCAGGTTTTCAGAGCTGTATTCATGGGGCTTAGCCTACATGTTCACTGTCGTCCTCATCAGGATCAGCCCAGGCATTCACAGCCGTACTCACTAGGCCAGTCCGAGTTTTACATGGCTGCCCTCATTGAGGTCAGGTCAGGTGTTCACAGCCATCCTCATCAGGTCCAGCCTAAGTGTTCAGAGCACTCTTCACTAGTTTTCAGACCAGATGTTAATAGCTGTCCTCATTGGGCCCAGCACTGTGGTTACAGAGGTTCCCATCAGGGCAAGTCCAGGTGTTCAGAGCCATCCTATTGGGCCCAGTCCAGGTGTTGGAGACATCCTAATGAAGGCCATCCCAGGTGTTCCCAGCTGTTTTTATCGGGCCTATCCTAGGTATTCACAGTTGTCTTCATTGGGACCAGCCCAGGTGTTCACATCTATGCTCATTTGGGCCAGCCAAGGAATTAGAGCCATCCTTATCAGGGCCAGCCTGGCGGGTCACAGCCATCTACCTTGATGCCACCCCAAATGTTCATAGCCATCCTTATCTGGCTTAGTGTTCACGGCTGTCATCATTGGGCAGCACAGATGTTAATAGCTGTCCTTACTGGGCCCAGCTTAGGTGTTCAGAGACTGTTTAATAGTGGCCAGACCAGGTGCTCACAGCCATCCTCATGAGAGCAAGCCCAGGTTTCATATCTGTCCTCACTGGGCCTCACCCAGGTGTTCCTAGCTGTCTTCATCAGGACTAGCGTAGGTGTTCATAGCTATTTTCATCTGGGCCTGCCCAAATGTTCACAGTGGTCCTCATCAGAGCCAGCTGAGGAGTTGACAGCCATCCTCATTGGGCCTAGCTAAGTTGTTCATAGCCATCCTCATTGGGTCCAGCCTATATGTTCCCACTTACGCTAATCGGGTATAGCCAAGCTATTATAGCAACACTCACTGGGACCAGCCAAGGTGTTCACTGCCATCATCATCTGGGCTGTCTCAGGTGTTCAAAGCTGTCCTCACAGGGCCAAGCCCAGGCATTCTTACCTGTCCTCATGGGACCCAGGCCAGTTCTTCACAGCTATCCTCATTGGGTACAGCCTAAATGTTCACAGTCATCCTCACTGGGCCCAGCCCAGGTGTTTCCACCTTTCCTAATCAGGGCCAGCCTAGATGTTCACAGTGGTCCTCATCAGGGCCTGCTCAAGTGTTCACATCTATGCTCACAGGGCCCAGCCAAGGTATTGTAGCCGTCCTCATCAGAGCCAGTTCAGGCGTTCCCAGCCACGCTCATGAGAGCCAGCACAAGTATTCACAGTTGTCTTCATATAGGCAAAGCCCAGGTGTTAATTGATGCCTTACTGGGCCCAGCCCAGGTATGCACAGCCATCCTTATCAAGGTCAACCCAGTTGTTCAAAGCTGTGCTCATTGGGCAGCTTTGTACTCATTGCGATCACTCAGGTGATCACAGCTATCCTGATTGGCCTCAGGCCAAGTGTTCAAAGCTTTCATCACTGGGTCAGCTTAGGTGTTCACTGATCTCTTTAATGGGCCCAGCCTAGGCATTCACATCTGTCATCACTACAAGCTGACATGTTTTCAGTGGTCCACATCAGTGCCAGCAAAGTTGGTACCATTCACAGTTGTCATCATCAAGGTCAGCCCAAGTGTTCATAGCCATCCTCATTGGCGCTAGCCCTGGTGTTCACAGTGGCACAGTGGTTCTCACAGGGGCCTAGTCAAGGTGTTAATAGCTGTCGTTATACGGCTTAGCCTATGTGTTCACAGTTGTCCTCAACAAGATCAGCTCAGGTGTTCAAAGCTGCCCTCATGGGAACAAGCCTATGTGTTTATTATTTTCTTTATTGGGCCAGCCCAGGTGTTCACATCTGACCTCACTGGCCACCATAGGTGTTCACTGCTGTCCTCACTGAGCCTAGCATGAGTGTCTACAGCTGTCCTAATTTGGTCCAGCTCAGTTGTTCACAACTGTCCTCATCATAGCCAGCCCAGGAGTTCATGGCTGTCTTCAGAGCTTTCCTCTTCTAGACCTGCCCAGATGTTTACAGTGGTTCTCTTTGGGGCCAGCCAAGATAGTCATATTTTTCCACACTGCCACCAACCCAGATGTTCATAGCCATCCTCACTGGGATCAGCCAATTTGTTCCTGCCCGTGCTAATTGGGTCCAGGTAAGGTATTATAGTCACACTCATTGGCACTGGCCCACCTGGGCTGAGCCCAATGAGAACAGCTGTGTACATCTGAGCTGGGTCTTATGATGATAGCTGTGACCCTCTGGGGTGGGTCCAATCAGGGCAACTATAAAAATCTTGGCTGGGCACAATGAGGACAGCTGTGAACACCTAGGTTGCCCATTGGACAGCTGTAAACAAGTTGGCTGACCCTGAGAAGAATGGCTGTGAACAAATTGGCTGGCCTTGATCAGGGTGGCTATAATAATTTGGCTGGTCCCAATGAGGAGGTCTGTAAACACATTGGCTGGTCCCGATAAGAATCGCTATGAATACCTGGGCTGGCACTAAAATAAACTGCCCTAATACCTGGTCAGGCCTCAATGATGAAGATGGCACTAATGCCTTGGCTAGGCCCAGTGAGCATGGATGTGAACACCAGGGGTGTTCCTGATAAGGATGACTGTGGAAACCCAGGCTGGCCATGGTAAGTATAGCTGGGAACACCTAAGGTAGCCATCTTGAGGATGGTTCTGAACACCTGAACTGGGCCCAATAGGATAGTGCTGAACACCTGGACTCACCCAGATGAAAACCACTATAAACACCTAATGATGATAGCTATGAACACATGTACAAGTCCCCTACGATAACGACTGTGAAGACTTGGGCTGGGCCAGTGAGGATGTCTCTGAACACCAGGGCAGGGCCGAATAGGATGGCCCTGAACATCTGGACTTGCCCTAATGAGTATTTGGATGGCTGTGAACATCTGGGCTCAGCCCAGTGAGGACAACTATTAAACACTGGACTGGGTCCCCATGTGAAGGACTGAAAATTCCTGGGCTGGCTCGGATGAGGATGGCTGTAAGAACCTGTGCTGGCTCTAATGAGGACAGCTGTGAACACCTGCACTGGCCAATATTTTAAAAGCTGTGAATACTTTGTCAGGGCCAATGCAGACAGCTTTAAAAACCAGATATGCCTTGATGAGAATGGCTTTGAATATCTGGGAAGCTCCAATGAGAATGGCAATGAACAATTTCCTGGGTCCAAAGAGGACAGCTGTAAACACGTGAGGTTGACCCAATGTGAATAGGAGTGAATACCTGGCTGTCCCAGATGAGAACAGCTGTGAACACCTGGGCCTGTCCACATTAGGACGGCTATGAACACCTGGGCTGGACCCAATGACTATAGCAGTGAACACCTCAAGGGGCTGGACCTGATGAGGATGGTTATGAACACCTGGGGTAGCCTCAGCTTAGGTGGCTATGAACACTTGGGCTGGGCCCAAAAGGATAAATGTACATTTGGTCCTCAGTGGGGCCAATCCAGGTGGTTACAGCTGTCCACATTAGCACCAGCTCAGATGTTCATAGCAATTCTTAGTGGAGCCAGCCAATTTGTTCACACTCATGCTAATTGGGGCCAGCCCAAATAGGATACCACCCTCAGTGAAACCAGGCAAGGTGTTCACAGTGGTCCTTTCTTGGCCAGTCACAGGTTTTCTCATAGCTGTTCTCCTTGGGCCCAGGCCAGGTGTTCATGGCTGTTCTCTTCAGGGCCAGTCAAAGTATTCACAGCTGTCCTCATCAGGGTAAGTCCAAATGTTCAAATCTGTCCTCACAGGGACCAGCCCAGATGTTTCAAAGTTTTCCTCATTGTGCCCAGGCCAGATGTACTCAGTTAAGCTTTTGGGCCATGCCCAGGTGTTCATAGCCATCTAGGTTGGGGCCAGTCCAGGTGTTGATAACCATCCTTGTCAAATCCAGCTGAGGAATTCACTGCTAGTGTCACTGGGCCCATCCCAGGTGTTCATAGCTGTCCTAATGTGGGCAAGCCTAGGTGTTCACAGCTGTCCCCATCTAGGACAACCAGGTATTCACTCCTGTCCACATTGGGCCAACCTCATGTGTTCACAGCTGTCCTCCTTTGGCCCAGGAAATTGTTCATTGTCATTCTCATTGGGGCCAGCCAAGGTGTTTGTCGTCATCTTCATTGGGCTGAGCCCAGGTGTTCATAGCCATCCCCATCAGGATCAGCCAATGTGTTCACAGCCATGATCTTTGGGGCCAGCCAACCTATAGTATAGCCACCCTCATTGGGGCAGCCCAGGTGTTCACAGCAATCCTCCCTGGGTCAAGCCAGGGGTTCCAGGCTGCCTTCATGGGGCCCAGCCTAGATGAACACAGCTGTCCTCATTGGGCCCTGGCCAGGTTTTAGAGTGAATACCTGGGCTGGGCCCTATTAGGACATCTGTGATCATGTGGGCTGGGTACAATGAGGGCAGCAGTGAACACCTGAACTAGGCCGCATTAGAACAGCAGTGAATACTTGGGATAGGACCTATGAGAACAGCTGTGAACACCTGGGCTGGCCCCATGAGGACAGCCATGAACACCTTAGCTGGCCCTGGAAAGAATGGTCATGTACACCTGGGCTGGCCCCGATGTCAATGGCTATGAATACCAGGGCTGGGCCCACAACCATAGTTGTGTATGTTTGTGCTGGGCCCAATGAGGAAACCTTGAATACCTGGGCTAGGCCCAAATAAGGGTAGATGTGAACACCCAGGTTACACCCAATGATGACAGCTGTGAACACCTAGGCTGGGTTCAGTTAGGACAGCTATGAAAAACTTGGCTGTGCCCAGTGAGGATGGCCCAGGTGTTCACAGCCATCATCATCAGAGAAAGCCCAGGTGTTCAAAGATCTCTTCATGAGGGCCAATGTAAATGTTTAGTGCTATTTTCATTGGGCCAGGACAGGTGTACAAAGTAGTTCATATAGAGACCTAGTCCCAGTGGAGGTATTCACAGCTATTCTAATAGGTGTCAGTCCAGGTGTTCAAAGCTCTCCTCATAGGGTACAGCCCACATGTTCAAAGCTGTCTTTGTTATACCCAGCCCTAATATACAGTTATTCTTTTGAGCCCAGCCCAGGTGTCCACAATTGTCCTCATCTGGTCCAGCCCCAAGAAATGTTCACTGATGTAGTTATTGGGTCCAGCACAAGTGTTCACAGCTGTCCTAATGTGGATCACTGGTGTCAATCAAGGTATTAAGGTCACCCTCATCGGGGCCTGGCAGGGTATTCATAGCTGTCCTCATCTGAGCTAACCCAGGTCTTCACTGTTGTCCACACTCAGCCCAGCCCAGGTGTTCATAGCTGTCTCCACTGGGAGCATCCCAGGTTTTCATAGCTGTTCTTATCTGGGCCTTTGCAGGTGTTCACAGTGGTCCTCACTTGAGCCAGCTCAGCCCATCACAACAATCCACATTATCACCATCCCAAATGTTCATAGCCATCCTCATCAGGGCCAGTCCTCCTGTTCACAGCTATGGAAATTAGGGCTGGCCAAGGTATCATAGCCGCCTTCAAGCAGGCCAGCCAACATGTTCCAAGCCTCTTCTTAGGGGTCAATCCAGGTTTTCACAGCCGTCCTCTCTGGGCAAAGCCCAGGTTTTCATAGACATTCTCATTGTGCCAGGCCAGGGGTTCATAGCTCTCCTCACTGGGTCCAGCCTAAGTGTTCACCGTGATACTTCTCTGACCCAGTTCACATGTTTATAGTTCACATGTTTTCATGACTATAAACATAGTTGTATAGAGGTCCATCTCAGGGCAACTTCAGGTGTTCACAACCATCCTATTGTGCCTTTCCTAGGTGATCAAAGCCTTCCTCATGGGGGCCAGACCAGGCTTTCCTTATCGGGGGCAGCTTAGGTGTTCACTGTGGTCCTTGTCAGGGACAACCTAGGTGTTCACATTCATGCTCAATGGGTGCAGCCAATATCGTAGGGCCACCCTCATCAGGGCAGCCCAGGTGATCACATCCATTCTCATCAGGGCCAGCTCAGGTGTTCTCAGCCATCCTCCTTGTGTCCAACCCAGTTTTTTTTTGTTTGTTTATTCATTTGTTTGTTTGTTTTAAGTTCTAGGGTACATGTGCAGAATGTGCTGTACCCATCAACCTGTCATCTACATTAGGTATTTCACCTAATGCTATCCCTCCCCTCACCCCCCACCCCCCCACAGGCCTCAGTGCATAATGTTCCCCTCCCTGTGTCCATGTGTTCTTGTTGTTCAATTCCCACTTGCAGTATTTGGTTTTTTGTTCTTGTGTTAGTTTGCTGAGAATGATGGTTTCCAGCTTTATCCATGTCCCTGCAAAGGACATGAACTCACCCTTTTTATGGCTGTATAGTATTCCACAGTGTATATGTGCCACATTTTCTTTATCCAGTCTATCATTGATGGGCATTTGGGTTGGTTTCAAGTCTTTGCTATTGTGAACAGTGCTGCAATAAACATACATGTGCATGTGTCTTTACAGTAGAATGAGTTATAATCCTTTGGGTATATACCCAGTAATGGGATGGCTGGGTCAAATGGTATTTCTAGTTCTAGATCCTTGAGGAATGGCCACCAGTGGAGGCTGCAGAACAACAAAGATTGTCTTCCACAATGGTTGAACTAATTTACACTCCCACTAACAGTGTAAAAGCATTCCTATTTCTCCACATCCTCTCCAGCATCTGTTGTTTCCTGACTTTTTAACGATCGCCATTCTAACTGGCACAAGATGATATCCCATTGTGGTTTTGATTTGCATTTCTCTAATGACCATTGATGATGAGCATTTTTTCATGTTTGTTGGCTGCATAAATGTCTTCTTTTGAGAAATGCCTGTTCATATCCTTTGCCCACTTTTTGATGAGGATGTTTGTTTTTTTTCTTGTAAATTTAAGTTATTTGTAAATTCTGGATATGAGTCCTTTGTCAGATGGATAGATTTCAAAAATTTTCTCCCATTCTGTAAGTTTCCTGTTCACTCTGATGATAGTTTCATTTGCTGTGCAGAAGCTCTTTAGTTTAATTAGATTCTATTCGTCAATTTTGGCTTTAGTTGCCATTGCCCTTGGTGTTTTAGTCATGAAGGCTTTGCCAATGCCTGTGTCCTGAAAGGTACTGGCCAGGTTTTCTTCGAGGGTTTTTATGGTTTTAGGTTTTATGTTTAAGTCTTTAATCCATCTTGAATAAATTTTTGTATAAGGTGTAAGGAAGGGATCCAGTTTCAGCTTTCTGCATTCCAGTGTTCCCAACACCATCTATTAAATAGGGAATTCTTTCCCCATTGCTTGTTTTTGTCAGATTTTTCAAAGATCAGATGGTTGTAGATGTGTGGTGTTATTTTTGAGGCCTCTGTTTTGTTCCATTGGTCTATATATCTGTTTTGGTACCAGTACCATGCTCTTTTGGTTACTGTAGCCTTGTAGTATAAAGTCAGGTAGGATGATGCCTCCAGTTTTGTTGTTTTTGCTTAGAATTGTCTTAGCTATGTGGGCTCTGTTTTGGTTCCATATGAAGTTTAAAGTAGTTTTTTTCCAATTCTGTGAAGAAAGTCAATGGTAGTTTGATGGAGATAGCATTAAATCTATAAATTATTTTGGGCAGGATGGACATTTTCACGATATTGTTTCTTCTTATCCATGAGCATGGAATGATTTTCCATTTGTTTGTGTCCTCTTTTATTTCCTTGAGCAGTGGTTTGTAGTTCTCCTTGAAGAGGTCCTTCACATCCCTTGCAAGTTGTATTCCTAGGTTTTTTATTCTCTTTGTAGCAATTGTGAACTGGAATTCACTCATGATTTGGCTCTCTGTTTGTCTGTTATTTGTGTATAGGAGTGTTTGTGATTTTTGCACATTGATTTTGTATCCTGAGACTTTGCTGAAGTTGCTTATCAGCTTAAGGAGATTTGGGCTGAGACAATGGGGTTTTCTAAATATACAATCATGTCATCTGCAAACAGAGATAATATGCTTCCTCTCTTCCTGTTTGAATACCCTTTATTTCTTTCTCTTGTCTGACTGCCCTGGCCAGAAATTCCAATACTATGTTGAAAAGGAGAAGTGAGAGAGGGCGTCCTTGTCTTGTGTCAGTTTTCAAAGGGAATGCTTCCAGTTTTTGCCTATTCAGTATGATATTAGCTGTAGGTTTGTCATAAATAGCTCTTATTATTTTGAGATACTTTCCATCAATACCTAGTTTATTGAGAGTTTTTAGCATGAAGGGCTGTTGAATTTTGTCAAAGGCCTTTTCTGCATCTATTGAGATAATTATGTGGTTTTTGTAATTAGTTCTGTTTATGTGATGGATTACGTTTATTGATTTGCATATGTTGAACCAGCTTTGTATCCCAGGGATGAAGCCCACTTGATCATGGTGGATAACCTTTTTGATGTGCTGCTGAATTGGGTTTGCCAATATTTGATTGAGGATTTTCGCATTGATGTTCATCAAGGATATGGGCCTGAAATTTTCCTTTATTTTTGTTGTATCTCTGCCAGGTTTTGGTATCAGGATGATGCTGGCCTCATAAAATGAGTTTAGGGAGGATTCCTTCTTTTTCTATTGTGTGGAATAGTTTCAGAAGCAATGGTACTAGCTCCTCTTTGTACCCTTGGTAGAATTCGGCTGTGAATCCATCTGGTCCTGGGCTTTTTTTTGGTTGGTAGGCTGTTAATTACTGCCTCAATTTCAGAACTTGTTATTGATCTATTCAGGGATTCTACTTCTTCCTGGTTTAGTCTTGGGAGGGTGTATGTGTCCAGGAATTTATCCATTTCTTCTAGATTTTCTAGTTTTTCGCATAGAGGTGTTTATAGTATTCTCTGATGGTAGTTTGTATTTTTGTCAAATTGGTGGTGATATCTCATTTATCATTTTTTATTGCATCTATTTGATTCTTCTCTCTTTTCTTCTTTATTAGTCTGCTTAGCAGTCTCTGTATTTTGTTGATCTTTTCAAAAAACCAGCTCCTGGATTCGTTGATTTTTTGAAGGGTTTTTCGTGTATCTATCTCCTTCAGTTCTGCTCTGATCTTAGTTATTTCTTGTCCTCTACTAGCTTTTGAAATTGTTTGCTCTTGCTTGTCTACTTCTTTTAATTTTGACGTTAGGGTGACAATTTCAGATCTTTCCTGCTTTTTCTTGTGGGCATTTAGTGCTATAAATTTCCCTCACACACTGCTTTAAATGTGTCCCAGAGATTCTGGTATGTTGTGTCTTATTCTCATTGGTTTCAAAGAACATCTTTATTTCTGCCTTCATTTCATTATTTACCCAGTAGTCATTCAGGAGCAGGTTGTTCAGTTTCCATGTAGTTGTGTGGTTTTGAGTGAATTTCTTAATCCTGAGTTTTAATTTGATTGCACTGTGGTCTGAGAGACTGTTATGATTTCCATTCTTTTGCATTTGCTGAGGAGTGTTTTACTTCCAATTACTTGGTCAATTTTAGAATAAGTGTGATTTGGTGCTGAAAAAAATGTATATTCTGTTGATTTCGAGTGGAGAGTTCTGCAGATGTCTATTAGGTCCACTTGGTCCAGAGCTGAGTTCAAGTCCTGAATATCCTTGCTAATTTTCTGTCTCGTTAATATGTCCAATATTGACAGTGGGGTGTAAAAGTCTCCCACTATTATTTTGCAGACGTCTAAGTCTCTTTGTAGGTCTTATTTATTTATTTATTTATTTATTTATTTATTTTTTATTATTATACTTTAAGTTTTAGGGTACATGTGCACATTGTGCAGGTTAGTTACATATGTATACATGTGCCATGCTGGTGTGCTGCACCCCCTAACTCGTCATCTAGCATTAGGTATATCTCCCAATGCTATCCCTCCCCCCTCTCCCCACCCCACAACAGTCCCCAGAGTGTGATATTCCCCTTCCTGTGTCCATGTGATCTCATTGTTCAATTCCCACCTATGAGTGAGAATATGCGGTGTTTGGTTTTTTGTTCTTGCGATAGTTTACTGAGAATGATGGTTTCCAATTTCATCCATGTCCCTACAAAGGACATGAACTCATCATTTTTTATGGCTGCATAGTATTCCATGGTGTATACGTGCCACATTTTCTTAATCCAGTCTATCATTGTTGGACATTTGGGTTGGTTCCAAGTCTTTGCTATTGTGAATAATGCCGCAATAAACATACATGTGCATGTGTCTTTACAGCAGCATGATTTATAGTCCTTTGGGTATATACCCAGTAATGGGATGGCTGGGTCAAATGGTATTTCTAGTTCTAGATCCCTGAGGAATCGCCACACTGACTTCCACAATGGTTGAACTAGTTTACAGTCCCACCAACAGTGTAAAAGTATTCCTATTTCTCCACATCCTCTCCAGCTTTTTGTAGGTCTTTAAGAACTTGCTTTATGAATCTGGGTGCTCCTGTATTGGGTGCATATATATTTAGGATAGTTAGCTCTTCTTGCTGCATTGATCTCTTTACCATTATGTAATGCCCTTCTTTGTATTTTTTGATCTTTGTTGGTTTACAGTCTGTTTTATCAGAGACTAGGATTGCAACCCTTAATTTTTTTTTCCTTCCATTTTCTTGGTAAATCTTCCTCCATTCCTTTATTTTGAGCCTATTTGTGTCTTTGCATGTGAGATGGGCACACCAATTGGTCTTGCCTCTTTATTCAATTTCCCAGTCCGTGTCTTTGGGCATTTAGCCCATTTACATTTAAGGTTAATATTGTTATGTGTGAATTTGGTCCTGTCATTATGATGCTAGCTGGTTATTTTGCCCACTAGTTGATGAAGTTTCTTCATAGTGTTGATGCTTTTTACAATTTGGTATGTTTTTGCAGTGGCTGGTACCGGTTGTTCTTTTCCATGTTTAGTGCTTCCTTCAGGAGCTCTTGTAAGGCAGGCCTGGTGGTGACAAAATCTCTCAGCATTTGCTTGTCTGAAAGGATTTTATTTCTCCTTCACTTACGGAGCTTAGTTTGGCTGGATATGAAATTCTCAGTTGAAAATTCTTTTCTTTAAGAATGTTGAAAATTTTCCCCTCACTGTCTTCTGGCTTGTAGGGTTTCTGCCAACAGATCAGCTGTTAGTCTGATTGGCATCCCTTTGTGGGTAACTCAACCTTTCTCTCAGGTTGCCTTTAACATTTTTTTCTTCATTTCAACCTTGGTGAACCTGACAATTATGTGTCTTGGGGCTGCTCTTTTCGAGGAATATCTTTGTGGTGTTCTCCGTATTTCCTGAATTTGAATGTTGGTCTGCCTTGCTAGGTTGAGGAAGTTCTCCTGGATAATATCCTGAAGAGTGTTTTCCAACTTGGTTCCATTCTCCTCGTCACTTTCAGGTGCACCAATCAAATGTAGATTTGGTCTTTGCACATTGTCCATATTTCTTGGAGTCTTTGTTCATTTCTTTTCACTCTTTTTTCTCTAATCTTGTCTTCTAACTTTATTTCATTGAGTTGATCTTCAATCTCTGATATACTTTCTTCCACTTGATCAGTTCAGCTACTGATACTTGTGTATGCTTCAAGAAGTTTTTGTGCTGTGTTTTTCAGCTCCATCAGGTCATTTATGTTCTTCTGTAAGCTGGTTATTCTAGTTAGCAACTCATCCAAACTTTTATCCAGGTTCTTAGCTTCTCTGCATTGGGTTAGAACATGCTTCTTTAGCTCAAAGGAGTTTATCATTAACCACCTTCTGAAGCCTACTTCTGTCAATTCGTCAAACTTATTATTTGTCCAGTTTTGTTCCCTTGCTGGCGAGGAGTTATGATACTTTGGAGGAGAAGAGGCGTTCTGGTTTTTGGAATTTTCAGCCTTTTTGTGTTGGTTTCTCGTCATCTTCGTGGATTTATCTACCTTTCGTCTTTGATGTTGTTGATGTTGATATTATTCCTTTCTGTTTGTTAGTTTTCCTTCTAACAGTCAGGCCCCTCTGCTGCAGGTCTGTTGGAGTTTGCCAGAGGTCCACTCCAGACTCTGTTTTCCTGGGTATCACCAGTGGAGGCTGCAGAACAAAGATTGCTCCCTGTTCCTACCTCTGGAAGCTTCATCCCAGAGGGGCACCCCCTAGATATCAGTTAGAGCGCTCCTGTATGAGGTGTCTGTCAGCCCCTACTGGGAGGTATCTCCCAGTCTGGACACATTGGAGGTCAGGGACCCACTTGAGGAGGCAGTCTGTCCCTTATCAGAGCTTGAACGCTGTACTGGGAGAACTGCTGCTTTCTTCAGAGCTGTCAGGCAGGGACGTTTAAGTCGGTTGAAGCTGTACCCACAGTCTTCCCACAGGTGTTTTGTCCCAGGGAGCTGCAGTGGGCTCCGCCCAGTTTGAACTTCCCGGCAGCTTTGTTTACACTGTGAGGGTAAAACCGCCTACTCAAGCCTCAGCAATGATGGATGCCCCTCCCCCCACTAAGCTCAAGCATCCCAGGTTGACCTCAAACTGCTGTGGAGCAGTGAGAATTTCAAGCCAGTGGATCTTAGCTTGTTGAGCTCTGTTGGGGTAGAACCCACTGAACCAGGCTGGACCCAATGAGGATGGCTGTTAACACCTCAGGTGTCTCAGTTGAGGATCACTGTGAACACCTGAGCAGGCTCAGATGAAAATAGCTATGAACACCTAGGCTGGTCCTGATGAAGACAGCTAGGAACACCTGGGTGAGGCCCAGTGAGGATAGCTATTAACACCTGGCTGGCTTTCATGAGGATGGCTGTGAGCACCTGGTCTGGCCACTATTAAACAGTCTCTGGACACCTAAGCTGGGCCCAATGAGGACAGCTATTAACACCTGGGCTGGCCCAATAATGACCGTTGTGAACACTAACCCAGATAAGGATGGCTATGAAAATTTGGGCTGGCATCTAGGTAGATGGCTGTGACCTCCCAGGCTGGCCCCAGTGAGGATGGTTCTAATTCTTTAGCTGGCCTAAAAGAGCATGGATGTGAACACCTGGGCTGGTCCCAATGAAGACAACTATGAATACCTAGCATAACCCCTAATGAAAACAGCCAGGAGAGAATCTCCTGGTCTGCTGGTTTTGAGGACTGCGGGAAAAGTGCAGTATCCAGGCCGGAATGCACCATTCCTCCTGGTACAGTCAGTCTCTCAAGGCTTCCCATGGCTAGGAAAGGGAAATCCCCTGACCCCTTGCACTTCCCAGATGAAGCAACACCCCACCCTGCTTTGGCTTGCCTTCCATGGGCTGTACCCACTGTCCAACGAGTACCAATGAGATGAACTGGGTACCTCAGTTGGAAATGAAGGAATCATCTGTCATCTGTGTCGATCTCACTGGGAGCTGCAGACTGGAATTGTTCCTCTTCGGCCATCTTGCCAGCTACCCCACAACCCAGTTTTTCATAGGTGTTTCCTTTGGGTCCAGCTCAGGTTTTCACAGCCATCCTTGCTGTGGCCAGCCCAGGTTTTAACGGCTGACCTTATTTGGCCTAGCCTAAGTGTTCACCACTGTTCTTATTGGGCTCATGCTGGGTGTTCACAGTTGTCCTTATCAGAGCCAGCCCAGGTGTTAACAGCCATCCTCATTGGGGCTAATGGAGGTGTTGATAGTCATCCTTATTGTGCAAGCCTGGGTGTTCAGAGCCATTCATATTGGGCCTAGCTTAGTTGTTCACAGCTGTTTTCATTGGTGCCAGCCCAGGTGGTCACAGCCATTCACATGGTGCCAGTTCAGGTGTTCATAGTCATTCTTCTTGGGGCCAGCCAATGTGTTCACCCTCATGCTAATTGGGGCCAGCCAAGGTATTATAGCCAGGTGTTCACAGCTGATCTCATGGAGTTCAGCATAGGTGTTTATAGCCATCCTCACTGAGCCTAGCCCAATTGTTCATAGCTGTTTTCACTGGTGCCAGGCCAAGTATTCACAGGTGTCCTAATGGAGCTCAGCTCATGTGTTCAAAGCTATTTTCTTGGTGTCTAGCCTAGGTGTTCACAGCCATTCTCATTGGGTTTAGCTCAGTTGTTTTACCTTATTTTGGCCAGCCCAGGTATTCACTGCTGTTCTCATGGGGCCCAGACAAAGTGTTCACAGCTGTCCTCATGAGGGCCAGCCTGAGTGTTCACCACTGTCCTCACTGGACCAAGCCCATGTGTTCACAGCTTTCATAATTGAGCTCAGCCTAGGTATTCATAGCTGTCCACATTGGGCAAGCCCAGGCATTTGCACTTTATCTCATAGGAGCCATGTCCAGGTATTCAGAGCTATCTTCATTGGGCTTAGCCTAGATGTTCACCATTGTCCCCAGTAGGATCAGTCTACGTGTTCACAGCTGTCCTCACTAGGTCAATCCCAGTTTTACACAGCTGTCCTCATTGAGGTCAGGTCAGGTGTTTACAGCCATCCTCCTCAGGTTCAGCCTAAGTGTTCAGAGCACTCCTCACCAGTTTTCAGACCAGGTGTTAATAGTTGTCCTCATTGGGCCCAGCACTGTGATTACAGAGGTCCTCACCAGGGCAAGTCCAGGTGTTCAGAGCCATCCTATTAGGCCCAGTCCAGGTGTTGGAGACTTCCTAATGAAGGCCATCCCAGGTGTTCCCAGCTGTTTTTATTGGGGGTTATCCTAGGTATTCATAGTTGTCTTCATTAGGACCAGCCCAGGTGTTCACATCCATGCTCTTTTAGGCCAGCTAAAGAATTAGAACCATCCTCACTGGGGCCAGCCTGGGAGGTCACAGCCATCTACCTAGATGCCAGCCCAAATTTTCATAGCCATCCTTATCTGGGTTAGTGTTCACAACGGTCATTATTGGGCCAGCCCAGGTGTTAATAGCTGTCCTCATTGGGCCCAGCTTAGGTGTCCAGAGACTGTTTAATAGTGGCCAGACCAGGTGCTCACAGCCATCCTCATGAAAGCCAGCCAGGTGTTAATAGCTATCCTCACTGGGCCTCACCCAGGTGTTCCTAGCTGTCTTCATCAGGACCAGCCTAGGTGTTCATAGCTATTTTCATCTGAGCCTGCTCAGGTGTTCACAGTGATCCTCAACTGAGACACCTGAGGTGTTAACAGCCATCCTCATTAGGTCCAGCCTATTTGTTCACACCCATGTTAATTGGGGCCAGCCAAGCTATTATAGCAACACTCGCTGAGGCCAGCCAAGGTGTTCACAGCCATCATCATTGTGGCCATCCCAGGTGTTCAAAGCCTTTCTCACTGGTCCACGCTCAAGTGTTCATATTCGTCCTCACAGGATCCAGGCCAGTTCTTCACAGTTTTCATCACTGAGTATAGCCCATTCTCACTGGGCCCTGCCCAAGTGTTCCCAGTTTTCCTAATTAGGACCAGCCTAGGTGTTCACAGTGCTCCTCATCAGGGCCTGCCTAAGTGTTCACATCTATGTTCACTGGGCCCAGCCAAGGTATTATAGCCATCCTCATTGGGGCCAGTTCAGGTCTTCCCAGCCAGGCTCATTGGAGTCAGCACAAGTGTTCACAGTTTACTTCATACAGGCAAAGCCCAAGTGTTAATTGCTGTCCTCACTGGGCCTACCCCAGGTGTACACAGCCATCTTCATCAAGGTCGGCCCATTTGTTCAAAGCTGTAGTCTTGGGGACCAGCCCAGATGTTCATAGCTGTCCTCATTGGGCCTAGCCCAGGTGTTCACAGCTGTCCTCATTGGGCCAAACTCAGGTGACCACAGCTATCCTCAGTGGCTCCAAGCCAGTTTTTCACAATTTTCATTGTTGGGTCAGCTTAGGTGTTCACTTCTCTTTCCACTGGGTCCAGCCTAGGCGTTCATATCTGTCCTCATTACTGCAAGCCAACATGTTCACAATGGTCCTCATCAGTGCCAGCAAAGGTGTTCACAGTTGTCATCATTGAGGTCAGCCCAAGTGTTCATAGCTATCTTCATTGGGGGCAAGCCCAGGTGTCCACAGTGGTTCTCATAGGGAACTAGTCAAGGTGTTAATAGCTGTTGTTATTGGGTTCAGTCTATGTATTCACAGTAGTCCTTATCAAGATCAGCTCGGATGTTCCAAGCTGTCCTCATGCGGATAAGCCAAGTGTTCACTGTTGTCCTTATTGGGCCAACCCAGTTGTTCACATCTGACCTCATTGGCCACCATAGGTGTTCACTGCTGTCCTCATTGAGCCTAGCATGAGTGTTTACAGCTGTCCTAATTTGGCCCAGCTCAGTTGTTCACAACTGTCCTCATCGTAGCCAGCCCAGGAGTTCATGGCTGTCTTCAAAACTTCCTCATTTTGGCCTGTCTAGATGTTTACGGTGGTTCTCTTTGGGGCCAGCCAAGATATTCATATTTTTCCACACTGCCACCAACCCAGATGTTCATAGCCATCCTCACTGGGGTCAGCCAATTTGCTCCTGCCCATGCTAGTTGGGTCCAGGCAAGGTATTATAGTCACACTAATTGGCACTGGCCCACCTGGGCTGAGCTCAATGAGAACAGCTGTGTACTTCTTTGCTGGGTCCTATGATGACAGCTGTGAACCTCTGGGGTGGGCCCAATCAGGACAGCTGTGAAAACCTTGGCTGGACCCATTGAGGATGGCTGTGAACACCTATGCTGCCCCCGGTGAAGACAGCTGTGAACAGATGAGCTGGCCCTGATGAGGATGGCTATCATAATTTGGCTGGCCCCAATGAGAATGTTTGTGAACAGATTATCTGGTTCCAATGAGAATGGCTATGAATAACTGGGCTGGCACTAAAGAGAACTGCCATTACCACCTGATCTGGCCCTGATGATTAAGATGGTTCTAATACCTTAACTAGGCCCAGTGAGCATGGATGTGAACACCACGGCTGTTCCTGATGAGGATGACTGTGGAAACCCTGGCTGACTATGATAATTACAGCTGGGAACTTCTAGGCTAGGCACCACAAGGATGATTCTGAACACCTAAACTGGGCCTAATAGGATGGCTCTGAACACCTGGACTTACCCATAAACACCTAATGATGACAACTATGAGCACACGTACAAGGCCCTGATGAGAACGACTGTGAATACCTGGGCTGGAGTAGTGAGGATGGCTCTGAATACCAGGTCAGGGCCCAATAGGATGGCACTGAACACCCGGACTTGCCCTGATGAGAACCAATATAAACTCCTGGGCTGGGCCCATAAGGACAACTATTAACACCTGGGCTGGGCCCCAGTGAGGATAGCAGTGAACACCTTGGCTCACCCAGATGAGTGTAGCTATAATACCTTGGTTGACACGTATTAGCATGGGTGTGAACAAACTCACTGGCTCCAATAAGGATGGCTATGAACATCTTGGATGAAGCCAATGTGGATGGCTGTGAACACCTTGGCTGGCTCCAAAGAGCATCACTGTGAACACCTCACCTGAACCCCATGAGGACAGTTATGAACACCTGGGCTGGACACAATGAGGACAGCAGTAAACACCTGGGTTGGCCTTGAAAGGAACAGCTGTGAGTACCTCACCTGGCCCCCATGAGGACAGCTGTGAATACCTTGGCTTGGCACAATGAGGACAGCTGTGAATACCTGGGCTGGCCCCAGTGAAGATGGATGTAAAAAACTGGGCTGAACTCAGGGAGGGGGTGGTAAACACCAGGCTGGGTCTCATGAGGACAGCTGTGAACAACTTGGCTGAGCTCCATGGCCAGCTGTGAATACCTGGGCTGACCCTGATGAGAATAGCTATGAACAACTGGGCTGGACCCAATGAGAAAAGCTGTGAACACCTAGGCTGGTCTCAATGAAGATGGCTAAGAGCACCAGATCAGGGTCCAATAAGCACAGCTGTAGTCTTGGGGCCCAGCCCAGATGTTCATAGCTGTCCTCATTGGGCCTAGCACAGGTGTTCACAGCTGTCCTCATTGGGCCAAACTCAGGTGATCACAGCTATACTCAGTGGCCCCAAGCCAGTTTTTCACAATGTTATATGAAAATATAAACAAACCTCGGTGAGGGCAGCTATGAACCCTGGGCTCGTCCTGATGAGGATGGCTATGAACACCTGCATGGGCCCAATGAGGTCAGTTGTGAACATCTGAGGTGGGCCTAGTGAGGATAGCAGCGACACCTGGGCTGGCCCTGATGAGAATGGCTGTGAACACCTGGGCTAGGCCTAATATGAATGCCTCTGAATGCCCAGGCTTGCACGATGAGAATGATTGTCAACACCTCCATTGTAAACACCTACCCCATACCTCTGGGCTGTCTTATTGTGGACCTAGAGTTCTCTTGTGAAATCAGACAGAGCCTCACAGCAGAAAGTGGAATGATCACGAGGTGGGACAGCACCAGAGCCAGGTGCATAAGCTGGTGTGGACCTCAGATGAGAGGTGAGCTGGAAGGTGACATGGCCCAGGGTGCTAGGTGGTCAGCTGTGCTCTCCCAGGACCATTGTCTTCATCTTACAGAGGAAATCCAACTGGTGCTGCCAGAGCCTGGCCCAGAAGCTTTTCTGCCTTGCTCTGTGCCTCAGGAGGGGACCTGGAGGCATGGCCCAGGTGGCTAACTTGCCTCTACTCCCTCAGCTCCCAGGGGGCCCTTGGGAGGAAGGCAGACGGAGTGAGGAGGGAGACAGGGCCTTGATTCCTCCTGCGTCCTCCCTGCTGGGTTGCTCGGGCTGACTGAGTCCCTGCTCTCGAGGCAGCTTCCTCCTTCTGAGCACCTGGGATCATGTGCTCCTTCATCTCTGCTGTCACTGTTCCGCCGAAATCTTTGCAAATTGTCAGGTTATTGAATCCTCTGATGTCCATGTGCCACCTGTTCCTTTGGGGACCCTGATTGATAGAAGAAACTCAATCCATTCACAGGGAATAAGACTACTGTGGTCTCTCTGAAATGATGGCAAGCAAAGGAGCTCAATTTCTCCATGGCCTCCCCGGGCCCTGGCTCTGTGCCTGCTCATTGCTCAGGGCTGTGGAGGGGATGGGGCGCAGGTGTGCAGGTGTGCAGCTCTTGCCCTTGGGAGGCTTCTAGCATGGTGAGTGAGATGAATGAGAAGGGGAATGAGGCCCTCCAGAACAGTGAGACAGCTGTCCTCCAGGACAGCGAGAGTGCTCAGAGTCCATCTGGAGCTTTGTCCCACACCAGAGTCTTCCCAGGTTCCTCTAGAGACCCCCGCCCAGGCCTTCCAGGGCCACCTCCCACATCTCGCCTTTCTTCTCTTCTCCACCCTAGCTGGAGTTGGGCTTTTCCCTCATTCTCTTTCATGTTGCAGTTCCAGAGGTTTCTGCTGACTGATGTCTCTTTTATAGATGTTCATATGACTGAAAAGCAGGCTTCAGATGCACACATCTCATATTAACAAGAGAGTGAGTGAGGATAATGGGGAAATTAACGGTCTTTTAACCAAGCACAGGGATTTTGTGACAGTGTTTTTTTTCCCTTTTCTTTGTGAATTCTGCAGAAGCTGTTATACTAATAGTTGTGATTTGCGTAATTTCTGAGTGCAGCAGAATAAAAAGCCAGGCTTGCAGGCAGACAGTCTGGCTCTGCTGGTGGAGGGCAGGGCCTTGTATTAGGGGAGAGACAAATCGACATATAGCCGCTGGATGAGGAGGTATGGCTGGGATGGGTGCAGTGAGTCAGAAGGTGGCTTCCACGATGAGGATGACTGTCAACACCTCCATTGTAAACACCTACCCCATACCTCTGGGCTGTCTCTTAGTGTGGACCTAGAGGTCTTTGTGAAATCAGACAAGGCCCTGCAGCAGAAAGTGGAATGATCCTGAGGTGGGACAGCACCAGAGCCAGGTGCATGAGCTGATGTGGATCTCTGATGAGAGGTGGCTTCCACACCCTCCCCTGTGACAGGAACTGACACATGGAAGGGCCTGGGGAGGGGCAGTCCTCAGCCTGTCCTAGATTGGTCCAGGTCAACCTCTCCACAGTAGCTGTTGCTCCGTGTGGAGCTGCACAGACATTGGCTGTCCCGGGTGAGGGTAAGGGCTCTCTGATTTGGGATCTCCCTGCCAAAGGGGTTCTTTGGAGAAATCAATCTTTGTCAAGTCTAGGCTATACCTCACACCAGACTCACACAATGGTGAGTCTCCACCTTCAATGGGCTAAATGTTGCACCACCAAAGGGCATCTCTGTGGTATCGAGGTAAACAAATGGGCTTTAGAGTTGAAAAGAGAAGGCTCTCCATGTGCGAGGCTAAGCGAGTGACTTTGGCTTAAGAATAAAGGTAATATGGCAGCACACAGTGGCTCATGCCTGTAATCCCAGCACTTTGAGAGGCTGCGGCAGGAGGATCATTTGAGGCTAGGACTTTGAGACCAGCCTGGGCAATGTAGTCAGACCCTGTCTCCACACACACACACACAAATTAAAAACCATTAGCTGATCTTAGTGGCTCGTGCTTGTAGTCCCAGTCCCTTGGGACTCTGGGGTAGGAGGATCACTGGAGCCAGGAGTTGGAGGCTGCACTGAGCACTGCACACTACCTTGTGTCACTGACTCTAACTGGGGCAACAGAGTGACACCCTGTCTCATAAATGAATAAATAATAACAGAATGAAGGCAGTGTGGCTTCGAGAGGATCTGGTGACTGTGTGAGATCGTACGGTGTGTGTGCTGACTGCATAGTTGCTATTGTTACATTTCATTCCCACTGGCTTCCTTTGCCAAACTTTTACTTCAGAGTTTGTGTTAAGGGGTTGGGTTAAATTTATCAGTGTCTTCTGAAAGACAGGAGTCATGGTTACAGATGTTTTCTGACGATTCTAAATTTTATGAATTCCCCACTAGAAAGTCTTGTTCACTCCCCCTGCTTCCTCCCTCTCTCCTGAGGGGTAAAGGCCTGTTCTTGGAGGCAGGCCGACAATGACATGTTTGTCAAGGCTATAGCTGCAGAGGCTCATAGGAGGAGCCCAGGTCCTCTCAAGATGCAGTGGCCAGAGAGTTCTGGAGTTTAATTAGCAGGACAGCAGCTGTGGAGACTTGGGCCGACTGTTGGTGTCAAAGGACATCCTCCCTTTACCCCACTCTGTGCCAGTGTGCCTCATATTTCTCTCTGGGCTACAACTGTTATTAACGTTCAGATTTTGGAGATAATGGTCTTAATTAAACTACTTTGCTGTTTACTACTGCTTTGGGAATTTGCTAATTAATCTTTATGTAATTATTTTGCAATGGTTGTACAGCAAAAGTTCTTAAATTATAAGTGAAGCTTCTCACAGATAATCTGAGAATCTAATTTTTAATCAGCATCCCATGTTAGTAAGTGACAATGGGGGTGGGGAATTAACTAATTGAAGTCCGTGCTCCGTGGAGGTTGTCTGTCTTCAACCTGACAAGTTGGCTATGCTGTGCAGAGCCCTCTCCCTGCATCTCCCCATGGTCTTTTCATTTCGATGGTGCTGAAGGAACCGCAAATGTCCACATATTAGGATAATAATTCTGATGCTTTCTTTGTAGGAGATATGTCTCCAAAGGAGCTGCTCCTCACTGATGCCTGAGGCCACCTTCAATTAAACCCAAGCCTCTTCCTCTTCTACTGGAGCCCCTGTGAGTAAAGTCCATAGAAATCATATCTGTTGAATTTTGGAGAAGGGTCATGAAGTATTGAGAGGTGTTTCAGGCTATCCCACAATATTTGATATGGAAGAAGAAGCATTTCTAATGGAAACTGGTGGAGATTGCTCTTTAATTCCTAAAATAAGAACGAGAGGCTTCAAGTACATCTGGAGCTCGTTTCCCTACTGTCTTACTGTCTTAGACTGTTTGTGCTGCTATAACAGAATACAAGAGACCAGGTAATTTATGAAGAAAAAATTTAATTGGCTTGTGGTTCTAGAGGCTGGGCAGTCCAAGATCAAGGGGCTGCATCTGGTGGCAGCTTTCTCACTAAATCATCCAGTGGCAGAAGGCAAGAGGGCAAAAGACATAAACAGCAACAGATGGAACTCACAGCCTCAAGTTCTTTATAGTGGACATTAATCCATTCATGAGTGTGGTGCCTCCATGACCTAGACACCTCTCATTAGGCGCCACCTCCTGACACTGTTGTGTTGGGGATTCAGTTTCCAACACGTGCTTTCTGGGGGACACATACAAACCATCATACCTACCTTGGCCAGAGTCCATCTCTCTCTAATTCAGGATTCTGATCCCAAGACTCATGGAAGGGACAAGCAACAGATCAGACAGAAAAGTCTGATCTCCCTCCTGGTATTAGCCCTCAGGAACAGGCATATAATATCAGCAATGCTTACCTCTGCCTGAAAGTTAGGATTAGCAGAGAGCTCCACCAGGCAGTACAGCACTCAGGTTAGAAGCATGAAACTTGAAGAAATACTTCCTGGGCTCCAAGCCTGACTCTGCTACTCTTATTGTGGCCTTGGACTAGTTACCCAACTTCTCTGGCCCTGTTTTCTTGCCTGTAAAATAAGGGTTTGTAAGAGTGCATGCCTGGTCGGGTGCAGTGGCTCATGTGTGTAATCCCAGCACTTTGAGATGCCGAGGTGAACGAATCACTTGAAGACAGGAGTTAGAGACCAGCCTGGCCAACATGGCGAAACCCCACCTCTACTAAAAAAAAAAAAAAAATACAAAAAATTAGGCAGGTGTGGTGGCATAGCTGTAATTCCAGCTACTTGGGAGGCTGAGGTATGAGAATCACTTGAACCCAGTAGGTAGAGGTTGCAGTGAGCTGAATTTGCACCACTGCACTCCAGCCTGGGTGACAGAGCAAGACTTTGTCAAAAAAAAAAAAAGTGCATGCCTTTTTATTACTATTTTGATGAGCAAATGGGATGAAAGATGAGGGTGTTAGTACACTGCCTGTCACACAGTTATGCATATTATTATATCTATTAAGCAATTGTATCCACGCTTCTGTTTTCAACCTTTACCATAGTGCATGCTGGTTCTCACAGAGGGATTGCCTAATTTTCTCATAGCTATAATCTTTTCAGCACCAAATATTTCTTTCCTATTGTGCTTTTCTATGTTGGGAGCTAGTCTGATGTTGCTTCATCTGTGATCTCAAGTATGTTTAAGGGCTGCTGACTTTAAACACATATTTGCTGCAGAAGAATAGTTCGGGGTGACAGGTACTGAGTATCTTTTCTTATACCTTTGGAAGAACTCACTCATGCACCACAGCACTCTTGTTCACCAGGTGTGAGTCCAGCATGGACTCCTTCTCAATACAATGCCTCAGCATTCAAGAGTCAGAGTCTTAACCCAGGAAACAGAGCCCCAAGCAGAGCGGACATGCTAATGCTTTATTGGGAGGTGCAATCCCAACAACCAAAGTAAGGGACATAGGGAAATAAAGCAGGAAGGAGAGAAAGCAAATACAAGGTCATATGTTATCAGCATGGCTGCAGTTTCTCCAGAGCTCCAGTTGGTTGCTCAAGTCATGTGGGACATCTCCAGGGAGGACATGTAAAACACTGTGGCTCAGAACACTCTGTCATAGGGGAGGAAGGCCAGGTGATTTTTCTGTTGGCTTCTTTCCATTTCCTGTCTCTCACTGGTCAAAGTTCACCTTATGGACTACCAATGCCTTGCATGACCAGGTTGTGTTAATTGTGCTAACCAGCCTCCCTGTCCCAGGGCAGCCACTGAGGAGGTCAAAGCCTCCATAAATACAGTGGAGTCAAGCTAGGGGCACAAAAACTGTTTTAGGTCCCAGCACAGCAAGTGTAGTAGGAGCCATGCAAGCCTGGCAGACTCCCCAGGGGAGGCTGAGTGCACTTGGGTGGCAAAGAGTCAGGCCACAAGCAGTGGTGCATCTACGGGAATTGAGCCAAAGCTTGGGGAGCTGGAATTGCTGAGTGCAGCTGGTAGCTCATAGACTGGCTTCCGTGAAGTTGGCACGTGGCACAAAAACCAGTCTTGGCGTTCAGTGTTTTGTTGAGAAACATCCCAGGAGGCTGGGCATGGTGACTCATGTTGTAATCCCAGCACATTGGGAGGCCAAGGTGGGTGGAGTGCTTTAGGCTGGAAGGTTGAGTCCAGCCTGGGCAACATAGTGAGATCTTGTCTTGATAAAAAATTAAAAAATAAAAATTAAAAAAGAAAACATCCAAGGGCTTTGGTCTTTTAAGTCTTCATCCTATCTTTTTTTTCATTTCCATCTCTTTAGTTCCTTAACTTTTTGCCAAAGTGCAGGGACCACCCCTACTTAGGGTATGAGGTACACATTAACCTCTTATCCCAGACCCTAGAGACCATGGTGGGACCACATGGGAGAGGAGCAGGGCTGCCAGTGGTTCCAAACTGAGACACCCTGACATCAGCTTCTGTGCCCTCTCTACTGCACCGTACTCCTTTCTTTGTCTCTCACCACCTTCTTCCACCTGTTCAGGTCATATCTCATGTTCAGCTCCTTACCTGATGGTCTCTGGTCACACTGTCTTTTTTCAGCTCTCAGCAAAGAGAACAGTTTGTGCTAAGACGTGGTTGGAAAACACATTCACCCCTCTCTGTCTTGTGAACTCCTGCTCATCCTGCCAGTTTCAGCTTCAGAGAGACCTGCCAGGGCCCCACCATGTAAAAGTCTCTGTTGCACATTACATCATATCACCTTTCTTCAACTGTAGGAGAATATTTATTGGGGCACTTACTGAATTCACATCTTTGTCCTCCACCAAGCCCTGTGCCCCATGAAGGCAGGGAATATGATTATTCTCTGCACCACTGTGTCACTGACTCCTGCCCTCTCGTTTACAACAAATGTCACACACACACACACACACACACACAGAATAAGTGAACACATAGGTGAGCACCTGGATCTAACTTTTCGATGCTTTGTCTCCATGAGCTTGGAGGCTGACAAGCTGGTAATTCCTACAGGAAGAGTAAGGCTGCTATCATTTTCTGTAACTGTTGTCCTGATTGCCTTGCAGAAGGTAATTGACCTTATGCCCTAAGCTGACCTTTTGAGTGGAACTGAAGAATAAATGAAGAGGGAAAAATGACTCAGAATGGTCCTGTTGGGTCCAATTATCAGTAGAGAAAGGTAGTGAGGATGAGGCCTGGATAAACCTGGGCTCCCCGGCATGAACTGCACTGTCTGCTCATTACATGTTCCCTGCAGACTGTCTGAGCTTTTGGGAAACTGGTCTGCTCATTATTCATGCCCATTTATCCTCACTGACAGGGCTGGTAGAAATAAGCTCCGAGTTGTGAAAACAGTGGGAATTCTAGGCCCCCAAGATTAAGTATCAACAATAGCTATTATCCTTCCATCAGTGGCAAAATCTACACTTCTCCAGGTTTGGGCAGCAGGTATTGTTTGAGTAACCCTGACCCCAGGGCCAGAGGGCAAGGGGGTGGTTGCTGAAGTTCTCTGCCTCCAATCTTATGATAAAGTGTGGCCTATGGAGAATGGGGAAAAGGTTACCATGGACCTCAAGGGACCCAGCAGAAAAAGCCACATGTGGGAACCAAATCACCTCCTTGTCTGTTAGATGGCAGAGTCCCTGTTGCAGGGAGGTGTAATTAGGGCCTGGAGAAGAGGATAGCTAGGTCTCCTGGTGAGCCAGTTGCCCCTGCCAGTTGACTCTGGGTGAAGAAGTTTATGCGGAGCACAGATTTGGTACTCACAAGGGATGGTGCACCTGACATTTCAGACCATTTCATGGTATGATGACTTCTCTGTTTCCCATTCACTGGGGCTCCATGCACCCCACTTGGTTTGTTTTGCAAAGAGCAATCTGTTCTTTTCTCTCAAAACTTCTGGGACCTGATGTCAAGCTTACCATATTCTCTCCTCATCCCTGAATTCAAAGAAGCCTCAAGAGTTGACTCAGATACCTTAATCCCTTTGCTGTGAGTGTCAAGAGATCCAAAGAGATCTACTCTTCCTTTTCTTCTTTCAGAACCCACCTTCCTTTTGAACTCAGGAAAGGTGGGGGCTGTGTACATCCCCTTGTATAATTGCCAGGGATGTGCAGGGTGATGCCTTTTTTGTTTTTTTAACACTGGGGAAAACTGACACTCTTTTTTTTTTTATCTCCAATTGGGTGGGCTATTGCTTGCTACTTGCACTCCTTATTTAAGAAAAATCCCTCTACAACAAACCCTCAGGAGAATGTCTTAAACCTCTGGTAAAATGTCTGGAAAGTTTGGAATAGGTGAGCAGATACGAGGACTGTACAGAAACATCCTGTCTTTATAGAGTCCTTTTCAATCATATCTTCCTTTCCATTCACTGGAAATGTTTGTAATTTAGGATGAGCAATAAATGGAGCATAACGTATCCATCTGCTTGTGAGAATGAATTTCGTGCCTACTGAAGGTTCTTTGCCCAATAAAATCTCCAACGAGATGAGGGTGAAAAGACTCACAAATGTGTTCTGTGTCCTGAGGGGAGAGGGATGTACATTGTCATTTTTATGCCATGCATAAAAATATCCAAGCTTCCCAAGTTACATGAGATATTATTTTTGCAGAGGCCAACATGGGGAATATTAGATTACTTTGTTTATATTTTCTAAAATAGTTTTACAATAGATTTCAAATGTATACAAAAGTAGAAAGCCTAATATAGTAACCCCCCATGTACTAATCACCCAGCTTCAACAATTACGAATGAATGGCCACCTCAGATTTTTACAATTTGATCTATAAATATTTCAATATATATCTACAAAAAAATTTCAAATATCAAATTTTTAAAAAATTATACCCACAATACAATTTTTCACCTCTAAAATATTAAAAATTTCTTAATAACATCAAACACTAAGTCAGTGTTCAAATTTTCTCAGCTGTCATATGGATGCTTCTAAAATTTTTACACAGTTTGTTTGTACCTGGATCCAAAACAGATCCATTCATTGTACTTGGCTGGCATAACTCATGTTTCTTTTAATTTATCTTCTCCTTCTGTATTTTTTCTTTCTGGCAGTTCTTTTCTCAATGTTGTTGTTTTTGAAGAATCTAGATCTTTTGTCCTGGAGAGTTTCCAACAATCTGGATTTTGTGGATTTTGTCCCACAGAGACATTTCCCTTGCTCGTCTGTCTCCTGCATTTTCTCTATATCCATATCCATATTTTCTCTATGTCCATCTATATCCATAATCAATCCAGATGCTTGATCAGGTCCAGGTTTGATGTTTTGTGGCAAGACTGCTTTAGAGGTGGTGCTGCCTGAGGTTCATAAGGCCTTATTATGTGATGTCAGCAGCTGTCAATGATCATGTAAAGATCTGTCACCTCACAGAAGGTGACACATGGGGATATTCCAGTCCCATCAAATTTGTCAGCTGGAATATGTCCATAAAAAGAAAATTTCCCTTATCAGTTCTGTGGTTCCACTGAGAAAGCATGCATACAGGGAAGGTGTTACACACGCTTTGGTTTTCCCCTTTTATTTGCAAGGTTATTTTTTAAATTAAACTTTCCATTTTAAGATAATTGTAGATTCACATGGAGTTTTAAAAAATAAGTACAGAAAGACTCTGTGCATCCTTTACCCAGCTTACTACCTATGGTACCATATTACAAAGCCGTAGTATGATACACAGCCAGGAAGCTGACATTAGTACAGCCAAGATCCTGAACACGTTCATCACCATAAGGCTCCCTCCTGCTGGCCTTTCATAGCCATGCTTCCCTGACTCCTGCCCACCAGTCCCTGACCCCTGGAAACCACCAATCCATTCTTCATTTCTATAATTTTGTCATTTCATGAATGTGGAACAAAAGGAATTATATAGTCTATGACCTTTAGGGATTGGCTTTTCTCACTTAGCAGAATTACCTGGAGATTCATCCAAGTTACTGCATTTGTCAATAATTCATTTCTTGTTATTGTGAGGAGAATTTCATGGTATGGATGTGCCATGATGTGCCAATAATGTGTTCACCCATTGAAGATCATCTGATTGTAGGTTTTTTAATGTGCTTACTTGCCATTTATTACATTACTTAGTAAATTATCTATTCAAATCCATTGCCCATTAAAAAAATCAGAGTTTGGCTGGGCACGGTGGTTCATGCCTGTAATCCCAGCACTTTGGGAAGCTGAGGTGGGCGGATCGCTTGAGCACAGGAGTTTGAGACCAGCCTAGGCAACATGGTGAAACCCTGTCTCTACTAAAATCACAAAAATTAACCAGGCACAGTGGCACATGCCTGTAGTCCCAGATACTTGGGAGGCTGAGACAGGAGATTCACATGAACTTGGGAGGCAGAGGTTTCAGTGAGCTGAGATCGCGCCTTTGCATTCCAGTCTGGGTGACAGAGTGAGACCCTGTCTCAAAAAAACAAACAAACAAACAAAATTCCAAGTTTGTCTTTTTTTAAATTGAGTTTTAGGGTTCTTCATATATTCTTAACAGAAGTTCTTTATCAAATGAACGTTTAGAGAATATTTTCTCCCAAACTGCACCTTTCCTTTAAATTTTCTTAATGGTGTTGAAAGTGGAAGAACTCAAGCTGTTTCTCTTCTGCTGTCATCCCACACAATAATCAACAAAGACTTCTGTGACCAAATGTGTGGGAATTTCTCCCCACCAATGAGGAAGCAATCAAGCCTGCAGTGAACACGAGCTGGGCCTCCTCCCATTCAACGCTGTTTACCTAGAGACAGTTTAGATCTCACGGGTTAAGAGCTCAGTCACTGAGCCTGTGAGGGGGACCACTGCACCCTTCAGTCACCAGTCACAAGTTCGGGCCTTCAGAACTTCTGAATGACTAGCTATATAAATCAGGGCTTCCAGAATCCCCTTTTTAGGTTCAATTAATTTGCTAGAGTGGCTCACGGAAATCAAGGAAACACTTATGTTCATCAGTTTATTATAAAGGATATTACAAAGAATAAAGAGAAAGAGATGCATAGGGTGAGGCAGTGGGGAAGAGGTGTGGAGCTTCCACATTCTCCCTGGGTGCACCGTCCTCCAGCAACCTCCATGTGTTCTGCTGTCTGGAAGCTCTCCAAACCTTGTTCTTTGTTGTTGTTGTTGTTGTTTTCTGAGACGGAGTCTCCCTCTGTCACCAAGGCTTGAGTGCAGTGGTACGATCTCGGCTCATTGCAACCTCCACATCCTGGGATCAAGAGATTCTCCTGCCTCAGCCTCCCGAGTAGCTGGGATTACAGGCGCCAACAGGTGCCAACACACCTGGCTAATTTTTGTATTTTTTAGTAGGGACAGGGTTTCACCATGTTGGCCAGGCTGGTCTTGAATTCCTGACCTCAGGTGATCTGCCTGCCTCGGCCTCCCAAAGTGCTGGATTACAGGCATGAGCCACCATGCCTGACCTCCATCACACCTGGCCTCTACCACGCCTGGCCACGAAACCTTGTTCTTTTGGGATTTTATGGAAGCCTCATTACGTAGACATGATAATTTAAATCATTGGCTATTGGTGATGAACTTAACCCTCAGCTCCTCTTCTCTTCTCAGCGGTTGAGGGGTGCGGTTGAAAGTCCTGACCCTGGAATCTTGCCTTGGTCTTTCTGGTAACTGCCCCCATCCTGAAGCTACCTACGGTTCCCTGGCCACAACTCAACTCAATATGAAACAAAATACATCATTTTGAAGATTATAATCTTCAAAAGGAGTTGCATGTCAGGAAACCAGGTTAAAGACCAATATCACACGTGTCTTTCAAAAAGCAGATTTCTAAAATATACATTTTGTTTTCTATCAAAAAAACTTTCTGACTCCGAGGTTCCAAATATTTTTTCCCTATATTTTCTTCCAGAAGTTTATAGTTTTAGTTTTTAAATTAATGTCTATGATGCATTGAGTTATCTTTTATATGATGTGAGGTAAAGATTAAGGATTCCTTTTTTCTATATGGATATGGCACCAATTGTTGTTAAGACTATCTTTTCCCCATTAGACTATCTTTTCTCCATTGAATAACCTTAGCATCTTGGCTGAACATCATTGGATCATTCATATGTGGATCTATTTCTGGATTCTTTATTCTGTTCCATTGATTTATTTATATTTCTTTACACAGTCTCTCTGAAGGCTCAGAGGTTAGGGTTTTTCAAAGATAGTTTATTGGGCAGGGGCTAGAAAATGGGTGCTGCTGCCTGGTTGGGGGTGAAATCATAGGGGTGTGGAAAACAGTCCTCATGTGCTGTGTCTGCTTCTGGGTAGGGGCCATAGGACCGGTTGAGTGATGAGTCGCAAGTCCAGGTGGGGTTAGTCTGTTGCCAGAATGCAAAAGTCTAAAAAATGTGTCAAGATACCAATCTTAGGTTCTATAATAGCATTGTAGGAGCAACTGGGGAAGTTACAAATCTAGTGACCTCTGGCCACATGACTCCTGGGCGATAAGGAATTATAGAAACTACAACTACATAGTAGGAGAATTCAGGGTTCTCCTATAATCTTGTGGCCTTTTGTTAGTTTTACAAAGGTGGTTTCAGCCCCTAAACAAGGAGGGATCAGTTTTAGGGAAAGACTATTTTCATCCTTCCTTCAAAGTTTAACTATAAACTAAATTCCTCCTGTTGTTAGCTTGACCTCTGCCCAGGCATAAGCAAGGACAACCAGTCTCTGAGGCTGGAAGCAAGATGGAGTCAGCCATGCTAGACTTCTTTCACTGTCATCATCTTTGTAAAGGCAGTTTCATTTCTGGTAGCCCAGTCTTTCAGCTGGGTTGCCAAGTGAGACACATGAGCAGTTACACCAGCTGCCTTGAAGATCCACAGCCTAAAGCAGAGCTGCCCCTCCTGACCCTAGACTCACATCTCAAAGAAAGAAGACGAACCTGGTGTGACCCACAGGCCTGGGAACATGGGAATCAGTGGCTATTCTTTTAAGCCACTGAATTTAAGGTAGTTTGTCAAGACATGGTTTGGCTGTACTCCACCAAGATCTCATCTTGAATTCCCACTTGTTGTGGAAGGCACCCAATGGGAGGTAATTGAATCACGGGGGCAGGTCTTTCTGGTGTTGTTCTCGTGATAGTGAATAAGTCTCATGAAATCTGATAGTTCTAAAAAGGGGAGTGTTCCTGCACAAGCTCTCTTTTTGCCTGCTGCCATCCACGTAAGACGTGACTTGCTCTTTTTTCCCTTCTGCCATGATTGTGAGGCCTCCCCAGCCACATGGAACTGTAAGTTCATTAAACTATTTTTCCTGTATAAATTGCTCCAGTCTCAGGAATGTCTTTATCAGCAGCATGAAAATGGAGTAATACAGTAAATTGGTACCAGTAAAATGGGGCATTGTTGAAAAGTTACCCAATATTGTTAAAGTGACATTGGAACTGTGTAACAGGCAGAGGTTGGAACAGTTTGGAGGGCTCAGGAGAAGACAGAAAAATGTGGAAAAGTTTGGAACCCCCTAGAGACTTGTTGAATGGCTTTGACCAAAATGCTGATAATTATATGGACAATCATTATCAGGCTGAGGTGGTCTCAGATGGAGATGAGGAATTTGTCGGGAACTGGAGCACAGGTGACTCTTGTTATGTTTTAGCAAAGAGACTGGCAGCATTTTGCCTCTGCCCTAGAGATTTGTGGAAAGTTAAGAGAGATTATTTAGAGTATCTGTGGGAAGAAATTTCTAAGCAGCAAAGCATTCAAGATGTGACTTGGGTGCTGTTAAAAGCATTCAGTTTTGAAAGGGAAACAGGACATAAAAGTTTGGAAAATTAACAGCCTGACAATGCAATAGAAAAGAAAATCTTATTTTCTGAGGAGAAATTCAAGCTGGCTGCAGATATTTGCATAAGTAAGGGGCAGCTTAATGTTAATCCCAAAGACAATGAGGAAAATGTTTCCAGTGCATGTCAGAGACCGTTGTGGCAGCCCCTCCCATCACAGGCAGGGAGGTTTAGGAAGAAAAAATGGTTTCATGGGCCAAGCTCAGGGTCCTCATGCTGTGTACAGTATAGGGACTTGGTGCCCTGCATCCCAGCTGCTCCAGCCATGACTAAAAGAGGCCAAGGTACAGCTCAGACTGTTGCTTCAGAGAGTAGAAGCCCCCAGCCTTGGCAGCATCCATGTGGTGTTGAGCCTGTGGGTGCACAGAAGTCAAGAATTGAGGTTTGGGAAACTCCACCTAGATTTCAGAGATTGTATGGAAATGCCTGGATGTCCAGCCAGAACTTTGCTGCAGGGGAAAGGCCCTCATGGAGAACCTCTGATAGGGAAGTGCAGAAGGGAAATGTGGGGTCAGAGCCCCCACAAAGAGTTCCTACTTGGGAACCACCTAGTAGAGCTGTGAGAAGAGGGCCACCAGAGCCCATAATGGTAGATCCACTGACAGCCTGCATTGTGCACCTGGAAAAACCACAGACACTCAACTCCAGCACATGAAAGCAGCCAGGAGAGGAACTATGCCCTGCAAAGCCACAGGGGCAGAGCTGCCCAAGACCATGGAAGCCCACCTCTTGCATCAGTGTGACCTGGACATGAGACATGGAGCCAAAGGAGATAATTTTGGAGCTTTAAGATTTGACTGCCCTGCTGGATTTCTGACTTGCATGGGGCCTGTAGCTCCTTTGTTTCACCCAATTTCTCCCAATTAGAATGGCTGTATTTACATAATGCCTGTACCCCTATCGTATCTTGGAAGTAATTAACTTGTGTTTGATTTTAAAGGCTCATAGTTGGAAGGGACTTGCCTTGTCTTGCATGACACTTTGGACTGTAGACTTTTAAGTTAATGTTGACATGAGTTAAAACTTTTGGGGACTATTGGGAAGGCATGTTGGGTTTTGAAATGTGAGGACATGCGATTTGGGAGGGGCCAGGGGTGAAATGATATGGTTTGGCTGTGTCACCACCCAAATCTCATTTTGAATTCCCATGTGTTGTGGGAGGGACCCAATGGGAGGTCATTGAATCATGGGGGCAAGTTTTTCTTGTGCTGTTCTCATGATAGTGAATAAGTCTCATGAGTTCTGATGGTTTTATAAGGAGGAGTGTCCCTGCACAAGCTCTCTCTTTGTCTGCTGACAGCTATGTAAGATGTGACTTGCTTCTCCTTGCCTTCCACCATGAACGTGAGGCCTCCCCAGCCATGTGGAACTGTAAGTCCATTAAGCCCTTTTTCCTACATAAATTGCCCAGTCTTGGGTATGTCTTTATCAGCAGCATGAAAAGAGACTAATAAAGTCACATGCCATTATTGCAGTTACAGTTGGCAGATACAGTAACCATTTTTATCTTTCCTTTTTTTAATATAAGGAAATCGTACATACATTATATACATGTGTGTATATATATACACACACCTTCATATGTATCTGTGTGTATGTGTGTTTGTGTGTGTGTGTGTGTGTGTATATATATATATATATATATATATATATATATATTCTTCACCCCTTTTGAATTTTTGTAATTTTATGTTTTAGTAAATGATAGTGTACTAGCACATTATTTTCCTTTTGAAGAATCTTTTTACTATAGCCTGGAGGTTACTCCATATAGTGTATGAAGATATCTCTTATTTTTTTTTCTTCACAGCTGCATGGTACTCAGTTGTGTTGTGCACTCTACTCTATTTAACCAACTTTCTACTGGTAGGCATTTGAGATTTTGCTATTTCTAATAGTGCTGCAGTGAATAGCCTCTTTTCATGTTTTTTTTTTTCTTTTCTTTTCTTTTCTTTCTCGGTTCATCCTTGGGCTAGATCTTTAGAAGTGGGATGGCTGGCTGAAAGGATAAATGCATACATGGTTTTGATGGATATTTCTGAATTTTCCTTCACTGTATCATGTTGCACTTAACACTGCCAATTTATCAGAGGGCCTATTTCTCATAGAATCACCAACCAAATATGTCATCAAGCTTTTAGATTTTTTGTGTCTGGTTACACACAACTCAGTACACCTTTAATCTGCATTTTAAGTTATAAGTTAGGTTTAACCTTTCAAAATATTTTAAGAGATATTTGTGCTTATGTTTCTGTGAAATGTGTGTTCATAATCTTAGCCTATTATAAAGTAATTGGTTCCCTGCACCAACATTTAAAAAAGTTCTTTGTGTATTAGGTGTATTAACCCTTGCCTTAAATATACTTTGCAAATAATTTATTCTGTTTTGCCATTTAACCATTTACTTAGATTATTTTTTCTATTGTTCCCAGAAAGGGGTCCCAATCCAGACCCCAAGAAAGGGTTCTTGGATCTCAGCAGGAAAGAATTTGAGGGGAGTCCACAGAGTAAAGTGAAAGCAAGTTTATTAAGGAAGTAAAGGAATAAAGAATGGCTACTCCATAGGCAGAGCAGCAGCTTGGGCTGCTGGACTAAGGATACTTATAGTTATTTCTAGATTATATGCTAAACAAGGGGAGAGTTATGCACGAGTTTTTCAGGAAAAGGGTGGGCAATTCCTGGAACTGAGGGTTCCTCCCCTTTTTAGACCATCTAGGGTAATTTCCTAACGTTGCCATGGCATCTGTAAACTGTCATGGTGTTGGTGGGAGTGTCCTTTAGCATGCTAATGCATTATGGTTAGTGTATAACAAACAGTGAGGACGACCAGGGCTCACTTTCATTGCCATCTTGGTTTTGGTAGAATTTGGCTGGCTTCTTTACTACAGCCTATTTTATCAGCAAGGTCTTTATGACCTGTATCTTGTGCCAATCTCCTAGCTCATCCTGTGACTAAGAATGGGAATTCAGCCCAGTAGGTCTCAGCCTTATTTTATCCAGAGCTTACTCAAGATGGAGTCACTCTGGTTCAAATGCCTCTGACATTATTATACTAAGATTTTAAACATTTTATGTAAATTTATTAAACATTTTCTTATGTTTCAAAATTTTATGTTAGGAAAACATTTCTTCACTCCCAGATGATAGAAAAATTTATCAAGTTTAAAAAAATTGTTTTGTTGCATTTTTTTACAGTTAAATATCTGATATATTTAGAACTTTTTGGTATAGGGTGTAATGAATGGATTCAATTTTACCTTGTTCTATATGGTTATATGGTTTTTCCAACACTACTTTTTAATAATTCTATTTTTTCTCCACTAATTTGAGATGTTGCTTTTATTGTATACTAAATTTTCACTAATATTTGGGTACAGTTCTGGAATTTTGATTCTGTGATTGAATTCTTTTTGAATTTCCATAAAGATAAGACATATTGCAATAAATATGAATCTTTATCCCAATAAAGTTGATTATTGCAGGGGTTGAAAAAGTAATTTTTTGTTTATTCTTCTAAGGTCTTAGCTAGGATCCCTTGTTAAAAAAAAAGACACATTACTAGAACAAAACAAACCAGAAGTTTATCAACATGTATTCCTTTTGTATACATAGGAGATACTCAGGAAAAGCGGGAAAATCTGAAAAAAAAAAAAAAAAAAAAATAGAAAAAAAAAAGGCTTAGAATTCAGGCTTTACTACCATCTTCATCTGAAATAAAGAAAGGAGGCTGTGGGGGAGGCCAGTTCTGGAAAGGTGACCAGGAAAAGCATGGCAGACAAAGGGTGAAGTTTGTTATGCAGATTTAAGTCAGAGCTTTCTCTATGGATGAGAGTCTCTTGTGATTAAGCCATCCTTCTCATCCTAGTGCTGAAAGGAAGGCACCCTTATGAAAGAAAATTTTCATCATAGAAGTAAGTCTTCCTTGCAAAAGAGTAACTTCTACTCTGTTTCTCTGGTGTCTGCTGTTTCTCAAAAATAATTGGCTCAAAATAATGCTTATGCCAAAGGGGTATATTTTGAGATGGCATATTCTGGTCTCTTAAGTTATCCAAAAGTGGAAAAACACATTAGACATGCTTAACACATTAGAGAGGCTTAAAGATGTCATTCAGAGTGTGGAGCTAATAACACTGCTGTGGTTGTTTAATTACCAAATAATTGCTCCACAGTTAACATTGCTGGTACAAAGAGAGTCTAGATATTGGAGGAAGAGCCCTTTGAATGGTGTCTGTTGCTCATGGAACAGGAGGATGCTAGGCCATTGTGGTGTACCAACCTTAAACAACGAGATTCAGAAATTATGATTAAGTATAGAGTTTATTTGAGCTTGAAGATGGCCACCTGGGAGCATAGATTCAAGTTGCCCTGAATACACACTCTCATTAGTAGCAGTTACAAGTGAGTTTTTTTTTTTTTTTTTTTAAAGACACACAGCTCAGTCTGTTATGAGCTGCTTTCCTTCTCCAGGTGGCTGTTATCTTTTGGGATCCTCTATACAATAGTCAACAGGGGTGCCTTGGAATGCACTGAAGTGTGAGATCCTTCTGGATTTTAGTTCCTGATCGTGAAACCAAAACATTATCTCCCCACAGCATCCTCTGAATACCTCTCACAGCCATGCTCAGGCAAGAGACTCGAATGCTACCATTTCCCAAGTGTGTGGTAATGACAGCTAACATATTCTATATTCTGGAGAAATGGCCCAACCATTTTAGAATAATTAATCATGGGACAAAGGAAGCTTGTGGGAGAAAAGGACTAGCCAAATATTTAAAAAACAGAGGGTAGTTTTACACATCTTGTCATTTCCAGCATTTAGGAATTCATTACCCACTCAACCACAGCTTTGCAGAAAGGAACTTTTTAGTATTACTGTATAATTGTTTAAGCATTGACACTGCTGCTTACTGAATAAATGTAAATTCTAGGAATTCTTCTATTTTTTTCTCTTTTGTCCACTTAAAAAGAAGAGAATGAAACACAAAGTGAGATTTAAACAGTTTACTTGAGACTGAGAAATAAAAATAAAATCCTAAGTCCCCCAGTGGACTAAACAGCCAGGAGGATCCCAGATAAACCTTAAAAACTGAGTTTTCCTGGCTGTGATGGGATGGGAGGTCAGACACGCCTCAGTAAGTCCCTTTCTCATTAACCTTTAACCAGAATTCTTTCCTAAGGAGTAGGCAGAAACCAGCTCTAGAAAGCAAGAAACGGACAACTCATTTTTCTATCACCTTTAGCCAGTCATCTGAGGCCACAACTGGACTCTCCTTTCCTCTCTGCACGTTTGGCACAGCAGCTCAGCAGTTTCACAATGCTTTCCTTCCTAAAAACTGACCACCAACTCTGGACTAGTTTTGGCCAACTTGTGGAGGATGCTCAGTGAGAGTTTTTGTGTTCCCCTCTTTGTCACTTTTTGACATCAGAGGGCCAAAGACTCCTTAGATCATGCCAAGATCACCATTTTTTGAATATGTGACCCACGAAGAGGCATGAAGCTCAATTGCACATGTGCCTGTTTCTCCTTTCACAGATATTCATGACATCTTCTATAGCTTATTAAATATGTATATTTAGCCAACCTGTTCAGCATAAATTCCTGTTCCCTTCACACCTCCCTCAAGCTTTGGGCTTCTGCTGGAGGCTATGCTTCTCAGCCTGTGGAATGGCCAGCCTGCAGGGTGCAGCCCTTTATGAGAAATAAAGGTGTCCTTTCCAAAGTTGTGAGCCTTGTGAGTCTTCAGCTCGCATGCTAAAATAAGGACAAGCTGCCCAGGAGGCTCAGACCCAAGTAACCTTGGATATGAGCTTTGTTCGGCCTTTGTTACAGGCATGTTTTTAAAGGAAAAGAAAAGAAAGGGGGAAAGGGAGTGTGCAAAATCCTGTCAGGAATTCTCATTGGTTTACAGAAACAAAACTGATCACTGATCAGCTATACATTGTTGTACTGTGGGGTGTGGAATATAGTGTCTGGTGAGGCATTATTAGGTTAATTCATAGCTGCATGTGACAATAGCAAGCCATTTCAATAGGTAAATACATAGCTCAAAAGCAGGAGTAGGATATGATTGCTGTCTCATTTTTATGTCTCTCCAGGCCTGATAATTTGAAAGGGCTCACATTTCTCAGATAAAAGTTTTTTTTTCCCCTAACTTTAATGTGGAAGACAAATAGCTTAGCTCTTTGCACTTCTCTAGACCCTCTCATCTCTTCCTCACACATTCTCTTAACAGTATAACTTTATTTTTAGTTATGCTTTCAGTTACTTTTATAACCATAGATAATATACATGCATCTTATTTCTTATTCTCTTAGTAGTTTAGAAGAGTACGAATTTCTAGATTTGAAATTCTGCACTCTCTGTCAGAGTTTATCTGTCTCAGATGGTTCCCTTAACTATGTAATTGGGCAAATTTGGATAAGGAGACAGATATTAAAAGATGTGGGCAATATTTAGGAAAATCAAAGGGAGAATGGAATATCCACCTCAAGCCTTCATGAGCTCATTAAATTCCAAAGGCCCCATCTTCTAATGCCATCATATTGGGGTTTAGAATTTAAACATATGAATTTTGGAATGGCACAAACATTCAATCCACTACAGGAAATAAATACATGCTCACTCTGTCAGCTGAACCAGACCCAAAAGTCAACTTAAAATTTTTACTCCTTAGATAGTTGATATTCTATGCCGAAGGGATGCTTTGAGTTTTGCTATTGAAGAGCCCTTCGCTAGTTGCTGGTTTACACATCCTTCTCCCAGGTCTTCAGTCACCTTGTGCACACCTATGCTATAGATGTGGTCTCACTGTACACTAATGTCTGCTTGTCCACTTCTGCCATTATGGAAGAATAGGCAGAAGGGTCCTCCCAGCATTCACGGTCACTTGCCCAGCACCTGTTGCATGCTCAGCATTTTACTCAACCCCTATGCCTTCACCTGTTCCCCACCTCACTACACAACACGAGGATTTGACACAGATCACAAATTCATACTGAACAAAGACAATTGAGTTTTAAAACATTGGAGCCAAAGAAAATGTTTAATAGTGTTCCATAGAGTTGGGGTATAACACCAGTAAAAGGAGTGAACAGTGGGGAAGAGATGACATTCAGGCCTTCAGGGCCTCTACGGTCATGAAAACTGTGCTACAAATGTGGCTTTTAGCCTCTGGGAGGCCACAGGAAAAGTGAAGCACATTAGAAACACCTATTTTGTATATAATGTGTTCTTGAAAGCATGTATAAAAGACATCATAAAACAAATAGTATTATAGTTTTAGCTGTGGTGGTAGCTGGGTGGATGTGCTCTGTTGCCAGAAGCCGAAAACTAGTATAAAATATCTGAATACATTGTGCCTTTTATGCATAATATTGAACACATTTCATTGAATCTAGTTTTTTTTCCTTTATAATGCAACCATTTGAAAGTCTATTTGAGATGGAGACTTACGCATGCAGCTCATTGATCCATTCCATCTCGGTCTTAATTATATTACAGTGATGGGACAAACATCTTTGTTACTAGTATCATTTTTCTGTTCTGTTCTAATTTATTTTTTGAAGCGTAAAATAACAAACACATAAATAGTGGCACAAACACTGGCTTACCGAGTTGGACCTTTTGGAGATTGGCATTGCTGCACCTGAGAAAGCTTCCAACACTTGTGGACTCATGTGCAAAAGTCCAAATTCTGATCATGAAACATTTAATTCTACCAATATATAATTAAGGCAAGTCAAACACATGAAAGTTAAAGAAGACTAAAATAACAAAATTTATGTTTTTCCAAAAGAAGTAACTCAGTTTATGGCAATGAACTATTCAGGCCTCAGAGTCCTGTACATCAGAAAGTAGGAACCCCTCAAAAACACACACACACACACACACACATGCACACACACACAGGTGTAGTTTAGAAGACAGATATAGACATAAATGTTTTTACTAAAGTTTTCATTTGCCTGGGTAAGTTAACATACAGAAGGACATGTTTCGTGACAGGTAATATATATTCTCACCACAATAAATTACTTTTATTTAAATTCATATTTTTTTCAAAAATGTAGCACTTACCCATGGATGAAAGAAAGTTAAAGTTGAGATTTGTTCTTCAAATGACATTTATTCTGTTTGAGTTTTGGTGAGAACCTCACCAATATAGATGCCATCTATTTCCATAATCCATTGCAAGTTGCAAGACCACCTGTTTTAGTTCAGGTAGTACTTGCTGCTCTAAAAAGGAAATCCCACATCTAAGGACTTAAAATAAAACTTTATGGACTGGCATGGTGGCTCAGGCCTGCAATCCCAGCACTTAGGGCGGCCGAGGAGGAAGAATTGCTTGAGGTCAGGTGTTCAAGATCAGCCTGGTCAACATAGCAAGACCCTGTCTCTACGAATAATAATAATAATAATAATAATGATAATAATAATAATAATAATAATAACAAAATAGCCAGGTGTGTTGGTGCATGCCTGTAGCCTTAGCTACTCAGGAGGCTGAGGAGGAAGGTTTGCCTGAGTTCAGGAGTTCCAGGTTGCAGTGAGCTGTGATTGTGCCACTACACTCCAGCCTGGGCAACAGAGCAAGACTCTGTCTATAAAGAATAAAATAAAATAAAATAAACTGAACTTAAAACATCTTAATGTTATCCTTGGACATATACCATCTCCTAATCCCTCTGGCCTCAGCTTTGGCACCTGCACAATGAGAATGGTTTTACTCACCACACAGAAATGTAGTCAGCGTAAAAGAACGTAACAAATACCAGGGAGGCTCAAACCTTCTTACAACTGGAGTGGAATGTGCTTTCTATGTGGAGTGCTGCGTGTCTCTGAAGTTCCCCACAAGCTGTTGGCCCTCACGGACTTTGTTCTTTACTGTCATTTCCAAGTCTGTCCTGGTTACTGTTGTGTGTGGTGTAGATGAAGCACGTCTCATTTTCTTAGTATCTCGACTACAGGGGAAAATTATAGTCATTAATGCACACTATTAAATTATGTCAAACACTAGACTCAAAATTTCTGCTGAATACCAAATAGATTTTAGTTAAAAGGAAAATCTGATGTAGATTTAGGGCTCTTTTTGGGATTGTCCCTCTAGCCTCCCCTCCGCTCTGCCCCATCTTCTTCAAGGTGGTGTAATGAGTTGCTGAATTTGGAAGGAGATAGGAATAAGTAGCCTGTGGGAGATCTGGGCCAGGGGTAAAGTCCAACCTTGAACCTGGCAGTGTCAGACTGTGGACCTGAGTCAGGGGCTGCCATGCACCAGCACAGCCATGAGAAGAAGCGAGTGCTCTGTTCCCATGCAGCCTGGCTGTGGCAGGTCTCCCACGGGCAACCCCGGATCTAACCTTGCGCCAACCTTGCAGCCCCCAAATGCAAGCCCCTTTTACAAAAGTGGCAGTCGTGTGATTACTAAAGTTTTCACTGGGAGATCAAGAAAAAGGTCTCTATCACTCACCACCTGTCAGACAACTTCAGAACCTACCCTGTAACATCGCAGCCCCCGTCGTTCCCCTTTCCTGCTACCCGCCTGCCAGCTACTCAATTTTCCTTGGCCCCACCCAAACCCCATGTTAGCCACTGCCTTACTTTTCATTTATTTCTCTGTTGTATGTTGGACAATTCAGCTCTGTACCAACTCCTCTTCTCCTGCATCTCCATACCCATCACCCCCTCAGCAGAGGCCCTGATGAGGGATTCCCCTCCCCCACATCTCCATACCCATCACCCCCTCAGCAGAGGCCCTGATGAGGGATTCCCCTCCCTCCCATCTCCATACCCATCATCCACTCAGCAGAGGCCCCTGATGAGGGATTCACCTCCCTGGGAGGTAGCGGGGGCAGTAACATACACATTTACAAGTGCTTTCCTTTCTCTCTATGGTACCATGGATGGCACAGTGTGAAGCTCTGTGAATCCAACAATGATTAAGAAGCAGGTCTTGGCCAGGCATGGCGGTCACACTTGTAATCCCAACACTTTGGGAGGCCATGGTGGGATAATCACTTGAGGCCAGGAGATCAAGACCAGCCTGGACAGCACAGCAACACCCTCTACCAAAAATCAAAAAAATAAACTGGGTGTGGTGTTGTGCACCTGTAGTCCCAGCTACTCAGAAGGCTGAGATAGGAGAACTGCTTGAACCTAGGAGGTCGAGGTTACAGTGAGTTGTGATCCCATCACTGCACTCTGGCCTGAGTAACAGAGTGAAATTTTGTCAAAAAAAGAAAGGAAGAAAGGAAGGAAGGAAGGGAGGAAGGGAGGGAAGGGAGGGAAGGAAGGAAGGAAGAAAGAAAGAGAAAGAAAGAAAAAAAGAAAAGAAAGAAAAGGAAAGAAAGAAAAGAAAAGAAAGAAAAGAAAGAAAAAAATCAGGTATCATCCACAAAGTGCTCTCCCTCTGTGGGGTGAGCAGCCAGCTTTCTGTGCCTCTGTGGGGTGAGCAGCCAGCTTTCTGTGCCTCTATGGGGTGAGCAGCTGGCTTTCTGTGGTGGCTTAGTTTTTCATCATGCATTTAACGTCGTTCGTCACTGTTTGTGCTCATAAGAACCCCCTCCAGGAAGACAGACTTCCTCATCTGCACACAGCAGCAGGTGATGCAGGGCCTGCGAGTTGTGGCTTCTCTGGCATCACATGGGGGTCTCAGGCAGAACAGACCACAGTCTGTCATCTTTTAAGAAAATGTGGTTTTTGATTCTATAACAGAAAACTCACAGGCCATCCAAGAGAATTCCAAATGACGAAATGAACAGAGCAGGTTTCATCACCACACGGAGCCTCCCTCTCTGTGGAGGCATTTGGAATTTGGTGAGGACTCCCCGTGTCCCTGCCCTATGATGAGAACTAGGGCAGTGTCTGGAACCTGCACACCAAGGCCTCCCAGAGAGGAAAACAACAGGGGATTCCCAGGGAATCTAGCCTTCCCTGTGCTCTCACCTCCAACCAGCCCCATCTCCTGGAAAAATACAGAATAAACTTTCTGCTTTGAGTCTGAAATTTGGAGCCAGCTCTGGTGGAGGGAAGAGGGTACCAGCCCTCCAGATACCCAGCTGCCAGCCCTGGGCCCCTTCATAACTTCTGTGGCGCCTCTTCTTTCTGGCAGAGTTGCTGATGGGAGCTAAGCACGGCCATCCATGCCAGCAGTTGCACAGGTTTAATCAAGGGTCTGGTCTGTCTGACAGTGCTGGGGCTCAGCAAAGCAGCTCCCCTGCTGTGAAAAAGTGCTGATCGATGCTCCATTGTTCTTTCATTTATGGGTGGCTCTCCTCCTCCTCTCCCCTCCTCCTCCCGCTCCTGCTTCTGTCCACCTGTCACAGTGTCAGAGGCTTGGGAGAGCAAGACTGCTCCTGCAGACACCCTTTTGCACATCTAGACAACCAGGGGACAGTTTCCACGTGGACTTGGAGGGGCCGGGGACGCAGCTGCACCAGGCTGCCCGGCAAATAGAGGGAGGAGGTCCCATGGAACGGCTTCACCATAGTCTTCCTGACTGTCAACAACTCTGCCCTCTTCCTTTAAGGTGCAGATTCCTGTATGGTTTAAAGCAGCAGCTGAAAGGGGTTTGTTAAGTAGTCAACAAGGCTCCTGGAAGCTTCAATCTCTCACTTCCAGTGTTCAGGTTTTCTGTCCTCCTAGACCAGGGTTTTTTAACCTGGGCCCCACAGACATTTTGGCTGGACCATTCTTTCTTGTGGGGGCTTTCCTATGCATTATAGGGTGCTTAAGAAGGTCCCTGGCCCCCACGACTGGATTCCAATAGCACCTCCCCCAACAGTGTGAACAACTAAAAGTGTTTCCAGGCATTGCCAAACATCCCCTGTGGGTGAAATCACTCCTGGTTCGGAACCACTGACCTAAATGGTCCTGACATGGCAGAGCCGTGTTCTTTCTTGTGTCCTCACTGTTATCCCATCATCACAGCAGCAGCGTAACCACAACTTTATCATCACCATCACCACCGTCATCATCCCGTAGGCAGCATCTGTGTCAGTCATGATTACTAACATCTGTTCATGATGATCGAGGACCTCCTGAAGGAGCTGTACTGCTCCCCAGGTGCCTGGAATGTTCCTGGAAATGTGTGCAGACTAATCCAAGATCCCTGGGAACCCTAAAAGGTGAATGTTATTATGCCGGTTTTAGAGATGAGAAAACCGATGATCATGGAGCTTAGGTCCTAACTTTTCTTGAGATGAGGCAGAACACAACCGTGCCCCTGTTTGACCTAAGCGGGAGATTTTGTTCACTATACTCGGCTACCGTGTACTTCTCTTTGTCCCTTCATTTGTGCTCTCCAGCTCCTGATAAGGGTTAGGCACAGGCCTGGCATCCTCATCAATGTAAGGAACAGGAATCAAGTCACTCAGCTTAGCTGAAGTAATTCAAATTGATGTGCACCTTGTCCGTTGAGGCAATAAAGAATTGTTGCAACACAGGACTAATCCCAGAATTCTGGTTCCAGCTTTGACTTGCTCTGTGAGCTTAGACAAGCCACTTGACCTTTCTAAGCCTCCCACACTTTATTTGTAAATGGACTAATACTTGTAAGAAGATAAGAACGACACCTGCATACAGTTAACCCTCAGTGAAGGCCGCATGTTACTATTAGTGACAGATGCTCTCCGGGTAAATCGACATCTTTCTTTTTGTTCTCTCCACAAAAGTGGTTGGGGAGGTGCTGTGTGAGCTTAAGGGAGATTAGAACCCTGGTGTTGGGGTCAGACAGGAAAATGCCTGGCTGCTTCTCTCAATTGCTCCCCTGAGAAATGGCAGCATGTCTTAGAGCCCAGCCTGGGTGTCAGAGGTCCTGAATTTCAGTTTGGGGAATGGACCATACACAGCAAGACTGAGAAAGTCATGTACCTACCAGGGCCCCGATTTCCTTATCTGCACATTAGGCTAGATAATTGCAAAGCTCCTATATCCGCATGTGTACAATAGACAGTTTTACTCACCTGCTATTGTAACGCGCACACTGGGGCCGTCTATTTCAGTGTTGGATGAGTCTTTCTCTGGTGCTGCCTGGGCTGGCTAAGGTCCGGCTCCCTCCCTGGAACAGCTCTCCAATGGCTGGCACCCATCCTTGCCCATCTCTGACAGCACACACCCTGCCCAGGATTGAGGACCGGAAATATATATATAATAGATAGCTAGATAGATAGATCAATAGATGCTTTTTAAAATACACATTTTATCTTTGTCTTCCCTTTAATCCTTCTACAGCAACAGATTCTTCAAACAAGCTGCACTCTCACGTGTACTCAGTGGGGTATGCTTTTCTTAGGCAGTAAGCAGGATATGCAATCGGGTTCATACACAGCTGTTGAGACTTCCTGAACACATCTGAAAAATCGATTGGCTGGGCACTTTTTTAAAGATGTCTCCTCTTGACCCGTAATCTGAAGATTAATTCTGCAGACAGAAAGGGCTGACTTGCAGGTCAATACCTCCTTTTAAGAACCTCCTCACTTTAATTAATTGTCCCTACAAAGTCCTAGATTACAGCTGAGGGATAGGTGATAAAAAAATTAATGAAAGCGCAGAGCATAGGGAGGAGGTAAGCCCTGACAAGATTATGGGGTGCGGGGAAAGGAGGATTTGGGAAATAGACTGAGAGGAAGCAACATCCTGAGTGGTAGCAAAGGGGAGATTACCTGTCTGTCTGTCTACCTGTCTGTCTCTCCATTTGACATTACTGTCTCTAGGGCATTTTGTTTTTCAGTGGTGCTGGGCACAGCTCACACCATCACTGTTATTTATAAGACACATGGTTATTGGAAGGAGCTCAGGGTTTGCAATCACATGATCATGCTGGCAGCTCCAGGTCTGTCCATTGCTCACCTTGGCTTGCTTCTCTGATAAATGGGGATAAGAGTTCCTACTGCATAAGGAAGCTACTTGGCTCTATGGCAAGCAGGGGCTGTGGATGGGCCAGGAACAAGGTTGGGTGACATCCCAGGGTCACACCAAAGCCATGCTCAGCACCCTGTCTCCTCCCTGAGGTCCCTGAGGCACAGTGAACTTCTCCTGCCAGGTAGGGAGAGGCCCACAGGAGCTTCAGACATCATTACAGTGGCCCTCTTCCACATAGGCTTGATGTATACTTTCTGCTTCTTTGTTTCTTTCAGATTCATTTCTTCAGGAGCATTGTGTAGTGACAAGGGTGGAGATCTTTGAAACCAGAGAGCCACCGTCAAGTTCTGCCCGGCTTCGCGAGCTTATGGAAGGCAGGCATTTAACAGAAGGGACACGCGCTGAAGCATGCTAAGAGTTTCATGAACTGCCATGCAGGAAAACTAGAGGGGAAGTCACTAGCAACCAGGAGCTAGACTGGAAGATCAGCAAAGCTCTCTCTGAGGAAGTGACATTAAAAGGCTGAAACAGGAATCAAAGAGGACAAATACAGACAGGGGAAGCAGGTGGAAGAGTTCCAAGGGAGGGAAGAGACTGCACAAGGCCCCATGCAGGGCAGAGGCTTGTGTGTGAGGAGCTGAAGGCCTTGCCAAGCAGGGCTGGCAGGAGGGAAAGTGCAGGAGATGAGGTTGGAAACTGAGGAGAGGGGATGTGGGGATTTATAGATGCAGTAGAAGTTAGTGTCTCATCTAAAGGGCAAGGAGAAACTCTTAAAGGATAACGATTTCCTTTTTTTTTTTTTTTTTTTTTTTTTTTTAAGAAACAAAGTTCTGTTGCCCAGGCTGGAGTGCAATTGTATAATCAGGGCTCACTGCAGCCTTGAACTCCTGGGTTCAAGCAATCATCCCGCATCAGCTTCTTGAGTAGCTGGGACTACAGGCATATGCTACCATACCTGGCTAATTTTTTTAAGAAAATGTAGAGATGGAGTCTCACTAGGTTGGCCAGGCTGGTCTCCAATCCCTGGCCTCAAGTCATCCTCCCACCTTGGCCTCCCAAAGTGCTGGAATAACAATCGTGAGCCACCATGCCAGGCCTCTTGAGACTTTAGTGCATCAAAAAATTGTCTCTACAAATCAAGACTCTTTATATCCAAAGACTATTTTGAAGCTATAAATCCCACACTGCCTTTCTTTGCTCTGGTATCTAGGAACCCTTTTCCTGGGGTGTGGGGTTGGAAAGCCCTGGCTGCCTGCACTGGCAGGTGTGGAGGACTCAAGGGTCCCATAGAAACCTGTGCATAGGGCGTGGGGAGTGCAGTGGTTGAGTTTTCAGAACACAGTCCTCATCGGCTACCAAAGCATTTTTCCTGAGGTGGACTCTTAGTATCATTTAGCCCCGAAGCCTCCCTCCCAGCAGATCTTTAAAATGTTACACTAAACATCAGCCTGAGTGCAAGCAACCATACAGGCATGCCCTTGACAATGCTTACACCAATGATGGCTTCAGCCATCTTTCCAACCACTCACTAAGTTCTTCATTTAGGGAGGCACAAATTGTCTACTGGTTTTAACCAGGACATGGAAAGTCCAAAGCTGATGGTGTCTTCTCATGCTTGCACAGATGAGATTTGGGCATCAACCCTTTGATTGGTCTCAGCTTGCTAAGAAAGATGCTTTTGGAATGCACCAGCCACTCCAAATAACCTAAATCAGGACTCTTGATCCAGTTCAATGCAGGCAGGTATATACACTTCAAAGGCAGCGACCAGGTCTGTCTTCCTCCTCATGTAATCCCCCAGTGCTGAGTATGGGGCCTGGGGTAGACAGAGTACTCAGGTCCATCTGTGGAAGGTGCCAGCCATAACTTCCTGATGTAGATGGAGACTGTGGTGGTGTGGGGAGTCAAAATGGCAGAAAGAAAAGACTTTGGTCTTTCAATCAAGAGGCCTGATTTAAGTCTTTAACTTAGAAGGTGGTCTTTGGGAAATAATTTTTTTCTCCTTGGGTCTTCATTTTCTTATCTGAATTAACTCATCTCTCAGCCCTAAATGATCTTCCGTTTCTTGCATTTTATTATTCCCTTACAGACTTAGCTGTAATCCCTTGTAACTCTGATGAAATGCAGTAGAAGTGAGATATTTTTTGGTAAGAAGATGGTATCAGTTCCTTAGATGCTTGCAGGAAAAAATTCAGGTACAAACTTAATGGATTCATTTTTTATTATCAACCAGCTTCAGTGGACTGGAAACTAGGATTCCAAGGTGTGGGCCTATGGCCAGGGGCCAGCAGAACAATGAGAGAGATTTTTCCCGGTGACACAGGCCAGAGGGTAAAATGGTTTCAAAGGCATGTTGTGTATTATGAGTCTCTCTACCATCTAAGTGATGAAGTTCCAAGGTCATGTGGGGCTTTTAATCTTTTTACTTACCCTATATTCCAAACAAAAGCTAAATGACAGAGGAAAGGATGGGGAGGCCAGGCAAGTGTCCCCTCTCTTGTGATACCTGTCCTTTCTATACTTTTACAAGTGAGTTCTGAAGCCTTGCTGGGCCACACAAAGGCTCACCTGATCCAATCGAGGAGACGTCTATTGAACAGGGCCACAACTCAGGTGTGCATGAAAGAAACACAGCTTGATGTTTCTATAGCTGAACTTAGTTTCTCTCTCAACCTCCCTTCCCTACCAGAGCTGAAACTTCATGTTAGTAAATGAGTAAATTCAGTCTTTGCATGAGTTTTCCCCTCTCCTCCTCAGGGAAGTTGCAGAAGAACTTCAAGAAGCTCATGTGTGCGGTCTGGCTTTTAAGCATCATTGTCTGTGAATGTTGACATCTGCTGAGTGACCTCCATGGTCCCCCTGACCTCTGGTCTCAGCAACCTCTATACCTTCTTGGGGTGTACACAGGTGAAACACATGGAACTTAAAGGGATCTCTCCTGCCCTGCATGGGCCTGCAGGAAACATGGGCTGGGGGGCTCTGGTGCCTTGATTAGACTCCACCACAGCTCCGATGCTGACACACCCTGCTGGTGCTGGAGGCCCTCAGGAGACTTGTTGGTTCCCTAGGCTCCACTGGAAGTATGGTTCAGGCTCCCCAGGCACTCAGCTTCTGGCGTTAATCTAGGGCTTCAGTTCTTTATTGTTAAGGAACTCAGCCCAGGGGATATTGATGCAGGGCAGGTGAGCCCTTAAGTGGGGCTCAGCCTTTGAGGGTTCTTGGCTGCGCCCAGCAGAAAATGGCTTTACTGAAGCAGCAATGTGGCAGCTCCACGACTGCTCTTGCAGAGCAGGGCTACCCCATGAGCAGTGCACTGAGAGTAGCAGCACCTCTAAGCAGTTCTGCATGCATGTTTACACCCACTTTTAATCACATGTAGATTAAGGGGTAGTTTATGCAGGAACTTTTAGAAAAAGTGTGGTAACTTTGAGGTTATTGGGTCATTGCCATAGAAAGGGGCGGTAACTGCCAGGTGTTGCCACGGTAATGGTAAGCTGATGTGGCACACTGGTGGGTATGTCTTATGGAAAGCTGCTTCCGCCCAGGCCCTATTTTAGCCAGTCCTTAATTTGGTCCAGTGTCTGAGCCTCACCTCTAGAGTGGAGTCTCACTTTTACTTCAGTATGACAGAGCCCTCAGTGGGCTTCTTCAACCCTGCCACCCACTACCTTCCACCCCGAATGCCTGTCCTTTGCCCCAGTTTCAAGGGTCTTTATCTGTTTTGAGGGATGAAGATGGGAGAGGGAGGGAAAACTGGCTCTGAGAACTTCTTATTATGTTTTTCCCACATTTATTGCTGTGGCATAAATGCATTGCTGAGGTCCTTCTAAGCTTCCTTCTCTGAAGCCAGTGTTGGTCCATTCTGGAGGCCTTCGCTTTGCCCCTCACTCTGCTCTGGGTGGCTCCGCTGCAAGGGCTTTATCCATGGCTCCCTTGCCTCCTGGTTCCTGGATGAGTTTAGGCAAGGGTGGCCCTAGCAGAGTCTAAAGGAAGACAAGCACAAAGAGGGGCATGTCTTCCTCCAGCTCCATCCCTGCTGGGTCCCCGGCTGAATGTCACAGCTCCTGCCAAGCAGTCCTTTCTGCTAGGCTTTCTGGTATGGTTTGGAACTGTGTCTCCATCTGAACCCCATGTTGAAATGTGATTCCCAATGTCACAGGGGGGCCTGCTGGGAGGTGATTAGATCATGGGGGTGATTTTTTTTTTTTTTATAAATGGCTTAGTGCCATCCCCTTGGAACTGTCCTGGTGATAGTGAGTGACTTCTCAGAAGATCTGGCTGTTTAAAAGTATGTGGCACCTGCTCCCTCTCTCTCTTGCTCCTGCTTCACCTTCCACCATGAGTAAAAGCTCCCTGGGGCCTCCCCAGAAGTAGATACCACTCTACTTCTTGTACAGCCTGCAGAACCATGAGCCCATGAAACCTCTTTTCTTACAAATTACCCATCCTCAGGTATTTCTTTATAGCAATGCAAGGACAACCTAACACACTTTCTCTTCCCTTTCACTCCTCTAGCTTAAGGTGATAAAGGCGTCCCGATGCCAGTGGCTATGTGTTACCCTGAACGTGGCCCAAATCTCTGTAAATAGCTCCTTAACTCATTAAACTCTCAATTTCAGCTCTGTGTGTCTGCTTCCAGAAGGGCCCCTGGTGACACCAAGCCATTGGTTTCAATAGTCTGGTTTGAAGTTGAGAGGTGAGAACTGACTTTTTTTTCTCTTTGCCTTTCTGCAGCAACAATTTTTTCTTTAAGGTGATGGAAAACTCTGGTCTAGTTTGAATCTGACAATTAATAGAGAGAATGGAAGAAAAAAAAGAAGGCAAAAAGAACAAGAGGGTTGCCAGCCAAAAAAAAGCATGAGTGAATATTTTAAATTATTATATTTCTATCCAATTCTTTGTTGTTATTTGGCTTGTTACTTTTTTACTGGTAAGTGGGACAAGTTAGCTTAGAAAAAAAGGGGACCTTTGCCCCATCGAAGAAGCTATGACCATTTTAAAAAAGAGTGTAAGGAATACTGAACTTGTCTACCTCCCAAGTTTTCTAGTTGAGAAAACTAAACTCTAGAAAAGGAGAATTTTGTTCACCTAGCCAATGAATGCTAACCAAAATAGTACCTGAGCTTAGGCTCTGTAGTAAATGCTAGAGATATAAAATTAAGAAGACCCTACCCTTGAGGAGCTCATAAAGTCATGGAGGATCATCTACATAGATTTAACATATAGTCACCAAGTCTTTGTTTGTTAGATCTGCTACATGCTGGGGCTCTATACTAGGAGAAAATCCATCATAATCTATGCCCCCATGGAGCTTGCTGCCCAGTGAAGACACAGACATTGAACAATTAATCCCAACAAAGATGTGGAACATTTTAACTATAATCCAAGGCCATTGTAAAGAGGAGTAGAGGACTTTAGGGAAAGCACAGCATCTGCAAAGGCCCCATGGCAGGAGGGGTCCTGGTGCATCTGAGGGGCTGCAGTTGAAGTGATGAGAGGTCACTCTAGGAGGAAGGTTGGGGACAGACCCTGCAGGTCTGCTGGGCCTTGTGAGTAGCCCTAGAGTGTGGTAGAATCCACACACTGCATACAATGCACAGAGGGAGCGGGGGAAGAGCGACCCCACCTGGAGGATCAGGGAAAGGCCTGTGGACAGGGATCTGGGTTTAAAGGATGCTTTGTCCCTCTCTCAGCCTGGTGTGGAGAAAAGCATATGAACAGCAGGATCAGAACATGTTCAGAAAAGTTCCTGTGGCTGGAGATCCGGGAGGTGGGGGTGGAAGGTGAGGTTACAGAGGGACACAACTAGAACCAGATCCTGGGAGCTTTCTAGACCAAGCTAGCACAACCTGGAAAAAAACATCTACCACCTTCTTGCAAAAGCACTTAGCCCATGAGTGAAAGGACAGGTCTAGAATTCAGATCCAAGGGAGTATCTTGCCCAACATCTTCTCTTTAAGAGGAGACTGAGACCCCTTCCAGCTCTGACATCCTCTGACTCTCAAACGTGATTTGCAGACTCAACCATCCCAGCCTTGGAGACTGTTGTTGGATAATGAGGAAGTGTAAGATGTGGTGTTTACACTGTGGTGCACTAAAGCCCAGGAGAATGAAGAAGAGAAGCTTACCCCACGCCTAAAGATGAGAACATGCGATAGTGTCCTGAGGCTGCAGTAACAGATTCTTACACACTTGGTGGCTTCAATAACAGAAATGCATTCTGTCACAGCTCTGGACACCAGAAGCTGAAATTAAGATGTTGGCAGGGCCATGCTCCCTCCCAAGGCTCTGGAAAATAACTCTTCCTTCTTCTTTCAGATTCTGGTGGCTCCAGGTGCTCCTTGGCTTGGGGCAGCCTCTTTCTAGTCTCTGCCTCCACCTTCAATGGCCCTCACCTCTTCTCTCTGTGTCTCTTCTCTGTGAGTCTCTTATCACTGGATTTAGGGCCCATAAATTAATCCAAGATTATCTGCTTCTCCTGAGACCCTTAACTCAGTTACATCTGCAAAGACTTTTTTTTCCAAATAAGATCACACCCACAGACTAGGACGTGGACATGTCGTTTCAGGGACCACCATTAACACACTACAGACAAGCATCAGAATTTACTGCTAAGTTGTTTTTCTGCAAAGGTGCTCACAGTAGTCTCATAGAACTTTCTACTGATATAAACTGTTTTAAAGATCTTTGTTTATGCAAGAGCAAAATGAGAAAAGGAGAATTCTCCACACTGGTAAAAGCTTTTACAAAACCCTTCATTCCTCTCTACACACAAGTCCTGGGCCCACGTAGGTGAGCTGTGAAGGTCTGACCAGAGGTGATTTTCAACCAGGCTCAGTAATAAAGCATGTGCCACCTCTGTAACCAAATGCAAGGATATAAGAGGCAGGAAGTATGAATTCACTGGGATCCCGAGGCATCTTGGTGCCCACTCCCGAATGACAGTCTCAACGATTGCTTGTTGGCTGCGGGGCTTGAACGCGTGAACCCTGCTTAGTGAGGCTTCCCTCCCTTAACCAGCACTCCGTGGTTATCTGATGCCTTTCTCCACAATACCCTGGTTCTGAGAAATCAAATTAAATATAAATTCTTTCTGCCACTAAGCAGCTCCTTGGAATTCCCCTAATAAAAATTCTCTTGAATATGCCACTCGGTGGAATTCTGTGTAATTCTAGACAAGAATAATCATTTCAGAAATAGGTTCCTGTATTCAACTGTGTAATGAACACAATTATTCTTATTACCCAGCACCGAGATTGCGGGTGTGACTGCATGTTAAAGACTGTTTGTAAAAGGGGCGCCTTATCTATCCTGGCAGCACACCCAGCCACCGGTCCACGTGGGACTTGCCTTATCTCCTTTCTACTGCTATGATTGTGGGAGAGGAAGATAATGAGGTTTTTTTCTTGTTGTTTTTTGAAAAAAATATGTTACAAAGGTAAGTAGAAACTTAAGCCCCAAAAGAAATTTCTCCATTAACATAACTTATGAAAATATTTTGTTCAGAGAAGTGCATCATGCTACCTCTCCAAAACGCTTGCAGAAAAGAAAAGTGGAAATCCATCTAAAAGCAGAGTTGCAGTGTTCCTCATGGCCCATTCAAGACATCGTTGTTCTCACAAACTCTTCAAACTTCTCACCCAGGCTGCTGGGCATTGCAGAGTCTGGTCTGGATCACTGAGGCTCACATTAGACACTATTTGAAAAGGAGTGCTGTTTCATTCTACAGACCTTACACTACACAGGACAATTAAATGTGGTGCCAGAGAAGAGTGGGAGAAACAGAGCCTGCTGAGCCAACTTCAATGAACTGATAAAAATGACTATAATTAGTGGCACCAATTTCCATATTCCATGTTAAAAACCATGGATTTGGTTACAAAGATTAAACATATTCCTTACAATGTTATTTTCCCCTTCTACGGAGAGCACACTTAATGGCTAATCAAGGCTGAGTTCTTAGTGCCTGGATTTTTCATGTGCATAGATTTGTATGTTTCACAGGTTCCTAAATGTTACAAGTCAGAGGCCAGAGCAATGTGAACTGAGCTCACAGAATTACCACTGCCAGTCGAGACATTCCAACATGTTTTTCTGACATATCTGTGTCAGTTGTCATCTCTACAATTAAAACTTAAACTAAGTTTAAAACTTGGACTCTTTCCATCCCTGCCAATCTCAAAAGAGTCACTTGAAGCATGATTCACATTTTAAAACATGTTAGGCTCAGGGTAGTGCCTCAAAGTTGGTGTGACCTGCTCAGGCGTGGGAGCTGGGGGCAGAGCGTGTGTGAGCCCTGCCTGTGAACAGTGTACCCTCATGAGCTCTGTGGTTCCAGCCGTTCCTGCAGAGCTGAGTCAGACAGACAGTGCTGCACAGGAACTCCTTCTCACACTAGAACTCTGCCAAAAGATACTCATGGGCTGGAACTGCCAGAGTCACTTTTTGGCTTAGAATATCACACAATGTCCATATGATCATTTGCACAATGGAATCTATGTTGTGGAACAGCCAAGATAAAAGAGGCAGATTCAGCAAGAGGGACTCTCACCCTGATTTATAAACACTTGACATTTAATACAGAACCTCTCTTGGTCCAAGCCCTGCTCCCCTTTGACTCCCTGATCAAGTGACAGGCAATGCATCCTCCTGTCTGTCCCATCAAACCACAAAGAACCTGTTCATCCCCAAATTTCTTCACATTCCTCAAATCTGCCCAAAGCCTTTGGGTCAGAACTTTCTCCTACTATACCTGCTTTCTAGCTCCCCGGCTTCCCATTCCTTCCCTTGGTGCTATTATCTTAGTTAGATGCCAGCATGGGCTTCATTTTGATTAAAACCAAAGGCCACCCTCACACCTCAGTGTCCTTCATCATCTCCCCACTCCCTGCCAGAGCAAGTCCAGCCTCCTGAGATTTATCCATGTCTTTGCAGCATCTGGCCTCAGCCTCCTCTCCCAGCCTCCCTCTTTGCTCCCCTCTACTAACATGCTGTGCCCTTTCTCATGTGAGCACGGCAGTCTCTGAGCTCTGAGGAATGCAAGACCTATGGACATGTGAGCACAACCTCAATTTCCAGCTACCAATAATCAAGCAGGTACATCGTTAACCCTGACAACAGCTTTGAACAACGGCCCAGTACACAGAAGTTACAATTTCCTGTCTGTGACAGACATGAGCTGGTGTTAAAGTATGTGCTAATTATTGAAATGTGCCCTCTCTGTTCTGAGCAGCATTTTCATGCAGATTTATAGGGCCCTGCTGGCTGCCCAAGCACAACCTGCTTCTTTTCTCATCTAAACTCAATCTCTTCCCTGCTGGCTCTTTGCATACTGGAGGTGAGAGGTAAAGCCAGCTGATCTTCTGGGTGGGTGGGGACTTGAAGAACTTTGGTGTCTAGCTAAAGGATTGTAAATGCACCAATCAGTGCTGTGTCTAGCTAAAGGATTATAAACACACCAATCAGCAATCTGTAAAAACACACCAATCAGCACTCTGTAAAACGGACCAATCAGCACTCTGTAAAATGGACCAATCAGCAGGAGGTGGGTGGGGCCAAGTAAGGGAATAAACACTGGGCACCCAAGCCAGCAGAGGCAACGCACTGGGGTCCCCTTCCACGCTGTGGAAGCTTTGTTCTTTTGGTCTTCACAATAAATCTTGCTGCTGCTCACTCTTTGGGTTCGCACTAGCTTTATGAGCTATAACACTCACCGCGAGGGTATGCAGCTTCATTCCTGAAGTCAGTGAGACCACAAACCCACCGGGAGGAACAAACAACTCCAGACTGCCATGTTTAAGAGCTGTAACACTCACTGCGAACGTCTGCAGCTTCACTCCTGAAGTCAGCGAGACCACAGACCCACCAGATGGAAGAAACTCCAGATACATCTGAACATCTGAAGGAATGAACTCCGGACACACCATCTTTAAGAACTGTAACACTCACTGCAAGGGTCCGCAGCTTCATTCTTGAAGTCAGCAAGACCAATAACCCACTGGGAGGAACCAATGTCAGACACAGAGGGACTGCCAAGTAAAGATGTCAGAACGTGGGCTTCATTGAACCCCAGTTCAGCTGCAGGCTAAAGACTGTGGAGGCTAAAGACTGCTCATCTCCCTTTGTAATAACAGAATGCTGGCTTTTCTCTGGGACTTCTCAAATCTCTAAATAAGCATTACAGTTTTTAAAAGGTGGGTAGGAGGGCATTAGAGTATATAAATTTTCCCAAACTCGGTGTTCTTGAAAATTTATTATTTCTATTTTTTCAGAGCCTTTCATACTGGTTTTCTGCAGAGCTCATTTTGAAATACACCGTCTTACAGTTTTCTGTTGTCATTCCTGTAGGCAACTGCAGAATAAAACCCCGCCATCAAACATCATTCCCACAACATTTATTTTTCTATTTCTTGGATGAGGTTTTCAAGCGGGACATCTGGTTGTTTGCTGCTTGTATTAATTTGCTAGGGCTGCTGTAACAAAGTCTCACATTCTGGATGCTTAAACAACAAATTAATTTTCTCACAGTTTTGGAGGCTGCAAGTCGCAGATAAAGATGTTGGCAGGTTGGTTTCTTCTGAGGCTGCTCTTCTGAATTGCAGACAGCCATCTTCTCCCTGTGGGCTTCCCCCTGTATGTGTCATGTCCAAATCTTCTCTTCCTGTAAAGACAGCAGTCATAATGGATTAGGGTCCATCCTAGTAACCTCATTTCAGTTTACCTCTTTAAAGACCCTGTCTCCCAATACAGTCACATTCTGAGGTCCTGAGGGCTAGGATTTCAACGTATGAATTTTGGGGGGATATCCCATAACACTGCCAGAGCTTGAAAGCTGGATTTGCAGGATAATTGTAAGTGATGGCAATGTCAGACAGACCCAAGATGTATAGAACATCTGGGCTAGTCCCTAAAGAGAGGGGGAACATTCCCTGTGATGATACAGGATGGATCCACTCTTTGTAGTAACAGGTGAAGGGAAGTGAAGGGAAAATGTGGGAAAAAAGTCCTTGACTAGGAGCTGGCCCCATCTTGGTGTGCTTGGTATCTGGGCAGAGGGCATGCCATGTACTGCACATGGACACTCTTGTTTAATTGTCCAGCACCTCTAAGAGGTAAGTACTGTTATAACCATCACTTTGCCAGCAAGGTTGTTGAGGCTAAGGGGAGTCTGAGAATTTGCTGCAGGCCGGAAGTGATTAAGTGGTACACTTGGCATTTGAACCCAGGCAAGTTTACGCCAAAGCCCACATTGTGTGCATTTCTCAGCTTGCCTAGAATCTTACCAGCTACGTGCCTTTGTAAAAGTAGTATTTCTAGGCCTTGATTCTCATCTTCAAAATGATACTAATGAAACATGTGTCCCCTATGTCTCTTTGCAACCTCAGTGAGAAAAGCCAGAGCAACTAAGGAGAAATGAGAGAGGCTATGGTGATCTACCTAAAACACTCCTAGACTTTAGGTTACCCCCAGGACCATGGTCAGTTCATTCATTCATTCAGTCATTTGCTTATTCAATGATTCAATGTATACAAAACATCTACTCTGTATAATGATAATGCCAGTAATAGTAGCTAACATTTGCCAGACATAATATGGGTCAGGACATTTCCCTGATGCTTTCTCATTTGTTATACATTAAATTTTTGCAAATTCATGCTAAGAATAATGGTGAAAATGAAATAATTTATTCCAAGAGTTGATAAAGCTGATATACAATGCCCCTTGGGGAGAGAATTCTAGAGAACCCTTTTTGATTTAGAAGCACCACCTGAGAAGCATATGAAGGATGAAGGCAAAGCACTTTGAGCACAGAATGTGATTAGCGAGGCTACTATGTGAACAAAATTTTAAAAATAAAAGAAGGTGGATTTGGGGGGAGGGAGAGAGAAGAGATGGCCGGGAAAACTTTAAGGGCAGAAATGCCAAACGTCACACTTGGATTATTCTGAACTTCCAGGGAAGTCTACCATGCACAGCTGTGAGGCAGTCATGTTCTGGGCAGCTACCACTACCCAAAAGAATCAGGCTGATGTTAAGCAAGGCAATTTGGTGTGGAAAAATGAAACTACTAACAAAAGCATGATGCAAAAGAAAATGATATAGGCCAAAAGAGCCAGCAGTAACTATGAGAACTGAAATTCCTCCTGGAGTCCTTGGAGATACTGGAATTTCCATGCACCTGGGAAGGGGTATACCATCTTCTATTTGGATGACAGAAGAAGGGATTGACTTTAATAGATATGTGGATTGTCTTCTTGGAAGATCTTTCAAGATCTTTCAAAGGATCCGTATCTCAAAAATAAGATTCAAGTGAAAACCAGAAAAAAAATCACCATGGTTGTTGGCTTCCTGAGTGATTAGATGTCCTTTTGTATTTGGAACCTGTAGACTTGATCTTTGAGTCTCAAACCAGAAAAGACCTTGAGTGTTGGGACAGAAACAGAGGATGCTCCTCCCTGCCCATGGGACACAATCTCGGTTGTGTGAGTGGCTTTGAAGGATTCCTGAACCATGGAAGACAAACACCTCACAGGAGCTGAATGCTGGACCACAGCAGGGATGGTGAGAAAAACCTGGCATTTGTAACCCTGAAGAGTGCAGACAAAGACTTCCAGCACTGCTGTTCCAGCAGCTCTCTTAGAATATTCTGGAGTCACAGAAAGCTACCTAGGTCCTCGATAAGAGACTCAAAATCAATGGGAAGGCCAGGTCCACAGAGAATCATCTCAAAGTGCTACATAGGGGGGCATTGCAGGCAACATGAATAAATTACTAAGTGCAGATAAAGTTTCAGGATGCTGTAAGAAAATAGGTAATCAAAAATACATATATAATCAAAGTGTTCAATCATATAGGAAACCTCATTTGAAAAGCAGATTCTACAAAGGAAAGAATTTGCTGGTTTTGGTGGATGTGGCAGGAATAACATAGAGAATAGCATGTTTTTATGGATCAGTGTTTCCAGAATCAAAAACAGAATGTAGTGGATTATCTACCTCATTATCTGAAATACACATCACCTTGTCCTCTTCATTATAATACACACAAACCATACACACACACACACATCCCCCTAGAATTTAATTTTTGAAATTTCACATACATTTTTCCAAGAACTCCGGCATCTTTTGTCTCGGCTGGTTTCTACTGCAATCCTATTAAACAAATACAGATAAGTTTATTATTTTCCACTGACAGGTAAGACCACTCAAAGCCAAAAGAAATTAAGTGATCTTGGCTCTTTTAATAAATCTATTAGGGTGCTTTGGGTAGCAAATAACATAAACCCAGTTCATATTGGCATAAGTAAACAGGGAAAAATGGGCTCATGTAACCAAAGCTATAGGGTAGCTTTCCTTGCCTAAAAGAATAGCTTGGTCTTCATTTTCAGATAGCTTCTCTTCTCTTGGTGCAAGACGGCTACCACCAGCTTCAGATTTCTCTCTCTTTTCATCTGATCAACCCCAGTAGAAATTACGTACCGCTCTTCAACATAAAACATATTTTGTTACAGAGAAAAAATGTGTAAATGAAGACTGTTTTTCTTTTTTCATAGGCTTTCCTGATGGATTAAGACTCTGCTGCTCAGTGAGGTATTTGAATTTTTGTCTTCATTTGTCTATTCCACACCCATGGCAGACATCATTAGTCAATCATGGCATATTTGCTGCTTTCAATCAGTAAGATCCAGTGTGTGAGTTGAAACCTTAGACCTCCTGCAAGCAAGGATGCAAAACCTGGTGTCATTGTCTTCATCTTATTCTTCTTTTACTTTTTGAAATTTCATCAATCACCTGAATGTTTTTTTTCCCAGAAGCCTCAATGATAAGCATTTCCCCAGTAAAACCTTAATGAATCAAATAACAGTGAAGTGAATCACTGAAGCATAGCTGTACTCTTCTTTAGCTTCTCCTTGGCCCTATTCTCTCCCCAACAGACCAGGAGCTTAACTCTAAAATCCAGGAAGCTTTCTGCAGAGCCATTCAGCCCAGCCCATACTGATTAAGAACAAGCACTCATTAATATTTCCCATAATGATGCCTTTTCAAATTAGAGCCTGAGTATTTGCTGCTACCGTATATCCAGCATAATCTCATTTGAAAGACTGCATCAACAGACCCTAATTTGGGCATTTTAAAGTAAACACAAAGTAGCAATGTCACATCAACTAATAACTCTGCAGAAATTACAGAGATACTAGCATTGCAGTGGGAAAGAAGAGCCATACACACTCTTTACCCTCCCTCTCCACTCTCCCTATCCCACACAGTGACCAACAGAGTCTGTGGAGAGTGGCAGCTCTGGTCTCCCATCCTGTCTTGCCCACAACTGGCATGTTGGTGCCCATGGTGGGCCCTCAGCATGAGTGGCAACAAGACAGAGCCAGCAAGTACCCTACAGGCCATTGAGTTGCTGCTGAATTAATAGGCTGGCAACAGGTAGTTGCAAAAAGATTTGCCACTGAGTTTGATGAGACAGCTTTCTATGCCTAAGAGAGCCATGGCACAAGGAAGCCTTTCTGCCAAGAGACCATGACCTCCCTTGGTGTCTTGGCTACTTATGTCCAACACATTAAGAAGCTGTTTCCAAGAGTAAAATAAAGCAGTCAAGCCCAGCGGGGACCTGGTGAGAGCATCGTCTGTGTCTTGGGTGGGAGGGTCTTGGACAAGGCTGCAGGAGGCCAGCCTCTGCTCTCAAGTGCTTGAGATCCTGGGTGAGAGGCAGGTGAGCACTGGGTCCTCCGTAATGCAGGTGGCAGGGAGAGTGACAGGGGGTGTCAGCAGGAACACAGAAGCGCACAGGCAGGAGTCAACGCAGTGGAACTTGGTCCAGGGAACAAAGCTTCCTGCAGCTGAGTCTTGAGAAGTGAGTAGGATTTCCACAGGCCAGGAGGCTATGCCAGGCAGGGGGAATGATGCCAGCAATGACGAGGGACCTCTGTCTGGGGTGTGTTCCCAGGTGAAGCAACCAAGCTTCATTTCTGTAGGCAGGAAGAGCCTACAGTGACTGATCAGAGGCATGGCTGTGAGAAGAGCATTTGCGAGGGCTCTGAGAGCAGCGCTTTCTATTAATCACTTTTTCAATTCATCACTTAACTTCACTGTCTCTTCCAGACCAATGCGTGTGCTAAGCTGTCATTTATTTACTCACAACTTCCACTGAGCACCCGTCTGTGCCTGTGCTGTACTCTGTCCATGAGGCGAGCACGGGCTCTTTCCAAGGTCATGTGGGTGTGAATGACCTTTGGGCCTCACGCACCTTGCTCAGCTCCTGGTCCAGAGTAGACACCTACAATTATGTGTTGAAAAAATATCTTCATATCAGGTCTTCAGATCGTCAGTCAGACAATCTGACCCATCACTTAAGGTTCTCTTCCTCATCTTGTTACCCACATGGCAGGTGGGTTCAATGGCTTGTCAGGTGACGTCCAATGACCACAGCCAAGGCGGGTTCAACAAGGGGATTTTATGTGGCAAGTAAGGAGGACATCATGGATAGTTTTTAAGCAGTGCCTCCCAGAACAAAGGTGAAAGCTGGGCTTTTACTGGGCTGGCTAGCTGAGTCATTAATCGTAGAGATGGAGTAAAGGGTGTCACTGGTCATGTTCCACATACCTCGCATGTATAAAAAATGGTAAATGGGCTGGGTGTGGTGACTCACGCCTGTAATCTCAGCACTTTGGGAGGCTGAGGCAGGCGGATCATGAGGTCAGGAATTGTAGAGACCAGCCTGGCCAACATAATGCAACCTCGATTTACTAAAAATACAAAAATTAGCTGGGTGTGGTGGCATGTGCCTATAGTCCTGGCTACTTGGGAGGCTGAGGCAGGAGAATCATTTGAACCGGGGAGGCATAGGTTGCAGTGAGCCGAGACCACACCATTGCACTCCAGCCTGTGTTACAGAGCAAGACCCCATCTCAAAAAAAAAAAAAAAAAAAAAAAAAGTGAATGAGCTCCTCCCTCCCTGGGTGGGGATTTTAGTACGCTAACAAGGGGAGTTCTCCAAAGTTTATCTCCAATGCAGGCAACTCTGGGTCAAACCCATTCTTGTTTTCCAGGGCTGAGATTCCTCTTGGAAATTTTTGAAACAACTCTGGATGCAATCGTTACCAGTGGGTGCTTGTTCACAGTGCATGCACAGAAACCTGTGGACCATGGGTTAGGCTCTTGCAAGACTTCCCTGAAAGATTAGACCTGGTCACTAACAACATTTGTCTGCATTTCCCCTTGACAAGAAAGTCAACTGTGTGACCAAGCCAGGCTCTCCAACCAGTCTAGATTCAGAATGGTTCCTGGAAGAGAAAGCTTAGGAGTCGCAGCTTGAAAGGTACTTCAGAGATGTTGTATTTGTCTTCCAGCCATCTATTCTCCCTTCTGCTGGTGCCAGCACCTCGATTTGCCTTGATGAATCATCCTCCTGTTGGTCTCAGACAATGTGGGTCTGGTGCCCAGCTCCTTCCTGTACACACCAGCTTGAGCAGTTGACAGCTGACTCAAGATGACAACTTTGCCATCCCATGACCCTCGAGGCTGCTTCAGGACCATGCATATTAAATAGGTCAGTCTACTATGGACCAATCCCACACATTTTTCTAGAACTGGGAAACGGGACATTGTCTTGTCTTAGGAATTGAAGCCAGTAAGGCTTGGTGGCTTCAATCTTGGTGGACTCCCCAAGAATTTGGCCAAGCAGCAAAAATAGAACCAGGAGATGGAGATGGCCAGGGTTTGATTAGAGTTGGGGAAAGGCTTTAGGTGGCTCTCCTGATGTGGCAGTTTCTAAAGAATAAGGATAGTTTTAGGTAATAAGAAAGAGACCCCTGGCTAAGCTGTAGTGCCAAGCATGCTGTCTGGTTACCAAAAGCATGGCTGACCAAAACCTTCTTCCAGAGTGGCCCTGGGAAATATTAGTGGGGGATTTACTGAAGGAAGAACTACACTGAGAGACTTCCATCCCAAAGTTGCAGCAATGGCAGATTTGGGCAAAAATAATAGAAAAAAAAAAGAAAAAAAAAACAGTGTAGTGTGTCTCAAATTATTCCACCTCTCTCCATCTCTATCACCACTACAAGCGTTTAGTCCACTGTTGCCTCGCCCTGAAAGACTAAAACCATCCTCAGTTTTCATCCACATCCTCCTGTCTTCCATTCTCCACAGTGCATCCAGAATCATCTTTTTAAAATACACATTCCGTTAAGTCACTTTCCTGCGTAAAATCCTCTGATGACTTCTCATTCAAATGAGACTAAAATCCAAATTCCTTACCAAGGCCTGTTTGGCCCTAAAAGACTTGTTCCCAATCTCCTCCTCTACCTCATTTCATGTGACTAAAACCCAGCCACGATGGCCTTTATTTTGTTTTTCAAAGACATCAAGCTCCTTCTGACCCTATGGCTTTGTTCTTGTGGTCCCTGTCACCTGGAATATACTCTCTCATACTTTCCTCATAGCTGAATTCTCAACCTTCTGTCCCAGCTAAAATGCCACCTCCTCAAAGAGTTCTTCTCCACCTCAATTAGTTTTTAACCTGGGTAACTCTGATAAATTGTTTTGTGACATTCAAAAATGTAACCATAGTGGCTCTAAATAATTGAAAGTCAGCTATGCAAAAATAGAGATTTTGTCTTTCCTTGTCAACAGCAGTTTTTTGAGGTCTTAGAAAGAGTTCCATATTCCATATTCAGTTAGTATTTGTTAGATAAGTGGCTGGAGGCTGACTGGATGGCTAAATGGTGATTGGACAAACAATGGTGATTGTCTATGCAATGTAGTTCCTACACGCTACTGAAAGCAGCCACCCTCAACCAGAAGCACTGGACTTAGGAAAGTTTGAAACCAAAGAATCTCCAGCTCTTAGAGCCACAGAGCACTTGGCAAGAAACAGGCTTCTCAGCAGACTACCATCAAGTGTAGAAGCAGACAATTCAGGTGAGAGCCAGCACCTTCCATTGCAATGACATTAAATCTGCTGGTAGGTGCTTGCAATAAACATATGTGTGCATGTGTCTTTATAGGAGCATGATTTATAATCCTTTGGGTATATACCCAGTAATGGGATGGCTAGGTCAAATAGTATTTCTAGTTCTAGATCCTTGAGGAATCCCCACACTGTCTTCCACAATGGTTGAACTAGTTTACAGTCCCACCAACAGCGTAAAAGTGTTCCTATTTCTCCACATCCTCTCCAGCACCTGTTGTTTCCTGACTTTTTAATGATCGACATTCTAACTGGTGTGAGATGGTACCCTAGAACTTAAAGTATAAAAAAAAATCTGGTAGGAACAAGTGCAAGGCGCCTTAGTTACTCATACCTACTTGCATTGAGATGATGACTAACTTCCACATTGCCATGTTATGCAACATGTCTTATTTTCCTTCACATGGGATGGGTGATGTGCTGATGGCATGACAACTGCTACCAGCCAAAACCTTTGCATTTTGCTAAACTAAGCTTCATAAATGAAGGAGAAATGCTAAGAAAAGCAAATGCTAAGGGAATTTGTCACCATTAGACTGGACTTACAAGAAATACTAAAAAGAGTTCTAAAGATAAATATGAAAGAGCAAAATTTGCCATCATAAAAGCACACGTAAGTAAAAAGTTCACAGATCCTATAAAGCAATTCTACAACTGTTGCTACAAAACAACCAGGTAACATTACAACAACAACAGAATCTCACATATCAATATTACCTTTTAATGTAAATGGCCTAAATGTTCCAATTAAAATATACAGAGTGGCAAATTGTATAGAAAAAGTAAGATTCAAACATTTGCTGCATACAAGAGATGCATGTTAGAGGTAAAGACAACCAAGCCTCAAAGAAAACTGATGGGAAAAGATATATCATACAAATGGAAAACCAAAATGAGCAGAAATAGCCATACTTATATGACATAAAACAGACTTTAAATCAACAGCAGTAAAAAAAGACAAAGGAGATTATTATATAATGATAAAGGGCTCAATTCAACAATAAGATATAACTATCTAAATATGAACCCAACACTGAAACATTCATATTTATTAAACAAATGCTGATAGAAAAGAGATAGACAGTAATACAATAAGAGACTAACGCCCTTCTGACAACACTGACAACAGAATATCTCAAATTAACAACATAATGTTGCACTGCAACGAGTTTAAAAAACAAAAACAAACAAAGCCTAAACCTAGTGGATGAAAAGAAAGAACAAAGATCAGAGCAAAACCAATGGGATTGAGAACAAAAAAAGATAAAAGGATCAACAAAATGACAAGTTTGTTTCTTGAAAAGATAAACAAAATTGACAGATTGCTAGCTACACTAAACAAGAAAGAGAAAATTCAAATAAACACAACCAGGAAAGATAAAGGTGACAATACACCTGATACCACAGAAATACACAAGATCACTAAAGACTACTGTGAGCATCTCTAAGCACACAAACTAGAAAACCTAAAGGAAGTGAATAAATTCTGGAAGCATACAACCTCAAAAATAAACCAGGAAGAAACAAATCCTAAACATACCAATAACATTTAATGAAATTTAATCAGTAGAAAAAAAATCTCCCAACAACAAAAAACAAAACCAGGCAGATTCATAAATTTTTCCAGATATACAGAGAAGAGCTGAAACTATTTTGCAGAAACTATTCCAGAAAATTGAGGAAGAGAGATTCTTCCTCAACTCATTCTATGCAACCAGTATTGCTGTAATATCAACATCAGGCAAGAACACAACAACAAAAACTACAGACCAGTATCTTTGATGAACAAAAATCCAAAGATCCTCAACAAAATTAGCAAACCAAATTCAACAGCACATCAAAAATATAATATATTATAATCAAGTGGGTTTTATCTCAGGGATTCAAGATGGCTTACCATATCCAAATCAATAAATGTGATTCACCACATAAACAAAATTAAAAACAAAATCATATGATTATCCCAATAGCTGCAGAAAAAGTATTTGATAAAATCTAATACCCCTTCATGATTAAAAATAATCTTAACAAATTAGCATAGAAGAAATATATCTCCAAATAATAAAAGACACATACAACAAACCATAGCCAACATCATACTGAATGGGAATAAGGTGAAAGAATTTCCGTGAAGAGCTGGAACTGGTCAAGAATGCACACTCTCAACCATTCTATTTAACTTAGTATGTCAATTCCTGACCAGAGCAATTAGGCAATAAAAAGAATTAAATAGCAAAAAACTGGAAAGGAAGAAGTAAAATTTTCTCTGTTTGCAGATGTCATAATAATAAACATAGAAAAATGTTACAACTCCACCAAAAACTATTAAGACTAATAAATAAGTTCAATAAACTTACAGAATAATCACATAAAACATTAATGTAAACGTGATTAACAAACATAACTTGTTTTTCTATACACAAATAACAAACTATCCAAAATAAATTAAGAAAACAATCCAAAGACAATAGCATCAGAAAGAATACATATGAATAAATTTATCCGAGGAGGTGAAAGATTTGTACATTGAAAACTATAAAACAGAGATAAAAATCTTAAGAAAAACATAAATAAATGGTGTGTATCTTATGTTTACAAATTTGAAAACTTGTTAGTGTTAAAATGTCTATACCACCCAAAGTGATCTACAGATTGAATCTAATCTTTACCAAAATTCCAATGGAATTTTTCACAAATATAGAAAAACAATCTTTGTATGAAGTCACAAAAGACTCCAAATAGGGCAAACTTGAGGAAGAGAAGAAAGCAGAAGGCAGCACACTTCTTGATTTCAAGCTTTACTATAAGGTTATAGTTAACAAAACGGTATGCTACTGGAATTTTAAAAAGACACAAAGACCAATGGAACAGAATAGAGAACCCAGAATACAGAGTCATCTGCAAACAGAAATAATTTGACTTCCCCTTTTTCACTTTGGATGCCTTTTATTTATTTCTCTTGATGACTGCTCTAGCTTAGACTTCTAGCACTATGTTTAAAAGAAGTTGTGAGAGTATGAATTCTTGTTCCAGTTATCAAAAGAAATAATTTGAGCTTTTGCCCATCAGTACGATGTTAGTTGTGGGTTTGCCATAGAAAGTTCTTATTAGTTTGAGTCATATTTCTTTGACGCCTAGTTTGTTGAGGGTTTTTATCATAAGGGATGTTGAAATTTATCAAAAGTTCTTGCTGCATCTATCAAAACGATCATTTTTTGTTTTTAATTCTGTTTATGTGGCAAATTCTGTTTATTTATTTGCATATGTTGAGCCAGTCCTGTATCCAAGATATAAAGCCTACATAATCATGGTGAATTAACTTTTGAATTTGGTGCTGGATTTTGTTTGCTAGTATTTTGTTGAGGATTTTTGCGTCTATGTTAATCAGAACATTGAATTTTATGTGTGTGTGTGTGTATGTCTTTGGCAGATTTTTATTACCAAAATGATGCTGGCTTCATAGAATAAGAATGATTTGAGTAAACTAGGTAGAGTTGGTCAAATATGATGGGAGAAAGACCACGACAACAAACAAACCCAACAATATGATTACTGAGCACTCTAATGGTAAGGAGAAATTAAGGCCAGCTGGTTGTTAATCTTTTCCTAGAAGCAGGAAGAAACAACTCACCTTCTTTGTTGAAAGCGAGCTGAAATTCCAGGAAGTAGTTGCCTGCACTTTTTTGTCACAGAAGCAGAAAACTTGTCTTCCCTTTTTGGAAGCAAGTAAAACTCCAGAAAAGAAGTTGTACAGCAAAATAAACTTCAGATCTTGACCAAATTTTGGGAAATCAAAAATTCTCTGGAGTGGGGAGATAGCTCAAACTGGTACCAAGCATTGATAGATTTGTCAAAGGTCAGGGACACCTCCACTCAGAATCCTCTATGGTTACCAACTTGTAAAGCAAAAAGTATCTGAGACAGGTCTCAATCAATTGAGAAACTTTATTTTGCCAAAGTTAAGGATGCGCACCACGGAGCCTCTCTCATTGCTAGCACAGCAGTCTGAGATCCAACTGCAAGGCGGCAGCGAGCCTGAGGGAGGGGAACCTGCCATTGCTGAGGCTTGAGTAGGTAAACAAAGCTGCCTGGGAGCTTGAACTGGGTGTATCCCACCACAACTCAAGGAGGCCTGCCTGCCTCTGTAGACTCCACCTCTGGGGGCAGGGCATAGCCGAACAAAAGGCAGCAGAAACCTCTGCAGACTTAAAGGATGCATCCATGCAACAACTTCGGGAGGGCCTGATAAACAGTCTCGCTCTGTCACCCAGGCTTGAGTGTAGTTGTGCCATCTCAGTTCACTGCAAGCTCCGCCTCCTGGGTTCACGCCATTCTCCTGCTTCAGCCTCCTGAGTAGCTGGCTACAGGCACCTGCCACCACATCTGGCTATTTTTTGTATTTTTAGTAGAGACGGGGGTTTCACCGTGTTAGCCAGGATGGTCTCGATTTCCTGACCTCGTGATCTGCCTGCCTCGGCCTCCCAAAGTGCTGGGATTACAGGCGTGAGCCACTGTGCCGGGCCATAGCTTGCTTTTATACATTCAAGGGAGGCAGAATACATCCATCAATACATGTAAGATTAACATTGATTCAATCTGGAAGGATGGGATGAGTCAAAGTGGTGGGGGAGGGGGTGCTTTTAGGTCCTAGGTAGATTTAAAAATTTTCTGATTGGCAATTTGTTGAAAGAGGTATTATTAGTAGTAAGGAATGTCTGAGTTCCAATAAGGGATTGCAGAGACCAAGGTTTTATTAGGCAGAGGAAGCCTCAATAAGCAGGCCTCAGAGAGAATACATTGTAAATGTTTCTTATCAGACTTAAGGTCTGTGTTTATGTTAATGCTGCAAAGGTAGTGTAGTGCTACCTCTAGCACTACACTGTTTCTTTCCTTCTGAGAAAGCCTGTGTTTTGATGAGCACACACATACACACACACACACATACACACACACACACACACATACACACACACACACACACACACACAGAGAACTTCTTTGCTATTAGATAATTTGGTTTGCTTTACTAAACTGTTCAACCATTCCTTCATTCATATTTGAAAGCCTATATAATGATACACACACACACATAGACACAAACAGAGATTTCTTTGCTATTAGAATTTTTTAAAAAATTTGTTTAAGCATTCATTCATGAAGGATTTGAGGTGATTACTGGACAAGAGAGTGGCAGTGCATCAGCAAGCAAAATACCAATGACCAAGATTGAGTGAGTGCTAAATTTAGAAAGATAAAATTGCTACTGCAATTAACATTTGAGGAAACCTACCTGGAAAAACACCTGGAGTCTAGGCATTTGGATTTAATTTACACCAAAATTGGAAAAGTAATGTTTAAGCCTAGGTCAATTTTTACTTTGTGGATATTGAGTAGATAAATGTATACTTTCCACAGGCAATTTGAACATTTTTTATGGGGAACAGCGGGGGTTGAGGGAAAAAGTTAGTACTATAGTTTTAAGGACTCTCAAAAGCTCTTAACATTTATATATATATATATGTATATATATGCCTGCTCTTACACAACTCATCCTCTGAATCATAATTAAAATTTCAGTGGCCACAACAAAACCTACTACACATAGCTACAGAACTTTAGCCTATCTTATTTATTCTTCGAGGAAGAAGCCCCTTACTCGTATTTTGAAACAGATTGCCTGTCTGGGCAACAGTTCCTCTTCTGTTTTTCAGATGAGAATCTCTGGTCACCTTGAACTTTCCCCTCGTCTAGTATGTATTCCCACAATGTATGTAGACTGCCCTGCCTCCTTCAGTTATGCTGCCTAATTTGGGTGTTCCCTCTTTTCTTTGTGGAGAAATCTAGAAATGATGCACGGTTCCCTAATACTGTGGAATGAAGTAGATAAAACTGATTTATTTATTTTTAGATTTTTAAAAAAAATTTTGGCAACATGCTAAACCTAACAACAATTAATTCACTCAGAAATAAGACAGTTTTAGAAAACATGCTAACCCCAAGGGCAGGCAGTATAAATCATGGTCTTTGGGATCTAGTTCCAGACTAACTTTCAGAGGCACTTAAAGAAAATTCTCATCCCTGCTATCCCTCTATTCCCTCATTCCCTGAAAGACACAAAGATAAAGGCCATCTGCTTCCCTGAAGTCTACCATCAGCCTCCCTAGGGAAGAGAAGCTGGATTTACAGCCACCCCCATTTCCATCCATATAATTTGCATTTGATTATGAAAACTAGTTTTACTCATAAAAATACTTGTAAAATAAAAGGTTATGGGGTGGTACAGCAACTCCTTTACAGCTAGCTTTGTAAAAGTGGGGACAGACTTAGACACAGTGGAGTTTCATATGGACAGCTTGAGGGCTGTCACTTTCACAGCGTGATTCTCAGCAATGTCTCACTTCGTAGACAAGGGGATGAGAATTCAAATAGGTTATCTAAAGAAAGTAATGGGAACTCTCAGTGAATCAGTTGACCAGATTTTCAGGAGTCTTTTTTTTTTTTTAATTTCACCCATTGTAATTGGGAAACTGTTCTAAAAATTCTTTTTAATCATCCTCTTATTTTTCTTCCTTTTCTCCCTCTCACCCCTCTATTCCTTCCCTCTCTAGAGTACCCTCCAAGCTTATCTAATTATGTTCTTGCTTAAGAAATGTCAGAAGGTAATCTTAGAACAAGTAAGGCATGGAGTCCCTGTGAAATTCTCCTGCTTAGGGGGAGTCACAATTAGTCCATCACATTAAGGCCAAAGTCAAGATAACACCAACCAGGCCTCCAGTTGGGTGATTAACCCTGACAGCCATCGCAACAAAGACACAGATGCTGCACTCCACACGGCTCCCACATGTCTCCCATAGCAAGTTTTTCTTTAAAAACCCTATGGTAATATTTAAAAATCTGTGATGGTATTTTAGAAAGCTAGTTTGCCATCCTTGGGGTTTGCTGCCTCTGATTAAACCTGCTTTTCCTTCCACCAACCCTCACCTCTCATGTCTGGCTTTTAAGTGGTAAGCAGCTGAGTCTGGTACAACCTCATATTTTGAAGTTAACTGGGAATTAACTGAAATTAACTGGAAATATTTTTTCTTGGTGCCTTATTGGTATGTGTTTGCAAACTTTTGTCATATTTTCACGTGATCATTGCCAGTGAACTGGTCCTGGGTGTGTGGTGTAACTGATGCATGTACAAGCTTTAAATAACATGCCCACGGCACTATTTCAAAGTTAGCATTCTTTAGGCTGTTTCGTCCTGTTTTGTCACACACCAAACCTCAATAACAGCATCCATGACCTGCACTCTCCAGTAGAGAATGGAAACCTTAGAGCTAGGACATGCAGTTACATTTTAATAAAACGGCTATTCTTGCCAAAGGAGCTTCTTTCACTTTTGTGCTCTACAGAAAGACCAAAGGGAGTAGCAGACACAGAACTTTGAATAACTGCTTTCTAACCCAAATGTGTCCAATGAGACAGAAAACAGCACTCATCTCAGCAGGTGTGAGGGAAAGTGGCTGAGAGATGCCTGCCTCTTCTGCATGACCCCTTTTTTCTCCAAAACCCAATCAGGTCATCCTGGAAAAGAAATCTTAACTGCATTAAGGGGAAATGGTTTTGTATGAACAGACTACCAAGACATTACAGAAGCATGAGGGTAGGCAGGTGGGAAGTAACTCACCTGACTCAAAACTCCCAAAAGTTTCTAGTAGCTTGATGACAATTACAATATTTATTTTAGCCAGATTAATGTTCATCTGTGGTATATCATTTTACAACAATGTGACTTCATAGCCTAAGCAACATAGCGAAACCCTGTCTCTACTAAAAATAAAAAAAATTAGCTGGGCATGGTGGTGTGCACCTGTAGTCAAAGCTACTTGGGACGCTGAGATAAGAGGATTGTTTGACCCTGGGAGGTCAAGGCTGCAGTGAGCCATGATCATGCCACTGCACTCCAGCCTGGGTGACAGAGCAAGACCCTGTCTCAAAAACAAAACAAAATAAAACAAAACCATAAAACAATATGACTTCATGTTTCTAAAAACTGAATGTATAGTATATATGCTTTGTAGATGGGTGTGTATCTACAGAGTATATATGATATAGATGAAATATTTTGTGACTTTTGATATGAGGTTGGTACAGGTGGATTTATTAGTGAGCCAAATGAAGCACATACCAAGTCAACGGTTCAAGTCCAGGCATTCAATGCTCTTTATGATTTCTATACATGTATCGTACCCATCCCATGCAGTGTAGTCACTGTCATGCTAACTCCAGAACTTACATGTCAGAGCCAGTGATGTATTTGTAGATAATCAACTTTGAACACTTAAATTTTTACTGGCAGATGATAATTATAAATCTGAATACTAACAATAACAACAACAACAAAACCCAGAGCATCTTGATTAGGAATTTTTTGTTCCTCGGAGTCAGTAGAATGACTATGTGGTTATGTTAGTCTCAAAATGTTTAATTAGTTGATACTGTTATTGCAAAAATTTTTGTATGTATTCTGTTTGTAGTAAGGAAAAAATAACAGTTTGAGCTTTTTTAAAAATCAAATATAAAGACTAGTTATGACAAAAAGTCTTTTTGTTCCTTTATTCTCAATTAATATAGATTAATTTTAAAATGCATTAAAGCAATAGTGAAGAAAATAAAAAGATGCCATGGAAGTCTTTTTCTCGTCATGTTTCTATGAAGAAATACACTTCTTTTAAAGAATATCTGGGGAGAGATGTAGATTTTAACTTTATAATCAGATTTTTCAGATGTACTTAAATATAAGCAGAAAAATTTTATAAACAAGTAAAATTAAGCAAATTCTAATCACCAGAAGCAGAACTAATTAAAACATGTTTTAATCGAAAATACTTCCTAGGTTTCTCCTGCCAATCTTAATTATTCATTTGAAGAAATAAAGAGGGACATGAAAAAAAGTTATTTCCTGAGATTGCCTTCTATTTTATGAGCCCTTCATTTACACTGAAATCATCTGAATAGACATGGTGCTCTTTTGTGTGTCTGGCTGGAGGACAGAAACTTCTACAGCTTTTTAATTCAGCAGTTGTATCCATAATTTGCTGTCAAACTCTAAAGTCAGGGAGCCCAGATGAGAACGTAGAAACTGATTGAAAGTAGATTTCTCCCTTAAAATCTAGAAGGATGCTTAGTGAGCCTGAGAGTACTGTCAGACCACCTTCTGCTGATTTCTCTTTGGCAAAATAAAGATTAGCCACCAATCTACCAAATGCCACCTCATTTTAATGCCTGGTATATCCACATTCTCCATCAATGATCCCAGACATAAGTGTGTGGGAGACACAACTATGTGAGTAATTAGGAGATTAAAATGTTTGGGGGAGGCAACATAAATCCAGGAAGAGGTGAATTAGCAATATGGGAGCATGGAATTCTATGTCAAGGTGGGTGACATGGGTGGGTGCTGTCACTTCATTCAATTGGTACATAAGGCAGTTGGGAGAGGCAGATTAGAAAATATAATAGTTGAGCTGAATCCTAAGAGAAGAGCAACTGTCCCTTCCATGTTCAGGACTTTACAGTCAGCACATCTTCCCCATGCTTTCTCATTGCTCATTCATCCCCAGTGGAAAAGCAGGGGAGGCAAAGTCTGTATGCTGAAGCAGAAAGACTGTTTGTTGGACTTAGAAAGTTACAGAAATAGGTAGGCCTAGGATAATATTATTGGCAATAATGCTGCTTTTAGTGCTTTACCTACAGAGCTTTTTAGCTCACTGTGGATAGAAATAGGGTTGATGGAGAGTGGTTATGAACATAGACTTGGGAGCCGGGCTGATTGGGAATTCAAGTCCCAGCTCCACCTTTTCTGAGCAGTGTGATCCTGGATGCCTCAGCTCCTACTATTTCAGCTTTCTCATCAGGGAAAAAACAGATAATAATAGTACTTACATCATAGAATTCAGAAGGTTTAACAGATTAACTCAGGTTAAGTTAGGTAGGTGAAACAAGGGAGAAGCAACTGTTCAGACATGGAATTAAAGGGAATTGAGAAGAGGAGGATTTAAAATTTGAGGCTGTATAACAATCATTTAGGTTGCCTCTTAAAAATTTAGATTCCCAGGCCTCAGCCCCAGGCATTGAGACTCAGTAGTTCTGGGGCCCAAGAGGCCATTTTATAAAAGTAAATTTACAAAAAGTCGCCAAAATAACTCAGAGTTTCTGAATACCATTGCCAGTTTTCCCCTAATGCGAACATCCGAACATCTTATTAACATGGCACATTTGTTAAAACTAAAGTCAGTGTTGACACATTACTCTTAACTCCAGACGTCATCAGATTTCCCACTCAAGTTCTTTATCTGTTCCAGGATCAAATCCAGGATACCACACTGGACTTAGAAAATCTTCATTTTTCATAAGCTCTTTCAGTGGAAGAGAGGCAGGGGAGCTGAGGACCACATTTTGAGAAAACACTCAGACATTCAGAGAACCAAACCAAAATTGCTACCTCCCCAAGTTGGGGAGGTAAGTGCAATTTTAAGGAAGATAATTGATGGAGCAGGTGTAAATAAAAGGTTAATTTTAGAGTTAGAAGTGGAATGCTTTCCATTAGATGGGAGGGGGTTACCTTCAGAACAAGGAATTTCATGCCAGAGGAAATAGTTGGTTTTGGAAGGTGGGGGTGCAACCTCAACCTCAGTCTAGATTGAGAATACATGACGAGGGTTGTGAGTAGGTCAGGAGAATAGGTAAGTGCAGCAAGTTGGGAAGAGCTGCTTTGGAGAACACAGGATTCACATAAGTGATGAAAGGGAGTTACAAGGGGTCAGTTAGTCTGTAAGCCACATACAGCCTGCATGCTCTGGAATCCGGTGCTAATAATGCTTTGGCAGTGGGTCATAATGACCAACATCAAACATTGCAGAAAAAGCAAGGATAACGCTGGAAGAATTTTGTTTAAAGAGGGTCCTAAGGGTCTTGGGTGAAGCAGCTGGTGAAAGAGAAGGTGGAAAAACACTTGAAGCTCTACCTGTGGAAGAGTCAGTTATCACACCAAGGAGACACAGGAGCCACCAGCTTGGGCTGACAGGTAAGAGTTTGTAGAATAGACAAGGTGGAAAAGACAAAGCGATTTTTCTTACAAGAAGGTAGCAGCCTAATTTGAGAATCAGTGGAGGTCTTTTGAAGAAGATACTACTGGTATTTTATTAAAGACCTTAAATTCTGGTACTATCACTGAATTTTCCTAATCACATTAAAATTGCTTAGCTCCCTTACAGCAGTTGTAAGAATCACCTAACCTGTTCCTCTTTAAAGAATATTAACGTTATTTCATTGGACTCAAGATTCTCATAATTTTTATTCTATTTCACTTTCCCAGTTAGTTTTTCTTCTTGTACCCTGGAGATCCTAAACCACAAGCTGATATTCTTAAAATTTATTTCACATTAAGTGCATGTTCTGACACTTGCCGAACACATTTAAAATAGTTGAATGGAAATTGCCTTAGAAACTTGTGTTATAGGGGTGCAGACTTCACTGAAGGGCTCCTACATCTTTTGCCTTGCCTGCTGGCACAATGTCAGGCCCAATCAGGTCTGGAAGTGGCTGTTGAGTAGATTTAAGTTTAATCCTTAACTTGATAGATTCTGGGCGTACTCTACAGATCCTGCGTAGAAACTAGCACTTACCTGGGAGATTTCTCTGCCGTCTGTGAAATCATTTTCCAAGTAGTTTCATATTCAACAATGCTGTGTGAAGGAACAGTCAGGCCACAGTCATCTTAAATGTGCTTAGGGAGAAGCCTTTGCTGACGAAAAATTCAAGCTAACTTGCATACTGCAGCTAAACTAGTTTCCAGAAACACTGCATGAGCTGAATACAGAACAAAGAATGATTTGATTTTTGGTTAAAATTGGCTTTGGCATTTTTTTTTAAATCAAGAAATAGAGTATTTAGAAATGTAAAAAAACTAGGTCAAAAATGAACCTTGAATTGTGATAAAATTGGGATTTAGTGTTGTTGGATTTTAATAACATGTGGGCATATTGGTTACATAAAGAGGAAATGTGAAGGAAAGGGCCGGGATAAGATTTCTCCAGAAACACTGAGCTCTAAGCAGTCACCTTAGGGTGAACCACATGAAATTGCCATTAGACAACCATTTTTGACTTATAAGAATGGCAATTTCACTTGGTTCAAATGTATATTTCAAATCTTTGTCTTTTCCTTGTAATGATGTAAAAGTTCAGTTCACAATATACTGGAGTTAAAATTTCACTGGTGGCTGTATTACAACAGTTGAAATATTTCCTAGATATCAAACTATAAGAAAACTGCCATAGTTGCCACTGTACTAGCAGCTTGGTTTCCATGCTCAGCACGGATGATAAGCCACACATGCAGACTCTTTTAGATAGTTCACAGTTCCAGCTACTTTGGCTGAGGTTCACACTGCCAGGTTCTGGGGCCCTGCCACCTCACATTCTCACATAACATTTGTCAGAAAACCTACCCACTTTCAGTGACATTTATATTCTTATCCTAAGTTGACCCAATTTCCCAATTATCAAAATGACTGTGTTGCCTTCTAGAATTCAAGCCAAAGGGGAGAGCAATGTTACTGATTTTTATTCTACTGACTTACTCCTGAAGTCACAAATTCATGTCCAGTTCTTCTCTCCCAAACTGTTTTTTGAACCTTTGACCACTCATATATGTCAGGATTTCTGCTTATTGTCATATTATATGCTGCAAACTTTCTTATAAACAGTAATTTATAAATATTTTCTTTTAAGTTAAATGAGATCATTGATTTTAGTCAGCACTTTATCAAGATAAGGTGATAAGTTATTTAAAATTTTACCTTAGGTACTAAAGAATTAAAGATTTAGTGAGAATCACTGAAGCTGAGTGGCTAGACTCTTAGTTCTAAAAAACAACCTAACTGATTTGATATATTTTTAACTAAAATGTAAGCTTGAAAACAGTGTGCGAAAGTCAAATTATGTGGTTTGTCACCCTCTGTACAGCAACACTAATTCTACTTTTTGTACTTCCAATTTTTTTTCTGTGTAATTGAATACTTCAAACACCTCTTGTTCTAATTCTGTACTATTTCTGGAAATCCTTTCTCTTTTGTATATTTACATAATTTTATATCCTAATAAGCATATTATGCTTTTTTCTCACAGGCACAATAACCATTTATTCAAAGATGCCATCTAATGCACTATGCCACTAAGTACTGTGGCTGGACAGTGATTTTAAGTGTAACAAATTATCTTCACTTTGAAAAGAGCTTAAGAGAGAGAAAACAAATATTACATCTTAAACAGAGGCATGAATCAAACCAACTTATGAACGGTGAAAGCAACTTATCAAAATGTCTTCGGACATATCAAGACTGACTTAAACCATGTAAGTTAGGCAGATATGTAACATAATGTAATTACAAGTGTTATGAACACATTGGTCACATTTTAATTAAAACAGTTTATCAGGTTTTATTTTAATGTAAACATGAGAAATAAAAACCACATAAATTATAGATAGCATTTATCATTTGAAAATAAAACTGCAATAAATACTTAAATCTCCAAGCTCTAAACTCCATAAACAATAATTTTTGAGGAAGTAAGATTTCTAAGGTTTATGGAAGTTCTTTTTTGTAAACAGCAGGACATGAAATATAATACCTGTAGCCAGGCTAACAGGTGGGATAATAAAATGTTTAATCACCTGCTACTATTAGGGTCCAATTCCTTCTAATCTGTTACATGTAAATTAACACTGATCATATTCTTCCTTTACCACATGTAGGGAAAATAATTTTAGGTGATCAACGTAGATAACAGCCCTGCTAAGAACTACTTTAAAAGAGAAGAGGGCACTTTATAAAAATACAAGAATTCCAAAAGTCTTAGTGTAATTTTAAGCTTTGATACTTGTACAAGTATCAGTGCTACAAACATTTACAAAACATCATTGGAAAGTTTATTATATTGCTTATACATGTATTTAGTTTTGCAATTCTTTAAAGGCATAGGGTCTCACTATGTTGCCAAGGCTGTAGTGCAATGGCTATTTACAGGCACAATCATAGAGCACTGCTGCCTCCAATGCTAGGCCTCAAGTGATTCTCCCACTTAAGACTCATGAGTAGCTGGAACTACAGGCATGCCCAGCTCCTAAATATTAAGCTTTTAATTTTTTGTTTCAGCGTTTCTTGGAGACAGCAGATATTGACTGAAACAAAAAGTTAAAAGCTTAATATTCAGTTTTTGCAAAATAAAACCAGAGGTGGTGGTACTACACCTATAGTCCTAGCTACTTGGTAGGCTGACATGGGAGGATTGCTTGAGGCCAGAATTTCCAGGCTGTGGAGTCATGATTGTGCCTCTGAATAGCCATTACACTCTAGCCTGGGCAACATAGTAAGACCCCATCTTTTATAAAAAAGAAAAAATAAATACTATGAAACTTTTGAACGGTATTTTATAAAGGTTTATAGCATATATACATAAGCTGCCGTGCACTGGAGGGTCTAAGCACACTACATTAAAACTAGAATCTGCCCTGAAACTTTCAGATCACATCACTTATTATTATTTTTATATCACCACTGGATCATCATGTGGTTTGGCATTATGAAAATATCTCTCAATACATTTATTTAACAAATAAGAAAATTTATCAGCAAATAAAAAATAAGTAAATAAATAAATAAAATTCACACACACACACAAAAGGATCATTATAGTTTATAAGAAACATACCATGGACCCTAATACAAGTAGGTAACCAATAACTAATAGTTTTTCTTTTGTGACCCCAAACATGCTAAAATGCTAGCAAGTAATGCTTACAAAAGATATGAATGGCAAATGAACTCCATCAGCTTTTGTTTAAAATGATTGCCAGTGACGAGCAGCTCCGATGGTAAAAGTAGGCAGGTAGAACCCTTCAACACCTGAAAATGAGCGGTCTGCTTCTAGTGGCTTCATGAGTTATTACAGTCCCATGTTTTAATAGTAATACTGCATTTATTTTAAATGTGTCTGCAGCAATATTGGGGGAAAAGAAAAATAGAAAAGAAACAGAAAATTATGTCTGAAATCTAAAAATTTAAACTATTGTTTTAAAACCCTTACATAGTTCACAGCTATTAGTCCACACACAGAAAAAGATATCTATGTATGGGCAAGAAGTCTTCACTTTGGAGTAGTTTTTATACCTGTTTACGTTTAAAAAGACAGAAGAGTGTACGAGAGTTGTTGCACTGCAACGATCCCATTTTTTTCCTGTGGAGTGCAATCCTAGTTGCCCACAAGCCTCTCAACTTTGAGATTTTTCTTCTTTTGAAAATACTAACTTTTCTAGTTGTTGAGCATGAGAGGTAATATTTTCCGAACTTTTTTGATGAGGGGTTCACATGATATAGCCCCTCATTTCTTCCTTCAAGAGTTAATGGCTTTAGAGCGCTGAAGATTAATGAAATTATCAGCGCTGAAGGACCTTCACTATAAAAGATTTTGGCGTCTTCCATCCTTGAAATAGCCTAAGAAAGTAAATGAAACAGAAAAGAGGTACAATTTTAAAAAGGGCTCCAGCCTTTTAACAAGCACCATTGATGATAAGCCAGACATGCAGACGCTCCTTTAGATAGTTCACAGTTACAGCTCCTTTGGCTGAGGTTCGCACTGCCAGGTTCCGGGGATGCTACTCCCTGCCACCTCACTAAGGTAATCTCCTTTAAGGGCTATGATTAGATTGCTGGAGCAAAGGAAAATTTATAGTTTATTAATCTATTCAGAGTCTACCCCATCTGCAGTAGTTATTATATCCTCAAAGCAAATTTGAATGAAGCAGATGTGTGCAGGAGTGCACTGGAACATCAAAGAGGTCGAACGACTAAAGCAGCAAAAGGCAGAACCTGGCACATTAATTATGGTAGAAGGTATGTTATTCTAAAGTACTTCTAAGGTACCACAGAAAGTACTAATTATAAATATGCATCCATTTCAGTTGCAACTTTGCTCACAACTGAAACCAGAAGTCACAAACCATAAATATTGCTTTGCCCCCCAAAAGTTACCATTTCCAGTAAAACACATGTACTTCTTGCATCACTACCTGAGACGCTCATACCTTATACAGACTAAGTGTAGGTCTCTTGGCTTAAGCACTAATGCTTTGCCTAACAAATTTATGGAACTGGCTGCACTGTAATATATACAATAAAAAATGACATAAATTTGCAAACTAAGTAATAAAAAACAGGCAAAAGTGGTAAGTGCATTACATATGCAGATATCATTTAAAATAGAATTGCAAGAAATTATTCATGTATGCTTACTTGAAAGGGCAAAGATTCAAAAAGAATACCACTAAGACTGAATTAAATTTGGTTAAAAATATTCTGAATTATGGTCACAGAAGAGATCTATAATATTTAAATAATGTGGATTCTTGTATAAACCATAAATGATACAGGAAATAAGCTCTTCAGTATGTAAGTTAATTTTGGAGCTTTTCATTTTTCTCATCACTACTTAATCTAATCTAGTCACAGATGTTGGCTTTGGTGGTTGACAGAAAACCCCCCTTAGTGACTTTATCGCCTTACTTCCAGGTTCTGTGCCCTTTCTTTGTTGAGAAGATAAACTGGAAAATGCAAGCTATTGTCCTTTGCCAAGGATCGAAGATCAAAATAGTACTTGGCATAAACACTTCCAGAAACTTCGACGTTATAGTCAATTAGCTGCAAAAACTGTCTTTCAAGCTCATTCCTGTGGGAGGAGAAACACAAGAAAACCAACATGGGACAATGTTAGTCCACTGGGCTATCTTCAAAAACATTATTCTGATGTAAGAAATGTGATAAAGCAATTATAAGTTCTAGTTCTTTAAGAACACATGAAAAAGCACACACTAGAGAGAAACCCTATTATGTAATAAATATGGGAAAGCCTGGAATTTTCTCAGTTCTCTTTGAAAACTTAGAAAAACTCATACTGGGGGAAAAGCATAAATGTAAAACATGTGATAATAAACTTGATTTTCCCACTTGCTTTTAAAGACATTTTAGGATTTAAAATGGAGAAAAACCACAAAATTTTAAGAAACATGGTAAAGCCTTCGGTTTTTGTCATTTCTCTTTGAAAACATAAAAGGGTTCAATGAAGAAAAGCCTTATAAATACAAACATATGGTAGTGTTTTACTCGTTCCAGTTCCACCTGAAGACAAGAAAAAACTCATTTCTGAGGTAAAACCTATGAATGTACAGAATGTCAGAATGCCTTTAGTTGATATTCACTCAAAGACCCATGATATTACATGCTGTAGAGATGGACCTTATAAATATAAAAAAAGCACCCTGAATTGGAACCTCAGTAGTTTACAAAATACAAGAAAGTTTTCAATTTTAACATATTTTTCAAAAGTTGTGTGAAAACTCCCACTAGAAAATAATTCTATAAATGTTGCTAAAATGAAAAGTCTGATGCCAACTGATTATTTTATAATCCTCAAAAATGCACATAAATTTTATATGACTTTTAAATATTTTGTGTTTCTCAGTGGTTCCTTGTTACAGAATGTCTCTTCACTTTATATTTTCACTTCTTTTGCAAGAAAACATTAGGGTGAGAATTTTGTAGATACCCTTCAAACAATACTACATAAGTTTAGTTCATGTACTAAACATGTAGTGGTTTTTTTCTGTTGTCATTTAATAAAATTTATTTCTATTCATTTAAAAATATAATTCTGAGCTACTAGGATGTCTCTAAATTCTGTTTTGAAACAAATAAAGGCTACCCAGTTGGATTCCTATGCTAATGTCCAAACAAGGCACAGTTGCTTGCAGTCCCTTCTGCATCCAGCACCCTGACTCTGGGATGGGGAGAAAGGTGACCACCTCTCATGCATATGTGCTGCTGACTCGGGGCTCATTCTTGAGAGTTCCCTTAGTGCAGGTGCACAGCTCAGACTCCATGCTCACTCACAAGGCCCCACAACAGTGATCAGATGACAGGAATGATGAATGCCATTTATTAGCTCTGAAGAACTTGCAGACTTTTTCACAAGGATAACAAAAAGAGGCTTACTGAAGTCAAAAAACACCAACAAAAGCCATGGGTACAACACCATGGCAACAAATGGATCCATGGAGAGCCACCCTGTTATTTCTGAGGAGGAAAAACTCCAAAACAACAAGGATTGGTCTCAAATACATACATAAGCTACATTTGATGGGAAAGGGAATCCCTCCCCTCTGCCTCAGTGCATGAGGCTATGTCAAAGGGCATAACGCCAGTTTCTACTCACCTTGAAATTATGAAGGTGAGAAACTGTCACTAGACAGGACAGGAATACTCTTTAAACACTGGAAGGCAGAGAGATTAAAGAGAGACATCTTGGCTAGACTAAACTCACTTTATGATATGACTTCTGGCAGGGCACTGGACTTACTCAGTGTTTCTCCTGAGCTGGAAATAAAACCCTAAGGTGCTCAGCTTCTGTCACCCACAGACAGAACAGAATGTGGGGGATGAGTTGAAGGCAGTGGGAGAGATAAAGGCTGAGAACAGCCTTCTGTCACATGATCATAGAGCTGCCCTTGCCTATTTTTTTTTTTTGTTAAGAAACAGGGTCTCAGTCTGTCACTTAGGCTAAAGTGCAGTGACATGATCCTAGCTAACACCAGCCTCAAACTCCCGGGCTCAAGCAATCCATTTACCTAAGCCTTTCAAGTCACTGCGACTACAGGCTCATGCCACTGAGCTGGGCTAATTTAAAGGAAAAATTCAATTAAAGACAGGGTCTTTGTTGCCCAAGCTGGTCTCAAACTTCTGTGCTCAAGTGATCCTCTTACCTTGGCCTCCAAAAGTGCTGGAATTATAGGTGTGAGCCAGTGTACCTGGCTTCTTGTTAAATGTTTAAACAAATGAATATAAAATAATATAGAACCACTTTCACAGTAATCCCTGTAAAGACTTAATTGTATAAAAACAATCAATACCTGAACAACATATTTAGTTTCTTGGTTTTAAAGTTTTAATATCTTATCCACTGGCTAAGTCAACAAATGTTTGATGTTCTCTGGAAGAGCAGTTAAAATATGAGCAGAGATGTAGTTTTCTCATCTGTTTAACTGAAAACCCATCTGAAACTATTTCCAACATCAATTTCCTGTTCATATGACCGTAAGGCTATAGAAATGTAAATCAGACAATGTTTTAATAATCAGCTAATCAGGACTTTTGTATTTATTTGTTTTATATTATCTCACATTTTTCCATGAACACATTTTGACTGTGTAGAAATACAATATTTTATTAAATTATTACACCTATTAATAGAGGTTTAGTTACTGAAGATAAGCATAGGCCTACAGGATATGGATCTTCTTAGTTTTTTTTGTTTATTTTTTTTAAATGACTGAACAGCATACCCTTTACAGGCACAGCACATTTTCTTAAGAGCAGCTGCTCAGTTTAACTGATATTTTGAAGGAAAATATATTCCAACAAGACATGAAGATGTTGAAGAGTTTTAAGAAAAACCCAATAGACACTCATTTTTAAATGGTCCAATTTACAGTCAAAACAAGATTATTATGCATAATCAACAGCAGGGAGACAAGGTAAATGTATATTCAACACTTTGTTGTAATGCTTTCCAGTTTCCAAAGATCATAAACAAAAGCAGCCTTTGCAGAGCATAGCTTCTGATGCTTCCACATTCACAAACAGCATTGTGTAGAACTGGGTTTCTTACAGCAGGCCTCTGACACCACTGCCCCTGGAGCTCACGTCTGTGAGAACTTGCACATTCCCTGACCTTGTAACTACAACTAGAGCTCAGCCAGCTTAGTTGCAAGTTTTGAGAATAATTTAGCTGCAATTATAGCAAAGCTAAGTGTTCATAATGACAAATTTTGTTTCCTTTGAGAAATCAGTCTGCAGACTGATGACAGTAGTGATCAAAGTCAGTTTAGTGTCTGCAACTTTCAAAGTACTTCTGTTTCAAATTAATTTTCTGTCACATCTTTTGCTAAAATGGCTACTAGCAACATCACCATCATCACTCGTTTATACTATCAGCAAAGTGGTCATTTTCACCAACAGCCATTTCAACAGCAACCAACAGTCACTAGTCTTTTGTTAGTCACAACATCCTCACTTCAATTGTATATTATGCACAGTGTAGTAATTCTGAATGATAGCCTTTTTTTGGCGGGGGGGGGGGGGGGGCGGGGGATGAAGTCTCGCTCTGTCACCCAGGCTGGAGCGCAGTGGTGAGATCTTGGCTCACTGCAAGCTCCGCCTCCTGGGTTCACGGCTTTCCTCAGCCTCCCAAGCAGCTGGGACTACAGGTGTCCACCACCATGCCCGGCTAATTTTTTGTATTTTTAGTAGAGATGGGATTTGACTGTGTTAGCCAGGATGGTCTCGATCTCCTGACCCCATGATCCGCCTGCCTCGGCCTCCCAAAGTGCTGGGATTACAGGCGTAAGCCACCGAGCCTGGACGAATGATAGTCTTTTTTAAAAATTGTGCATACATTATAGCTTTATATATTCATAGGGTGTATAGGATATTTTGATACAGGCCAACGATGTGTACTAATCCTACCAAGGTAAATGAAGTATCCATCACACATTTGTCCTTTGTGTTACAAATAATCTAATTATAATCTTTTCATTATTATTAAATGTACAATTAAATAATTACTGACTATAGTCACCCTGTTGCGCTATCAAATACTAGATCTTATTCTAAATACATTTTTGTACCCATTAACAATTACTTCTTACTCCCCATCCCCCATACTACCTTTACCAGCCTCTGGTAACAATTCTTCTACTCTCTATCTGCACAAGTAAAATTGTTTCAACATTTAGCTCCCATAAAAAGTGATAACATGGGAAGTTTGTCTTTCTGTGCCTGGGTTATTTCACTTAACATAATGAGTTAATACTCCATTTCATTATACTCCATTTCCATCCATGTTGTTATTGCAAATAACAGAATCTCATTATTTTTTAAGGCTGAATAGTATTCCATTGTGTACATGTACCTTTTCTTTATCCACTCATCTGTTGATGGACACTCGGGATGCTTCTAAATCTTAGCTATTGTAAATAGTGCTGCAACATACATGAGAGTGCAGGTATCTCTTATCTCTGATATACTGAGTTCCATTCTTTTGTGTATATAGCCAGCAGTGGGATTGCTGGATCATATTGTAGCTCTATTTTTAGTTTTGAAGACCCCCAAACTGTTCTCCATAGGGGTTGTACTAATTTACATTCCCACTAACAGTGTACGACTGTTCCCTTTTCCCCATATCCTATCCAGTGTTTGTTATTGCGTGTCTTTTGGATAAAAGTAATTCTAAGTGAGGTGAGATGGATGTCTCACTGTAGTGTTGGTTTGAATTTCTGATGATTAATAATGTTGAGTATCTTTTCGTATATCTGTTTGCCATTTGTATGTATATTTTAAAGTTTTGAAACAGATCCTCACCCTATTACCCAGGTTGGAGAGTGGCACAATCACAGCTCACCACAGCCTTGACCTCCTGAGCACAGGTAATTTTCCCATCCAGGCCTCCCTTGTAGCAGGAACCAGAAGCATTTTCCATCAGCAGCTAATGTGTCTTCTTTTGAGAAATGTTTATTCAGATCTTTTGCCCATTTTTAAATCAGATTATTAGTTTTTTTCCTACAGAGTTGTTTGCACTTCTCATATATTCTGGTAATTAATCCAGATAGTTTGCAAATATCTTTTCCCAGTCTGTGGGTTGTCTCTTCACTTTGTTGTTTCCTTTGCTGTGCATAAGCTTTTTAACTTGATGTGACTTCATTTGCCCATTTTTGTTTTGGCTGCCTGTGCTTATGGAGTATTAAAAAATCTTTTTCCAGTCCAATGTCTTCAAGAATATTCCTAATCTCTTATTTTAGTTTCATAGTTTGAGGTCTTAAATTTAAATCTTCAATGCATTTTGATTTGATTTTTGTATAAGATGAGAAAAACTAGTTTCATTCTTCTGCATATGGATATCCAGTTTCCCCAGCACCATTTATTGAAGACACCATCCTTTCCCCATTGTGTATTATTGGCATCTTTGTTGAAAGTGAGTTCACTGTGGACTTATGGATTTGTTTCTGAGTTTTCTCTTCTGTCTCATTGGTCTATGTGTCTGTTCTCATGCCAGTGCCATGCTGTTCTGGTTACTATAGTTGTAGAGTATCATTTCTATTCAAACAATGTGACTCCTTCTGTTTTGTTTTTTTCGTTTTTTCCTGAGAATAGCTTTGAATATTCTGTGTCTTTCGTGGTTCCATATAAATTTTAGGATTGTCTTTTCTATTTCTATGTCTATGAAGAATGTCATTGGTTCTTGCAGATATGTAGAGGTAGCACATTAGTGATCTCGGATTTGATCTGGAAGAATTCTCTGCATTAGCAGCCAGAGACTCATTTCTTCTCTTACTTTCCCCCAAACAAAAAGAGTCTCTCTGTGCTGAGCTTTCTGGAGTTCGAAGATGAGTGATACAAGCACCCCTGTGGCCACTACACCTAGGACAGCACTGGGTCTGATCTGAAGCCCACACAGCACTGTTACTGCCCAAGGCCTCTACTGTAACAACTCCCTGGCTGCCAGCTATTTTGCAGTAAGCCCCAAGGCTCTACAATTAGCAGGTAGTGAAGCCAGAGAACCTTCTGTCCTTCACTTAAGTGTAGTAAGTTCCCCCGGCCCCTGGATGGGTTCAGAGGTGCTGTCTGGGGGCTAGGGCTGGGGTTATAAACCTTAGAAATCCACCTGGTGCTCTGTTTTACTGTGACTGAGCTGGCACTAAAACCATCAAACACCTTTCCACTCTTCCTTCCCCATTACCCAGGCAGAGTAGTCTGTCCCCATGTTCACCAGCATCACAATCCCCTGGGGTGTACTGCCAGGTCACCACTGATGTTCACTAAGGCCCAAGGGCTCTCAGTCAGCTTGTGGTGAATGCTGCCTGGCCTGGAACTCACTCGTCAGAGCAGTGGGCTCCCTTCTGGCCCAGGGAAAGCCCAGAGATGCCATCCAAGAGCCAAGGCCTGAATCAGGGACCCCAACAGCCCACTTGGTGCTTTTCTCCACTGTGGCTGCTCTGGTGTCTAAGCTCAAGACAAAGTCCTCTGTACTCTTCCCTCAGATTTTCTCAAGCAGAAGTTGTCTCTCCTCATAACCACCACAGTTTGGAATGTGCTGGGTCACACATGAAGCCAGCAGATCTCTGAGGCTCACTAAAGACCCATGACATGTACTACCTGCTTACCACTGCTGATTATTCAGGGTCCAAGAGCTCTTTAGTCAGAAAGTGATGAATCCTGCCCTTACTGATTCCTTCCCTTCAAGGCAGCAGGTTCCCTTCTGGCCCAGGGTTTGTCTAGAGGTATTATCCAAAAGCTAGGACCCAAAATGGGAGCCTCATGACTCTGACCAGTGCCCTCTCCTACTGTGGCTGAGCTAGTATCCAAGTTGCAAGACAAAGTCCTCTTTACTCTTTACTCTTCTCAAGCAGAAGAAAGAGGTCTCTGTCAGAGCTGTGAGCTACACTGCCTAAGATTGAAGGAGGGGTGGTACAGCACTCCCTGGGCTGCCCCATCTGCTGTCTCTCTAGGTCACATGCCCCCCAAATACACCGGCTCCAAGCCCAGCACAACACTCAGACTTGCCTAAGAGTTGCGGTCCTTGTGGCCTAGACAGTCTTTCAAGTTTATTAAGGACCCCAGAATACTTTATCCCACAGCAGTGAGGCTTTCCACAACTCAGTTTTCAGCCACTGGGATGGGTGATTCCCTTCAGGCTAGGGCTAGAAATGTTCCATCCGTGGGTGGGCACTGGCTGAGTTCAGCCCAGTTTTGCTTTCTGCTATGACAACGCAGCACTGAGTTCAATGCAAAGTCTCACACTGCTGTGCTCTCCCTTCCCCAAGCATGCAGATTCTCTTCTTGTCACATGGCCAATGCTAGGACATAAGGGAGGGCTGGCATCAGCAACTCAAGACTGTCTTTCCTACCGTGTTCACTGCCTTTTTCAGTGATACAAAGTTTAAACCAGGTACTATAATTATTTAGCTATTTTTAGTTCTAATAAAGGTGTTTTTTATTTAGATAGTTACTCAATTTGTTATTCTTATGAGGAGAACAATTGGCAGAGACTTCTAATCAGCCATCAAGCTCTACTTTTGTGATCACATACATTCTGGATGGCAGTCTTATCTGGAGTAACGGGCAAATGTAAAAAAACAAACTCTTGCCACTGCCTGTCATGATATTGTTCTTCATATGCTGCTCAACGACAGCAACAGGTGTCCCTTTATATTTTCTTAAGTGTCACCCATATAGCTATTCTCACTGTCCTGTGGACATTACTAGAGTGTTTGGTGGAAATGCTTCCCTAGCTCACCCTGCTTACAAGCTCCAAGGCTCTTCCCTTTACAACAGTCGTAAGGCCAGACTGGAAGAAAGCCCCCATGAAGCCCATGTTTCAGTATCATGTTGGCACCGTCTATGAGCAACCCCATGACTCAGCAAGATTTCTCGCACTCTCCTTGGTAACTCAAGTCCCACAGATTGCTGCTGTGGTTGTATGAGTGCCCCAGGAGCCTCTTGAGTGTGGTGGGCATTGTGTGATGCCTGGGCAATTTTTTGCATACTGCCTCAAGGAAACACTGGAGCAGCAAACTCATCAACCCAATTTCTAAACACATGCAACACTCCTAATGGGGAGGGCACAGGGATCTGTGGCTATTCTGCATCTCAAGTTTTCTATAAAAAAACAGACATTTAAATATAAGGGAGAAAACATCAGCAAAAGCAAATACACAATGTGTGACTGAGGCTGAGGCTATAACTTCTCCATAGTCCAGAGGCCCTAGACCTTAAGAGTGGCCAATTATTTCAACAGCCAGACATGTGTCCCTTAAAAAGAGACTGGAACTTACAGACAGCTTCTAAAAAGCCATAAAGATATTTACTGTGCTATGGTGTTCTGGTAGTGCACTTGTGAAGTATTTGCCAAAAACCACCAGAAAAATACTTTTCCATGTATGAGCAGAGCAGATTATTACAACAGTAACTCACCAAGACCTACCCATTAACAGTGAAAAGATATGAACTTTTATACTAAAGCTGGATATAAAGAAGTATGTGGTTTTATGTGTTTTCCTTATCTGCACACTGTAGCCTTTAAAAATATGTCTTAAAGTGTTACATTTATGGGAGCAAATAAGGTAATGAAAATGGTTAGAAAGTTCACAAAAACCTTAGAAACTCACATGTCTTTAATGCTAGTGTTCACAAAGAGCCTGCAGTATTCCCTATTCCATATAGTCACATCTTTCCAAACTTTGGAGGTGAGAAGAATGGCTCCCATGACAATCTCTTCCAGTTGGTCGGGCAAAGGTCTATCTCCACATAACTTAAGAGTCTTTCTATGTAAATATGCAAAATAGAGCACTGGCCTTTGATTTAGTTCACTTTAAGTGCTCTGATAAGAACTCTTTTGAATGACAGATTTCTTCTGGTTTTGACCAGAAAGTGTCTTTTATTCTTATGCTCTACATACTTTGCTTGGTCAGGCAAAGCAAGAGACCACATTACAATCATAGGTCAGATACTTCTGCTGCCTACTCTGCCTATGGGAATTTCCAGCCCAATTTCGGTGACAAGAATGCCTGCATATGTCAGCCAAGGCCACCATGAAGAGAGGCAGTGTCATCATCTTCACACTCATAAAAGGCAGCACACACTAAGGACCAGTGTGGATTGAAGTTGTTCAGGAAATACTCAAGTGCCTACCAAATGTAATGTCTCATACTTAGCTGGGAGGTAGATAGAAATTCTACAGGCATGTCAAGCTTGAATATATAAAACCCATGTGATAGTGAGCAAATGTTAATCTCCTTTTCACAAACACTAACCCTTTTGTGGTGCTAGCTTAAAAAACTGCTGGTCAAGAGAGCCTCCCAGTGGCCGCTGTGCAGAGCAGCATGGCAGGTGCAGGTCTCAGGGGTTGTAAAACATTCTCAGTATTCAGTTGCTTGATAAAAAACACATGTGTATAAAAGAATGGCCCTCCTCTCAGCCCCTATTTTCCCATCTTCATGATCACTTCATGAAAATTTATTCTCTCTTACATCCTGCAACTTAGTCAATTCTGTTGGTTTAAAGGTGGAAACAGCTGCCAGTTTCTGCATCCCTGGGATTCCTCTAAGCCTGCCGAGTAGTTTGTGAGACAATCTCATGAATTAGCACATGTTTGATAGTTTACATTTATCAAACATCTGCTTTACAAAGAATTGGGCAAAGTGAACAGCTGAGTAAAGATTAAAGGTGAGCTGTGAGGAGGTGTTACCTCAGAGGGTGCTCTGCAGAAGAGTATGTCTGCGAGCTACCTGAACTCTTTATGTCAAAACAAAGGGAAAAAGTTTATTTTATACGAGTTTATTTCTTGTCTGAAGGTTATGATCATCAGCTCAGATGTAGAAATGTTTTCCCCACTGATGCCAACTTTTCTCAGTGCAGTTGATCCCATTCCACTTTTGCAGAACACTGTTCCTACAATCACCTCTTTTTGAAGATTTTGTGCCTCTCTACTAGCGATTTTCCCCAATCTAACTGTGTTTCCTTTGTTCCCATCTCACTCCCCACTACTCCTCCAGCTGTGTCATCTCATTGGTGCTCACAGCACCATGCCCTCATGCCAGCTCCTCATCTTCCATCTCTCCTTAATGTACACTGCCTGCCCCACTGACATTACTCTTCCAACACTTCTCTTGCCTAGGTTTCTGGTGCCTTCACACTTACAAACTGGAAGTCTCCAGCCCAACAGTCAACCCCCCAAGCCTTTTCTAATCTTGTACAGGACATTGCCATCTGCCTAGCTGCTGGGGCCAAATACCTGCATTTGAGTTACCCTTCTGCAATGTCTCCAATGCCTGTTATGTCTGCCTTCACTGGTAGTCTGCCTGGGTTGATTATGAGCCACAATCTCTCATTGCTCACCTGTATCACTCTAATTGCTTTTTAGCCCTCTTCTCTGCCTCCAATCTGCCTCCCAACCATGGCCTACTTTCCCCAAAGCAGTCACCATAACCTCTTTATTAACAGCACTCACTTCCCTGCTCAAGATCTACATGAGTCCCCTATCAAACTGGAATAAAACCTTAACATCTTCCTATGGCCTGAAGCCAAAAGGCCCTGTGAGCTGTGGCCCTGCCTGTGTGGCCTTATCTCCACTGCTTCCCTTATTCCTCACTCTGACCACACTGGTCACCTTGCTGTTTGTTCTGTGAACACATGTGAAACACATTCCTGTCTCTGCTGCCTGTAATGCCAGCACTCCTTCCCTTCGTTGCTTTGGGCAGGTCACTGTTCAAATGTTGGCTCTCTAGAGAGACTCTTCCTTATCATTCTATCTAAAGTACTGAGCACCCCGACACTCTGAATCCCTTTATCCAGCTTCCTCTTCCTGCTATTTGACACTACCTGAAAAACTACTTGTGTCTCACTAGAACATAAGCTCATAAAGGCAAGAACTGTATTCAACCTGTCCTCCCTTCTACCCCAGCACTTAGAAGAGTGACACAGAGTCAGTATCCAGTGAGTGTTTATGGAATGAGTCACTTCTCGGCAGCATTCAGCACTGTGACCACAGCATCTTTTAACTCTTTTATTATCCTTTCCTGCTTTTCCTCCTCCCATTCTAGCAGCTACTCCTCTGGGGGCCTGTCCTTTACTCACTATAAGTCCTTACAGACCTATCGTCTCTCAATTTTCTTTACCTTTTTTAAGACAGGGTCTAACTTTGTTGCCCGAGCTGCAGTGCAGTGGCATGATCATGATTCACTGCAGTCTCCACCTCCTGGCTCAAGTAATCTCCCTGCCTCAGTCTACCATGTACCTGGGGCCACAGGCATGTGCCATAATGGCTGGCTAATTTCTTTCTTTTTTTGTAGAGATGGGGCCTCACCTTATTGCCAAGTCTATTCTAGAACTCCTAAGCTCAAGCAATCCTCTTGTCGTGGCCTCCCACAGTGCTGGGATTATAAGGGCGAACCACCACACCTGGCTTTATGTTTTCTTTTCTCAAGATATGGGTTCTCACCATGTGGCCTAGGCTGGACTCAAACTACTGGGCTCAAGTAATCCCCCCCAGCTCAGCCTCCCAAGTAGCTGGGACTAAAAGTATGAACCCACCATGCCTGGCTTGTCCAATTTTATTCTACACACTTACTCTGCATTTGAACAGCTGCTATTACTCTTCACTCTGCATCTCTACCACAAATTCATGCTCTAGTCCCATATATCCAAATGATGACTAGACACTGCTACTCTGCTATCTAAAAGGCACATCTAGTTTAGCCTGAGTACAAAACTCTCCCTTTTCCAATCCAGCTTTCCCCCCAGCATCATCTATCTGTCTAAATCTGGAAGCACCACTCCTGCTTCCCTCCAGCATGTGCTGAGAGTTCCAAATGACTTGCAGCTCCTCGAAAAGGCCTGTGTCTGGTCCAGCACCCATTGAGGGCTTTGACTCAAGTGCACATCAGAAGCCTTCTCTCCTAAACTCTAATTGAATGGTAAATAAGTAAGTATTGACCTAAGTATTCTTTCCTTCCCAGCCATGCAGTTGACTTTCCTCTATAGGTTGGCTGTGAAGAGGGGTAAAACAATTTCAACAATTTGAATAGAATTTATTATTAACATTTTTACAATAGGAATTCTGTAGGGATGATGTAAATGTAAGGAAACAGCTATGGCTTGGAAGACTAACGAGCAAAGCTTGTGTCCCAGGCCTACTGGAACCACATTCCTGGGCAATTTCATAAGCAGGCACAAGTGATCAGTAGGGGTAGATTAAGACTCATGGCCCAAGGAACAAAGACGACACGGCAGCAGCTGTCAATCACAGCCTGCATGAGAACTGCCTGAGGAATGCAGCCTGGGACTCAGCTCAGAGCTCCACTGGAATCCGTCTCCTTACTGCTCCCCATCCCAACACCTCCGCCTGCCTTGCATGTGTGTACACTTCATATGCACTGATGTGTGGGGGGGAAATCAGAAATCTCTCCCGCTGCTTTTAATAGCAATGGTTCTATTATGAAAAACGCAATGGCAACATTTTAAGCTGTAATGATGATACAACTCGAATGTGTGTATTTACTTTGCTTTCATAAGTTTCTCTTAAAGTTTGTATAATAATTTCAGAAGCAAACTTTTTTATTTTATTTTATTTTTTAGGCAGAGTTTTGCTGTGTCACCCAGGCTGGAGTGCAATGGGGAGATCTTGGTTCATTGCAACCTCTGCCTCCCGGATTCAAGCAATTCTCCTGCCTCAGCCTCCTGATTAGCTGGGATTACAGGCATCCCCCATCACACCTGGCTAATTTTTATAATTTTAGTAGAGTTGGGTTTTCGCCATGTTGGCCAGGCTGGTTTCAAACTCCTGACCTCAGGTGATCTACCCGCCTCAGCCTCCCCGCAAAGTGTTGAAGTTACAGGTGTGAGCCACCACTCCCAGCCCAGAAGCCAACTTTTATTTAAAAACAGCACCATACCCTGTGTACAAGTACCAACTTCTAAAAATGCTTTATAAATAAGAAATATCTTACCAAAGTTACTATTGCAAATTCAGCTGTTAGGTTTGTGGCTTTAAAAAGAACATGGACAAATCTGTAAATAAACTTGTGTTCAGGAACATACTCAAAGTATTCCTTTGGCATCTTTTCTTGCTGAAAGAAGAAAGGATGTGATGTAAGTATCCGTTGGAAAAAAAAATGAAGTATTCTTAAGACAGCAATATTCATACTTGTGCCTGTGTGTCACTTAGAACAATTTGGATTGGGGAGATGTCTTTTAGTTTCTAAAATACGAACAGTGGAATCTTAAGATACTATAATGATTCAATAGTCATCAACATTCAGTGAAAAAAATGGGCTCAAGCTCAGAAAATTTTTATGTTCCTTTCTACTCTTTTTCCCATAGAATTCTATAAAAATGTAAACTACTTTTAGGCTTTAAAGTCTTACTTACTGACAATAATTCATTCTCCTCTGCAACAAACTTTGAAAAAACACATTTAGTTTTCTGTAGCCATAAGGCTCTAAGGTTGCACTATTCAATACAACGGTCACTAGCCACATGTGGCTATTATGTACCTGAGGAAGTACACTTTTAATTTGTACACCATTTATTTAAATTTACATTGTTTTTTATTTCTATTCACAGAAATCATGTATATGTGTTAAAGGCATTTACAAAAATGTTTATTGTTTGATGCTACTGACAATTATCTTTTTAAAAGATACATTTTCTGTTATTTGGATTATATATTTACTCTCATTAGCTCACTAATTAACCAGAGCTGCAGGTCATTTCTTATTCCAGCACATCCTTTTTATAACAGTTCTTAAATAAGACGATTAGATGCAACATGGCATGGGGAAGAATACTTAAAAATGTCTTTGACTTCAGTGTGAAACAAACACAAGTCTATGAGAAAAATACGGCCTCAATAAAAGTGATACAGTGAGTGGATGTAATTGCTCGTCAAACATATCGAGGGATTTATCTGCATCTCTATAAAGTAAAAATGTGCATTTAAGAAATTAATTCAGAAATGATTAATATATTTACTAAACATATCTGTTTAGTAAAATAATGCCTCCTGTGTGTTTTGCTGTTTTGCTTCACCAAGGCAAACTGTTTTACAAATCCTTCTCCCGGAGCCTGACCTTCAGAGGGTCTCCTGGACTCTTCTTACTCAGCACATCAAGTCCTATGAAGTCTTTTATTACAGTAACCAGTCAGAATTGCCAGTAAGTACTGACCCTCCCTAACAGGCCATGGTAATGAACCTGTTGTATTTTCACTCCTCTAACCTGACATTGGAACACAAGAATGTTTTAGAAAGCAGTAGTAATGGGCAATAAAGTCTTTAGAACTTTAGTAAATGTGAATATGGCCGGGCGCAGTGGCTCATGCCTGTAATTCCAGCACTTTGGGAGGCCAAGGCAGGCAGATCACGAGGTCAGGAGATCGAGACCATCCTAGCCAACATAGTGAAACACCGTCTCTACAACAAATACAAAAAAAAAAAAAAAAAAATTGGCTGGGCATGATGGCACATGCCTGTAGTCCCAGCTACTCAGGAGGCTGAGACAGGAGAATCGCTTGAACCCAGGAGGCAGAGGTTGCAGTGAGCCAAGGTAGTGCCACTGCACTCCAGCCTGGGTGACAGAGAGAGACTCCGTCTCAAAAAAAATAAAAAATAAATAAAATAAAATAAAATAAATAAATAAATGTGAATGAGATTCAGATTCCCTAGTCTTTTTCTCTTAATAATTACTAATTAAAAAGTATTAATAATAATATAATAATGACTATCAATTACTGATAATAGTATAATTATTCTCTTTATCATCATTTTCTCTGTATTAGATTCTCATGATATATTTATTTATTTTAAGTAGTTTGAATTAAAAACTTAATCTGTCTTTTTATTTTCAAACAGGCCAGTCTTTGATGAACTTAAGAGGTTAATACAACTAATACATTTTGCCTGTTTAATAAACCAATGGTTCTTGCAATGTGCTCTGTGGACCTCTGGAGATCCCCTAGACCATTTTTCATGAGGCCCAAGCAGTCAAAACTGTTCTGATAAAAATACTATTTCAGCCTGAGATATGGAATCAACATAAATGCCCATCAATATTAGACTGTATAAAAAATGTGGTACATATATACCATGGAATACTATGCAGGCCATTTTTCATGAGGCCCAAGCAGTCAAAACTGTTCTGATAAAAATACTATTTCAGCCTGAGAAAGCTGATTAAAAATAAAAAATAAATTAAAATAATTTTTAAAAGGATATGAAGGCATTGCCTGCTTTCTCACTGTGACACTTGCCATGATTTTATAAAAGCAAAAGTGGGTGAAATAGCTGGTTTTTCAGCATAAATCAAGGTTTCTCAGCATAAATCAAGGTGATCAAATTACACTAGAAGTCATTCTATTCTCCACAGCCCCTTACAGTTAAAAAAGAGAGCCTGATTTAGTTAAGAATGTCTTTGATGAAGCAGTAACAATTAATGGTATTATTAAATCTTTGCCTTCCTATTTAATACTCTGAATAAGTGGAAAGTTAACAAGAAGCACTTCTTCTTACTGCAGTATGGTTGTGTTAAGAAAAAGAAACAATGATTTAAATGTAAACTGAATAATCACTTTTTTAAATAAAATATTGTTTTTATTTAAAAGTACAACTGACTATCATTCTCAAAAATGAATAAAGTAAGCCTTTTACATCAATGAAAAATAAGTGTTCCCCTATTGGTGAAAGTGTAAATTAGTTCAACCATTGTGGAAGACAGTCTGGAGATTCCCCAAAGACCTACAGACAGAATTACCATTCAACCGACCAATCCCATTACTGGCTATATACCTAAAAGAATATAAATCATTCTATTATAAAGTCACACGCACACATAGGCTTACTGTAGCACTATTCACAAAAGCAAAGATATGAAATCAACATAAATGCCCATCAATGTTAGACTGTATAAAGAAAATGTGGTACATATATACCATGGAATACTATGCAGTCATAAAAAGAACAAGATCATGTCCTTTGCAGGAATATGAATGGAGCTGGAGGCCATCATCCTTAGCAAACTAACACAAGAATAGAAAACCAAATATCACATGTTCTCATTGGTAAGTGAGAGCTAAATGATGGGAACACATTAACACATAGAGGGGAACAACACACACTGAAATCTTTTGGAGGGTAGAAGGTGAGAAGAGGAAGAGGATCAGAAAAAATAACTAATGGGTACTAGGCTTAATACCCGGGCAGAGAAATAATATGTACAACAAATCCCCATGACACAAGTTCACCTATGTAACAAACCTGCACATATACCCATGAACTTAATATAAAAGTTAAACAAAAAAAGAGAATAACTGTTCTCAATGATAATAGTCAAGCTTTCAGGCTAAAACCCAGAACTTTGGAAAACACACTCCTACCGTAAACTCGACAGCTTCTCAATACTTAAAGAGCTCTTAATAAGACATGGTGATACTAACAAAAGTGAGTTTTTGACACAACAAAACATAAACCATTATTTCCCAAATAACCAATGCATACTCTTATACAAGCAAGCATGGGGGAAAGACCCATTTACTGCACAAGAAAAATCAGTGAGTATTGATGGAATAAATGTATTGATATGCAAAATTCCCCTGTAACTAAGAAACTAGTTACAGGGGAGTTTTGAGGTAGTATTAAAGAACACTCACAATTATCTAAAAACATTAAAGATACACCTTTTAGTAACTATATATTTGCAAAAAGCTTGATCATCTTATTGCTTCTCTAAAAATATTGTGAAGGGAATCCATCTGTCTTCTATTATGCCAAACTTTAGAGGTTTGCAATAATATCAATGCATGACACACTTTTTACTCAACTTTTTATTGTAGAGAAGTTATTTTTCTTTAAAAAATGCTATTTATGTTAACGATATAGTTTTCAGAAAATATTTTTGTTGTCACAACCTGGGTTATTGCTTACTACTGACATCTAGTGGGTAAAGGCCATCAATGCTGCTAAACTTCCTGTAATGCACCAACAAAGCATTTATTTCCTCACAACAAAGCGTTATCTAGCTCAAAGTTATCAATAGTGCTGAGGTAGTAAAATCCAAGCCAGAAGCAGATTTTTTAAAAATCTCAATTTTAATTTCTTACACAGTATATAAACACAGATTCTTTGGGATTCTCAATAAGTTAGGACTTAAAGAGTCTCAAGGGTGAAAGAAAACACAAATAATATGCTTCAATATTTCAGTAGGCACAATACAGCTTATGGTGTCTATAGCTATGAACTAACACTGAGATTGATATTATAAAAAGTAATGAGTTGGAATAACAAGAAAGGTTTTAAAAGAACTCACCTTTTCTTCATGTGATAATATATTGCTAAGGCCACACTACGGAAAGAGAAAAAATCATAACAATGGATTTTATCATTTGTTGGGTCTAAAAACTTTTTTTAAAAGGGGGGAGGAAGAAATTATCCCAGTGGCCCTGAAATTTAAATCTTCTACTTCAGAACAGTACCATTAGGGCACTATATTCTTGTTTTAGTTTTTTGTCTTTTAACAAAAATACGAGGATCAAAATGCTAGGCAATATACTGTTAGAAGACATGTTTCTGTTGATGATTATAATATATAAATAATAACATATTTCCCTGTTAGATGCTCTTCTACCCACAAAACCTTTCATCCCATGCAATTTATACCTATGTGTACATATGCTTAAATTTAAGACATACAGTAGTGTTTTTTTTAAGTTGTTAGGCCCTGCACTTTAGTTGATTTAATTAACTATCTCCTACCCATCCGTGTTTTATGATTTCCTAAAAATTAATGATAAAAGTGTTTTATACCAAATTAAATCATTTACAATAACTTTTGCATAATTCATGTTAGTAAACCTAGGTACACACAAAATCAGTGATAGCTTTCTGAAAATAAGCAGTGCTAACGATAATGCAGCATAGCACTACACAGTATAATATTAAGGGCAGGTACTTTCAATTAGTTTAAGTGAAATATTTATGAACAAGTAAAACTCTTCAGATATATGTTACTGTATTCTTAAGTTGTCTACAGACACTGTGTATTAGGAAACATAAGTTATGTTTTTCCATGTGCCCACAGCATCTAAAATGAGGCTCAAATAATTGAGGGAAGGCAAATCTGAATTTAACAATAGGTTTATATAATATTAGCATGTTTTTAAAAGCCTGTAACATTAGTATCTAAGATGGCTATGTCTATAGTGCTTCAAGAAGTTTTTAATCTCTAAAATAATTTTAAAATCACACAATGTGAAGTTACCTGCTGAAAAGGACCAATGATCTAAATGACATTGAATCCAACACCATTTTACAGATAAGAAAAAGAATGTTTAAAATTGACTTGCCCAAGGTCCCACCAAATAGGAGCAGCTTGTTGTCCTAAATTCAAATCAGGCAGTAGCTCTCAAACTTTGCTGCACGTTGGAATCACCTGAAGAGCTTTAAAAACTGCCTTCTTTTTAACATGAGACATTTTGATTTAATTAGCATTGTGTATAACTTTGAACATCAGGGTGGTTGTTAAAATTTCCCAAGTGATTCCAATGTACAGCAGGGTTTCCGAATGATTGGGTTGGGGTTCAAAGCAGAATCTTCTGAGATGCTTTTATCCATATAAGAATGCCTCACATCCATCCCTATTTTCTTAAAAGGCTTCTGAGTGCCTAGAGTTGAAGGAGAGGTGGAGGTAGGAAGAGGCATGTGATTGCAGACATATATTTTAAGAAAACTTGCGTAAGTAATCAAATGTGGTCCATGCATTCCATTGAGAACAATGCTCTACTCACCTATATAAAACATTTTCCAAAATCTGTTCATAAACCCATTTTGCCCTATTAATTTGCTCAATAAACCTTTATGTTACCAATAGTGAATATACCAAGTGATAATTTCTCAAACTTGCTGACAGAAAATTAAAACTTACTACACTTCCAAAAGTAGAATTCTAAAAATTAGAATGATGGAGGAAAAAAACATAAACTTTATGAATACTTGTTTGAGCAAGATTAATCTTTAAAACTACTTTTGAATTGTATACTAACATATTACAATCTTTTGAATAGAAGCCAGGGACTCTAGCCAAAGTACAGTAATTTTTTTTCCCAAGGGTTTAGAGACTTGGCTGAATACAGAAGTTTAGGGATTACTTAATAGGTCACAAAGCTTAAGACTTTAGACAGAGTTTGAGTCAAGTTTTTGCTGAAACACAATTTTATCTCAACCACTGTTAGAAGTGAGATAGAAAAGTGACATTATCATGAGTGTAAACTTCCTACTTTTAATTAAAATAGAAGTTACTGACAATTGGTTTGGCTAGGAAAGCTAGTGCATTAGAAACAAAATTGTTTATAAGCTAGCTATGTTTATAGAATGAAAAGTAAAACTGACAACCATCCTCTTGTGAAGAAAAAGAAGTACAATGAAAGATAAAGACATTAATATTCTAAATTAGCACTTTCCAAACTGTGTTCTAAAACTGTGTTCCAAAAATTAAACGCTCATAATCCAAGCAGATGATAATGATGTTCTCTAGACAACCCCAACAGAGCTGGTGTTGTTGTTGTTGTTGCTTTTAAAATAAACTTGAAAGGCTCGTCTTAGGTTGTTCTAAAAGTGCATCTTCACTTGTGCCCTATGAGGTATTCATGCAAAATGAAGGGAAGTCAAATGCAGATACACTACGGTGCCAGTAGAGAAAAAGTTGTTCTTTCTTCCAAGATTAATGTCAAAACTAGTACACATTGATTGATTTAGGCCTGTAACTCATAAGAAACCTTTTTTTGGGGGGAAAACATCCTATAAAGGACACCTATCTTACTCATTGTGTTCAACATTGTCATAAGGCATAAAAGCATCAAATAAATAACTATACTTTTCCAGGGATTGATTATTTGCTAACTAATTTTCCCTTCCAACGTGAAATCTAAAGTTAAAGGAGAAACTGAAAATTAGTATTTTTTTGAAAACTAATATATAGAATCAGAAATCAATATATAGTTGACACCAGTTTCTTAAACTGATTGCCCAAAAGGACAATCAAACGGCTGAAATAACCGAGGATGGCTAGGATGATCTTAGAATAAGGGGCTGTGTCCCTTGACATCATAGTTGTACTCACGATTTTACTATGATTGTAAGATGAGGCTGGCTGGCTGTGCTGTCATCTAGGTATATGGTTGAACACGAGCTGTACTTTTTAGTAAAATGCTTAGTAGATACCTGAAGGGGAAAGGAAATAGAAGAAAACATCACAGTAAGTTAAACCTATAAAAGTGTATTTTTTCCCATTGGTTAAAATGTCAAATGACAAAGTACTAAGGTACTTCTTACACTTCGTGAACTGAGTGTGGACTTATGTGCACTCCATAGGAAACCCATTGGAGGCTCTTAAATTCAATAGAGGATGTTTGAGAAATGGGTTATAAAAGGCTGCCCTTAATATGGTACCTATCATCAGACCTGGCAAGCGTCTATTGTGAATTCCCCTTCTTTATAAATGAGAAATGTTTAAGATGTCAGTGTTTTTAAAGCAATATAAAGCAGCTGAGATTTTCTATTATTTACTTACTGCAATAAGCTGTAATGCATTAAATAATATTGGCACAAGAGCATTTTATTGCAATGAATGAAGACTAATGCTACATTACTAAGTTACTAATCCTAAATGTAATATTCCAGGAGACAGTGGGACAAAACAAGTGTTTTAGATTCAGAGGCTCTGTGTGCCAGGGCTGCTCCATAACCAACAACAGAGAAAGCCATAGCATTCTCTAGTCCTGTTTTCTTACATAGAAGATAAAAAGACTATCACTTTAATATTCTCTCACATCCTGAAAACAGATAACAAAGACAACTCTACGAATTTAACTTTCACTTCATGTTTCAATAAGACTGCCAGGACATCACTCAAATGAGACTCTCGGAGAGTACTTTCCATTCATTTCCAAAGTTGATTCATTTTATTCTACAAGTCATTTGACCTGCGCATAGGCATTTTCCTGCCACACAGTTTCCTGCTGCTCTCTGCCTAGGATTCTTTTTCTTTGTCCCAGCAAACTTGACCCCATTTACCCTCTGTGATTCCTTTGCCAGCAACCACACCACAGAATATTTCCATTTTTGTAAACTAGTCAGTCTAATTCACAACTTGTCACATGATACCAATTCTTACAGAGTATTCCCCTCATAAGAAAGTAGGTCTTTCCAAGGAAGGGAGAGTCCTTTCTTCTCTACCTGGAGATGCTGAGCACAGAATTTTGGACAAGTTTAAAAGTTCAACAAGTGCTTGACAAATTAATTAAATCAGTTCCAATTTGGAAGATAAATCTTACTATATTTAATTATATCAAATACAGTAACAATTTACCATTTATAGGTATTATTTCAGGTAGTCAAAACTAGAAAGGAACAAATTATCTTCATTCAGTCAGCATAAATACCAAGAATATAAAATTTTACAAACTTTAACACAAAATGGAAAGTGTTACTTAGTATTCTTAAGGTTGAATAATGAAGACTAGAAAATCATCATACCTTATAGTTTAGTAAGCCAAAACCAAAACATTACCATCAAAGGTCCAGTATCTGTTGAACTCCTATACTGACTTTTTTTCATTGTACCTGCTGCCTTTTGTTTTAGCCCATTGAAAATTCTAAAGTTTACTTCTGTCTCTCTCCTTTTTGGGAGGACAAATTTTAGGTATTTTTCAAAAAATTAACTTTTTTTTTTTTAGACAGAGTCTCACTTTGCTGCCCAGGCTGGAGTGCAATGGCACAATCAGAGCTAACAGCAGCCTCAAACTCCTGGGCTCAAGTAATCCTCTGCCTTAGCCTGCTGAGTAGGTGAGACAACAGGGACATGCCACCATGCCTGGCTAATTTGTTTTTTAATGTTTTTGTAGAGATGCAGTCTTGCTATGTTGACCACGCTAAAAATGAACACATTTTAATTTAATACTTCTAACACTTTGGGCATTAATGAAAACAGCTCCATTTATAGTGTGAAGTAATGGAACAATATGGCAGGGTATAAAATTTGAATAGGAATACTAAACAAGGGCTGGCCACAGTGGTTCACACCTATAATCCCAGCACTTTGAGAGACCAAGGCAGGCAGATCACTTGAGGTCAGGAGTTCGAGACCTGCCTGGTCAACATGATGAAACCCTGTCTCTACTAAAATTTAGCCGGGTACAGTGGTGGGCGCTGTAATCCCAGTTACTCAGGAGGCTGAGGTGGGAGAATCGCTTGAACCTGGGATGTGGAGATTGCAGTGAGGTGAGATTGTACCACTGCACTCCAGCCTGAATGATAGAGTGAGACCTTGTCTCAGAAATAAAAAGAAAATTTAAAAAGGTAATGGTATAAAAGTGTAATGTTTATTATAAATATATAAGTAAAATTATCTGGATTAATATTAATTATATTGAAATTAAATTATAATTTACACTTTAAATATAGGTCATAAATTTGGGTTAAATGTAATAGATTGACCATAAATTTATTCCCTCTCTCCTGAAATTTCATTAGAATTACTCATATAACTCAAGTTATATGCAGGACCAATAGGGAAGATTGACACTGATGATTTTTAATAAATGCTGAATTATAAAAAGTAGATAATGGAGTGGTAACTGGCATGGTAGCACAACTTTGGTGCCTACAAGAAGTGACTGGAACAGAAACAAGCAAGCCAGTTTGTCTTCCAGAACCCAAGGCAGACTTCAACTTAAAGGGAAATGGCATCTCTGAAAGTAGGGTGAGACATAAAATAAAAGCGAGCGAGGTCAGTTGAAAATCTGTGGTTAGATCCCCAAGTCTACCTGTCCTTCCATCTTACAAGGAATTTAAATGTGTGTTCTCTGGATATATAAAACCTGAAATTTCTGGGTTCAGAGATACCATAGCTAAAACCTGAGAGATGGAAAAAAACTGTACAGCAAGAAACACAACTCCACCTCTGCTTCTGGAAAGCAAGTAGCCATGCTTTTACATCCCAGGCAGAAAATTGGGAGAGCCTTCTCGGAAGGAATGGAATGGTCCCAGAGTAAAGATCCCCAGATAATACACTGAAGTCCCCCAAATGAAATGCTGGCTTCATTTCCAAAACCTCACAGTGAGTCTCCTTCGTGAACAGAAGTCCTGCTTCCAATGAAAGCCAAGGACCACCATTCAAGAGAGATCAAAACAACAGGAAAAAATAATTCATGGGACCAGTAAAAATTTTGGAGCAAAACTTTAAAAAAATGCCCTCAACAAGAGAAACATGAGAAATATTAAACTATAAAGTAAAAAAATATCCAAGAAGTAGAATGAAAAGACAAACTGGAAAATAGGAGGGGGTGGGGGATTAAAAACCAATGCGGATACAGGAGTCTAAGCAGCCCAGCATCTGAATAACAAGAATATCAGAAAAATTTAACAGAGAAAATAGAGAAGAAAAGAAATTCTCTAGAAGAGATAATCTGAAGACTTAGTAGCCCCAATAAAGAGAAAAGATCCCCACACCAAGCTGCATTATAAAATTTCAGAATCCCAGAGAGAAAGAAGGTCCTGAAAAGCTTCTAGAGATATGTAAAACCCGGTTACAAATAATGTATCACACAATGGCAACAGATTAAAAAACAATACTATAATAAGAACACAATTACAAAATACCTTTAGAACTGTAACATTTAGTTTCAACCTAAATTTTTTTTTTTGGCTAATAGTGTATTCAGAAGTAATTTGTATAACAATAACACAAAGAAGAGGGTAGAGAACAGAGCTATTTAGAAGCAAGATTTTATATACTACTGAAATTAACTTGGTATTAATTCTAACTATATTGTTATAAATTGAGTTATTTCTATTAGTATGCATTTTAGTTGTTTGCAACCTAAAATTTTATACTGTATCAAAGAAGAAGGGTTTTAAGATTGGCTGGGTCTCTAAACATGTTCCCATGTGCCCTTTCCCAGGAAAATGTGCTCTAGTACAACTAGAGAAGATAACAAGGCAGAAGGAAACACAGAATCTAGGACTCAGGGAATCTCACAGAAGAGGGCAGTTAAGTGAGATCTCAGAAGACTTTCAAGAGATAGCTTAGAAAAGCAAGCATGTAGCACATCTAGGAAAGCCACTCTACACTGAACTAGGATGACAAAAGGCCAAGGAAAATTGCCCCAAGAGAAATATAAAACAGATGTATTTGAGCTGATGAATATTTTTGATATGCATGTGACAAATATTACAACACTTGGGGTAAGAATAACTGTTAGAGACAGGCAAATGAATATAGTCAGACAATTAATTCTATGCTAAAAATTACAGGATGTGAAAGCAGAGAGACCAGCCAACGGCTACTTACTGCATTTGGCTGGGTAAACTAACATAGGCCAGGAAAAGGATTATCTGGGAGAAGTGAAGAAGTGCTCAGATGCCAGAACTGTTTAAAGGAATGAAGGATACGTAATGAAGATGCACAGCTGAAACACCGTATGACTTAGCAGTAAATAATACTGGCATAAGCAGAATCATGTAAATATTACTGATTTAATAAAAATGTGCTACAATTGGACAAAGCAATGGGAAAAAAATAATGTCATGGTATACCCAGAAAGCTGTGCTTTTACCTGCTATACCAGAAAGTCAATAGACAGTGTGGAAAATTAACTTAGTTATTCTAATTTTGTTGTTTGATTTATTTTAAGATTAAATAAAGATCTTTATACCAACCACATTCTTAAAATTTAACTTGCATGTCAGATCCTTTAAAAGATGGACACACTAAGCTAAAGACTTTTCTGCATAAATCTGATACTTGGAAAGATAGAAGAGATTTACAAAGTCCACAAAGAGAGTTCCATGCTAATAACACTGGGTCCTCATTTTATTTTTAAGGAATCAAGATAGACATATTTTACTTCAAACTATGAATTTCTTAACTTTGTGACTATTTACTTACATGGTTCATGTCGTTGCTCTTTCTCTTTTCTTGAACTAAGAATAAAAAAAATCAGTTCTGATACAAATATAAAATAAAATAGTTGCTAACATCTGATTGATTATCTCTATGTAAATGAGACAAAATTCCATTTAAAAATAATTTCCAACTATTTATAACTTAAATTATAGGGCCTAATAAATCTTATAAAGTAAAATCTAAAAATTTGGCTTTACTTTTTGTCCTAACAGATATTCTATTACATTCATAACCAGGCATGGTGGCATGCACCTGTTATCCCAGCTACTTGAGAGGCTGAGGCAGGAGAATGACTTGAATCAGGAGGCGGAGGTTGCAGTGAGCCAAGATCGCACCATTGCACTCCAGCTGTGGGCGACAGAGCAAGACTCCATCTCGGGGTAAAAAAAATATCTATCTATCTATCTATCTATCTATCTATCTATCTATCTATCATCTATCATCTATTCTATTACAGTCAAATGAAAGAATGCTCATGTACAAAAAAAGGGGCATAACAAATTAAGCCAGATGAGAAATTTAGCTAATAAATAAGTTTAACAACTGTTGCATATATGAGCCATGATTCATTGGTATTTTCTCACTCTGTGTTTACACATGGCTTACTTTAATTACTAGAATCTAAGAGCTAGCAGCTCTAAGAACTAGTTCCTGGCAAGGTACAAATCTGTAGATGCACCAGAATCCCTGTAAGCATCTCAAACCACTTATTGGTCATCTACTAATATGTCACTAACAAAAAAAATGTGTCTTTGCACAACTGGAAAGTAACCTATCTTACATTTAAATTTTAAAATGAGTATGCAAACTTAATTGGACATAGTATCTGCAGCAAACAAAATCATTTTTTTTTTCTAACAAAGGCCAGAATAATAAAAGCTCCAAGAGGGACTTGGGCCATGCTTTGTTTCCTACACTGCCTCCTCCTTTGATGCTGGAAGGCCTTAAAGGCAAACATTCCTACCACTGAAGACTTGAGGGACAGGAAATAGCCTTCAGGGCTTCCACACACTCTGTGAGAAGCCCATGGCTCTGGAAGGAACTGAGAAATACAATTCTTATATGGTTTAGATATTTCGCCCCCTCCAGATGTCATATGAGAATGTGACCCTCAATGTTGGAGACAGGGCCTCCTGGGAGGTGTTGGGGTAATGGCAGTGGATTCCTTATGAATGGCTTGGTGCCATCCTCACAATAATGAGCAAATTCTCATTCTGGTAATTTACATAAGAGCTAGTTAAGAGTGTGGCACCTTCCCCCTTCCCCTCTCTCTTGCTCCCTCTCTCATGTGAAACCACCTGCTCTCCCTTTGCCTTCCATTATGATTGTAAGCTTGCTGAGGCCCTCAGCAGAAGCAGGTGTTGAAGCTATGTTCATAAAGCCTGCGGAACTAGGACCCAATTAAACTTTTTTAAAAAATAAATTACCCAGACTCAGGTATTTCTTTATAGCAATGCAAAAATGAACAAACACAAGTCCTGACCAGAGATGACTGACTTAAGGCAGGCAAAATCCACACAAACCATAAAAGCACAATTAGAAACCCAAATTTTATTGTACTGCATTACTTCAAATATTATTATAGAACCCTCATTTATATTCTTGCTGTTGAAATCAACTAAAAAACTTGGTTGTATATGGCTTTTTAATCAAATAAACTAGGATTTACCATAACATTTAAAATATAAGCAGGAGTACTGGATGTTTAAATTTATATTACATTAGCAGGAAAAGTTTAATAGCTTAAAAGTTTTGAGTAGCATAAACTTGGATGTGATAAGCTCATATGGTTAAAGCACTGTATAAGAGGAGGCTGAAATCACAAATTCAATCCCCATTGATGAACAAATGGTTTTTTTATTTGTTTAAATAAAGATCAAGCTGAAGCCTAAATTCTATCATTCATCATTAAAATGAACTCTTTGGAGCAAGGGAAAAAGGGCGAAAGACAAAAAATATGAATAAAAAATTATGAATAAAGATAAATCTATGACTACTCTTAAATCACATGACAAATGGTGTTGCCAAAAGGTAGCAAAATGTATAAACAGAAAGTTTACATGTTTTCACTCACACAGTAACAACTAAAGAGAAGTATTTCACACATTAAAATAGGACAAGTGAATATATGAAAAGTTGAAAATTTTAAACCAATGTAAGTTTCTCTAAATGCTTTCTATAATACACTCATTATGACAGAGAGTTTTCAGTCGTCTTCTTGGTGGAAAAAACAGTGTCGTCTCACCATCTGTTTGAGATTTTTGCAAGAAGACTGTGCTTGCCCTTGGATCATCAGAAGGGTTTGGCTCCAAAGCTCTATCTACAGAGAAAAAAAAATGTGATAATTTATGCGAATAGAAAAAATGATTTTTAAAGTAGCTACACATTCATTTCAATCATTTTAAATAGTCCTGAAAAAAGTTTCTAGTAATAAATATGAAGGAAATAAAGGCAAAAATATAATAATTCTACTTGGGAATGCAAAATTATAGCCTCTCTGTATACATATGGAATAAAACTGGGCTATGTCAAGGACTTTCAAAAAGACTAAAACTAAATAATCTAATGCAAAAGAGAAGTCATATACATGCCCTGCTCCTTCTGCTGCAAAACTCTGCTCCTTAGTTCAGCTAAAACCAGGTTCTTGTCACACGACCAAGAAAGATTAGTCTCAAGGACACATTGAAGGGTGAGTAGAACAGAATTTATTTGGCAAAAAGGAACAAAAAATCTCAGAAAAGCGAGAGGGGATCCTTCCAGCGGGCTCCCAACTCACAGACTGAATACCAGGCCACCACACACAAGCTGAAGAGGCCAGGCTCCTCCCCACTGCACAAGATGCAAACTTCCCGTGACCCCACCCCATTCTCCCAGTGCACAGGCAGGTCACAGATTCTCCGGACACCCTCCCCCTCATCTGCCTCCTGCATCTACCACTTCTACTTATCAAATAAAAATATAATCACTTGCCTCTCTACTGATATTCGCAGCACATTTTAGGAATAGGCTCAAGCAGCAACTGATGCTGTGTGAAATTACTGTCAGACATTAGCTCAATATATCAAACATGCTAAAATAAAGAGCTGTTTTTTGGCCACTATCCCTCAGAAAATAACATGGCTAATTCATTTACTTATCTGTGATTTATTCAGGGGCAATTCATCATGGCAGATTTAAGTGGACTGCATAAAAATTTCAATGCTCTAATCTATAAGGACACTTTCATGTCAGAAAATGATTTTTAACTTTTGCCCTCCATTTCCAAAGCTAAAATCTCACTTCTTTCCAACACATGATTCATTTGGGACTTCATCAAGAATACTTTTGAAACAGATCTTACTTAGACCTTCTTCTAAAAAATGTTGGCCCTATGTATGTCAAGGTAGGTCTGTTTACAGTCCACCTTGCACCAAAGTGAGATAATCCATTTAAGCAAGACTAAAAATAATATTCTTGAATTTTTATTACACATTTTCATCATATAATAAAAGGTGTAATAAGGGAAAACAATAAAAACCTATGACACTCCTCAGCACTGTCCATCTCAACCCACTTATCTTAAGCAATCTTGTAAGAAACTAGGTGAAGATCCACTCAGAGTAATAATTAAGGCAATATTTTCCAAATCACATATTAGTAACTGTTCTACTTTTTAAAAAGGGTTTTAGTGGGCAAATCACAATCCACTCTATCCCTTGCTTTTACAAAATCAAAGTGCACAGTGGTACAGTAAAAACTAATCAGCCCGTTAGTGAATAATGTCCAACTCAGCATTTCACAAATTTATCTACCCAGGATCCTTTTCTTCCCTCCAACTAAAGTGGTTAGAATCTAGTATAAAAATAATTTAGGAGTTTCTGATTTAGCAGAAATCCGAATCATCTATTTTAATAATACTGCCATCTCACTAGAATATTACATAGCTAAAAAATCTGCTTTTTCTCCATGATTTGAAGTTTACTGGGAGAAAACTATTGTTATGTAAAAAACTTACACAAAAGTCATTTTCAAGTTTTTTCCCACATATTTGAAAATTTGATGATATAATGTTAGCTATGTGGAAAAATAAAATTGTTTGTGCACAACATGACAGGAAGAGACTTGTATAGCCGTCCCTAACCTAAAGCTTCTGAAAAAGTCCATGACTACTTTGTATCAAAAAAGCAAATATATTATCATTTGAGTGTGAAACATAACAAGTAATGTTTGCAGAACTCATATAATGTTTCAGTACCTGTGTCATAATGTTTAATTTGGAATTTTCCATGGAAGCCCAGGAAAATTATGTACAAGATTCAAAAAGTAGCAGGCTTACGCCCATACACATATACCCCACACATAAAACCAAGATGTGCTATTGTGTATTTCAATACAAAAATCAAGAAGAAATGAAAACATACAGGAAATAAAACAAGATCAGCCCAAGTAACAAGCTGTCACTCTCCCATTCCTGGGGTTTTAGGCATCTGACCGAGAGGTTGGCCAGTCAATCGCAGTTCATCTGGGACTTCCCAAGAACTAGAGGAGAAAGGATGAACTGGCTCACAGGACTGGTAGCTGACCAGGAGTTGCCAGTGGCTCCCATTACCATCAAGAGAAGGGTATTTTCAGGAGAGATCAACAGAGAAGAGCATAACTGAGATAGGTTCTGGGGATATCATTTGATTCCTTGGTCAAGCAGTGCCTCACTGACTCCTGTTAACTCCCTGGCTATGCAAGTTAATTTTTCAATAAACATTTTTAACTATTTTGAGGTAGATTTTCTTCAACTGGCAATTGTAAGAGACTTGGTTAGTCAGCACTGCTGATAGTACTGATGATTACACTAAAGGCAGGAATAGGTAAAAGTCTCTTGCTTACTTCTTTAAGAAATGTCTTATCAAGAACAGAAATTTGCAAGAGCCAAAATAATGCCTTGTTTAAAACTCACAACCATTACTTTTTGTTTTCCTTATGCATGGTAAAAAAATAGCTCTAAGCAGTACACCATTTATGTTTTATTTTCTTACAAATGACCTTGACCCCTTTGGAAAATATTGGCTCATCAAGTGTTATTCCTATACTTTACTTAGCCAATGCCCTATTGTCGGTGATTTAGGCATTTACAAAGTTTTGTTCTTATGAGGAAAACCTTCATGTATAGTATCTTGTACTTTTTCTTAGAGATCCTTTGGAAAGATTTTCAAAAGTGGAATGACTAGAACAAAGGTGAGATTGTTTTCATGAATCAATATATAGTGCTAAGTTGCTTTCTAAAGAAGATATGGGCATATTAGGGCACAGTGCTTCAAATCACACCAGTTTTAGCTTCTAGTTCAGCTTTGGATACTTAAAAAAATTCCTACTGATGTGAAGGAGGAACACTATTGAGGCTCTAACTTATATTTGTTTATTAGATTATACACTTTGACCATTTTTCCATAGTTAACAATGTTATTTCCACTTTGATGAGTTTCATATCATTTGTACATACTGTATGTACTGAATTCACTAGGAATTTACTAGTGTTTATTTGCATGGGGTTTTCAGAAAATATTCATTTTATGTCTATAGCCTACCACAATTTTCTATATAACTTGTAATTTCTGCTGATGACAAATACCACATATTGCTATTTTATAGAATGGACACTTAAGCCATTAGACAGAAACTTAAACACATACACTGTTATTTCTTCATTCTCCATTAACTCTTTTCCCAAGAGCCTAAGGAGAGTCGAGAAATCACACTACTCTTTTTTCATTGTCACAAAAGACTGCCAACTATTAAATAAAATATTAGGCCCCATAAACAGGCACCTGTGGAGATTTAGAGACATCCAGAGGATAAAAACACAATAACTACACAACTTGATGTGAATACCTTCAAAATTATTTTTGTAACCTCCTAAAATGTTTGAAACTAGGAAACTAGGAAAATAATTTTGATCTCATGATTAGGGGTTATAACTATCACTGTATTTTAAGACCCAGTGTTTTTGTATTATCAATTTAAGTTACAACGTGATCTGGCAGCATAAAAGAATGATGGGGAAACGTATGACTTAAAAAACAGTTATGCTCAGGTCTAAATGTAAACATCCCTCAGAGGAAGGAATCTGTAGACTCGCTGACACTGAATACCGGTTTTTCTCTAAGATTCTATTAGTCGTAAGATCTATCTCAATTGTAAAGATGTTAAAAATGTAACAAAACAATGTATGCAATTTAGAATAAGTAAGATGCATTATTAAAGGCCAAAGGTATTAAAGTTATGCAACTGTAAACTTACGTAAAACTTGTAAAATTATGCAAGAAATAATTTTTCCTGTCAAAATATTAAAAGGGAGAGGGCAGTAATGAAGGAATTAACTGACAGAAGGAGCATATTCAGAGAAAGAGATTAATTTCAACATATTATTTTCATATATCCCAATTAAATAAAATACGTCAACACTTTCTGAGCCCACTGCTGAGCATCTGTTTATGTAAAGACTTACTGCATTTACTGACCTGCTCTATCATCCCTATACTGTACCTGGTATTAGTTTTATGGCCCATAAAAACATTCCAAGTCTCTCAATTATGATGCAGTTTGAGATTTTATCTAAGGCCAGACTTTTCACATATCAGATGCTACCTACCTGATAGCCTTGAGCTGGCCTGCCTGTATCACCTGAGGGCACACGTGGAGCTCCTTTGTGCCCATCTCAGGCTCACTCATGCCTTGGTTCTGCTTTCCCAGGTCGGACAACCCCACCTTGGGCTTCCTAACCACTGCTGTTCCTCCATGTCAGTTCTCAGTCTTGCCATAACTTTTTAACTCCTCGATCTGTTTTAGTGACTGTGACTGAGCTGTGACATTTCACATTAGGTAGTATACTTCCCCCTTTATATGTTTCTTTTTTTTTTTTTTTTGACAGAGTCTTGCACTGTCACCCATGCTGGAGTGCAGTGGCGTGATCTCAGCTCACTGCAAGCTCCACCTCCCAGGTTCATGCCATTCTTCTGCCTCAGCCTCCCGAGTAGCTGGGACTACAGGCGCCCTCCACCACGCCTGGCTAATTTTTTGTATTTTTAGTAGAGATGGGGTTTCACCTTGTTAGCCAGGATGGTCTTGATCTCCTGACCTCGTGATCCACCCACCTCGGCCTCCTAAAGTGCTGGGATTACAGGCGTGAGCCACTGCGCCTGGCCTATATATGTCTTAAGAGCACTTAACTCTACTTCTTAGGCTTTTAAGAACATTTCTGAGCCAGCTGTGGTGACTCATGCCTCTAATCCCAACACTTTGGGAGGTTAATGTGGGAGAATTGCTTGACACCAGGAGTTTGAGACCAGGCAGGACAACACAGTGAGACCCTCATCTCTATAAAACATATTTTGAAAATTAGCCAGGCATAGTGGTACACGCTTATAGTCATAGCTACTTCAGATGCTCTGAGGTGGGAGAATTGCTTGAGCCCAGGAGTTCAAGGCTGCAGTGAGCTACAATCGTGCCACTGCACTCCAGCCTGAGTGAGAGCAATAATCTGTCTTTAAAAGAAGAAGAACACTTCTGGGTTATAAGTACCTCCTTTTCATTTCTCACCACTGACTATTACAGTTTTAACTCTAAAGCCTAATTACTTTAATAAACTTTAAGAAAGTAAAATAAAAAGGGTATTCAAATAAACTCATGAATCATTCTATAAATTCTAGTCTTATGTAGAATTTACACTCTCAGTTTACCAAGTCTTATATATCCAAACCTTGAAAAACCTAATTTGTACTTCTCAGAGGCCTTGTCCTCACATGTAAAACAAGTATAATTCTTATATCAACAAATTCAAAATATTATGAGGATCAAATGAAATGCAAGAGCAATCTATATGCTAAAAAATAAACAATAAATTACAAAGAAAAGCTTTCACAAATTAACTCAAAAGCAAAAAATAAATGGTTAGCATTCACTGGAAAACCAATGCCAAAATAACATCTTGAGCAAATATGCACTTTGTCTACCCACTGAAGTTAAGGGAAAAACTGTCACACATCATCATCAAGAATCCCTTCCAGTGTTGTTTTTTTTTTTTTTACAGTAAGCAAATACATGTTTCCCCTGCTTTCTTTTATGTATATTACTGTACATTCTCCTCCTTGCTTTTTTTTTTTTTTTTTTTGAGATGGAGTCTTACTCTGTTGCCCAGGCTGGACTGCAGTGGTGCAATCTCAGCTCACTGCAAGCTCCACCTATCGGGTTCACGCCATTCTCCTGCCTCAGCCTCCCAAGTAGCTGGGACTACAGGTGCCTGCCACCAGGTCTGGCTAATTTTTTGTATTTTTAGTAGAGATGAGGTTTCACTATGTTAGCCATGATGGTCTCGATCTCCTAACCTCATGATCTGCCCACCTTGGCCTCCCAAAGTGCAGGATTACAGGTGTGAGCCACTGCACCCAGCCCCTCATTGCTTTTTTTTTTACATAATATAACCTGGAAATCACTCCACAGCAGTAAAGAGAGATTTCATTCCTTTTACAACTCCATAGTTCTCCTTTGCATTGTTGTATCACTTTATTTTATCAGTCCCTTTCTAGACATTTGAGTTATTTCCAATATTTTGCTATTGAAAATAATAGAACAAAAATTTTGTGTTTATGTTATTTTATATTCATGGATACACCTTCAGGAAAAATTATTCACAGTAGAATTTCTGGATTAAATGCATTTACAGGGGATCTGTTCCAAGATGGTCAAATAGGAACAGCTCTGGGCTGTAGCTCCCAGCGTGATCGACGCAGAATATGGGTGATTTCTGCATTTCCAACTGAGGTACCTGGTTCATCTCATTGGCACTGGTTGGACAGTGGGTGCAGCTCACGGAGGGCGGGCCAAAGCAGGGCGGGGCATCACCTCACCCAGGAAGCTCAAGGGGCCAGGGTATTTCCCTTTCCAAGCCAAGGGAAGCCATGACAGACTGTACCTGGAAAAATGGGACACTCCTGCCCAAATACTGTGCTTTTCCCAAGGTCTTAGCAACTGGCAGACAAGGAGATTCTCTCCCATGCCTGGCTTGGTGGGTCCCACACCCACGGAGCCTTGCTCACTGCTAGCACAGCAGTCTGAGATCGAACTGTGAGGCAGCAGCGCGGCTGGGGAAGGGGCATCCGCCATTGCTGAGGCTTGAGTAGGTAAATAAAGTGGCTGGAAGCTTGAACTGGGTGGAGCCCACTTCAGCTCAGTAAGGCCTACTGCCTCTATAGACTCCACCTCTGTGGGCAGGGCATAGCTGAACAAAAGGCAGCAGACAGCTTCTGCAGGCTTAAACGTCTCTGTCTGACAGTTCTGAAGAGAGCAGTGGTTCTCCCAGCACGACGTTTGTGCTCTGAGAACAGACAGACTGCCTCCTCAAGTGGGTCTCTGACCCCTGTGTAGCCTAACTTGGAGACCCCTCCCAGTAGGGGCTGACCGACACCTCATACAGCCAGGTGCCCCTCTGAGACAAAGCTTCCAGAGGAAGGATTAGGCAGCAATATTTGCTGCTCTGCAATATTTGTTGTTCTGCAGCCTCCACTGGTGATACCCAGACAAACAGGGTCTGGAGTGGACCTCCAGCAAACTCCAACAGACCTGCAGCTGAGGGAACTGACTATTAGAAGGAAAACTAACACAGAGAAAGGAATAGCACCAACATAAACAAAAAGGACATCTACACCAAAACCCTACCTGTAGGTCACCAGCGTCAAACACCAAAGGAAGATAAAACCACAAAGATGGGGAGAAACCAGAACAGAAAAGCTGAAAATTCTAAAAACCAGAGTGCCTCTTATCTTCCAAAAGATTGCTGCTCCTTGCCAGCAATGGGACAAAGCTGGATGGAGAATGACTTTGATGAATTGATGGAAGTAGGCTTCAGAAGATTGGTAATAACAAACTACTCTGAGCTAAAGGAGCATGTTCAAACCCATTGCAAGGAAGCTAAAAACCTTGAAAAAAGGTTAGACAAATGGCTAAGTGTAGAGAAGACCTTAAATGACCTGATGGGGTCGAAAACTATGGTATGAGAACTTAGTGATGCATGCACAAGCTCCAATAGCCAATTCGATCAAGAGGATGGAAGGGTATCAGTGACTGAAGATCAAATTAATGAAATAAAGAGAGAAGACAAGGTTAGAGAAAAAAGAGTAAAAAGAAATGAACAAAGCCTTCAAGAAATATGGGACTATGTGAAGAGACCAAATCTATGTTTGATTGGTGTACCTGAAAGTGACAGGGAGAAGGAACCAAGCTGGAAAACATTCTTCAGGATATCATCCATGAGAACTTCCCCAACCTAGCAAGGCAGGCCAACATTCAAATTCAGGAAATACAGAAAACACCACAAAGATACTCTTCGAGAAGAGCAACTCCAAGACACATAATTGCCAGATTCACCAAAGTTGAAATGAAGGAAAAAATGTTAAGGGCAGCCAGAGAGAAAGGTCAGGTTACCCACAAAGGGAAGCCCATCAGACTAACAGCTGAACTCTCAGCAGAAATTCTACAAGCCAGAAGGGAGTGGGGGCCAATATTCAACATTCTTAAAGAAAAGAATTTTCAACCCAGAATTTCATATCCAGCCAAACTAAGCTTCATAAGTGAAGGAGAAATAAAATCCTTTACAGACAAGCAAATGCTGAGAGAGATTGTCACCATCCAGCCTGCCTTACAAGAGCTCCTGAAGAAAGCACTAAACATGGAAAGAATTAACCAGTACCAGCTACCACAAAAACATGCCAATTGTAAAGACCATTCATGCTATGAAGAAACTGCATCAACTAATGATGCAAAATAAACCAGCTAACATCATAATGACAGGAACAAATTCACACATAACAATATTAACCTTAAATGTAAATAGGCTAAAAGCCCCAATTAAAAGACACAGACTGGCAAATTGGATAAAGAGTCAAGACCCATCAGTGTGCTGTATCCAGGAAACCCATCTCATGTGCAGAGACACACAAAGGATTAAAATAAAGGGATGGAGGAAAATCTACCAAGGAAATGGAAAACAAAAAAAGCAGCGGTTGCAATCCTAGTCTCTGATAAAACAGACTTTAAACCAACAAAGATTAAAAGAGACAAAGAAGGCCATTACATAATGGTAAAGGGATCAATTCAACAAGAAGAGCTAACTATCCTATATATGCACCCAATACAGGAGCACCCAGATTCATAAAGCAAGTCCTTAGAGACCTACAAAGAGACTTAGACTCCCACACAATTATAATGGGAGACTTTAAAAGCCCACTGTCAATATTAGACAGATCAACAAGACAGAAGGTTAACAAGGATATCCAGGAATTGAACTCGGCTCTGCACCAAGCAGACCTAACAGACATCTACAGAACTTTCCACCCAAAATCAACAGAATATACATCCTGAGCACCACATGGCACTTATTCTAAAATTGACCTGATAATTGGAAGTAAAGCATTCCTCAGCAAATGTAAAAGAACAGAAGTCACAACAAACTGTCTTTCACACCACAGTGCAATCAAATTAGAACTCAGGATTGAGAAACTCACTCAAAACTGCACAACTACATGGAAACTGAAGAAACTGCTCCTGAGTGACTACTGAGTAAATAACAAAATGAAGGCAGAAATAAAGATGTTCTTTGAAACCAATGAGAACAGAGACACAATGTACCAGAATATCAGGGACATGTTTAAAGCAGTGTGTAGAGGGAAATTTATAGCACTAAATCCCCACAAGAGAAAGCAGGAAAGCTCTAAAATCGACACCCTAACATCAAGAACTAGAGAAGCAAGAGCAAACAAATTCATAAGCTAGCAGAAGGCAAGAAATAACTAAGATCAGGGGAGAACTGAAAGAGATAGACACATGAAAAACCCTTGAAAAAATCAATGAATCTAGGAGCTGGTTTTTTGAAAAGATCAACAAAATTAATAGACCACTAGCAAGACTAGTAAAGAAGAAAAGAGAGAAGAATAAAATAGACGCAATAAAAAATGATAAAGGGGATATGACCACTGATCCCACAGAAATACAAACTGCCATCAGAGAATACTAGAAACACCTCTACACAAACAAACTAAAAAATCTAGAAGAAATGGATAAATTTCTCGACACATACACCCTCCCAAGACTAAACCAGGAAGAAATTGAATCTCTGAATAGACCAATAACAGGCTCTGAAATTGAGGCAATAATTAATAGTCTACCAATAAAAATAGTCCAGGACCATATGGATTTACAGCTGAATTCTACCGTAGGTACAAAGAGGAGGTGGTACCATTCCTTCTGAAACTATTCCAATCAATAGAAAAGGAGGCAGTCCTCCGTAACTCATGAGGCCAGCATCGTCCTGATACCAAAGCCTGGCAGAGACACAACAGAAAAAGAGAATTTCACACCAATATCCCTGATGAACATGGATGTGAAAATCCTCAATAAAATACTGGCAAACCAAATCCAGCAGCACATCAAAAAGCTTATCCACCACGATCAAGTTGGCTTCTTCCCTGGGATGCAAGGCTGGTTCAACTTATGCAAATCAATAAACGTAATCCATCACATAAACAGAACCAATGACAAAAAACATATGATTATCCCAATAGATCCAGAAAAGGCCTTTGACAAAATTCAATAGCCCTTCATGCTAAGAACTCTCAATAAACGAGATATTGATGGAACATATCTCAAAATAATAAGAGGTATTTATGACAAACCCACAGCCAATATCATACTGAATAGGCAAAAACTGGAAGCATTCCCTTTGAAAATCAACACAAGACAAGGATGCTCTCTCTCACCATTCCTATTCAACACAGTGTTGGAAATTCTGGCCAGGGCAATCAGGCAAGAGAAAGAAATAAAGGGTATTCAATTAGGAAAAGAGGAAGTCAAATTGTCCCTGTTTGCAGATGACATGATTATATATTTAGAAAACCTCATTATCTCAACCCAAAATCTCCTTGAGCTGATAAGCAGCTTCAGCAAAGTCTCAGGATACAAAATCAATGTGCAAAAATCACAAGCATTCCTATACACCAATAACAGACAAACAGAGAGCCAAATCATTAGTGAACTCCCATTCACAATTGCTACAAAGAGAATAAAATACCTAGGAATCCAACTTACAAAGGAAGTGAAGGACCTCTTCAAGGAGAACTACAAACCACTGCTCAATGAAATAAAAGAGTACACAAACAAATGGAAGAATACTGGGGGAACCTACCCCCAATATTTTAACATAGGTCCTTTCTATTCTCTGTAAGTGTTGACTGGCTGAGAAATAAAGAGAGACAGTACAAAGAGAGGAATTTTACAGCTGGGCTGCCAGGGGTGACATCACATATTGGTAGGACCATGATGCCTACCTGAGTCTCAGACCAGCAAGTTTTTATTAAGGGTTTCAAAAGGGTAGGGGGTGTAAGAACAGGGAGTAGGTACAAAGATCACATTCTTCAACACGCAAAAAGCAGAACCACTGATAAGGGTCCAACAAAGATCACATGCTTCTGAAGGAACAGGACAAAGGGCAAAAGGAGAACCACTGATAAGGGTCTGTGTTCAGTGGTGCATGTATTGTCTTGATAAACATCTTAAACAACATAAAACAGGGTTCGAGAGCAGAGAACTGGTCTGATCACAAATTTACCAGGGCAGAGTTTTCCCAGCCCTAGTAAGCCTGAGCGTTCTGCAGGAGACCAGGGCGTATCTCAGTCCTTATCTCAACTGCACAACATAGACATTCCCAGAGCGGCCATTTATAGACCTCCCCTCAGAATGCATTCCTTTCCCAGGGTATTAATATTAATATTCCTTGCTAGGAAAGAATTTAGCAATATGTTTCCTACTTGCACGTCCATTTATAGGCTCTCTGCAAGAAGAAAAATATGGCTGTTTTTGCCCGACCCCACAGGCAGTCAGACCTTATGGTTGTCTTCCCTTTTTCCATAAAAATCACTGTTATTCTGTTCTTTTTCAAGGTGCACTGATTTCATATTATTCAAACACACATGGTTTTTTTTTTTGTTTTTTTTTTTTTGAGACGGAGTCTTGCTCTGTTGCCCAGGCTAGAGTGCAGTGGTGCGATCCTGGCTCACTGCAAGCTCCGCCTCCTGGGTTGACGCCATTCTCCTGCCTCAGCCTCCTGAGTAGCTGGGACTACAGCAAACACACGTTTTACAATCAGTTTTTACAGTTAACACAATTATCACAGTGGTCCTGAGGTGACATACATCTTCAACTTACAAAGATAACAGGATTAAGAGATTAAAGTACAGACAGGCATAAGAAATTATAAAAGTATTATTTCGGAACTGATAAACTTCCATATTAAGATGAAATCTTCACAATTTATGTTGTTCTGCCACGGCTCCAGCCTGTCCCTCCGTTCGGGGTCCCTGACTTCCTGCAACAGAAGAACAATCCATGCTCATGGATAGGAAAAATCAATATAGTGAAAATGGCCATACTGCCCAAAGTAATTTATAGATTCAATGCCATCCCCATCAAGCTACCAATGACTTTCTTTACAGAATTGGAAAAAACTACTTTAAAGTTCATATGGAACCAAAAAAGAGCCTGCATTGCCAAGACAATCCTAAGCAAAAAGAATAAAGCTGGAGGCATCACACTACCTGGCTTTAAGCTATACTACAAGGCTACAGTAACCAAAACAGCATGGTACTGGTACCAAAACAGATATATAGACCAATGGAACAGAACAGAGGCCTCAGAAATAACACCACACATCTACAGTCATCTGATTTTTGACAAACCTGACAAAAACGAGAAATGGGGAAAGGATTCCCTATTTAATAAGTGGTGCTGGGAAAACTGGCTAGCCATATGCAGAAAACTGAAACTGGATCCCTTCCTTACACCTTACACAAAAGTTAATTCAAGATGGATTAAAGACTTAAATGTTAGACCTAAAACCATAAAAACCCTAGAAGAAAACCTAGGCAATACCATTCAGGACATAGGCATGGGCAAGGACTTCATGACTAAAACACCAAAAGCAATGGCAACAAAAGCCAAAATTGACAAATGGGATCTAATTAAACTAAAGAGCTTCTGCACAGCAAAAGAAACTACCATCAGAGTGAACAGGCAACCTACAGAATAGGAGAAAATTTTTGCAATCTACCCATCTGGCAAAGGGCTAATATCCAGAATCTACAAAGAACTTAAACAAATTTACAAGAAAAAAACAAACGACCCCATCAAAAAGTGGGCAAAGGATATAAACAGACATTTCTCAAAAGAAGACGTTTATGCAGCCAACAGACACATGAAAAAATGCTCATCATCACTGGTCATCTGAGAAATGCAACTCAAAACCACGAGATACCATCTCATGCCAGTTAGAATGGTGATCATTAAAAATTCAGGAAACAACAGATGCTGGAGAGGATGCGGAGAAATAGGAACACTTTTATACTGTTGGTGGGACTGTAAACCAGTTCAACCATTGTGGAAGACAGTGTGGCAATTCCTCAAGGATCTAGAACTAGAAATACCATTTGGCCCTGCAATCCCATTACTGGGTATATACCCAAAGGATTATAAATCATTCTACTATAAAAACACATGCACACATATGTTTATTGCAGCACTATTCACAATAGCAAAGACTTGGAACCAACCCAAATGTCCATCAATACTAGATTGAATTAAGAAAATATGGTACATATACACCATGAAATATTATGCAGCCATAAAAAAGGATGAGTTCATGTCCTTTGTAGGGACATGGACGAAGCTGGAAACCATCATTCTCAGCAAACTATTGCAAGGACAAAAAACCGAACACCGCATGTTCTCACTCATAGGTGGGAATTGAACAATGAGAACACTTGGACACAGGATGGGGAACATCACACACCAGGGCCTGTTGCGGGGTGGGGGCCTGGGAGAGGGATAGCATTAGGAGAAATACCTAAAGTAAATGACGAGTTGATGGGTGCAGCAAAGCAACATGGTACATGTATACCTATGTATCAAACCTGCATATGGGCACATGTACCCTTGAACTTAAAGTATAATAAAATAAATAAATAAATGCATTTGCAATGCTGTAAGATTATGTCAAAGTTTTCTTTATGGAGCTGAGCCACTTTGCATTTCCACCAGCAACATATGGACACAACTTCCTTCACAGCCATACCAAAGAATGTATTGGAAAGTTTTTGAAATTTCTCCCAATAAGAGAGAAACTGCAGCATAGTTTTCATTTGCATTTCTCTTATGTGTTAAGATGTGTTTAAAGATTATCTGCATTTTTTTGTGACTTGTCTATTGATCACTTTGTTACCTACTTCCGGATTCACTTAATTTCTTCAAGTCAGCCTATTTCAGGTCCTTCTTATTTTTCTGTTCACTGTTGAGTCTCATCTGAACCACTCCATCAGCTTCCTAGCTGGTCTGCCTCCTTCCACCCTCACCTGCATCCCAGCATATTCTCACAGAGCAGCTAATCTGATCTTTTTCTTAAAGAACTATCAGTATTCCCTGGGCTATATTCCTCCAATGGCTTCTCATCACAAAGTCTATAATCTTTGTCAAGGCTCATATTGCATACAAGGTCTTAACCCACCTGGTCTGCCTTTCACTCTGCTGCAGCCATCCTTGTGTCTTTCTGTAAGGTCTTAACCACCTGGCCTGTCTTTCAATCTGCTGCAGCCACCCTTGTGTTTTTTTGTCCTTTGGTCAAACCAAGTTTGCTTCCATTTAAGGAACTCAAAAGCAGCTATTCCTCTGTGTGGAAGCTCTCCACATCCTCACAAGTTTCCCCTCACTTTTAGAACTGCTCGCATGTCACCTAAGGAAAGCAGCCAACTTCTGCCTCCTTCCCTACTGTAAAACTGCCCTCCTCTTCAATCCATTGCTCTGTTTTACTTTCTTCTAAACATTTCACCACCTCACATTCTTGATTATTCAAGTGCTATTGATCCCTAGCTCCCTCTAGAATGTAAGGTTCAGAGTTAGGATGGGCAGTCTGTCTTGTGTAGTACCATTTGCCCTGCATCTGGAACACATATGCTCATTACATATGTTTCAGTATACCTAAAACTAGTTAAGTTCTCCCAGTTTTCCCACATCTTCTAAGATTTCTTCTAGTGCTGTCTCCTGATTGGTCATCTAAGACAGCATCAGAACTCTTAAAGGGGCAGCTATTCAGAACTGCCAGGAACTGCAAAAGAGCTACCAAGAATCACAAAAACTTTAATGAGAAATGCTAATATCCAGTGAATAGTCAATGGTTAACTTCAGTTTGGCAAAGGAACATTTAATACTAAACTACCCTAACTACAAAATGACTCATCCCATTGATTTATGTTCTGAGACAAAAATATACCATCTGAATTTTATAGGGAGGTACAATGCATCAGTTATCAAAGTACATTTTTTATCTGTGTCCGCATGATCAAACAAAATGGAACTGTGTATGATGTTACTATAAAAGATATACAGTCATAAATGACAAGTAAATAAGTAATGCTCCAACCAGTCCATGGTATACCAATATTCTATTAGAAGGCATGAGGTAGAACAGGGTGCAGGTGCACAGGCATGGAAAGACATCCTGGAGTGCTCTCTAGATGTCAAGCACTGTTTCAGGAACTTATGTCATTATTTCACTGTGTTAGGTAAAAGTTAGGAAGCAGCACATATACAGTAATCTTGTTTTTGAAGAAATGTTATATTCACATGCATAAAGATTAAGAAAGAATCAATATCAGAATCATAATGAATATTAGCTTTGAGTATTCTGAGTAGAACAAATTACTTTTCTGTATTTTCTGTATGTTTTCCATTAAACACATTGGAAAGGAGGGCTTAAAATAGCTACTGAAAAGAGGACAAGTCTGTTGCTCAGAGGCTTTTTCACTTCATATTGTCCATTCTTTCCTTCCCTCACCGCTAGGGTAGGGGAAAGAAATGGGTCACTGGAGAGCACCTTTACCTCCCAAATTAGTAAAGCTTCTAAAGTCAGAACATAAAAGGCTGCATGAAAAATTGGTGAGTAACAGTGAAACTGGATAATAAGATCACAGTACCTTACTTTGTGTTACAGTTACTACCTTGAGTTACATTAGCTAGGCTGCTAAATGAAGGTAAGGTAGTAAAAAACACTTTTGAGTAATCTGAAATCTATTCCAGGTTCTTAGAAACAGCTTTCTGAAATGCCTTAAATAAATCTCGTTCTTCTGAAATGTTTCAGGAGAGAAGACAAAAGTAAAGCATAACTTGTGTCTAATTTTTTCTAAACAACCGAAATAATTTAATTCCTCATTGAAAAAAAACCAAAATGTTTCACATCTAAGTAGAAATTTCTCAGTTTCCAGGAGTACCAATATAAAATTGTCTCAAATAAAGATTTTAGAAGCAAACTTTCAATGTGTCTATACTTTTATCATTTGGTGCTTTGCTGTGTTCCTATGAAAAGTTAATAGGCAAATGATGAAATTGAGATTTTGCTTATTGTTTTATTGAATTCCACACAAATACAATTAAAAAGACAAATTGAAATAAAAATTTAATGGTCATGGTAATCAACACAAAATGAGAAATTCTGTGCTCACAAACTTTTTTTAAAGCTATTCTGCTGTAACACTCCTTATCACCCTATGCTTAATGCCTGGTTCCTTACCTGCCTCTTGCCACCTTCTCCTGTCCCACACACTCTCAGCTTCAATTCACAGTAACCAAGAGAAATTCTTTAGAATTTATCAACTTGTTTATTTGAATGACAAACCTGAGCTATTTCACTACCTCTACTTTTATTCTTATCCATTGAAATAAATGTATAGACATGAGATAGGGCCAGGCAAGATGGCAGATGCCTGTAGTCCCAGCAGCTCAGGAGGCTGTGGTGGAAAAGTCTATTGAGCCCAGGCCAGCAATTTGAGGCCAGCATGGGTAACGTAGTCAGACTCTCCTTTATTTAGAAAAAAATGAAGAGGTAAATGTTGCCTTTGAGTTGTGTAAAATGAACTTTAAATGGAATAAATAATTTTAAAAATCATTTAAAAATCATTTTAAAAGACAGGTCTACTTTACAGTAAAATATAAGATGTATTCTGGAGTTTTAAAAACTTTAAAGAACTAAATTCAGCATATCTATCATTTCCATGTCATTCTGAGGACTTACAAACCTTAGTTCTGTTTAGTAGCTGTTTTACTAGTCATTTAAGATCTCTTTTTGTTTCTTCATTAGCAATATAGGGAGAACATACAGAGGCCTTATCTGTATTTGGAGGGGCCAAATGAGACATACATAAAATGTGTTGTAGGCCGAGCAAGGTGGCTCACGCCTGTAATCCCAGCCCTTTGGGAGGCCAAGGTGGACAGATCACGAGGTCAAGAGATTGAGACCATCCTGGCCAACATGGTGAAACCCTGTCTCTACTAAAAATACAAAAATTAGCTGGGTTTGTTGGCATGCGCCTGTAGTCCCAGCTACTCAGAAGGCCGAGGCAGGAGAATCGCTTGAACCCAGGAGGTGGAGGTTGCAGTGAGCCGAGATCGCACCACTGCACTCCAGCCTGGCAACAAAGTGAGACTCCGTCTCAAAAAAAAAAAAAAAAAAAAAAGTGAAAAAAGTGTTGTAAATCCTGAAGAATGACAATAAAGAGTCTATTTTGGGCTGTCATCCAAAACTACTCGTCTACTAACTCATGTATAAAATCACTCAGAGTCTTACCTTACACTTTCAAGCAAAGCAGAAGTTTACACAAGTACTTACGTGCTTTGTGGATAAAGGTATAATCAATTAATTCATATAACGTATTTATTTATTCTAAGACAATTCTGAAATATCCTGAAAAGTGAGTATAGTACATCCCAGTTACAAAGTCACATTCATCATGAGTCTTAATTATTCTACCTTTTTAAAAACTTAAGAGCCCAACCAAAGTTTTTATAGAAGAGCTACAAGACATTTCCTCTAAATTAATGAAATCTCTGACATTTAAATGAAACCAATGAACCAACTGGATTTAAATATCTTTACAATACAGTGTTTTCTATTTTGGAAGATTTACTTTTTATTCAAGACATATTGTTATCCAGAATTATTTTTACCTAGATTTATCTCTTTCCAAAATTTTAGAGGCAAAATTTTAAATGTTTCCTCTTTTCTACCTCTTCCCATCCCCCTGCCTCTCCCAGAAGTTTAAAGTCTGAAGAACTCCTACTCTCTTATCTTTGAACAAGATGCTACTGGCAGGAGGGGGAAAGAGGAACCATGGCAACAAACACTCTTGCATAGTTAAGGTCTGGCATTTTGACTTCCAATCTTTACATTACAAATTGAAGTCCAAACTTATGTTTCATCTCTTTGAAGCTTTTGATCATGAACCGCCCCACTTCTCTTTTAGAACAAGGAGGTAAATGAAGTCTGTTAAGTCACCAAAATAAATGTGGAGACCCATTTTGTGTTAAACTGGGAATTTTCTTTCTTTCTTTTTTTTTTTCGAGACGGAGTCTCGCTCTGTCTCCCAGGCTAGAGTCCAATGGCACATCTTGGCTCCCTGGAACCTCTGCCTCCCGGGTTCAAGCGATTCTCCTGCCTCAGCCTCCCAAGTAGCTGGGATTACAGGGGCTCACCACCATGCCTGGCTAATATTTATTTATTTATTTATTTTTAGTAGAGACGTGGTTTTGTCATGTTGGCCAGGCTGGTCTCAAACTCTGGACCTCAGGTGATCCACCTGCCTAGGCCTCCCAAAGTGCTCGGATTACAGGCCTAAGCCACCCTGCCCAGTGTAAACTGGGAATTTTAAAGTAAACAGAACTTCATGGGTAAATTCCTTTGGGGGGAAAACACGTTAATTTTTCTGCAGCCCTGGCAGTAGCACTTCACATCTTTCCCAATTATTTTAAGCACGCTCCATTTTCTTTCCTTCTGTGTTCAAATTATAGTTAGAAGGAATTAGCAGCTTCTATCAAGGTGACTTAAAACAACCTATTAAGAATACCATGGCAACCTCTATTTTGAATTTAAATAAGAAATTCCAAAATATTTGGGTATGAATTGTCCTGAGTATTAGTATTAGTATTATTTCTTCCATACGCTAATAAATGGAAGGAAGGGAACACTTGGGCACTTACCTGGTTCCTTTACTTAGGCACCATCTGGATAGGTAAAGAGAGAGAATGGATAGGTACTGGAATGCTGGGGTATTTGAGATATTATTTAGAAGCAGGAGAGAATATACCAAAAAAAAAAGCCTCAAATAATGCTTCTTATGCCAAAGGATAATAAATAGAGACACAAGCAGGAAGAGGCACAAAGTGGAGGGTCCAATGCCAGCCTGGAAGAATGAGATGAGACAGCAAGAACTAGGCATTTAGGTAGAGAGGAAAAAAATTCACTGGACCCTGTGGGGAAAGACTAAGGGGTGGGAATACAAGGCAGAGCCAGTCTTTGTGCCTGGTGCCCAGCCCTGGGAAAGCTGGCTACAGGCATGAAGGAGACCTATGTAGAGGATACCTCCCAGGGGACCCTGGGGACAGTGGCAGCCAAAGGTGTGCCAAGAGCAGATGGCATCCATCACCTCCTTACCTTCTGGAATCTCTTGGTCATGGATGTGGTGTACATGGAGGCTCTCAACAGCTTCAAAAGCAAATTCAGTAGGCTATACAGCAGCAGGCACTGGTGCTACTGGCGTTGTGTTCCCAGTTATTGCCTCACAGATCTCAGGCTCACAGGGCCACACACGACCCCGGTGCCAGCCCCACTTGGGGCACACACAACAGTTCAGTGTGTTCCCCATGGGGGGCCTCTACTCCTCTCTGCCACTACCTGTGCCTTAGCTTGCAGGTTTGGCCTCTCACACCTGCTGCTCTAGGCCAGGGCTTCACTGCGCCTGCAGAGATGGTCTTGCCTGCTGCTCTCCTGACTGCCCCACAGCTCAGCCTTGGGTGGGGCTCAGGCCAAGGCCCGCACCCCACCGCCTCCCTTGAGCTGACTTGTCTGGGAGGGTGAAGACCAGCTGGCTTTTAAATAGGTTGTGAACCCAACAAATGCTGAAGAGACACTACAGCTGCCTGAAGAGACAACAAAGGGAGCTGCTCCTCCTTCTGCAATCACCTCCAGACTGAAGCCCACTGACCCAGGGGATCCCAGGCATGTGGCTCACAATGCCCCACCCGGCTGCCCTATCCCACAGTTCACAATGCCCTGCCCAGCTGCTGCCCTGCCCCACAGCTCACAGTGTCCCAGACTGGGCTACCCCACCCTGTCATTTATGATGCTGCTGCTTTCCTGGCCCCTTGTGCAGTGCTATTGGGACTAATGCTTTCATTCATCACAGGCTTTCTGAGCTTTTAGGTCCTGAGGAAAGCACAGGCCAATTTGTTAGTTGAAGCCATCCTCCTCTATAAGTTCTGCAGGAAGTCCCAGTTAGTAGAATGGGTCCCATTAGCAAGTTCGTTTTGCCAAGTAGTACATTTTTCATTTGCTCACTGAATTTAGATATGCCTAAATTGTTGAATGTTTTTGTATCTAAACACTCTCCTCCCTCTCCTCCTGTCTTCCAAGGGGTAATTTTTGTCAGAACTTTGTCCATAGCAATTCCTGGGACCCTAGTTCTACTCTCAGTAAGGAGTTATCACTGTGTATCTTGCATGAGATCCCAGGACACATCCTGCCTCCACTTCCTTGTTTATAAAATAGGGAACTAACTTGTCCCCACAAGCTCTGAAATACTGAAACTAGCCCACTCCCTTTTTTCCCCTCTGTGTCTTCCTTCCATGGCAGGGTTTTTCTGATTTTGTTTCTTTGATTATCAATGCACTAAGCATGATTTTCTCATACAAACTTGAGAACCATAAAGTAGAGTACCATAGTCCTAATTCAATAAAGATGAATAGTCAACAACTGGCAAACAGCATGTGCCTGACAGTGTTCCAACTGTGGTATGCTCATTTAACCCTCAGAAATAATCTCATTTTACAAATTTTACAGAATAAATTGAGATGAAGAAGTAAGTAAGCTCCCCAAAGTCACATGACTGCTCAGGGGTAGCCAGGATTTGATTCCAGGTAGTCTATATTCCCCAATTCCCCCAGCCTGATTATCAGAAAGTGAAGGTGGAAGTCGATCTTTTAGAGGAAGTGATATTGTAGGTTCGTATAATTTTTGAAAGAACAAAGATTTTTTTCATGTCGATTTAAAAATGTCTCCCCTTCATTCTTCATTCAGTGGCTGACACTGTCCCCAGGGTACCCTGGGAGGTATCCTCCACATCGGCCTGTAGCCAGCTTTCCCAGGGCTGGGCACCAGGACCAAAGACTGGCTCTGCCTTGCATTCCCACCCCTTAGTCTTTCCCCACAGGGTGCAGTCAATTTCTTTCCTCCCTACCTAAATGCCCAGTTCTTGCTGTCTCATCTCATTCTTCCAGGCTGGCATTAGACCCTCCATTTTGTGTGTCTTCTTGTTTGTGTCTCTAAATTATCCTTTGGCTTAATAATAATTAAGTCCCTTCTACGTGCCAGGCACTGTATATATGAAACAGTCCCCACTCTCAGAGAGTTTAGGCAGATAAGCAAACAAAGGCTTAGAAAGTTCAGTTTTCTGAGACCACACTTCTGGACAGTGCATGAACCTGGGATACAAACCCAGGTCTATTTGATTCCAAATTTGGTGCTGGGGTGGTTTTAATTTTATTCTGAAAACATGAGAATCTTTGAACCATACAAAGGTGAGGCATCACTGTCAGATGTGTGTGCAGTGTGGTCACTCTGAACAATAATAAAGGATTGCAGGAAACAACAGGACCAACTAACAGGCTTCATCTTAAAGAAGAGTAATGTTAAAGGCAGTGGCAGTGATTAAAGCAAAGGGAAAAGTTTTGTGATCATTGGGAGATAGAATAGGTAGTGCTTGGTAATTATATGTTAAGAAGAGGGGAGATACAGGGAAAACAGAGCTGCTAAGGCTCTGGTGTGGGGGACTGGGGAAACAGTGGTGCCTTTCTCCTAGCAGAGAATGTAGGAAGAAAAATAGGTAAGAAGGAAAAGATAGGTTTTTAGTCTCAGCATCACATTAAAATGGAGCTCTCTAGTCAAGAGTTGGATATAAATCTCTGTAGACTAAGTCCATTTGTGACATCCCAACATATATTTTCAAAAATAATACACATACTAAATCAAACCATTAAGAGTAATTGGGGAAATTCCCTAAAATTTACATGCTAAAAATGTCACCATATTTTAGCAATTACTTTTATGGAGCAACTTTGAATCTATGTTTATAGCAAATGAGGCATCTTGTATAAAATAAAGCTATTAAATGAAAACATTTATAATTGTTTTGTCCTCAAAGAATAGAGAAGGCAACTGAAGCCATGAGCATGGAGACAATTGCCTTGAGAAGTTGTGTATAGCAAGGGGAATCGGAAAGAAAGACTTGGAGAATAGGGAGATTTACATGGCATTAAGTGAAGCTTGCAAAAGCTAGGCCAAGTCAAGCGACCTGCATATGAATCAGGAATAGCTGCTCCACTGAGTCTTATCAGAATGGAGAGGATGTCTGCTTCTCATTTCTATAACAGCAGGACCTAACGCAGTGCCTGGTCAATAGGTGCTGAATACATATTATCCCAATGCACAGAGTCAAATTTTGCCAGGAGGGCAGGACAGCTAAACGTTGTCTATGGCAACTTAGTGACAAGGGATGTGCATGAGTGAGCTGGATGTCAGGCAGTGGGGAAAGTGAACTGGAGGTGAGAAAACAATGACACAAACTGAGGGCTTCTCTTCCCAAATATTTCGCTGAGAAGAGAGATGAGGTAGTAAAGGAGATACATGGTAAAGCAAGCCTTTTTATTCTGAGATTTTTAAAAAGGGTGGGTATAGTTCTATGTTAAAGGGTAACAGCCAATACAGAAACCTCATTTTTGAAGTCAAGAGAGAAGAAAAAACACAAAAGGGCCCTGAGAAGGCACAAGTGCATGCAGTCCAGATCAAGGAGAGATTAGTTTTGGACTCAGACAAAAGCAAGAAGGGAGAAAGGACCATGTGACTATAGAAATATTTCTGGTAGAGGGGAGGTTTAGGAAGAGCTCTTTCGAAGACCTGTATTTTTCTCTGTTTTAATAGACTTTTCAGAAAACTACTCTGGAAAAAGAAATTCTTTATAGAGAAGTCTACACTTGTTGATACACCTATCAAGAAAAGCTTGATACACCTAATGAAAACCAAATAATGTCTTCTCTAAAAAGCAGGTAACTTGAAAAGCAATTTGAGCAGAAATCAAGGAGCTCAAGTATAAATAAGTATATAACAAAAGTAAAACATGAGTTTAATTTTTCTCACGAAGAGTTAAATAGCAACAACTTTGGAGGTAGAGTAAAAAATAATTAATAAAATTATATGCATTTGCAAAAAATGTATTTACAAACCCTATAACCATAAAAGTGGCCATGAAAAGGGCCCAGAGGAATTGTTATCATAGGAAGAAAAGGATCACTTCAAAAAACAGGGCAGGAGTAATGATTAATATTTAATTTATTTCTGTTGAAAAATTTAAATAAAGTTTGAGGACAAGTATAGGTGATATGTTGAAATGCGGGAGACCACAGTGGAAGGAAAAGAATTCAAGAAAGTTCAGTTTCAGTAACTAACATCTAGTGAAATCCTCAGGATCCAGTGGCTGCATTCTGTGTTAAGAATAATATTGTCTGAAGTCCTAGAATTTTGAACTTGCTAAGCAGGAAAATATTGGAAAGCACTGTTATAAAAACAGCTTTTAAAACATTTTAATGGAAAGGAATATTGATGTACATTTAAAAAAAATCTTATCTTTCTATAACATTGGCAAGGCTGAGGCAGTAAAGATAAAAAAATAGAGTAATGTGATTTGATCAGGAGTTTGATTATGTGAAATAAGCTGAGACCTTGTTTACTCATGACTCCAGAGTGAACTATTAATTTATTCATTCATTCAATACCCATTTGATACCTGAGCCCTTAGCACATGCCATACACTTTGTGTGAGCGCTGGGGATATTGCTTTGACCAACATAAACAAGATTCTTATTGTTCTGAAACTTATCTTCTAGTAAATAAGTTAATAGACTGTGTTGCCCTTCACTCCTGCCTGCATTACCTAGGAGGGCTAGTGATGTCCAGCTATTGTATTTTCATTCCAGACTGCTTGGTAGATGAAGAGAAGAAGGAGGAAGGATTTATAGAAGGTACACATAGCACAGTGCTTACAAATCACTGGCTTAGTCAAATAGCTATAACAAGCTGCAGGGAAGCTCAGAAAATATAATCACATAGCTAGGGTGATAAATGCAGAAGAAACAATTGGATATGAAAAGGAAACTAGCATGATATGCCACAATCTCTAAGGGAAGATTAGGGAAGTTTCAGCCTAAAGTAAGAATAATCAAAACAAAATTGTATAATCTTTTGCAAGTACATATGAAAAACATACAAAGTTTGCCATAATCTTTCCTTAAGCTAAGAGAACAGAAAAAGTGGAAAGAAGATTAAACTATAGAATGAAGTGTTGGTTTAGAGGCAAGAAAGATTTTACGGCAGTCAAAAATCAGTCTTATATTGTTGCAGGATTTAGGAGGACAAGAGATACCTCGGGTTAAAACAGGAGAATCTCTTATTGAGTGCACTCAGGCCCAGCAGACTCACATCCAAAGACTGGGCCTGAAACAAAGACAGCACTTGACTTTTATACACACTTCACAAAAGGGGGTAGGCTAGCTTGAAGCAAGCTTACAGTGGCATGAAAGCAGGATACAGAGACAGGACAAAGACAGTTAATCAAATTGTAACAGGTTCATAACTCAGGATTGCACATAACTGTTGCTATGAAACCCAGATGTCCATTATCTAGGTTTGCCTAGGCACGGGCTTATCCCATAACCTTCACTATGGTGTCTAGATAGCTGTAGTTCAGGCCTGCTCAGCCTTCTCATGACCTTTGCTGTGCTTTTTAGATAAAACAGAATACTTGAAGTTACTGGTTACAGAGAACAAGAATCTATAAACTCATACCCTAAAACAAAGGAAAATTTTTCTTCTCCCTATGTTGAGGGAGTGCTGGGAGAGTCTCCAGAGTACATTAGATAATATTATCAAGACTTTTCTTGGGTCTGGGATGTGCCAGTTTGTGCCTCTGGGACAAGTCAGCCTAATACAGGAAAGCTTATTTCTCTTTCTTTTCAATTTTATTTTTCTTCAATTTCCCACCTCATTATGGTATATTATGTGTATATTGTGAGTAATTGGATTTATCTTGGATATATTACTTGACTTTTTAAAAAGTCATTTTTGATGGGAAATTTCCCAGGTGTTCTATAAAGTACTGTCCCATCAGACATTAATAATAATCTTCCATATTCTTGAGTATTTTAATGACTCCTTCTAAAGTCTTCCATTTTTTAGTTTAGATTAACCTGGGAATGATGTTTGAGTATTGTCTCATCCAAACTGCTGTTACCCATCCCCATCATAAGTCAGAGAGGTCTTGGTTATTTTGTGCTCTAGCAATTAATTCATCATGAACCCTGGAGTTATTTGCTATTCCAATCATTTGTGCTAATTCACTTCTCATAAGCATAATGGATTTACCATTGTTAACCCATAAACCATATAGAACTTATACATCTGGTTTGAGCCCGTGTGCTAAAGTTCTACATATACCCTGTAACTCTTCCCTAGTATAAAACTTATTTTCAGTAGAGATAATATTTCTGCACTCATGTCCCTATGTAACTTTTACTGTTACTGCTGGTCAGGCTTTCTGGGGTCATCATAACCTCCTGGGTCCTCTGCATGAGGGACATATTCTTCAGGATAACTTTGTAATAAATCTTTTATCCATCTAAATCAATAGTACCTAAAGTCTTGAGTAACAAGGTTAGTACTTGGTTTTTCTTAGCTCTGTGAGCTAATGTGACCAATGCCTGAGGTTGTGTAATAAGGCCAACAATCAGCCAGGTCTTTGCCAGAACTTTTTTTCTAATACATTTCTCTACTGATTTCCAGGGGTCACTGCATGTCAATATATGAGTTCTGGCATCGCAATTTGTTTAAATGTTTTGTGAATGACTAGCAACATAGTAACTTAATATAATTTCAAATATAATTTGCAAGTAAAATGTTGACATGGTTTGATTGTGTCCCCATCCAAATCTCATCTTGAATTCTCACATGTCATGGGAGTGAGTTGGTGGGAGGTAATTGAATCATGGGGGCAGGTCTTTCCTGTGCTGTTCTCATGATAGCGAATAAGTCTCACATTATCTGATGCTTTTAAAAAGTGGAATTTCCCTGCACAAGCTCTCTTTTCTTGTCTGCTGCCATGTGAAATGTGCCTTTCACCTTCTGCCACAATTGTGAGGTCTCCTCAGCCACATGGAACTGTAAGTCCAATAAGCCTCTTTCTTTTTGTAAATTACCCAGTATATATAATCACTGTTTTCAGATTCTAAAAGTAATTTTGGATAATTCCACTAAATCAAGGCAAATGAACACTTGAATTCAGTTCTATTCCTACCCAAATTCCATTAAAATGACTGAATATAAACAATTGAATAAGAAACATAAAAACTGAGCATAAAAAACTAAAAGGAATTAAAAAATAAAAAAAAGAAATGAAAAAAGCAAACAAGTGATGGCTTCAAAGTTATAGAAATTGGAAAATGGATGGTCTAATGGTTGCTGACATAAAACAGAAAAAGTTGAAATCCAGCTCTCAGACTTGAGGGACTCCCATAAAAAGAAAGCTACCTAATGCTTTGGGATAGAGTGAAGACAGCCACCATAACAACAACAACAACAAAATGAAGTAGGCAATACAGAGTAGCAATGGCAAAACTTAAATATTATTACCACAAGTAAGTGTGAGAATGCTTAGTGTGTACATTGTCTAATCAGCCCACAGCGTTCTGATTGTTCATGTAACTCAACACGGTGAGCGGTGAGCTAATCTCATTAAGCCTAATCCTAAGCAAAGCCAGAAAGTCACTGATGCTGTTTTTGGCCTGAGAGTTCTTAAGCTGTCATTCTCAGTTGAGGGTGGCTAGATATTTCAGATAGCCATGAAAATTAAGTGCTTCTTAAAGCAAACAAAGAAATGTCTCAGAGAACAAGACAAGAGAATAGGAAAAGAACAAGAAACAGAACAAGAAAACATCACTATATAGTAGAAGGATGCCTGTTCAAAGATTTTGTTCGGTAGCTGCTTAAGTCCTTCTTGGATCTGTAAAGACTATCATGTGTGGTTAACTTCTCAATGATCTGACCACACTCTTCCAACCACTGAGCTCCATTTTTCAATGTGTTGCTGGCTTCTTGATAGCCTTTCAGCCACTCCTCATAATCATCCTCAGAGAGAACAGCGTAAGCCACAGAGTGCACAAGCCTGCAAATCAGCCACTGGTGAATGGAAGCAAGCAGAGTGTTTTACCTCACAGGGGACATCACACATGCTCAAAAGTTAAAGAAACCACTGCTTTTTAAGGACACTTTAATTCAACATTTACACAGTTCCAAAGGGATATTTAAAAACAGTTCTCCCATTTTCTAACTAAACCACTTCTACCGCAAGATGGAGAGTGCACAGTAAGTTGCATGAGTTAATTCCCCACAGCAGAGAGACACAGGACCTGTGCATTATCCATGTGTACATGTACAGTAAGCAGGTATCAATATGAGGAAGCAGGAAGTATGTTTCAACATAGCAACATAATGCCCAATGTGCCTTGAGCTCAGGAGTTTGAGAGCAGCCTGGGCAACATAGGGAGACTCCTTCTCTACAAAATAAATATTAAAAAAAACCAGTCTTGGTGGCATGTACCTGTGATCCTAGCTGCTTGGGAGATTAAGGTGGGACAACTGCTTGAGCCCAGAGGTTTGAGGCTACGGTAAGCCATAATCACACCACTGTACTCCAGCCTAGATGACATTATGAGACCTTGTTTGGAAAAAAAAAAAAAGCCTAATGTGCTGTCCCATGAAAGATCCAGTCTTTCAAGCAGCTACACCCATGTATCTGCATGTATTCACAAGTGCATGCATCATGCATTCAGTGGAACACACTAAGGCAAGAAAGCAGCCAGCATCTGAGCATATCTCCAGCTATCATTACTGGCAGGAAAACCTGACATCAGGGTTGTTTAAAGCCTTTCAGATAACACCTTTCCTGCTCACAATGGGTTCCATGAATTTTTTGTTCAAGTCATAGATCAACCAATGTCATAAGCATAAGAGAGGGATAAGAAAACACTGTTTTCTTATGACAGTTATGACAATGTTTGAGTTTTCTAAGAAAGAGACCAGTAACTAAAGTTGATTCTGCATGGGATGCCTCCTCTTTCTGCACTACTGGTGATGAGTTATGGAGGGCTATACAGGTAATTGACTTTGGATTTGGCCACACATCTAGTCCCTGCCATGGGCACAGGAGGAGTAGGTGGGAGGGAAAAGGGGCAGGCAGTAGAAGAATATGCTCCTGTGAAGCCAGCCAACATGCCAGAAAGTACAACTCCAATGGTCAAAAATAGCATTTTCACATTTCACTTACCTTCTGTGGCAAAATATCCAGATGGCATAATGTTTCCTCCATGTATTTTAACACTTTTAAAAGTGTCTCACAAAATACACTATCCTATAAAAATACAGAGACACTGTGGCTGGAAAACCTTTCAATAAACCTTGTAGCCAGCATGCTTCGCATGGCTTTGTATTATTGTTTTTCCAGTGTCCATGAGAATACTGAGTGGTCAAATAGGAATACAGCCTTCGGTTGGGCTCAGGCATGAGCTTTGGAAAACAAATTGGGTATAGATGTGTCCAAACAAGACTAAAATCTGTTCTGTACATAAAAGTCAAACAAAAGCAACACTGGGGAGAGCCAAAGTTGCCAGGAGAGTCATCAGAGAAACATCAGTGCCTACATGCACCCAACTCTGTAAAACTCATATCCCAACATTTATATTTTTGTGCAGAAGTGGAAAGGGTAAAATGCACATCCTAAATTGCTCAAGTACAACTTTGCTCCCTGATACTGAAGAAGCTCCTAATCAGGTAAGACACAACCCAGTAGGCAGCCAATCCATTTCTGCCCAGAAACATTTGGGTGTACACAGCTCATTGCCCTGTGAGTATTTCCATGATGACAGACAGGGCTAGGGTACTGGATTCCACAGATAATCCAATATGCTATAAAGTACATAGTTTTAGGATGCTTTTTAATAAAAAAAAGTAGAAGAACCTAGCTTGAATTTTGGAAAAAATAAAATCCTGTAAAAATAAAATACCTCTATAGAAATAGAATATGCCTCTGTGGTGTTTTCATATGGACACTGTTCTATATTTACAGCCTTCCTCTCTCCACTGCCTCACATTGATGCCTTTTGTACTTTCTGTAGTACTTAGAATTTGATGTCAAATCAACAAAAAGTTTAAGAAACAGATCACGTGAGAACAAAACCTAGACGAAATTAATTTAAGTAGCTATTACTCAAAACATAATTATTTCATGTATAAAATATAATGTTAAATAAACAAAAAGTTTAAGAAACAGATCATGTGAGAACAAAACCTAGATGAAATTAATTTAAGTAGCTATTACTAAAAATAGAATTATTTCATGGGTAAAATATAATGCCCTGAGAATTCCCATGTATTCCTCATTTTTAAAAACCGCTAGTCATACTGTACTCATATGAAACCACCGTTCTTCCCACAATTGGTAACGATTACTAAGATTTTCAACTAATCAGTAATCCTAGAATAGCTTTATATTTTTGACAGTCAAATAAAATAAGCTTAATAATTATTTTCCTCAATACATAAGATCATGATTTAACAAATAAGATTCACAAATTCCTTAGGGAATACATAAAATTAAAAAAAAATAAGATTCACAGATTTCTTAGAGAATACATTTAGATTTGGGTACTAGGAAGCAGACAGGACGAAAAGCCTGACCAAAAGGAGCAGCAATAATGCAGCCACAGATGGACACTGCCCTTGTCCCCACAACATAGCTCTTGGTGATGAAAAAAAAAATTAACCACAACAATTGAGAAGAATAGCTGCTAGAGAACATATATTTACATATCAGAGCACTTAAAGAAGATCATCACAGGCCAACCAAAATTCTTTATCTTCCCAAAGTCACAACACAATGCTGGTAAAACTGGAATCAGAATTTATACTCCAAGGATTTTGCCTGACACATTGAGTTGCTGTTTCTGAAACAACTATTGGCTAAAACTGACCATCTGTGCCATTCTGCCTTGAACCACCATGGGCTTTTACTCCTAAGTCAACTTGACAACCTACCTGAAAGAACCTTTCAACTTTGGGCAAACAATAAGCAAATGATGAGAACCACAGTTAGGAAAAGGAGCTGATTGACAAAGTAGTTGCCAAGAACTCTCTGCTATGCAGGACACTGCACCGATACTTACAGCCCCTTTACAGTGGAGTTAAAGTTGCACTGAAAGACTTTGAACAATTACATCCTTTTTCTGTCACTGGGAGAGTAAAAAATGAAAGGTCACCATTGCTCTGTTGATAGAATGTGTGTCCTACAGCTAAACACCAATAAAAACAAAAGGTGGCCTGACACTCCTAAAAACAGTCAAGCTGTATCTTTCCCTACCTTTTTCCTCAAAGTTGAACGTAACTGTGTATCTCCTAGTCTTTTCATTTACATCTAATGGACATAAACCTATTTATTCCCCTGCCACAAAAATATACTAGCAAAGCTATTTGCAGTAGGAAAAAAAGAAAAAGAGAATTCTAGCACTGGCTGTGTATGTGATTGACTTCTGGATCTACTCTCTAAAAGTATTCTTTACTTTTTTAGCTAGGAATTATCAAGTAACTTGATCTTTAGGTAGCAAACTGGGAGATTCAGTATAGATCCATTTGACTCAAAAGTTCCTCACTGTTTCATCTTTAAACTGGGTAGAAAAAAAATTACAAACCTCTAGAACATTCCCAATTCAGCACCAATAAACTCTTCCTCTCTCCTTTCCTCACCAAAGCATCTATAGTTCCTTACACATCTTTCATCATGGTCCACCCTCACCCACCAAGGCTTTCGTGAGTCCCAATCACCCATAAATTCTTCTTACTGCTATCCACCCACTTGTGCAGCCTCCTTTCATCTCCCACTCATCCTTCCATGCGCAACCTCCAGACTTCAAGCACACACAAGCCTCACCATTCTCCTTTTCTGTACATTCCAATCCATGCCTATGTCAACATGTTATCATTCTGAGACACACCTCAACTATAGCAGCCCTGACCACCCATCTCTGTGGATCTTCAGTTTGGTCCTTCCCAATCAACTTTAAATGCCTAAGAGTGAGGATAGTCTCTCCTCAGCTCTGGATAAATTCCTGCATTCTCTCTCAACTACCTAGTGGTTGTGTGCGCTTACCAAAGATATCAAATCCATGTCTTAGGTTCTCAATATGTAAAGCAACTGCTTGAAAAGAGTGTTATCAAAATTAAGTGAGGCCAGGCATAGTGGCTCATGTCTATAATCCCAGTACTTTAGGAAGCTGAGGTGGGTGGATCACCTGAGGCCAGGAGTTTGAGACCAACCTGACCAACATGGTGAAACCCCATCTCTACTAAAAACACAAAATTAGCCGGGCATGGTGGCGCATACCTGTAATCCCAGCTACTTGGGAGCCTGAGGCAAGAGAATTGCTTGAACCCAAGAGGCAGAGGTTGCAGTGAGCCAAGATCATGCCACTGCACTCTAGTCTGGGCAACAAGAGCGAAGCTCCGTATCAAAAAACAAAAAACAACAACAAAAAAAACAAATTCATGTCTTAGTTTCTCAATATGTAAAGCAACTGCTTGAAAAGAGTGTTATCAAGATTAAGAGAGGCTGGGCACGGTGGTTCATGCCTGTAATCCCAGCGCTTTGGGAGGCCAAAGCAGGTGGATCATGAGGTCAGAAGTTCAAGACCAGCCTCGCCAACATGGTGAAACCCCGTGTCTACTAAAAACACAAAAAGTAGGCGGGCATGGTGGCAGGAGCCTGTAATCCCAGCTACTCATGAGGCAGAGGCAGGAGAATCACTTGAACTTGGGATGAGGAGGTTGTAGTGAGCCGAGATGACAACACTGCACTCAAGCCTGGGTGACAGAGTGAGTCTCCATCTCAAAAAAAAAAAAAAAAAAAAAAAAGATTAAGTAACTTCAGGTAAAAGATTAATTAAAAAGAGATAGGACCACAACTATAACCACAAATGACCTGTTCTTTCTTATTCTCCCATATAATTTAAAATTAATCGGCTGGGTGAGGTGGCTTATGCTTGTAATCCCAGCACTTTGGGAGGCTGAGGCAGGCAGATCACCTGAGGTCAGGAATTCGAGACCAGCCTGGTAACATGGTGAGACCCTGTTTCTACAAAAAATTAGCTGGGCGTGTTGGCACGCGCCTGTAATCCCAGCTACTCGGGAGGCTGAGGCAAGAGAATTGCTTGAACCTAGGAGGTGGAGGTTGCAGTGAATGGAGATCGTGCCATTGCACTCTAGCTTGGGCAAAAAGAGCAAAACTCCATCTCAAATAATAATAATAATAATAATAATAATAAAATTCATCTTCACATCTTAATCCATATTCACCCATTTTTATCTAACTCCCTTCTTGCTTGTCCATTAACTGCTGGTCCTAGTTAATGCAACTAGAAAGTAATGGACAGTCTCCAACAAGAGATGGGCATAAAAAAGTCTGGAGGGCTGCCTAACACGTCCCTCACCTCCATACCCAGAGCACCATCACCACCCACTCCACGAGCTATCACAGTCATCAACCATCCCCAATCTCTCTCGTTAAATATGTAACCCCAAGGGTTGTTGTCTCACCAAAGTTCACACTTGCAAACCTAAAGACTAGATCTGGAAGGTATTTCCTACAAGCGAATGCAGTGCCGACATTTATCCAATAGCTTATAAAGCAGACAGAGCAAGCAATTCATGAATCATTTAACAAACGTTACAGAAAAACTCCCCTAACTTTAGTAACAGGAAAAGATGCAATTCAGATAGCAACAGAACCTGGTTTTAGCATTGACCATTCAGTGTTAAAGAGGCAAAAACAAAAAAAAATTAAGATGCGTTTTCTTATAACAAAGTATAAATATCCTAGGGGAATAAGATAATTTAACAAATGTTTATGAGTCTTAATTTTCAAAACTGCTCTGGGGAAAAATGCTTACACACATGCGCAGTAGAACTGTCCTACATGGACCAAGCCTCTAATGAGATGAATTTATCTCATCTGTCATCATTTGTCACTTTCTCAGATCTCCAGAGGCACGCTCAGATGGAGCTAGGAGAAAGACCTCATAGGACGTGGGAAATGCCAATGAAAATAATGCTCTCATCACATGTATAAACTATTCAGACTGCTCTGCAGCTGCTGATGCAAGAACATCAAACTGTAGAAGTGTAAAGAAAAGGAGCACATGAAACTTTACTTCTGTTGACTAAAACAAAGAAAATAACTTACTTCATTTTCTTTAATAAAAGTCTCAAATTCCAAGGAGAAGAAGATTTGGAGAGATGTTTACTGTATTTAATACTTAAGTACTATATTGAGTCATGCCATACAATCATACAAATGAACTGAGATAAAGCTTTTAAAAAGATATATTTAAAAACTTTCATACACTTAAACTTTCATAAACTCCTTCATACACTTAAAACATATTTTAAGTGTATAAAAGAGATACAGGCCTAGAAAATTCCAGGACTATAAGGATTCCTAGTGTCTGTTCCTGTACCATCTAAAGGAAAAAATAAATAGGCTCTTACCTATTAAAAGTGTAAGTATTAAAATCTCAAAGCAATTTTCTCCCACTCATAAACCCACTCTCTTTCTATCTCTCTCTGCCCCCATCTCTTCTGCTTTCTCTCCCCTTCCCACCCTCTAGCCTCCTGCAACATGTACTATTTTCTGACAAGTCTTCTGGGGTCATAGCTTGCTCTTCTGATAAAAGCTTCTCATTTTTCTTCAGTGACATGGCTGTCTTAACAATTGGCTGGTGTAACTACCTCCAAGAAATGAAGATAAAGAACACAAAGCTGCATGGGTCCATCAGAAATCTTGGGGCTAGTTATGCCTCTGAATTCAGGATTTTCCAATTTTATATAGTTATATGCGCATTCTAGACCATTTATCATAATGCCCCCTGCACGGTCTGGGGTAACACTGCTTGCTATAACATATCCACTTCCTGCAGAAAATTGTATGAAAGTCACATGCAGTGAGATTCATAAAGATTATAATAGCCTCATGTCAGTTCTGATTAGATTTTGCTGCCAAATGACTATTCCCCAAACTTAGGACAAAACTTTTGGAATTCAAAGGCTTTTGGATCTTGGTGCAGATAAGAGATGGTAACTCTGCACCTGGTTTTAGGGCAATTAATCAAATGCTCTTCTTCTTTGGGTTCTTTCAAGTTAGAAGTCAAGAATCACAATTTCTTTCCATCTACAAAATCCCAGATGCTGTGTATGCTGTTTCTAAAGGTTTTTGTTTTTGTTTTTAGACAGGGTCTCACTCTGTTGCCCAGGCTGGAGTGCAGTGGTGCAATCACATCTCATAGCAGCATCAACCACCTGGGCTCAAGCGATCCTCTCAGGTAGCTGGCACTACACGTGTGCACCACTACACCCAGCTATGTCAAAATTGTTTTTTGAGAGATGGGGTCTCTCTGCATTGCCCAGGCTGGTCTTGAACTCCTGGGTTCAAGTGATCCTCCTGCCTCCCAATTTCTGGCATTACAGGTGTGAGCCACCATACTTGGCCTGCTTTCAAACTTTTTAATCTAATCTGGTATTTCCATAACACATCACAGTAGAAAGAATGTAGCCTTTGAAGCCCAGTAGATGTGAATTTAAATTCAGTTTCTTCCACTAAGTGTTTGACTTACTGATGAATAGTGATAGCACTCACCTCTTGGGGTGAGAGAAATAATCAGTGAAGTAATGTATCTGAATGACCAAGTACATGACTGAATAATCATCTCCACAACGCTTTACTCCTCACTACATCCTAAAATACAACTAATAATCTACTTCATCCAGCCTTCACCCATCTTTATTCAGCTCTCTCTGGATCCACCAGTTCCCTTTCTCCTCAGGCTGAGGAATGTTATAATATCCACTGTCTAGCAGCAGGGCTTCCATTCCCAGGAGCCACATCTCTCGGTACGATGGTTACATCAACCACCTCCACGTGCACCCATGGACTCAGCTCTTATGATGACCAGCAAGGTCATCATAATACCTGGTAAATACCTGGTATCTAATTTGACAATCTGTGGTTCCACGTCACCCCAGTATTAATGGTTTAATAGGATTATATTTATTATGATTATTTGCAAGTCCTAATGAATAGGGTATTCTTTTTTACTCCCAGAAATATGACCAAAAAACTTCAATGAAATAACAAAGTGGTACCAGTCTGGCATCTAACACTAAGAGGATGGTATCAACAGGCTCTGTAGATGCTCGTCTTTCTTTGGCATGTGAGTGAGACAGAAGCAGCTGTTCTTGTCTGTCTCTCCCACTTCTGATTGACTAGTCCCTGCCCACTACCCCCAACCTCCATTTTTGCAATGCAGATAAATGTTGCAGCACCCAAGCACCCATGCGATTGAAAGTTCTCCAGTTAAGGTTAGAAGCCTCCTCAAACGCAAGAGGGAAAGGCCTCATTTTTAAAAAGCTTCTGTAAAGGAAATACTATACTCAATCAGTACTTTGTTCTATTTTTGCACACTTCCCTAAGCTAAATTCCCTCTGTTGGTTACAATAAAAATAAACATAATCTGATCTTTGTACTCCATAAGAAAGGAAACTGCAGATGCTAAGAAATAAGCAATTTGTACAAGGTCTGATATTTCACAGGTTTTGCATAGAAGCAAAGGCAAAAACTGACTACAGTACTAAACAGTCAGAAACAATATCACGCTAATATACCCCTTGGAAGTGAACTTCGAATGCACTATAGCCCTTCTAACTGGTCATCATGACAAACTCCCCTGCCCTGCTTGTCCTCATCATCATTTTACCCTGTTGCCCATCTCAAGGGTCCCTATTTGATCTTATTCTTGATATAACCTTTTTTCTATCACTAAATTTCTTCCTCTGAACCATAGGGAGCAAAAATAAAAAAAAAAAATCAGAAAATACATGACCTCCCTTTACTTTAGTGAAGAAGAACCCTCCTATATAGATTAGGGATATTAAGCTTTGACCCCTTCTCTCTCAGCCAGCCAGACAGAAGCCCAGAGGACTGTGAGGCTTCACTGTGTAAGAAATCTTAGGTGCTGAGGCTACAAGAGGCATAGAATATGCCCTTATGTGCAACAAAAAATTAATTTTCCAACTATTGTAGAATGAAAACTAGACTTTTGAAGTTTTTTGCTACTAATATTTTCACACCAATGTAAAAAGATGTGTGGGGAAGCATCTTAAAGAGCAAACAAGTATTGTAATGCAAATAACACTAATAATATAATTACATTAACAACTTTTCAACAGTTCTGTTTTTTCACAGATAGAAAAATAAACATTTAGCTATCATTCTTGCAATAGACATGCTATGTCCAATACACAATCTTCAAGAAAGTAGCTGTTCTAAAATGTGCACAAGTTTGCCACTTACTGCTTCTATGATGACCGAATATGGTGTTCTCACTGTACAAAGCCCAGCTTTTTAGCACCTTCCACCAAAGCAGCTTCATCTGTCAATAAAGAGTTGGTGAAACATTGACAATCACTCATAATGGTAAAATTCTGTTTACTGTCATTTTTCAAATTAGCAAAACTCACTCTAGTTAAAGAGGCCTGGCATTATCTGCACAGTAGTAAGGACTCAGGGTATAGCAGCACTCACTCTTCCTACCACCATGGTCCTGAAATAAGCGCTTCTGTTAAATGGGAGCACATGGACCTAGAGCTAATTCACCAGGAAAGTGATTTACATTCCTGCTACTTTCACGGGCAAGTTCTCTCTAATTAACCTAAGTAGTATTCCCACAACTTTCTGACCAAATGTCACCTCTGAGCAAGGCCATGTTTAGTCGTGTGCTGTGGGACTGCCAGAGCCACACAAAGTGGGGAGAGTGCTTCATACACAGCTTCCACAGCAGTTGGAAAACTCCTGGGGGCTAGGGGATGACAGAAGCTTGCCCTGCTCTCTCTTCAGAGACTTACTTAGCCCAATAGCCACTGCTGGGAAATGCAAGACAGCCTGGGTCCTCCCTCTGTTGTCAGCGTTAGGAGAGTCGGGAGAGCACAGTCCCAGTTCTCTACAGCTCTAACACCTGTAGTCACAGCCTGGTCATGGTATGAGGGCAGGGGCAGACAGCTGAGTCTGTGGCAGAGGTGGCACCATTGCATCATTCACGAATAACTGCCAATACCCTTGTCTCCTGAGGAGGGTCTGGCAGGATGCATCTCACCACAGCCCTCACCTGGGGAGGAGGCGTGGTAGATGATGTCATCTCCATCCTCCTCAGTAACAATCACATGGCATAGGACCAGAAGAATGATGATCTCCTGTATGCAAGGCACTGTGGGCTGCAAATGTGAGGCCTGGTTAGTCATCAGTTACAACACTATCAACATACACCAAGGCTATGTGCAAACCAAACCCACCTAACATCCATTCATGGGTCTCCACTCCCTGCAGGACAAGGTCGAGGTCCCTAGTGTGGAGCCTGGGTCCCTGCAAGTCTAGCTCTCCTTCTGCTGCTGTGGTTTAGAGTCCTTTCCAATGGTCCCACCGTGTCCTGGTTTCAGCCAGCTCTCCCAGGTACGCTTCTGTTCTTTATCTGTTCTTTAAAAGATGTTTTGGTGCATCAGCCACTTTGCCCCAGAAGTCCACTATTCCCCAAGTCTTGGAACTCAGCTCCTGGGCCCCAGTGAAAGTGGTGGCGAGAACAAAGAGAAGCCATGAGCCCTCTGGTGCCTCTGGAGCCCTGCCTTGTCCACGTGCTTCCTCCTCACTTTCCCAAGACCCAGCTAGAACCTGTGTTCCACCTCCCTCACTGATATATTCCCAGACCCGCAGGTAGAAGACATGCCTATCTACCTGACTTTTATAAATGAATTTCCAATTGTAACCAACCTCTTACTAGTACTAAGTTGCTGTTGACTCTTCTGGGCTTCCATAGTGGACAATTATATCATCCAAAAATGACAAGTTTTTCATTTTCTTTCTTATATACACAGTTATTCAGTTCTCCCCTGTCTGCATGGGCTAGCACTTCAAGAATGATGTTCAAAGAGAGGGGTGATAACAGGTTTCCTTTTTCTGAGGTTATTTTAATGCCAATGTATTTTATGTGTCCCTTTTAATTAATGGCTGGGTTTAAATTTGAAATAGATTGGTAGATTTTTATTAAGGAAGCAGCTCTGCACTTGCTATTTCTCATGGAATTTTTCTCTTCTTTGTTAGTCATAAATGAATGCTGACTTCCACAAATTTATTTTTAGTTTATTCTATGACCTGTTTGTTTGACTAGAGAGGAATTTTATGGAAACAAATCCCAACTGTTCACGTGGCCACTTCTTGGCCTACAAGAAAAGAAACTGCACATTATATTATGGTTCAGTGAAATCAAATAGGTGAGCTTAGAAAATTCCCTAAGGTCAACACTGCAAAAATGTAAGAAATTGTATACAAAACACTTTAATTTGGGAATTGAGCTTCAAGATTACCTTCCTCTGCATCTGATAACTATTCAGTCCTAAAAATATCCTTGTACCATAATGAAAAAAATCATAGAGTCCTTGCCCTTATAGCAAATAAACAAAATAGTGAAATATTTTCTGAATTATAAAGAAGAGTGGCACACACATTCAAATTGAGTTTCTACTCTCAGTGGTAAGCCAAATAAAATTCAAAAACAAAAAAATTCCCAGGACCAAATTAATCTACTTTTCCTTCCCTACCTAACTTGGCATTCTATAATAAATTAGGGAGAAGAGGCAAATTTAATCTGAAGCCTATGGATGCATGTACACATGTATATGTATACATGTATGTATGTATAATATATGTGTGTATATATATATCTTCTTAGAAGTTACAGGTTTTCATTGTATATATACATGCCATATTTATCATCTTAACCATTTGTAAGTGTACAATCCAGTGGCATTAAATGCAATTACAATGCTATGTACCTATCACCACTACCTAAACCCCAAACTTTTTTGTCTTCCCCAACAGAAATTCTGTACTCACTAAACAACTCTTGCTTTTACCTCCAGTAAATTCTATTCTGTTTTTACCTCTATGAATTTGCCCATTCTAGGTACCCCATATAAACAGAATTATGAATTTTATTTTCTTCAGTAAACAGCTTTTAACATGCACAAATGCTGTATCTAGAAATGAATATTTTCTATTTAATATACTTAGAAAATTATACCTCTTAAAAATAGTTTTGCATGCCAAATTGCAGCTACAAAGTATCTAAATAATATACATTATATAAATAATTTCTTTTTGAAGATTCAAGCTCAAAAAACCCAGGCAAAATAATTCAAAAGAAAGTTATATATTATTCCTTGATGAATCTTTGGAAATCTTTCCCACACAGGGGCAGGCACTGGGTAGGAATGGAATCAAGGGATCACATGAATTGTCCTCTGAAATTTGCTATAGGTTGATTCTCTAAGAGTTAAATTACATCTTGTCTATCAGTCCACACAAAGCTTAAAACAGCCCTAAAGGACCCAGAAAACCCGAAATGATAATCAAGGATAAAAGAAAATTCTGTAGCAGATGCAAATCAAATATTCTCTTGGGAGGAGAGTAAGAATTTTCTTGGGTAAAATGCTTTAATTTTAGCCAATGGTCCCATGACAATTTAGATGAGAATGTGGGGCCATCCATAGCCTAAAATCCTCAAAGGCTCCTTCTCTCTCCCCAAATATATTTTAGCAAAATGAGCAAGTGATCTAACAGGCTCTGTATTTAAACTGCTTAAAAACATCCATTGGATATATTTGATCCAATCCCCATCTTTGCAAAAGAAAAAATATTGAGGGCTCTGGTGTTAATTATGTATAGCAGAGCTAGATGCATGCAAATTGCCACAATTTGGCCTTTTCCCCCAAGCAAATTAACAGAGAAAAAGAAAAACAAATACCACATGTGCTCACTTATACGTGGGAGCTAAACATTGGGTCCTCATGGAATTAATGATGGGAATCAAAAGACAATGGAGACTCCAAAAGGTGGGGAGAGGAAGGAGACAAGGGTTGAAAAAGTACCTATTGGGTATGATGTTCACTGCATATGTGATGCATTCAGTCAAAGCCCAAACCTCAGCATCGTGCCACATACCCTTGTAACAAACAAGCATATGTTTTCCCTGAATCTAAAATAAAAATAATAAAAATCTTCATGCCAAGAATATGCCCAATCTCAATTGCATCAGTGATGTGTATTTTGCCAATTTTTGATGAACAATTACAACCAATCCTTTACAAATATGAAAAAAAGGAGAAGGAAAAACTTCCCAATTAATTATGCTAGGCCAGAATTACTATAATACAAAAACCACAGGAGAAAAGAAAAAAACTGCAGAACACTACCCCTGTTGAATTTGACAAAATAAGTTCTCAATACTAGCAAAACAAACCCAACAACATTTAAAAAGAATTAAGGACCCTTACACCAAGAGGAATTGTGGCACAGATATGCAGTTTATGTGGCAACTAAAAAAACTTGATGTTTCCATTCATATCCATTCTTCTAAATGATTTCTCAAGTCCCTGGATGTGTGGGCCCTGTGGTCATTACAATTAACATAGATATATTTATTATCTTGATTGTGGTTCTATATCACAAGTGTTTGTCCACACCTAACATATTGAATATAATAAACATTCAGTTTTCTGTACATCAATTGTATCTCAATAAAGCGGCTAAAACAATTAATGTAATATACCATATTGTAAAAGTGATGGAAGACCAAGAGATGGTTATCGGATTGACACAGAAAAAAAATTCACTATACCTAGCATATAACGAAAATTTTAACCAAATCAATAATTGAAGAGAATTTCCACAACCTGATAAAGGTTATCTATAGAAAACCTACAGAAAACGTCATACTTAGTGGAAAGAATGTTTTCCACATAAGACCGGGAACAAGATGCACAAATATTCGCTTTTGCCACTTCTATTCAACATTGTCCTTGATGACATTGTTAAAAAAAATCACAAGGAGGGGAACATCACACACCAGGGCCTGTTGGGGAGTTGGGGGGATAGGGGAGGGATAGCATTAGGAGAAATACCTAATGTAGATGACGGGTTGATGGGTGCAGCAAACCACCATGGCACGTGTATACCTATGTAACAAACCTGCATGTTCTGCACATGTATCCCGGAACTTAAAGTATCATAAAAAAAAAAACATGAAAGAACAAATGAAGAAAAGGACTCCAGATTCCAAAGGAAAGTGTAAAATTGCCTTTTCATATCCAAAACATAATCTCATATGTATGAAGTCCTAGCCAGGCACAGTGGTTCATGCCTGTAACCCCTGAACTTTGGGAGGCTAAAGTGGGGGAATCACTTGAATCCAAGAGTTTGAGACCAGCCTGGGCAACATAGTGAACTCTCATTCCTACAAAAAATAAACAAAAATTAGTTGGGCAGGGTGGCAATATGCCTGTAGAACCCGCTACTCTGGAGGCTGAGGTGGGAGCAGTCAACCGTGTTCGTGCTACTGTACTCCAGCCTGGGCAACAGACTGATATACTGTCTCAATAATAATAATAATAATAATAACAATAATCCTGAGAAATTTAGTAAAAACTCACTCAAAGTAATAAGTTTAGCAATATTGCAGACGATCGAGATCAAGATAGAAATATCAATTGCATTTCTGTGCACTACCAATATTCTCAAAATATAATTAAAGAAACAATACTATTCAAAATACAACCCCCCAAAAAACACATAGGGAAGGACATTTTTTTTTAAACTGTAACTTTTTTTAAAACTGTAACTTTAAACTAAAATGTTTTTTAAGACTTTTTTAAACTGTAATTTTTTTAAAACTGTAACTTTAAACTTAAGAATACAAACTATAAAGAGACAAAAATACAATTTTAAAAATGAGATTTTAATAGAAATTTTTACCGTTGCCAAAATATATACAAATTTTAAATAGTATGTATAAATATATTCAATATTAGTCCATTAGGGAAATTATAATCAAAACCTCAGAGAGATACCACTTTACACCTTGTAATCCAACAACAACAAAAAGTGTTGTCATGAATGAGAAAAATAGGAAAACCTCACATTGCTGGTGGGAGTGTAAAATAGTGCAGCCAGTTAAAACACAATGAGGCAATTTCTCAAAATGTTTAAGAAGGAACTATTGTTTTGACCCAGCAATTCCACTCCCAGTTATGCGCCTATAAGCTATGAAAGTCTACGTGCACAACAAGATTCACTGCAGCACTATTCATGATGAAAACTACCTGAATACATCTCAAGGAATGAAAGGAAAAACATGGGTGGTATATCTTTATTATATTTTTTGTCAATCAAAATAAAGTAATAATACACATTACAAAAGGAATGGAACTCAAACACATTAAGCTGACAGAAAGAAAGCAGCAGCAAATGACCCCATTCTGTGATTCCACTGGCAAGGCATGTCCAGAAAAGGCAAATCTCTGGAGACAGAGGGGAGATGTATAGTGGTCTAGTGCTAGAAGGTAATAGGGACTGGCCACAAACAGCATCACCTTTTGGGGATGAATGAAATGCACTTCAATTATACTGTGCCTATAGTTCCATAACTCTGCAAATACACTACATGTATCAAATGCACACTTACATGTGATTGTTGGGGATTATCAGGCTGGGTCCTGAGGCTGGCAGTTTAAGGAAGGTTTCCAAATTCAGAAAGATACATCCTGGGTGTCCAGGGAGCAGGAGCCACCACCCCCAGAGCCACAGACTACAGCAACACCAGCTTCCATAGTGCCTCTGCCACCTGCAGGCTCCAGCCTCCAATGACCAACTCATCCTGCTGGCCTGGTTTAGGCCCAGGACCTCTGTAGGTGGGATAAGCAACCATGAAGCAGGCACCCCCAAAACTAGCACACTGGAGCTCAATACTCTCAAGGGAGGTGCCATGGTACCCTAACTTTACAGACACACCAGCAGAGACTACAGCAGTGGGAGTGATAAAAGATTTGGTGCAAAGCCTCCAGTCCCACTATGTAACTCTCAAATCAAGAACTAAAAACAGTCCCTAAAGGGCCTTGGGTCAGTATTTTCAGGTTTTCCCACTGGTGTCTGTCCCAAAGACTCAACTCTGCCACTGTAGCAGGACAGCAGCCTTCTGCAGACACCCTGTAAAAGAACAGGCATGACTGCACCTCCACAAAAGTTTTCTTCTGGACATGGAAAATTTCAAAATGTCCTTAAGTATTATTATTCTTTTGATGAATTCTACCATTCGAAAATAAAAAGCTATTTCTTGGCTTATAGGAGGCACAAGACCAAACAGGGATAGGCTGCATCTTGCCAACCTCTGGCAGAAATGGAGCTCAAAGGAGGGGATAACAGAGTGGGGCAAGCCCAGGCTTTTCAGAGCAAAGATTTACCCCAGGAGAAGACCCTCCCCATTCCTCATCTTGGCTTCAGGAGCAGTTCAGGTGAAAAGTGAGAGACAGAATAGACCTCAGTAATGAGGGGGAAGGAGATGCAGGATCAGGAAGCTATGTCCACAGATCACACTCAGCAGTGTAGACTGCATAGGCCATTTTTGTTTTCATCAAGCTGAGCACATGCACAGCCAGCCCAAAGGGGGTGGAATCAGGGCTTGCTGATGTAGGGACTTTCTGGGGTGGGGAACATTCCATATCCCGAAACTTATATGGAAATGCTGTATCATTGCCATTATAGCAAACATACACTGAGAAAAAGAGAGATACAAATAGGACACCAGGTCTGGACATTTGGCTTTCCTACACAAGTGGAGTGAAGAGGCCCAGGTGGGCCCACAAGGGTGGCTGGTGGTTGGATCCTAAATACAGGGGGCCTGGGATCCCCATCTCATATGAGGAGAAGACCTTGGGTCAATCTCAGACAACAGGCAACAAATTCAGACTTGTGTCTGAAGCTGGTTGCTCCGAGGGATTTAGGTTTTGGGGTGAGATGAGGGCCCAGGGTCAGGGAACACATCATTCTAGTACTGGACATGCATGAAGTTCTTCCCAGCTCTCTCAGGTACAGGATGAGTTGCTAGGCACGTGCTTTAAAAGATCCTAAAAGGAGTGGAATGCCCTGAAGGGACTGTTAAGCCAAGAGAAAGTATCCCAGCCTTCCTGCCTCCCCATCTCTAGATAATCCATTGAAAAGATCCTTAAAGTCAGGAAAAAAAAATTTAGAGAGCCAGTAGGCTGAGGGTTTCCCAAAGTAACAAGTCTAATAATCTAAACACTGCCATATAGGTCCCCCTGGTCAGGTGAGGAAACTGAAGGCTAAGGAGGAAACCCAGAACCTCAGCAGGCAGCTGGCAGCCTGGAGCCCTGGAGGTCTGGAAAGACCCCAACTTAAAGCCCAGCCAGAGGTGGCTCTACTCCCAGCTCTTTCTCTTTCTGGCTGGGCCGACCACCCTCCCCCAAACCCACTTGCTCCCTGGGCAATGGCCTCTGTGCGTGCAGCTGCCAGGCTGTGGATGGGAGCTGGATTTCCCCAGGAGGCAGGCTCCTGCTCTGTGCCAGGCCGCCTGGTGCCTAACAACACACATAGGGGTAGGATGGCACCCGGCGTGCTGGGGCCAGCTTGGCTGGAGGACTATGGTGCTTGTGTAGAGTGGGCCTGGCTTACCCACCCCTCTCCTGACCCCATAGCCCCATGGCCCTTCCACTTCTGCTAGAAGACCCTCCACATCCCCCCAGACCTTGACTACCGACTTGGGTCTGTTGCCCCACCACCATCTCACATCTGCCCCTTCCTGCGGTTGAACACACTCCACCAGGCCCCTCAGACCATCTGACTCAAGAGTAGGGTGAGGAGAGTGGTGACACTAAGTTGTGTCACCGTGTTATGCTGGCCACTTGGGATAAGGGGCCAGGTTTCAGCTGACGGACTCACACCCACCCACCCTCCAAAGTGCAGCCTCTCTTTGCAGAAACTGGGGCCCCGGGGGTGAGGGCTGCGGACAGCACAGTCCCTGGCTCCCGGCGGTGGTTCCGCACTTGGGTGGAGGTCCTGAGCCTCGGGGCATCACGCAAACTACGACCACTGGAGCTACGATGTGGTGGAATTAGGAGCAGCAGAAACTGGGAACCAGTCCCTCAGTGCCATTCACACCTGGTGGCCCCTTTTCATGCAGGTGCGAGTTCCTGGTTCCTGATGCAGCTACCTACAGGGCCCAACCCTCCTGTGCCCCCTAGGTTCTTCCTTGCCTGCTGCTCTCCCATAATGGGGCTGCTCCCTGCCCAGTGGCTCCTAGGCAGTCCTGGCCACACAAACTGCAAGGATGCAAACCTGGGAACCCACGGCAGGAATCCTGACGTTCCCAGGCTATCTGCATGGGCATGCTGTCCCCCACGCCTGGCTGGGTCACAACCGGAAATATGAACCCTATTTTCCCTGGCCCCGCTACCTGCTGCAACACTGTGCCACCCTCCTCCCCCGGCCCCAGCAGTGTTGTATCCCCCCAGCAGTGTTTTATTCCCCAGCAGTGTTCTATCCCCCCAGCCTCCAACTCCAAAGTCACATCCCTCATCCCCTGGTAACCTGGTCGCACCGGTACCGCTGACGCTGAAGCTAGGCCACCACCAGCAGAGCGATGCTACCTCCCGTGCCATCCGCCCACCAACCAACCTCCTGTTGCCATAGGTCCCCCTCCTAGCGGCTGCCATCTCACTGCAGCCATCCGCAGACTCCAGTCTCCAATAAAGCCGCCCAGCAGGTAGGCCAGCTCGTCCTCCTTTTGCCAGAACAGGACAGCACAGCACACAGAACCAGAAGAGAGTCAAACGAGAAGACTGACCCACCTCAACAGCTATATACCCACCTTCTGCAAGTGCAGGCTCCTAGGACACATGTTCTGATTGATGAGAAGGAAGCTTTTGACCTAATCTCATTGGACTAAATTATCCAATCAGAGTTGTCCTATAGACTTGCTCTCATTCAATCAGAACACGTGTTCCAGGAGACTTTATTTGCATAAAGCTGGTATAAAAGCCTGCTGAGGGCCTGGTCCAGCGTTTGAGTTGCCTGTGGTTTTTGCCCAGGGCTGTTTTGTGCTCTGCCAGAGGAGAAGCCGGCGCCGAGGCCACCCGCCAGCGTCCTCCTTGGAGGCCGGAACTTGCGGGCGCTAAGGAGACCGCTGCGGGATGTTGCACTACCTGGGCGGTGGCAGCGGCTGCCACGGTGGAGGGGGCTGGGGCAGCAGGCAGCCGGCGGGCGGTAGTGGAGGCAGGCAGACCAGGGGTAGGGCAGTCAGAGGTAGGCGGCCATTGGGTAGGGCAGGACAGTGGGGCGGAATGGCTGGGGAAAGGAGAGTTCCCTCCTTCGGTGCCCAGAAGGTAGCACCGACCTGTGGCGGCTGCCTCGGCGACGCGACCGGGGGTAGGACAGCGCTGGGGCAGCAGCGGGAGGAGGCGGCCCGCGGGTAGGGCCTCACTGTGCGGGCACAGCTAGGGAAAGAAGGGGTCTTCCTCTGGTGGTGGCCAGGGGGTAGGATAGCGGAGCGGCCAGGGGGCAGGGCAGAGCTGAGGCCTAGATGGCCGGGGAGAGGAGCTGACCTCCAGCCGCGGGGGCGGCAACAGCGCGGCAGAGGGCGCCGACTCAAGAGGGCGCCCTCCCTCTGCAGGTGCCCGAGCCAGGCGTGGGGACCACAAGCCGGCGTGGGGACCACAGGCCCGCGTGGGCACCCCCAGCACGTCAGGGCCTCCGGCATGAGTACTGGGACCTGCGACCTCGCGCTCTGGGTGGCCGGGACCGCCCCAGAGCCCCTGGGCAAAAGAGCAGCCCCGTTGTGGGGAGAGCAGCAGGTGAGGAAGCACCCACCAGGCACGGTAGGGACGGGGCCCTGCGGGTAGAGGCCTAAGGAAACCGAACCTGGCACCAGTTGTGAGCGCCCGCGTTTCTGCTGATCCTACTTCCTGGTGAGCCCAGCCCCAGTGGGCACAGCAGTCTGCGTGGCGCCCAGAGCTGCGGGACCACCATCCAAGTTCAAGGACACCCACGGAGCCGGCCCACAGGTGTCTGCGGCCCTTTCCCCGGGGGCCCCCCATTTTCTGGCCACCTTGGACCAAAGTGAGAGCTGGCTTTCAAGTCCCTTTTATTAAGTATCTGGCTTCTTTGGGTGGTAAAAATTTTTACAAGCTCTTGTAAAGCCTGTATCCTGTTATTTGTTTTTATTTATTTATTTTTGTAGAGATGGGTGTCGCTCTGTTGCTTAGGCTTGTCTTGAACTCCTAGCCTCAGCCTCCCAAAGTACTGGGATCAAAGGCATGAGCCCCAACACGCCTGGCCCATCCTGGTATTTCTAACAGAGCTCTGGAGAAACTAGCTTGAACCCCAAGAATTAGTAGCCACTTCTAGCCTGAGTCCATTTCCATTTGAAGAAAAGTTATGAAGATTGGGCCCAGCTTATTCCTCCTGTGTGTCTGCTTCAATAGCCTGTCGATGTGTATGTCTGCTTTGGGTTTAGGGACATATGAAGAAAACTCTCCATACTTACTCTAGCTCCCACAGAGGTTGCTGGTGCTTCTGTGGTTGGTGGGTTTTTGTTTTCAAGTTCCATATCAGTATGACAGTGTTTTCATATAGCTGAGGTCCTGAAGCCTTGATTCATGTTGAACTGAAGTGTTGTGGACTCAAGATGTAACAGGAAATAATGATCTGTAATTTTGTGATCCTGGTGTGCTATATAATTTGTTTTTTTCTTTTGAACAGAATGTAGAAAAGCTGAAGTTGATGGGAATAGATTTCATTTGGAAAATAACCATGAAATTACCTGATGAAGAAATTGCTAATGAAGCTATTCAGTTAATCATAAAATATAGTTATGGTAATCTAAATCCTAGCTTAAAGAGGATGAATATCTAAGGAAAGAAAGTTACTCATTGCTATGCAAGATTTGAAGTAAGTCATTAGCAAATTTTATTTAGCCTGTCTTTGAAATAAATGCTTTGGGATTTTTTTTCTTTTATAATTTTATATTTTCAGATAATTTATAAAGTTGATGTTTGAGAGTGCATTCTATTGAAGAATTTGTCAACTGTACCACTGTGGCATAGGGAACAGGAACTTGCCATGATACCCTCAATATGGATGTGTACTGTAGCAAATCTCATTCTCCTACCACCTCTCTTCTGCACTCCATCCTCCCACCACTATAGAAATACAGGTACTATCTTCAGAAAACAGGTCTGCTATATATTCCGTATTTTTGATAGTTTTTTCTCCTTATTCTCTTTCTATACAAGAACTTTATACAAGCACCGCTTCTTTTTCTGTTTTTCTTCATGTTTCACTTAGTTATCCTGTAAATACTATTAAAAGCCACAGCAGAACACTCAGTAGTAGGGGGTGTTTGTTGTCTTTATCCATTAGAAGCCTGCTGTGTAATACTAGCTCATGGGTATTTCTGTCTTATTTCAATCAAAAAGTATTCAAAAGCATGAAGCGTAGCCAGGCACAGTGGCTCATTCATGTAACCCCAGAATTTGGGGGAACTCGGGAAGGAGGATTGCTTGAGGCCAGAAGTTTGAGACCAGCCCAGTCAGCATAGTAAGACTGCTGCTACAGAAAAAAAAAATACAAAAAAAAAAAAACCATGTATGTGTACAGATATATAACATATATAATCTATATCTAAGATATATATATATAACATTTCTCTTTGTTCTCTGGTAAACCATTATCATCTTGGTGAATCTCAGCAGATTGATTTGTGGTAAATTAGCTTGAGAAAGCTTAAGCAATGGGAAAGTAGACATTTTAACTTTGCAAGTGGACACACTGAGGCCCAGGGAGGAAAGAAAGCTCCCTGGCCACATGCCACATCCTAACCCTCCTGCACACACTTACCCCCACAGGCCTGAGATCAACGACATGACTGGTCAGGGCCTCCCAGGCCTGATGCTGAAAACCCATCCATTCACCCAAGTGGTGAACACTGAATATCCCTGCCTCTCTTGAAAATGCTACATTTAAACAGGCAGAGAAATGTATTTCATAGAATATGCATACTTTTTCCTTTGTACAAAAGCATTTTAATCTCTCTTAGTTCATAGCCAAGATGAACAAGAGGAGGAACAATCACCACACACAAAAATCAGTCACCAGGCATCAGAGCCTTCTGGGGTGAACATCTATCATTACCATCATCACCACCACCATCCTCACCGCCGTCATTGCTGTTTTTTATGGTTAGTGCAAATTTTGCTTTGTTCCTTGGACATTCAGACTGGATCTTGTTCATTACATTAGCTGCCTCACCTAGAATGATGTTTGTCACATGTCTGATGCCTATGAATATCAGATATTGTAAATGTTTATTAAAAATTAATGAATGGTAAAATATAATAAAAACAAATGAAAAATTTTAAAAAAGAAAATCAATGAATAGGCTAAGTGCAATGGCTCAGGCCTGTAATCCCAGAATTTGGGAGGCCAGGGCAGGCAGATTGCTTGAGCCCAGGAGTTTGAGACCAGCCTGGGCAATATGGCAAAACCCCATCTCTACAAAAAAACAAAGTAAAAGTTAGCCAGGCATGGCTAACCTGTGGTCTCAACTACTTGGGAGGCTGAAGTGGGAGAATTGATTGAGCTCAGGAAGTTGAGGCTGCAGTGAGTGGTGACCACACTGCTGAACTCCAGCCTGGGCCACAGAGCAAGACCATGTTTCAAAGAAAAAAAAAAAAATCAATGAATGAATGAGGTTTCACATACATTATATTACTTGTTTGTTACTGATTATAATTCCACCAGATGAGCAAGAGTAGGTATCATCACCACCCAATTTTATATAAGAAAACTGAAGCACAGATAGGTGTATTGTCTTGACACAGGCCGTGTTTTGTGGTGTGACCTGGTAGAGATGTATTGCTCAGCTCTGGCCAAAATTCCCCCATGAGCAGAATCTGGTCAGGAGCCTCCCTGCCCCTCCCTCTCTCGCTTTGGCACTGGCCTGGGTGCCTCTTCTTGGGGCTGAAAGCAGCCCTTTATGTGTGTGGCTTTTGTGTTCTAGCAGACTAATCTCACTCCCATGGACAATAGCCCCTTGTCAGCGCTAGAGCCTAAAGGAGCAAATTCTTCATTATTACATGGAGTAGACAGGCAAGAACAATTGGACGAAATAGACTGTATTTTCCAAGGTCATCCCCTGGCTTCTAATTCTATCTGCAAGATAGAATTAGAATTTGAATGATAATAAACTTCTACATGAGAATCCAAGCCCTTGATCAGAAATGGAGAATGGGCCCTCATGCAGTCCAGTGGGAAGGAGGTTTCTGGGCCTGCAGTAGGCCAAGGACCCTTCTTTCTCAGAAACAGTCTCTGGTGAGAAGGAAACCAGACACTACTTTCTCAGAAGTTCACAGTCTGGTGGGATATATATCATTTTATGTCTGTAAGCACACCTGCATATGTACAGGGGTGTGTGGTGTGGGGAGGCAGCTAGCACTGGAAATGGGAGCAAAGTCTGGCCTTAGCTTGTCCATTGCTCTGATGAACATGGACTCATGTGGGTGCATGGGTGGGGCCAAGTTCCCACAGGATGTCCAGGGTAAGTGCCAGGGAAGCCCTGGGAAACCAATTCAGCCACAGGGGCCCCTGGTCTGTCACCTCTGCCCAGCCTTAGCTCTCATATAGCCCCATGGGCAGGAGCAGCTGCTGCCAACAGTCACCCTGATGAGGCACCTGGAACAGAGGAGCACTTCTGCTTCACTCCCTAAGTGAACAACAAGCCTCAGTGGGGAGGCAGGAGAGAAGGTCACTGTCAACTGAGCCTGCCAGGGTTGGGAGGAATGTGCTGAGAGTGTGACAAGCATGGCCTTAGTCAGGGAGGCCTTAGATGGGGAGGTTGGTGGGCAGCTGAGGGCCAGCCTGCAGCATATTCTTGGCATTAAGTAGTAAATTGAGTGTTCCAGTCCTGGGATAGGGGCAGTGGTGAGTGGGCTGGCTGGGTGCCCTGGTCAGAGGCCTTGATCTTTTCTCCCTGGACTGGCCTGTCTGCAGGAGGTGAGAGGTGGATCTGAGAGCACCTGGGACTGAGTAGCCAGTGGTTAATCATTTCCCAGGGGCTTGAGCTGCCTTCCCACCTCCATGCACTGCCCTGGGGACTCCCAACACTTTGCCCAAAACCATCAGGGCTGGAAATGACCTCAGTGACCACCCACAGTGACCCTTTATGTTGAAGGGGAACCTAAGGCCTACCCCGCTTAGGGAATGAAGGTAGGTCCAAGATCATGGCCAGCCCCCACTGCAGCTTTCTCCTCTGTTCTCCCTTTCTCTATCCTAGCCCCTAAGAATTGCAAATTATGCTCCTTGAGCCCCAGGGTTCTAGAAAATGCTTCTGGGGCAGCCTTCACACCCTCTCCCTACTTTAACCAGAGCATCCGAGCCTTGATCTGTTGTATAAGAAGCATCTACCTATAATTCAGTTTGGGAAAATGGGTTTTACTTGTAAACATGACCTTTACTAACCACTGCACTTAAACCCTTGCTATCAGTTGCTACATAATAGATGGAAGTTAAACTTTAGGAAGAAAATTCCAAAAGGAGAGGTCAAAACAAGCTCTCCAATGAGTAACGGGGCAGATGTCTTTTAGAAATATTTAAGAGAAAAAGTGGAGCCCCATTTTGGAGTTGGTGAAGTCTGGAATAGGGAGGATAGCAGTATGACATGCAGGCATAAGGAGGGAAATGTGTCCCCTGGTGAAGGCCAGCACAGGGGGAAAGCATTGTTCGGAGGGAAGCAGTGGTGGGCAGCCACCTGGGGCTGTGCCCTCAGCTAGGGAGAGTGGCTGGGACCCCCAGTTGTTGGGGCCTTTAGGTTTCACCCCAGGCCTGGCTCTGGCCTTGACGGTCAATGTTGTACTGGCCACTGGGTTTCCCCAAAACTCTGCCCTCCCAGGCTGTGCCCTGAGCTGCAGCCTGCCCCGGGGTGGGAAAGCCCACACCTCAGAGGCCCCTCTGTTCCTTCTCCTGAATGCTCAGCTGTTGAGCTCCCAAGGAGGTGGAACCTCACTCTGGTTTAGGGCCAGGCTTCCTCAGCAGCCTTTTCTGGCAGTAGTAAAGTGGTTAAGGGTATGGGCACTTGAGATGCTAATCTAGATTAAAATCTTGGTTTCCTTTTTTTTTTTTTTTTTTTTTGAGACAGACTCTCGTTCTGTCGCCCAGGCTGGAGTGCAGTGGTGCCATCTTGGCTCACTGCAACCTCTGCCTCCTGGGTTCCAGTAATTCTCCTGCTTCAGCCTCCAGAGTAGCTGGCATTACAGGCACTTACCACTATGCCTGGCTAATTTTTGTATTTTTAGTAGAGATGGAGTTTCACCATGTTGGCCAGGCTGGTCTCACACCCCTGACCTCAGGTGATCCACCTGCCCTGGCCTTCCGAAGTACTGGGATTACAGACGTAAGCCACTGCATCTGGCCTGGTTTCCTATTTTTACTAGCTGCGTAATCTTGGGAAAGTTATAATCAAAATGGGGATAACACACACTTACCTCCCAGGGCTGTTGTAAAGAGGAATGTCAGTGACATTACAGCAGTGCCTCTCATTGGAGTAAGCACACATGTGAGTGTCCTTTCTTCCTCCTTTATTCCTTTAGTTACTGATTATTATTCTCCACATTCAACAAATGCCAGGCACTGTTCTAAGCCCCTAATTATTAATTTATTCTCATAGGGGTCTCAACACCTGCACCTGCTGTGGTCCCTCCTGGGGACTGACCTTTGCCTTCCATTTCTATCAATTTCCTCATAACTTTTGCTTATTGGAGATAGCTTTTCTTCCCAGGGTTGGATGGTGATTCTCAAGGGACTCAGGTTTTGCCAATGTCAGGGGTTGAAGGTGGCCACATGATTCCCAAGCAGCAGGAGTGGTAGCCACATCACCTTGAGTGAGCTGTGGGCTCTTGGTGTAAAGCTCAGGGACATTCAAAGATGCCTGGGCCCCATCTTCTATAGCCCAGCCCCCTGGAGACCTCTCAGGACCAGAACCAGCCTGGGGAATGAGTCAATTCCAAGGAGACCAGGCTCTGATCAGACACCATAAAAGGCTTCACTGGAGGGTAAACAAATAGACCACTTCCCCAAGGGCTGAGGGCAGTATGTGGAAACTGGATTGCTCAGGATTCAGGGGTCCTGGAGGCTCCAGCCCAGCCAGCTCAGGGAAGAGGTGCTTTGAGCTGTGTGGGTCACTTTCCCCAGTATATGAATCCCTCAGCTTTGGAGGGCAAGAGCTGTTCCTAGACTATGGGCAAGGGGCAGGGGTGCATCCAGAGAAGCAGGGGTGTGGGGGCTGGAGATGTGGTATCAGATGAAAGACAGCAGAAGTTGGCATTTCTAACTTTGAACAAGAAAACCAAGGAGAGGTGCGACGTTGAATCCTACCTCATAAGAGACCATCAGTTGGTATGCAGTGAATGAACGATGAATGATCATTCTACAGAGCTCACAGGAGTCATGTGGAGGCCCAGGGGAACCTCGCTTAAATTCCATGATGAAGGCCATGGGGAGAAACATTTGACTGGGGCCCTTCTGCATGAGGAAGTGGAGGTAAGACTGACAGAGGGACTGAGGTTCTAACCTGGAAGAGCTGCACTGATGGCAGAATTAAGAGGGTCCAGAAAGTTCCTCTTCAAAGGTACATCCTTTCCTATAGAGTGATTGGCAGGCACACACCTTCCCGGAAAGAGAGACAGACAGATTGCCTTTGGGAAAGACATAGAGTTTTCTCCTGCTTTGTGCTCTTCAGTATCAAGGCAGAGGTTGAATAGTTCCTAGGGAGGAGGAGAGCCCTGCACTCCTGAAATTGACATTGCCTTGCTCTTCTACATTGGTCTGCACTTGTTGGGTGCCAGGTGCCATGCTGGGTACTAGAGAAGAAAGAGGCCCTATCCTGCAGTTGTTTCCCTCACTGCAGGACAACTTAATCACCCTTTCTTTTCAGGCCCTCTCTACTCTCCTGCATTTGCTCATTTTTTCTAAGAAAAGCAAAACTTAAGATCTGTACATTTATATAAATTATACCTCAACTTAAAAAAAGCATCCTGTGACCTCACATCCTCTTCTGGGTACTTACTGTCCCCTTCTATTTGCTTTTCTTCTCAGTAATATTTCTCAAAAGAGTGCTGCTAATCACTAATTTCTTTCTTCGTTCCCATTCATCCTCACCAGCTGGGTCAGGCTCTGGCACAATCACTGAAGCTGCCGCTTCCAGGAAGCCTGGCACCCCTGTACTCATTACTCCACCTGGTCTCATTCTCCCTCACAGCAGCATTTGACTGAGGCCCTCGCTCCTTTGCCCATGCCAACGCCCTGGCTTGGTATTTTTCCAGCTTCCTGACTGCAGCATCTTGATCTCCTTTGCTTTTCACTACCAGAAACACAGGTCTTCATTTCCCTCCTGTCCCTCCCCTCTACCACCCAACATCCCCCACACTCCTTGCTCCCCTGGTCTTCCTGTCCTGCTCATGGTAGCTCCAGGAATAGCTCAGGCCAAAAATCTTGTTCTTAATTATTCTTTCCTCACCAACCACGCGCCTCCCCCAAGTCCAACATCCAATATAGTAGTAAACCTGGTGGCTCTATCTTCAGAATGTGCCCCGAATCCATCCCTTTCCCATATCTCTCTGTCAGTTCAAGTCATGATAGTTCTTACCTGTGCAATTGCAGGTGCCTCCCAACAGGTCTCCTGTTTCCCCTTTCCCCTGCCCTTTCCATTCTTTTTCCACACATCAGCCAGAGAGATTTAAACTACAGAAATCCCACCCTGTCACTTCTCTGTGTACAACTCTCCAGGGCTGTCCAGCACACTTTGATTAAAACCCAAGTTCCTTCCTTGGTCTCCAAGACCCCATGCTCTAACCCTGGCACCTTGTCCAACTTCCCTTAAGGCTACTCCTTGGCCCACGCGTACCCTCTTCCCTTAGATACCTACCTCCTCACATCCAGGCTCTGCACTCGCTGTGCCCTCCTCCTGGGACTCTGGCTGCCAGATCTAGCTCTGCCTCCTCCTCATGAACCTGATCTCTCAGAGGGTTTCATCACCCAGCCACCCTCTCCCACATTGCTTACTTTGTTCTGTTGTCCCAGTGACACTTATCTCATTTTGTTCATGAGCTTGTTTTCCTCACTCATGGTCTGACTCTCCTCCACTCTGGATCTGTGCTCCATGAAGGGGAGGATCTTGGTTTTAGTCCCTGGAAGCATGCCTGGCACATAGTAGATGCTCAGAAGTATTCGTTTAGTGAATATTGGCTCAATACATGTGATGCTGGACCTAGAAAAAAATGAGAGCTGTCTTGTGGTTGAACCTTCTCATTTTAGGAGGGAAAATGGAAAAAGAGAAAAGGAAATGACTTACCCAAGTGCAGGAGGACTAGAAACCAGATCACCTGACTCTGTCTTACCTAAGACTCCATGTGGCACTGTTTTATACCATCCAGGAGGGAAGAGGCTCAGTAGGAACTAGAGGTGGGCAGCAAGGGAGGCTGGAGAGCAAAAAGAAGGGAGAGTTTGGTGCCCAGGAGTGGCAAGGGCAGGCCTTATAGTCATTGCTGTAACTCTGGAAGGGAAGACGGAGGCTTTTTCCAACCCAGGTCTAAGCATGGGGGAGACAGAGGGAGGTGCCAGGAGGGGCTCACCTGACTGACTCTCTCAGTCTGCTACTCCCCTGCTCAAGCCCTCTCCTGCCTCCCTTGGGAATTACAGCCTTTTTGTCCCCAGCAAACCCCGAAACTTCTGGCCTCCTGGGGTGCTCAGTACTTCTCCTTTGCCTGGACTGCCAGTCACCACATCCGAAGCCTGGTTGCTCACTGAGATCCAGCCTAGGTTCAGTCTCTTCCTTGAGCCTCTCCGGATAATCTTGGCTTGTAGCATTTGTGTTCTCACTCTGCAGAGTGACTTGTGCACTTTGGTTGGGGGAGTTATTGGTGAACATTCTTCTGTTTCTTGGTGGACGTTCTTCTGTTTCTTACTAGGTTGTTAGTGTCTCCAGGGCAGATACCCTGCTATGTTCTCTGACCCCCCTCCCCACTCCACCGCAGTTGCTGAAATGGTGCTGGCTTGTCACAGTTGCTCAGTAAGTATGCATTTGCTCCTTTGTTGGATTGGAAGAGATGTGGTGGTTGGAAGGGAGGATGGGCTGGGGGGCAGTGGGTGAGTGTGTGGTAGGGAAGGTGGGACAAGGATGATGGAAATGGGTGGGTGGCTGGGTACACAGATGTGTGAGTGAGTGGTAGATGGATAAATTGGTGGGGCTTGACTGGCTGGCTGCGAGAGTACCTGGATGGCCACGTGAATGAAGGGTCATTGGGGCAGGAGCCAAAAGTATGGTGTGTGGGCTCCCTTTGCTCCCCAGACAAGTGAAAGTTTTCTGGATTTTCATCACCATCTGTCAAGCTCTCTGACTCAGCTCTTTTCAACTAGAAGGTGACAGAGACCCCAAGAGCCCCTGGGAAGCAAAGAGGAGATGATATCGGGGTTTTCAGGTGTAATTGGTTTTATTTGCAAGTCTCCCCATCCCCAAAGCTAAGAAATTCCATGGGGAACTGAGTAACTCTGAGGAAATCTCACCCTGACTGTCTGTCAAGGAGTATTATCTAAGAATCCCAGGACTAAAAAGAGAGAGGCACTTGGCAAGCTCATCTACTTCCTTCAGGCATAACCATGCCCACCCTTCCACATTCCTAGTCACCCTCAGGCAGGGAGGCCTCACATTCCCACCCTGAAGTCCAGAGTAATGTCCAGCCCAGGGATTCTCATCTGAGGTGATTTTGCCCCCCAGCGACATTCAGCAATGTCAGAAAGCATTTTCATTGTCACAGCTGGGGGATGCTACTACTGGCACCCAGCAGGTATTGGCTAAGTTTGCTGCTAAACATCCTACAATCCAGGACAGACTCACACACGGAATTATCTGGTCAAAGTGTCAGTGGTGCCGAGGTGGAGAAACCCTGGTTTAAATCAAATCCCTACAGCTTTAGTAGAAATTTAATAGACATATAATGGGAACTACATTTAAAATGTTAAAATTTTGAGTGGTCACATTAAAAAAGTAAAAAGTAAAATTATGTTAATACGATAGCTCATTTACCCCAATATATCAAAAATATTACCATTTCACCATGTAATTAGTATACACAATTCCTAATGAGAGTTTTAACTGGTTTTTAAAATCCAGTGTGTATTTCACACAGTATGTCTCTGTTCAGACCAGCTGCATTTCAAGCACTTGACAGCCTCTTGTGTTCAATGCAGGCAGGAGGGTATGTGGTCTCTTCTTTCAGCCCCACAGGAATATGCAATGGGGAGGGTCTTATGTTTCTCCGTGCTGTGCTGACCCTCTCCTCCCCTCCCTGAGCCTTTCCTAGTAGTGGTCTTTGGAAGATAAGGAGGAGCAGAAGCTCAGATGGTGCCACTGCAGCCAGAGCTAAACCACAGAGGACGAGGCTCCCAGGATCAGCCAGATGGAGAACGTCGGGCCTCTGAGAAGTGCTCAGGTCAAGGCAGGGGCCAGGGTACCATTGTGGTATCCTGGGTGGTGGGGATGAATTAGCTTCTCCAGATTTCGTGCAGCGTGTTCAGCCGGCCAAGCACTGAAGCCCAGAGAATGAAGCTGAAGGTTGTGAAGATAAATTTCAAATTCCTCACCTTCTCCAGACCCCTCAGACCTGCTAGGTTCCACCCTCTTCACAACAATGATTGCCAGTATTGAGATCATCCATGAGCCAAAACTGTGTGGGACATTTTATGGCCATAGCTCACTTAGTTCTCACAATATTCCTGAGAGGGAGGTATTGTGAACCCATTTTACAGAAAGGGAAACTGGGCTGAAGGATACTGAGGGAATCATATGCCTACAGAGCAGCAGGACCAGAGTTTGTATCCAGATCTGTCCAGCTCTGGGGCTCACCTCTTCCTGTTAGCCAGCCTGCCTCCCTCTAATCCTGACCCCCATAATTCACTTCTGAGGGGAGGAACATTAGAACTGGTTTTGCCATCTAGACTTTGAGATTATGAGGAAAGGAAGAGAAGGGCCCAGAATTTACTGAATGCCACTCACATGCCAGGACTGTGCTGGGCACTCTCATGAGATGAGTCTCCTTTTACTTCCTTGCAAGCCTTGTTTGCAGATTTGAAAACCGAGGCTTTGAAAGTGAGTTAACCTGCCTGAAATCACATGGAGAAGAGGTAGTTGAGGAAGGAAAAGAATCTCCTTTCTCTGGAGGCCGAGTGCTGTGGGTTTTTGACAGTCTTCTCATGCTGTTGTTTCCCTGGGTGCCCCAGAGGATGGAGAACAGGGCATGTGCCCTAGGCCGCAGCAATACCTGTGGCTATCACTTGGTCTCAACTGTACCCATGTGACTGACAGGAAAGTGGAATGGTGCATCAGAAGCCCTCGCTTTCACTCCAAGCTCTCCTGTCAATTAGCTGTGAGACCTTTGACAAATCCCTGAATACTTCTAGTTTTGATCTAAGTTCTAAGGAACAGAAGCTGTGCTTATTTCTTTTGACCCTCAATGCCTAGCACAGGGTCTGGCACATATAATATAGTTGCTTAATTTTTTTTGACTATGTCTAAACATGGAATAGTTGGACCTTACTAGGGGTTTATTAACTTTTTAAAAAAGCATGGCTTGCTTTGTTCAATGACCCCTTGGAAGCCTAATATGTAGAGTAGGTAAAGATAATCCTTATTTAAGTGGTGGTGGGGAGGAGGGCAGGGCCTGACATTCTTGTATTCCCCATGGTGGTCCTGAAGGCATCTCCATTGGTTAGGTGCCCCCAAGGTCCCTTCCATTTCTGATATCCTGTGATTATATTTCCAACTCCACCTCCCTACTCAGACTCTCAAGCATGGAAGAAGTAGAGGTTTCCAAGCTGCTGCCCCAGCCTCCAAAGATGAGGAGGAGGACATCCAAGCTATCATAATCTGTCAGAAGGGGCAGAGGTAGCAGGTGGTGAAGGCTGCATGGGCACCCATCTGGGAGAGGCAGAAGGCAGAGGAGCAAAGGGGAAGCTGGGACCCTAGCAGGACGTGCAGCATCTCCTAGTCCCCAAGAAGGAACTGGAGACCCCACCTCACCAGAGACAAAGCCAGGAGCAGCGGGGTCCCTGGGCCCTGGAGGAGGAGAGCTTGGTGAGCAGGGAGCCATGAGGGAGGAAAAAAAACAGAGAAGTCCCCAGTCTTCTCAGAGAAATACTCCATGCTAGGGAAGACAGCACTGGATGAGAGACTGGTCTCAGAAAAAACCTCCATCGCCAAGAAGGTGCTAGCCTTGGAGAAAACATCTCTATCTGAGAAGACAGTGGTATCAGAGAAAAGACAGCTCAGAGAAGAAGCTGGTTCCAGTAAAGACAGGTGTCTCAGAGAAGACACTGGCCCCAGGAAAGGCATCAGTGTAGGAGAAGATAGTGGTGATAAAGCAAAAGTCCATCTCAGAGAGGTCGGTTCTAGAAAAGACAAGTGTCTCAGAAAACACACCAGGCTCAGAAAGGAGACTGGTGTCTGAGAAAGCATCGATCTTCGAGAGGTCACCAGTCCTAAAGAAGAGCCTGACAAGACATCAAGCTGGCTCCAAAGAAGACTGCAGCCTCAGAGCAGCCCAGGCCCAGGAGCAGCCGGCCTCTCGGAGGAGGCCAAGCCACCACTGAGAGGCAGACAGAAAGGGCCCTCCCTTGGAAGAAACTGCCGTCCTCTGCAGAGCAGGGCATTTTGGGCCCTCTGACTGTAGTCTCCTGCCTCTCACTAGTCACACTCCTGGTTGGCAGTGTCCTCTCCCTCCTACCCTTCCACCCTCCACCCTGGAGGGCTCCTTCCTATTTCCACTCAGGTGGTCTCTGGCTCCCTGTCTGTCTCTCACCCACCCCACTAAGGCAGGTTGGTGTTGGCAGTCTCTTCCCCACTGCCTCCTTCCAGCCATGGTCAGAGCAGGGACTGAGATGGGGCAGGCTGCTAGACTTCAAGGGGCACCAGCCATGGGGCAGGGAGACCTGGTACCCCCTACCACATCCTCATCCAGGCCTGGACTCCAGGGCTCCAACAGACTCTTGGGAAGCCTCAGATCATTCCGGAAGCTCCCCTAGGAAGCTCTGCCTGGTGACCTGGCCCCAAGGGAATGCTTATCCACCAACCACTCTTACAGAAGGTGAAGGAGGCAGGAGAGAGAGGCAGAGGACTGTCTCACTTTCCCCTTCTCCTGCAGCTCCTGGGATGAAACATGGGGTCTGTGGCTGCCTGAGCCCACTGGGCTCTAGACCTCTGTGTGATGCTCCCCCTGCCCTGTCTGGGTAAAAAACCCCAGCAAGGAGGAAGAGGCAGACCCCCTCATCCACTCGATGCGCCTGCAGTAGCTCCCTCAAATACTCCAGGCCAGGACCACCTCCTTTCAGGTAAGAGCACAGCACACCCTTGTCTTGAATCCATTGCAAGGTAAACTGAGGAATCCAGCACCCATCACAGCATAGGAGCCTCGGACTAGATAGGACCATGCTCTGGATAGAGTAGGCTTTGGGTTCCCATGGGTGGCCCCAAGCAGACAAGGCTGTGCTAAATAAAGGAGAGTAGGTTAGTGACCCAGGAGCTGGGTGCCAGTAAGCATTAGCAGCCCCACGTAGTGGGCAAGGTCGGAGCTGCAGATGACAGTACAGGCCAGGATGGCACTGGGCTTCAGGAGGCCCACACCTGCCTTCATCAGTTTCTGGCATCACTTAGGAGGCTTGCACAGGAGCAGAGGGGAGAGGTGGAGAGCAGCAGGGCTCTCCTAATGCTCTCTGCTAGGCCACTGCTCCAACAGTACAAAGTATGCGGTGTGGGGAAATCTCATATTGCCTTGTCCTAGTGTTTATTCTTCATTATTTGGTTCACAGGGTCACTCACTCATTCACTGGGCATTGCGTCTCTAATGTGTGCCAGGCCCTAGGGAGGAGGCTGAAGGCCCGATGTTGATCGGTGCCCCACAGGGCTGGCAGGCAGATAGGCAGATAGGAAAACAGGTAGTTAACAGCTTCCCAAGAAGGAAACCTAGAGAAGGGCTTGTGACCCTGACTGGTGTATGGGGTTTCACAGATACGTTTACCAGACAAGACAAGGGTCTTTAATGAAGGCTTGTCCACAGACTTCTTTGGTCACAGTTGACGCTTGGTGGAAGCTGTAGGATATCCAAGGAGGAGGAAGCGTCCTGACTTGAGGGGGCCACCGACCTCCCCAGGACTCTCACAAGCCACCGCTTTTCCTGCCCCCTTCAGATGAGCCCCAGGAAAGACAACTGAGAAACCACTTTAATCTGCAGGTTGGGGCGAGGGGGACTGGAGGCCCCAGCTCTTTCCTGTTGGTCATATTCAGATTGTTTTCTGAGTATCTGCCACCCATGTCCTTTGTGCCAGGCTGTACCCTATGATACACAAAAGGAACATGCATTCCTTGCCCAGGGCTCCAGATCTGGCAAGGGATGGGATTAACAGGAGAGACTGTAGCTGGATTAGATGGAACAGGGAAGTAGGATCAGGGAGAGCTGCTTGGAGGATGCAGGGCTTGGATGGGGCACCAAAGAAGGAGGAGGGTTTAGTCTTGAGGTGGGAAGGAGGAGGAGGCTTTTCAGGAGGGAGACCAGGAACAGCGTAGGGAGGGAAAGCCTCTACCTCAGCAGGCCTGGTGCCTGTGGATCTGTGGGATTGATAAGGGTCCCCATGCTCCATAACATTGATGCAGGAGTCTGAGGATCATGCTTTGGGAAAAAAATATCAGATCTGAAAAGGAGTTGCACGTATGTGTTAGGAATTTAATCCACTTGTGCTGTATTCATCTGCCCTCTAAACATTCACTGAAGCTGACTGCTGGGCTAGGCCTGGGGGTTGGGGTGGGGATGGAAGAGGATGAGTACAATGATGAATGGCAGAGTTGCTGCCCTCAAGCAACTCACATGAGACCATGAAACACACACAGACCACTCGAGCAGGGAGGTGCAGGGACAGGAATTTCAAACCCAGGGCTAGGAGCTCAGGAGTAGCTGCAACCACTCAGCCTGTGAGAGCTGGGGAAGGTATTATGAAGCAATTGACATTCAACATGGAACTTGAAGAACTAGTGGGATGTTTTCAGGTGGAAAACTGGAGGAATGGCATTTCCAATAGAAGGAACAGAATGTGGAAGGGCACAGTGAAGAGCATGGGTGTTCTGTCGGCTGGCACATAGGCATGAGGTGTAGGCAGGGGGAGGGACCAGATAATGAGAGCCTTGTGTGATATGCCAAGGAGTTTGGCCCCTGTTCTGCAGTCTGAGGGGTCTGAGCGGGAAGGACCAGATCAGATTTATTTGAGGTATAAGCAGCCTGGTGAAGAGCTCTGGGTGGCAGGCCGGGGAGCAGATAGATGTTGATTGCTTTGGTGGGGAAGATGGAAAGGAAGGATCTGACTCAGGAGGTGTCTTTGAGGTGAAAGTGATAGTTGTTGGAAGAGAAGGGGAGAAGGAAGGAGTGGAAGATGTTCTGATCCTGGGGATGTCCTACTGAGTGGGATGTTTCTCAGGAATGGAGAAAAATTCCTGGAGTCTGGAAGTTCTTCACTTTGGCCAAGTCAACATAGTCCACTCTGTGATGGAGGACCATGTTCTCTTTGGTGCTGGGGACTACTCCTCCAGCCCTAGGGACAGACCTGGTCTTCCTGAGGTGGGGATGTCTCACATGGCTTGTCTGTCCTGTCTTCCATTCTGCAGTGCCAGCATGAGGCTCCCGGCCAGCACAGTGAAGTTGGGAGAGACACTGGCAGGATACACACAGCTATGCAGGTGAGTGGGGCCCCTCCAGAAGTGTAGAGGATACCTGATGTGCTGGGCATGGTCTGTGCACCTCACCTCTATGGGTCAGGGAGCAGTTTGTGTTCTTGGTTCCCAGAGATCAGAATCCATTAAGTCTCTGAGCTCCTGTCACACTGAGCGCTTCATTGTTTGTGTGGGTATAGTCAGCAAACACCACCTCTTGGAGAAGGAACTGGCAGATCGGCCTACAGCCAGAAGGTGGGGGGCTCAGGGCCTGCAAGGGATCTTTAGGCTGATTAGCTCGGAGGTCTCCAAAACCAAAATCTTGGCCATGGCAGTGCTAGAAAACTCTGTATTTTCATATGTCAAGTAATGTTGGCAGAACCTTGAGTTACCATCATGTTCCTGAGCCCATCTCCTTAGCTGAGCACATGGCTTCCTAGGGACAGTGAGGGAGCTTTTTCATGTGTCTATAGCATGTTCTGGATGTAATGGGAGTGAGGCAGAGTCTATCCTCAATCCAGGGCCTCTGAAAATGCCTTGCTGCTGCAAGTGGCCCTAAACCCTAGGATGGAAGGCTCTCTTTTTAGGAGATCTTGAGGGTCTTAGGGGTGGTGATGTCAAGGCTCAATGTGTGGATCAGAAGGTCCAGGAGTCTGGAGATCAAGACTCCCAGGTACCCTTTCCTTCCCTGATGTCTCTTACTCTGGGCCCAGGGCAGAGGAGGAAAAGCCCCTAGAGCAATGAGTCATTTCAGGGGTAGATACGGGGGAGGTAAGGGGGCAATGGACAGGCCTGTGGGTCAGACTATAGCAGAGGGAAGGGGTAGGTATTGGTCGCTTCCCTTTCAGGAAGAGGGGGAATACCCTGAGCAGGGGGCTGGGCCTGGGGGATCTTGAGCCCCTCACTGTCCTGCCTTAGTCCCTGATCTCCACCTTGATTCTCTCAATCAGGAGGCATGAAAAGAGTCAGCAACCACAACAGGACTCAGTGGGAAAAGAAATCTGACCCCTCACTGGACACTGAGGGGCAGGGAGGGGCCTAGCTCTGGGGCAGAGGACCACAGGTGCATGGTGGGAGACTCTCACATACTCCCCTTTGTGCACACACTAATATGCCTGCAGTTGCACAGTCCAACCACCCAGAATGCCCCACACCTGCTCACATAGGCTGGTCTGAACCAACCACAGGAACATAGGAGAACCCTCAGCTGGCTTTGCTTCCCTGCAGCTTTGCAGAGCCCCTGCCCTTTCAGCCAACAGATTGCAGGACTCTGACCCACTGTGGGCGTATCATTCATGCAAAGGAATGTGCTTTATTAGTACTTTATCACATTGCTATAAGAAAATACCCGAGGCTGGGTAATTTGTAAAGGAAAGAGTTTTAATTAATTCACAGTTCCACATGGCTTGGAAGGCCTCAGGAAACCTAAAATCATGGCGGAAGGCAAAGGGGAAGCAAGCCACCTTCTTCACAAGGTGGCAGAAAGGAGAATGACCAAAGAAGGAACTTGCCCAAACACTTATAAAATAATCAGGTCTCATTAGAACTCACTCACTATCATGAAAACTGTACAGGGGAAAATGCACCCATGATTCACTTACCTCCACCTGGTCTCTCCCTTGTCACGTGGGGATTTTGGGAATTATAATTTAAGATGAGATTTTGGGTAGGGACAAAGCCAAACTCTATTAGTTGCCTTCCTGTCCGGTGACCCCTTCCTCTCCCAGCCTTTCCTTGTTCTAGCTCTTTGCCCCACAGGTGTGACAAATCCTGCCAAGACAGACCTTCGAGTCTGCATCTCAAGAGGTCTCCCTCATGCCAGAGCCATGACTCTTGCAGAAGCACCCGTGTGTCTCATTGCCTCTGCTCCCTGTCTGCCTATGGACCTGTCTGGCCAGAGCCTCTAGGGCTCAGGGATATTGGCGAGACTCAGCCAACTTCTTCCCAGCCCAGCCTCTGGGAGCAGGTGTGCCCTGACACCTTGTCCCACTGCAGGCACAGCAGATACTGGAATCTGTGCTGGTGCACATCAGCACTATGGGGGCTCAGCGCCCTTATCTGGAGATGTCCATCCCTTCCAGCTCACTTCTAGGGTCAGGTGCAGTGTCCTTCAAGAACTCCAGGGTCATCTGTCTCATCAGCTTCCAGCACATACCTCCATGTGCCTGTGATATCCTCATCACTGAGGTCCTGATCTGCTCCCAGCTGCTTGTCCCTCCTCTTCTCCTCACATGGACTGTGTGAGCTTGTAGAATGATGAGCCTTCAGAGACTCTAGGACCAACCACCCTAAGAAAATCAGCCTGGTGCCTCTCAGCCCCTTCAGGCTGTAGTTTAATGCTTTTCTTTCAATCATTAGAACTCTGTTGATTGACTATCCTGGTGCTATCCATAACCAGAGAGGGTGAGACCAGGTGCAGAGCCGTGCCCACTCCCCACAAGCATGTAGGGCAGGAGCCCTGCCCTGGCTCCATGATTCTGGATGAGGGCTCCTGTCTCAGATCTGGGGTCCAGGGAACAGAGGCCCTCAGAGCCCCATCTGTGCAGGATTCCCGGTGCCCCTGGGCTGGCCCGCTTCCAGCCAGTGAGTCTCCTGTGCCTGCACTGAGCTAGGGGTACCAGGACCTGAGGGCCCTGCCCCAAGCAAACCTCACTCACTGCCAGGGCCGGAGCTTGGTGAATATTCCAATTCCACAGCTGAGAGTTGGAGGACAAATCGAGGACAGGGCAGAGGAATGGGTTCAGTCCTGCCCAGAGCTTTGGGTGATTTCAACAGCTCTGGCTCTGCCGGAACCTCCAGTGTGACCCTGATACATTTTTCCCCTCTGAGCCTCAAGCAGATGACCTTCACATGCTCATTTTCTAAACTTTGGAAAGTCCCTCTCACACGTAAACTTTTTTAGTAAGCAAAATTCTCCCCACACAGGCTTAGGAGAGGCTCCTAAAAGCCTTCCCAGGTAGTGGAGCCGGACTCCTCTGGAGTAAGAGCCTGAGAGGACACCGAGGGGCCTCTTCCTGCAGCTTCAGCTCCAGGGGTGGGGCCCTTCATGCCTGCACACTCTCCCTGGGGTGCCCATTGAGGGCAGGCTGCTGGGGAAATGTCAGGGGCACCGCTCCACAGCTCCCTCTCATTTGTATGTGTGCATCCAACACATGAGGTCCCTGCCCTCATTCCTGCTGGGGACACAGCTACTAAAGAGACCAGCATGTGTTCAAGATGACTTCATTTGGCAGTTAAATGAGTAGTAGCCACTGGGTAGGCAGGTGGGTGGGGAGGCCTCTTGGAGGAGGATGACATTGAGCACCCTCTGGAGACAGAACAGGGCTCCCACTCACCAATCTTTGACCTGCCCACCTGCTCTACTGTCACAGTGGCCCTGTGACCCCATAAGTGGCCTGTCCTCTTGTGGCCCCTGAAATTTGCAAGCACTGTTTCAGCACATACTTTCTCCTGCTGCTACAGCTTGGATTTCTCTTCCTATCAATTGTTGTGCTGGAAGGTGACTTTTGTTACATCACTTTGCAAGGACAGGGATATCCACAATGGGCTGGGAGTAACTATTTGGTGTTGAGCAGTGGCTGCTGGATGGTGGCTGGATTTCCTCACTAGATAAGTGACTGTCTCATAGCTTCCTGAACAGAGTTCCTGCCTTGGAACGGTCAGTAGGAGCCTCACACATGCAGTCCATGATACCCAGGATCTACTGGGGTTTGTCCATTGGGCTTTGTAGGGCTCTAGTTGCCCAGATCCCTCTTCCAGGCATCCAGACAAATAAGCTGTAGTCTGTTTGAAGGGCTGTTCAGCTTACAAGGAACAGTAAGCCACCCTTAAGTTAAGGGAGGGTTTAAGAAAAGCAATTCCTAAATTCTAGATTATTCCAGGCCAGGACACAAAGCAAGTCTGGACCCTGGTGGGCTAGAATGGGAAACAGAGATTAAAGGTTCCCTGACTTTTCTCTGAGCAGCCTGGCTTCTTTCTCACTCTCCACTTTATCCCCCAACCCATTTGTCTCTCTCTGTCAAGCCTCTTGCTTTCCTGATATCTCCTCCTTCTCAGGATGCTGGCTGGCAGGCATGTGGCTTCAGCTGGCCCTGCTGTGGATCTGCTAGTAGTGTGGAGGCCCACATGGAGGAAGATAAGCCTGGCTGGGGAATCAAGGCCACAGGACTCAGAGGCCACCGGGGACCGTGGAGGGGATGGGGTCCGGAATGGTGTGGAGCAAATGGAAGTCCCATGTGCAGAGGATTCTTTCAAGGACAGGAGCTGTAGATGCAACATAGTAGTTCCCAAGGCAGCAGGATTGAGAGAAGAATTTGAGGACTGGAAGGCAGGACATGTGGTTGAGTGACTGGAGAAGGGAGCAGATAATGGCAAGACTTCATTCTTTGTCCACAAACAGAAGAGTGTGGATCGCAAGTAGGCAAGATCTGCAGGTTTCGGGGGGCTCATGGGGGAGGGGAAGGCCTGGTCCAGAGGACCATTTCTCCTTCAGAGCCAGGCAGGACCTGGGCTGTGAGGATTCAGAGACAGATCAAGTGGAAGAGTCAGCTCAGCTGCCACCAGACTTGCTTTCCTCCTCTCTCATTTTCATTATGTACTGAACCTACAATGTGCCATCAACGAACACAAACATGCACATGCATAGGCATCCATGTGCAAGCCAATAGACCTCCTGGGTCCTGAACTATGGATTTATAATCTGGTAGCTTTAGCAGATTGTGGTCTTACATCCCTTGATTTTAAAACCACTGGGAAATGATCTTTATCGGTCCTCACTACCCCCCTCAAACAGTTTCCTGTTTTAGGTTTTTGAATGAAAACTCTGCTTTGTATCTGACCTCTTGTAGCACTTTAAGTCCATTCCCTGGGAGGAGGGCTTGCCACATGGCCTTGGGGTTCATGGAGAAGATCCATGTTGCAGATGTTCTCACTGAGCCCTGCAGAGCCAGCAGCCTGCCAACACTGCTCAGCCCATTAAAAGGAGCCAGTAGTCTGGTCATGGGGTGACCTTTCCTAGTAGGCAAAACTGTCCCCACATAGATTTAGGAGTGTGTATCCACAGCATCAGCTCAAGTACAGCTGTAGGTGTGCTTTTACCCTCTGACTTCCAAGATCCTGGCACAGAGATTAAGGAACATCTTGGAGGTTGCCTTCTACCCCCAAACTCTGCTCCCAGCCTGCAATCCCAGGCCTGGGTGGCCTCTGCTTTATCAGGATTCTCAAGAGGGACAGCTGGTTTACTTTCCATCCGTGTTCCCTGTGTATCTGCTCTGGTTTCAGATAGCTTATCTGAGCACCTGGAGGGCCACATGGGCATCTATGGCATGGGGCACATATTTCTGTGGCTTTGTTCCTGCACCTGCCAAAATAGCCAACACCCCCCACCACCATCTCCCCACTCTGCCCATCCCCTGCCACACATTCTTCCTGACACAGGGCTGGCTCACCAGGCTCCATCCCAAAGGCCTGCTTAAAGCCCTCTCCAGCCCTTGCCCTCACCCAGTCCCTGCTGAGGCTGAGCAGCATCTGTCAGCAACTGCTGATCTTACGTAAGACTAGGGCAGGGCTCTGGGGAAGGAGAGAGAGAGTGGAGGGAGAGACATGAGGATCTTTGGCCCCGGCACCTTCACCCAGAGTCCACCTACATCTACAGAAATCCATGGTCCCTCCTGGAGGAGGCCACACTTCAGAGAAGGTGTTGTCATGGTTGGGCTATGATATGGTTTGGCTCTGTGTCCCCCACCGAAATCTCATCTCGAGTTGTAATCCCCATGTGTCAAAGGAGGGACCTGGTGGGAGGTGATTGGATCAGGGGATAGTTTTCCCCATGCTGCTCTCATGATAGTGAATTCTTATGAGATCTGATGGTTTAAGAGTATGGCACTTCCCTCTTCTACTGCCATGTAAGACGTGCCTTGCTTCCCCTTCACCTTCTGCCATGATTGTAAGTTTCCTGAGTCCTCCCCAGCCATGCAGAACTGTGAGTCAATTAAGGTTCTTTATAATTACCCAGTCTCGGGTAGTTCTTTATAGTACTGTGAAAATGGACTAATACAGCCTCCAAGATTAGTGCAGTAGAGCAGAGCAAACACCGTGATAGCATTTGGAGACTAGGGTTGGAGTCCTGAATCTGCTACTAAAGATGTTGTGTGCACTTGGGTAAGTCACTTCCCCTGGCTGGACCTCAAATGTTCTCATCTGTAGTGTAGACTGCTAGTTCTCTGTCTGCTATAAACACAATGAAGCTGTAAATAACAGGGACTCCCCCAAATTGCTTGGTCCATCCCCTGCACTCCAGGCCAAGGGCCATCAAAACCTTTCCAGGTAGGGTCTTCCTGAGACCCAGAGAACAGAGACTGCAGCCAAATTAGTCACATGAGTCCCTGTGGTCATATTCTTAATGGCAGGGACTCAGAAACTGTCCTGTAACCATGGGGAAAGACTAAATGTACAGCAGCAGGCAAGGACCACTGGCGTGCCTCTCCAGGCTGACAAATGGATTCCATTTGATTTCCCTAACTTGGAACCATTCCCTCTTGAGAGAAGAGCCTGAACTGAGCAGTACTTGGGGCTGATGAGGAAAGGCCTCACTAGGAGAGCCTTCCATGGGGTGTGTGTCCAGCTTGTTGGCAGGAGAGGGTTAAGCCTGGGTCCCTGCAGGTATGACCCTTGTCCCAACACACCTCTAGAGACAGGGTTTGCTTTGTGTGTAGGAGTGGTAGAGAAAGTGTCCCTTGATTTTTCAACTTCTCCTTGGCAGGCTAAGGACTGTATGGGGAGAGGGTTGGCTTGTGTGTAAGGAGTTCTAAAGAACATCCCTGGCTTGGTGCATGAGAAGCCACTGCCCTCCTAAATTCTTACCAGGCACATTCTTTTTCTCTCAGGCAAAAGAGGAATCAAAAAGGATCAAGTTGCCAGCTGCCATCTGCCTTTTGCCTTTCCCTTCCACTTCCCCCAGCCTGTCACCCTCCTCTCCTGGTGGGCTAAAAGTGGCACGTTTAGGAAGATCACAGCTGAGTGTTTGGGACAAGGACTGAGGGGTGGGGTTGGTGTTCCTGAAGACAAACATCATGTTCTCAATTATTCGTGGGAGCTAATAATTAAAACGATTGAACTCATGAAGGTAGAGAGTAGAAAGATGGTTACCAGAGGCTGGAAGGGGTAGTGGAGTGGGAGGAGATGTGGGGAGGGTTAATTGGTACAAAAACATAGAAAAAAACCTAGTATTTGCTAGCACAACAGGGTGACTAGGGTCAAAAATAAATTAATTGTATGTTAAAAATATCTAAAAGTATATAATTGGATTGTTTGTAACACAAAGAATAAATGCTTGAGGGAATGGATACCCCATTTACCCTGATGTAATTTTGATGCATTGCTACTTGTATAAAAATATCTCATATACTCCATAAGTATATACACCTACTCTGTACCCACAAAAATTAAAAATAAATAAAAAAGAAACTCAGACTGTTTCTGAAAGACTGGAACTTGAGGCTCATCTATTTGATAGACAAGTTAACTGAGTCCAGAGAGGATGAGCTACTTAACTAAGGTCACACAACAGAAGCAGAGTTTTAAACCCAGGTTTTCTTGACCCCAATGATACGGCTTCGATGACTGGAGGAACACCAGGGTCCTTTGTCCTGCACCAATTTATATAAAATGACACGGACACACATGGAGCGGTTTTAAGGAGCAGAGAGTTTAATAGGCAAAACAGAAGGAAGAAGCTCCCTTGTACAGAGACAGAGTGAGGGGGGCTCCAAGTGGAGAGAGGAAACCACAAGTGCAGCGGAAAACAGTAGGTTATATTAGGAGGCTGGAGGAGGCGGTGCCTGATTTTCATATGACCCAGGGGATTGGTTTGACCAGGTATGTCATTTATGTAGACCGCGAAAAAACTGGCCCTTTCACCCTAGCCTTTTAATATGCAAATGTAGACCGCCATGATGTTCTGCAGACATGGAGATCTCTGAGGCGGGGCGGGGGGCCTGAGGCTTGGCACTCATGGTGACAAGGAGAAGAGGATGGGAATCCCCATATTGGATGGACCCAGTTTGTAATGGCTGGCATTTGCATATCAAAGCCTGCTGGCCTGGCCCTTCAAGCCATTTTTCTGCTAGAAAAGAAATGTTTTGGGAGTTACTTTTAAGAAAAAAACTTACCAAGGATCCCTTATCTTATCTGCCTAAAACAATTTCTTAATAACTCATATAATATTCGCCCCTGAGGAGACGTTACCATAACTGCTGTTAGGGGGATTTGGGCAACGACTCTTTCTGGCTACTTCCTGCTGAAAAGGGGTGTCGATTGGGGAACAGCAGTTAGGGCTCCTCCTGGATTCGATATAAGTGTCCTTGGAAGAATGGCGTGTTCCTGCATGGTTCGGTTTGCAGCACCATTTGGAGTTTGATTTCAGAGGAAACAATTCAAGTTATAGTATTGAGTGTACAGGTTCAAATGTTAATACAAGACATATAAGCAAGAGGGGGCTTAATAAAGGAGCTAACCAATTCCATAAAGAAGTCTGGAATTTATTAAAGAGGGATTGTAGCCACCTGGGACTGAAGCCTACATATTCTCTTAGCCTGATAATACTTTTGATTTGATCTTTACGTACCTGTAGATTTTCCTCTACTAGAAGTGTTAATTCAGAAGCAGCATGTTTCATTTAAAAGTGCACACCAGTACTTCCTACTTCAGCTGTGAGGACATCTAAGGCCCATCTATTTTGTGCTGTTACTGAGGATAAAGGGTCTATAGATTGTTGTTGTGCCTCTATGGCACTTATAGTTACCTTCCATCCTTGTTGCATCATAATAGAGACAGTAAGTACTGATCTTTCAAGAAGAGGGATGCCCGTAAATCAGAATAGGCCTCTGGCTATAGAATTTCCCATCCATGTTTTTTTTCAAGTTGGGATTGTCATGTGCATGCCCTTCCCCAGTCTGCCCTTTCAGCTAAATCTCCATGTGAGGGCTTAGAAATGATAGATCTCTTTGTCCGGTGTATTTGAGATAGTGCAGTTTCTAGAAAAGAGCCTAAGTTAGGTATGTCCCATGATGATGCTGCCAACTCAGTAGAATTTAAAAATAAGTTGGAAACTACTGCTACTGTAATACAAGTTCCCTTCTAATGCCTTGGGAGAACTAAGTGTATCTAGGAGCCACAAGGAATATCTAGCCCTGTTTCTTGAAGGGATGGTTCCAAGTTGTGGTTTGTGAGAGACAGTGGCAGACTTTTCTCATATCTTAGAAATTCCCCTTCCTTACACATAATAGGGGCATCCTTGGGATAAGGATAACCATATTTAAGATAGTCATTTATGATGCCAATTGGAATTTGACATGCCAAGTGAGAAGGGTCCACCTAACAAATGGAGTTTCAAAAAATTAGACATTTTATACCCTGGCCAATATCTCAGATGATCCTTGTGGCAAGGGCTGTCAGTCCAGATGTCTCCAGTTTGCCCACAGATCTGTAAGCCACTACTATTAGCAAACGTCGTGCAAGGATCTGGAATTCTATAAGCATGCATGTTTGAAAAGGCCCATGTGTTATTCTTTACATTGTAGTCAAGGTGGTTGTTTAGAGCATGCCACTCCCATCATAGGACTTCCAACCAGAAGGAGAGGCTAGATTCTGAAAGCCCCCCACTAGGGCTTCTGATCCTGTTAGATCCCCTTTGTTGCAGTCTTCTCCCCAAATCTTTGAACTATCAACAATTACAAATGTGATGTTACAATATTTGAGCCCAAATATGGGCTTTCCCCACTGCTTTCAAAGCATTTGCTGTTACTAGGCCAACTTTTCCCAACCTGAGGGTGTGAAGCTGAGTTTTAGGGAAACTGTTCTTTGGCACTGGGGGCAGAATGTTCTCTGAGAGGAGTTAGTTACCCAGTTGAAAGTCCTCCCATATCATGTCCCATTTATGACTGATAAGTCTTTAAAGGTTAGAGGTAAAGCCAACAAATGAAATCCTAAGATGGCAAGTTCTGGGTCATTTTAAGGTTTCTTAGTGTCATCGAACTGAGTGAGCCACTTAGGACAGACCCAACAATTAGTCTTATTGTACAAATGGGCTATGGTGAATATTGTAGGAGCTAAAGGGTGTGATGTATTACTAAGTCCAGTAAAAAGTTTTAACACTTAGTGATAGTAAAATGCTCATGTTTACTTCCAGTTAGGAACTGTTATTCCTGCTATGAGGATAATAATTAAGCAAAATCGTACAGTAATTGAGATTCCTGTCTGATATTCCACCCAGAGGGTGGTACAGTGTATAGTCCTAATGCAAATAGTAGCACGAGTATAGCAATTCTTGCAAGAGTGGCATAGTCAATAATTTCCATCAAAATAAGTTCTAATATTTGGCAACAAATCTGAAAGGAGAGGTAGAAACAACAAAAAGTATTTGGTGAGGTAGGGGTGAGACTAAGATGAGTAGATCTCACTCAGTTACTTATATTTTGTGATTTTCAGCTTAAGACCTCCTATTTCTTCACATTGATATTCAGGACATTCCTCTGGGCTGTCAGGGGTTGTTCCCTCAGCTCTCCAGGCTTTGACTCGAGTGTGATGTATCCAGGCATTGATTCCTTTGACTTTTATTGCCAAAGGGGTTGAAAGAACAATAGTGTAAAGCCCTTCCCAGCTTGGGTTTAGGGAGAGAGAGAGAAGGGAGAGACTTTACCAGTACCAAATCTCCTGGGTTAAATAGAGGTGGTTCAATGTCCTGGGGTTGGGCTTTTACTAATTGTGCTAATTCCTGTTGGAAGTGAGCCAGAGAGGTTACATACTTAACTAGCTCAGAGTCTTCCCAATCTAATAGAAAATTATTGGGAAAAAAAGCCATCCGTACAACATCTCAATAGGGCTAAGAACTAATTTTGAAGGGGTATTTGTTATTCATAGTAAGGCCATGGGAAGAAGAGTGACCCAAGGAAGATGAGTTTCTTGGGATAATTTTCTGAAATGTCTCTTCATAATATCATTAGTTTTCTCTACCTTTCCTGAGGATTAGGGTCTCCAAGCACAATGGAGATGATATTCCATGGCTAGTGCTTTTGAGACCCCTTGAGTGATAGCTGCCTTAAACAACAGCCCATTGTCACTTTAAAGCTACTTAAGTAGACAAAGTGGGGAGTTATGTAATTAACTAACACTTTTATTACCTTAGAGGCTTTTTCTGTATGGCATGAAAATACTTCTAGTTAGTGAGGGTATCTACTCATATCAGCAGGTATTGAATGCCTTTTGTCTTTGGCATGTGGGTGAAGTCTATCTGCCAGTGTTCCTCTGGACAATTTCCTATTCTTTGGGTTTGAGGAAGAAGGAGTCACCTGTTCAGGGGATTATTTTTAAGACAGACTTCACAAGCATTAACAATTTGCTTGACTGTTTTTAGTAAGTCCTCTCCTGAAAATGATTCCTGGGCATATTGATAAGTTTTATCTTTTTCCAAGTAAAAAGCTTGGTGAAGGATTTAAATGATTTTCCACTGGCTGGAGGCTGGCAATTGAGTTTGCCAGCCTCCAGTCAATGGAAGGAGTAGCCATCCATTGGCTACTGTAGCCATCTGACTGTGGCCATCCTGAGAGCTGAAATGTATACCATAGAGAAGTGGCCAATTCTATTTCTGTAGGGGAGTACTGAGGTTTAATTTCTCTTATGGAGCCTTCCCAGATTAGAGGGTTTTGAAGCATGTTGATGTCTTGAGGCTTCCTTGTTGCTGATTTAGCTGCCTGATCAGCTAATCTATTTCCTTCGGCTACCTCATCTGTTCCCTTTTGATGTCCCCTACAATGCATCACTGCTATTTCTCATGGAAAGAAAACTGAGGGTAATAACCTGTTAATTTCCTGGTGACATTTTATAGGAGATCCATTGGTGGTAAGAAAATGCCTTTCCTTCCAAATGGCAGCATGAGCATGGAGAACCAAGAAAGCATACTTGAAGTCAGTGTAAATATTAGCTACCTTTCCTTTGCCTAATTCAATTGTTCTTGTAAGAGCTATTAGCTCAGCTAATTGAGCGCTTGTGCCTGGAAGGAGAGATGCACTTTCAATGATGTCATTTAGAGTGATTACTGCATATCCTGCCTTACGATCCCTTGTTCTACAAAAGAGCTCCCATCTGTGAAGAGGGTCCAGTCTGCGTTCTCTAGGGGAGTTTCCCTGAGATATTCCCTGGCTGCATAGGTCTGTACTGTGACTTGTTCACAGTCATGCTCAGGTTCCCCAGTTTCCTTGGGGAGGAAGGTGGCTGGATTTAGGAGAGAACTAGTTTTTAATTGGATGTTGGAACCTTCTAACAGCAGGGCTTGATATTTAAGGATTCAGCTATCTATTAACCAAAGGCTCCCCCTAGAATGCAGTAGTCCTGCCATGTTATGTGGAGTGTAAACAGTTAAATCATTTCCCAGGATTAATTTGGAGGCTTCTGGGACCATCAGAGCCACTGAAGTAATGTCTCAGAGGCAGGCTGGCCATCCTTTAGCCACCAAATCAAGTTCCTACTTAGGTAACCCACTGGCTGTTGGACTGGTCCTCGAGCCTGTGTTAAAACTCCTAGGACCATTCCCTTCCTTTCTGATACATACAGATTGAAGGCCTTCCCTACAGGAAAGCTGAGAGCTGGTGCCTTCAGCAAGGCTTGGTTTAGCTGGTCACAGGCCTTTTGAGTTTCAGGTTCTCAGGTTAAAAGAGAGGTTAGCTCCCTGAGTTTCTTTCATGAGGTTATACAACAGATGGGCTACTTCACCATACCCAGGTATCCATAGTCTACAAAAGTCTGTATTGCCCCCAAATCCTCTTAGTTTCTTGAGGGTTTGCGGGAGGGGAAAGGAGGAAATAGGCTTAATCCTTTCTTCTCCTAATGCTCTGGTCCCCTTGGACAACACTAAATCTAGGTACTTCACTGAGGTTTTGCAGAGCTGGGCATTGTGTTTTGAAACCTTATGTCCTCTGTTAGCTGAGAAGTTGAAAAGAGCTTCAGTGCCTTCCTGAGAAGCTTCCTCAGTTGGGACACAGAGCAGAATATCATCAACTTATGGCAAGACCCTAACTTGAGGATGAGAGAACTCAGAGAGGTCTTTTGACAGTGCCTGTCCAGATGAGGACTACCCCGAAGTCCCTGAGGCAGCATCCATGTTAACTGGGCGGACTGGCTGGATCTTTGAAGGCAAACAGGTATTGAGAGTCAGGATGTAATACTATGCAGAAAAAGGCATCCTTTAAATCTAGGACTGTAAACCATTTATTTCCCTCAGGTATTTGAGTTAACAGGATACAAGGATTAAGTACCACTGGATGGATTGGAACTACAGCTTCATTAATGAGGTGAAGGTCCTGAAGTAGTCTCCATTCCCCATTGGGTTTCTGCCCTCCTAATATTGGGGTGTTGCAGGGGCTATTACAGGGTTTGAGGAGGCCCTGCATCTTTAGGTTATTAATTATGGCTTTCAGCTTTTTCCTAACCTCTGACCTTAGGGCATACTGTCTCTGGCTAGGAAGAGAAGTGGGATACTTAAGGTAGATCTGTACTAGCCTAGCAGTTATAGGTCAGCCTATTTTTCCTTGACTTACCCACACTTATGGATTAATGTTAGCTTCCACTGGGGGAGAAAAAAGTTTGTCCTGGGGCATTAAGGATGCTGGCCCCCATGTGAGCTAGAATATCTCTACCTAATAAAGGAGTGGGTCTTTCAGGCATGATTAAAAAGGCATGTGTAAATAGTAGGTCCCCCCATCTGCAGCTAAGGGGTTGAAAAAAATATTGGATTAGATGTTTTCCTGAGACACCACTATGGTCATGCTATGGGAAGAGGGGAGGCCTGGATTAGAGAGGAGAAGAGAGAGACTGGCTTCAGTATCTAGAAGGAGATTTACTTTCCTTCCTTCAATTTCCAGAATTACCCAGGGCTCCTGTGCTGTAATGGCAGTCTGAGTCACCAGAACCAGAGGTTTGAGTCCCAGGACCTGTCAGTCCTGCTGGACCATCTGTGAAACTGGTTCTGAACCCAGTGACCTCTGTCTTCGGGGGCATATCCATCTCTAGTGGTCTCTGCCACAGGCTAGACAGGGTTGAAGTGGCTTGGTCTTGCTTCCAGGGCATTCCTTTTTAAAATGCCCTGACTTGCTACATCAGTAACAGCTAATGGAGGTAACTTGGGAATCCTGGACTTGCAAGCTTGCAACCCTGCTGCTAGAGGTTCTGTTCTTCTCTTGTATTTCCTTTATTTTTTCTTGGGCCTCTTCTTGATCTCTATTGTAAAAAAAAAAGTGGCTATTCTCAGGAGGTTCTTTAGGGTGCTATCTGGTTCTATAACTTGCTTCTGTAGTTTCCTTCTAATATCGTGAGCTGCCTGTGTAATAAACTTGTCCTTCAGGATGAGCTGTCCCTTGACTAAATTAGGAGTAAAAGAGGTGTGTTTTATTAGTGCTTCTCTCAGCCTTTCCATAAAGTCTGTGGGATTCTCATTTGGTCTTTGGCCTATTGTGGACAGCTTAGTGTAATTGAGAGAATTGGCCCTGGTTTTCCATAGTCCCTCTAATATGCACCTTAAAAAGTGTGTCCTTTTTCAGTTATCTCCTGAATTATTGGGGTTCCAGTTAAGGTTATTTACTGGAACAGCTTCCGTTTCTAATGGGAATGGAGTTTCCACCTCTTTCTCACCTTCCCTACTTCTTCTTTTTCTCCTTGGTCAGCTATAGGAGGCATGTTGCTCAACTCTTATTTTTTTTCCTGCTGCCTACAGAACAGCCTGCTTTTTAGCTGCAGTGAGGGTCTGACTTATCAGCAACATAATATCCCTCCATGTGAGGTCAAACACCTGAGTTAAATTTTGGAAAATTTCTATGTACCTATTAGGGTTGTCAGAAAATTGGCCTGAGTCTCCCTTTATTTGTTTAAGGTTCTGTAATGAGAGGGGAACTTGAACCCTCATGGCACCATTCCCATCAGACATTTCCTACAGAGGTAAAAGTGAAGGAGGAAGAGTAGGATATACTGGAGATGGTGGAGCTGGAGGAGCTGATGGTACGATTGGAGGGAGACTGGAAGGGTTGGGACATTCAATAGCTGTGTTAGATTGCTCTTCTGGAACCTTCCTTTACTCTGGGGAACTATTTCCTGGGCTTTCCTGCCATGGCTGCTAAAAGAACTGGGTCAATTGTACAGAACTTGTAAATGTCTGGGTTGTCTTGCAGGGCAAAGAAAGTGCACATAGGGGATGTCAGTCCATTTGCCCTTCTGTCAGCAGAAAAGACCTGTTAGATAATATTAAAATTAAGTTTCCCCCCAGCAGGCCAGGTTTGTCTGTTCCCAAGATGGTAAGAAAGCCATGCCTTGTGCAACAGAATATGAGGTGGCTTTTCTTCAGAGTCTCGGGGTCAGAGGAGTCCCAGTGCTTTAAAATATACACTCCAGGAGAGTCCATGCTGAAGATGATTTGTTACCCATCTAGAAAGAGAAGTGAGAATAAAAGCATTCTTTTAGTCTCCTTTCTTTCCATATGTGACCTAGGATGAAGAAAACAGTGGGGGCATTCCCCGAACTATTTTCCCTTCCTGATTCCTGGGTCCCAGCACCCTGTTAAATGTGCTGCCCATGACTGTGGGCATAACCCTTCAAGCCATGGCACCAGAGGAACTAGGCTTTTGAGGCCTGGTCACACTTACCCAGTTAGCCCTAGTCCTCACCTATTATTTCCCTTTGACGTCCTAGACGTGTGTGTCCTGTGTGCCTCCCTTAAAAAAAAAGGATCTCAAGAAAAACTATGTAATTGGGCAAGGCCCCTTTAATGAAGGGGGCATGCTAGATTGAACGCTATATCCTGCTTTTATGGCCCATGCTAAAGAATTTACGCTTAAAAAAATTGTTTTTAGCTTGCTCCCATACTCACCGCTCTGATGAATGTTATACCTCAGATTCCTGGCCAAAGCACCAAAATGATACAGCTCCGATGACTGGAGGAACACGAAGGTCCTTTGTCTTGTGCCAATTTAGATAAAATGACACGGACACACGTGGAGTGGTTTTAAGGAGTGGAGACTTTAATAGGCAAAAAAAGAAGGAAGAATCTGCCTTGTACAGAGACAGAGGGAAGGGACCTCTGTCCCTTCTGTCCCGAGCGGAGAGAGGACACCCTGAGTGAAGCAGAAAAAAAGTTGGTTATATGGGGAGGCTGGAGGAGGAGGTGTCTGATTTGCATATGAACCAGGGGATTGGTTTGACCAGGTATGTCATTTATATGGCCCATGAAAAAACTGGCCCCAGCATCTTAACATGCAAATGCAGGCCACCATGATATTCTGCATACGTGGAGATCTCTGGGGGTGGCCATGATGCTTGGCACACGTGGTGACAAGGAGAAGAGGGCAGGAATCACCATTAGATGGACCTAGTTTCTAATGGCTTCCATTTGCATATCAAAGCTTGCCAGCCTGGCCCTTTGAGCTGTTTTTCTACTAGAAAAGAAACATTTCTGGAGCTGCTTTTAACAAAAAAACCTTACCAAGGACCCCTTATCCTATCTACCTAAAATAATTTCTTAATAATTCCTGTAATACCAAGGTCAGTATTCTTTCTGCCTTCTCTTGTTTTTGCTTTACTCCCCCAAGCAAGGTGACCCTGATCTCTTGATTTGGAAGATGTTTGGCTAGGAAGGAGCCTGTGAAGCCAGTAGAGCTGGTGTGTGAGGACACAGGTGCCTCAGGACATTCTGGTGCCTTGCCCTGCCAGGTTCTTGATCCTTTCACACTCTGGATCCTGTTTAGGCTGATCCCCTTCCCCTTCACCAGGTCCTGCCTTTGAGCCATAGGCTTGGATGTGTTCTCTAAGCTGTCCAAAAGGCCCCCTGTACCCTCCGTGGTCTGTATGCTATTTTGGGAGCCCGATGGTGCTCCCAGGAACAGGGAGAGAAGTCCAAGTTGCTTGTTTCTTCTCTGAACCCCAGCAAAGTTTGAACTGGTGGCAGTGTAGGACACAACAGGACAGAGAAAGCTAGAAGATACTCGTTCCAGGATGGCCACCCACAATTCCCCTGAAAAACTTTTGTTGCCTCTTGAGTATCATTTAACCCACACCCACATATAGAGTGTGGCAAAATAAAACTATTCAAACACTGGTCACTCCAAGTACCCATTGCAGTATGCATACCTCACTTTGCTGCTGAGTATCGAGAGAAGCAAGACCCCCGGGGGTTACTAAGGATTTGAAGTCAGGCTTCTCTGTGAGGGCTAATTAAGATGGGTAAAGTTTTCATCACTTCATGAACTCAACTCTTGAGCAGTCTGGGTCACAGTTTACCTTATATCTGGTCCTGGACAGCAGCAGAACCAAAAGGCAGGTGAGAAAAGCCCAGATGCACTAATTAAATACTAATTATTGAAATAAAATAGAAGACAAGGTGGGGTCAGGAAGTCCCGCAGATTAACTTTCCTGTAGGATGTTCAGGAAGCAATCAGGGCATCAATTCTGAGTGTCAATTTGCAGCAGTCATTTAAGGCTCATTAGAAGAACAACTCCAGGTAATAGGCATAAAAATAAGCTATTAGAAGGGGGAATACCATTGATCCATTACATTCTCTAAAACTATTCTTTCTCGTGTGTTTTCTTGCTTTACTCTGCTCAGAATAACTGACACAATAGGATAATGTGAAGGCCAAACAGAACAAACTAAAAGACAGAAAATTGGTGAAATCTCTAATAAGAGGAATTAAGAATGGTCCTCTTCTGTTGTTGACTGTTCCAACTGAGTTTTACAATGTATTTTGACAAAACCCAAAATATCTAGGGGTGTGTAGCAGAGCAGTTTGTACCGACCAAATGTCTCATGTTCTCCCCTAAATTTCCCAGCTTTCCTTGCAGTTATGTTGGGGTAATGTGACTAATTCTGGCCAATGAGCTGTAAATGCAAGTGATGTGTGTCACTTCCAGGCTGGAGTAGTTAAGAGCTTGTGGGCCTCCTCCTTAGGCTCTTTATCTTGCCTCAGTAATCTTTGAGAGGCCACATGCTGCAGAAGATGCAGCTGTAAGAGATGGAACAGCTGACAAACCCATATCATGCTTACCTACATTTATTAAAGAATGTATTAAACTTCTGATATTTGTCTCTGTCATAAGGTATCCTGATAAATCCAGACTACCCCTTCCCAGTGCTTTTCCAAAAACTTCCTCCAGCCAATGCAGACATGACAATTTTCAGTTAGAAGCATCCTGGAACAGGATTTCTATGCTTGAGCCAGAGGATGCTGTGGACATAGTAGAACTTTAAGTTCCCATGCTCTGGAAAGTCTTTGCACCTTCTTAGTGGTATTATGCACAGCTCCAAGAGGAAATAGAGCTACTCAGGTTAGTGGTGATAAATTATATTAAAAGAATAAGAAGATTTAATTACTCATAAAATAAATTTTCCAATGGTGACTGCAGTGAGTTGAGCTGGAACCAAAGTCTGATATTCTGTATTAAATTAAGAATACGAAGTGATATGGTTTGGATGTTTGTCCCCTTCAAAGCTCATGTTGAAATGTAATCCCCACTGTTTAAATTGTGGCCTGGTGGTAGGTATTTGGCATATGGGGGCAGATCCCTCATGGATGGCTTAGCACAATCCCCTTAGTGATGCATGAGTTCTCACTCTGAGTTCATGTGTGATCTGATTGTTTAAGAGTATGAGGGATCTCTCCCCTTGCTCTCTTGCTCTCACTTTTGCCATGTGAGCTGCCTGCTCCACTTTTGCCTTCTGCCATGATTGGAAGCTTCCTGAGTCCTTCACCAGAAGCAGATCCTGGCACTGTGCTTCCTGCACAGCCTGCAGAATTGTGAGCTGGTTAAATGCCTTTCTTTATGAATTACCCAGTCTCAGGAATTTTCTTATAACAATGCCAGAACAGACTAGTATACTAGTCTTTGGTCTTTCATGCAGTAAATTAAACAAAATATTGGAACAAAAATGATTTTAGAAACAACCTGTTTATATCTTTCAATTTAGTTCACATATTGAATGAAGGCTACTAGGTTTTTGACATTCTGCAGTTTACTGGGAAGTCAGAGATAATGTGACTCAATTTATTTCCTGTTGATTCTGGACTGGGAATCCACAGTAGGGCTCATTCTCCCAAGAAGTTCATGAGTGAGTCTGGATTGCTAGAAACCATGGCAATGGTTTCCTCAGTATCCCTGTCTGATCCTTGCAGTTCAGTAACCTGATGTCAAAATGTTCAGAAGGAGGAAATGAAAGGTGAAGTGGTTAATGATAAGGTTTGAACAGGTGGACATGTCACAAGCAGGGATGCATCACTGAGGAACATGGAATTTATACTTGTATGGTTAAGAAGCAGCCTTGGGAAGCAGGAGACTTATTTAAGTTCCCATCATTAAATTTGCCTGAACCAAGACTAGAAATATGGTATGTTTTTTCAGGTGATAGCAATTTATTTTCTTTCATACAGTCCCTCCTAATTATCATCCTCATAGGATACCATCTTCCTTCTTTTATTCATTTATTGATTCTCCTCTTATAGAAAATCCAAATACCAGTATGTTTCTTATCTACTGAAAACAGAAAATTAGAAAAATTGTGAAGGACATAAATAACAAATTGAAAATAAAAAGACTTTCCTGAATACAAAAAGCAAGGTGCTCTGAGAAGCTAACAACATGTCCTTTATGGGAGGGAAAATTTTCAGAGTGGCTGAGTAAGTTTTGAAAAGAAGAGTTACGTGCATCAAAAATTCAGTTCAGATTTGGCTTTCTAAATATATTTTTAGCTTAGAATATTTATGAACTGAGACTTTTCCAAAAATACTTAATAAAATACTGGTCACCACCAATCTTTTGTAAATAATTAGTAGATTATGAAAGAGACTAATGCCAGATCCAGATGTATTTGTCCACTCTGAAATCTATGAACCATGATCTACACTGAGTTTGGACTTGAAAAGGCACAGCATATAGGTTAAAAAAAAAAAAAAAAAAAAAACACCAAGGAATAATAGGTGTTCCCAAGCTTAGGATGATGCAGAGAACTTCCTCACAAGCTTATGAAAGAAAGACAAATCATGGATCTTATTTATAAAGGGGATGGTTCTATAGTCATATAACATAGTGTCAAAAAGTTAATCTAAACTTTGGAGTGAGATATTTTTCCCACCTATTGCCAATTTCTATCTTGGCAAATGAGCATATTCCTTGACGTCTCTAAGTCTCAGTTCAATACTTCAAATGAGGATTATACGTGGGTCTTTGCTTTAGAGGTTTTCTGTTTGTTTGTTTGTTTTTTGAGGCAAAGTCTCGCTTTATTACCCAGGCTGGAGTGCAATGGTGCAATCTTGGCTCACTGCAAACTCTGCCTCCCAGGTTCAAGTGATTCTCCTGCCTCAGCCTCCCAAGTAGCTGGGATTACAGGTGCGCACCACTATGCCTGGCTAAATTTTTGTATTTTTAGTAGAGACAGGATTTCACCAGGTTGACCAGGCTGGTCTTGAATTCCTGACCTCATGTGATCCACCCTCCTTGGCCTCCCAAAGTGCTGGGATTACAGGCATGAGCCAGTGCACCCAGCCTGCCTTAAAGTTTTATGTGGGTTAAATTAAAAGATTATGAAGAGAAGCAGAGTCCATCCTAGACTAGAGATGCTCTGTAAAGACCACAGACCACCCCTTGCCAATCAAGGGGGCAAGGAAATGTTTCCAATGGATAATTCAACTTCCACAGCTCAGGATAAGTCTAAGCCACAGCTCCAACAGAAGTTGGGGTCCTCATTGCATAGAGGAGCAGTAGATATATAGAAGGCAAAGCACCAGCTCTATGACTGATCTTTGAGAATGGACAGCAATGTGACCCACCACAGCTAAACTTACTGTAAATCGTTATCACCATGACTATCATCATCAACATTATAATCATCATCATCACCATCATCACTATCATCATCATAGTCCACATCATCACCATCAACATCGTCATCACCACCACCATCCTCACCACCGTTATCATTAGCAGCACCATAATCATCATTATCACCATTTTTGTTTTTGAGACAGGGTTTTGCTCTGTACCCCAGGCTGAAGTGCAGTAGCGTGATCACAGCTCATGGCAACCTTGAACTCCTGGGCTCCAGTGAACCTCCTGCCTCAGCCTCTTATTACCATTATCATCATAACTGTAACTAAATCTGCTCACTCAAATGTTTAGTGACTACATAGGTATCAAGCAGCTACTAGGTGCAAATACTGTTTTTGTGTTCAGGTGGAGCCTACATTATGAAGGGGAAGAAGACAATAGGCATATAATTAAGTCAGTGTAGAATGCTTTTTTTATGGTAATAAGTGCTATAAAGAGATTAAAGATACTATGGAGGAGGTGGCCAACAATAATGTGGTCAGGGAAGTTATTTTAAAAAATCTGGGACAAAGTAATTTAAAATTCTAGTACAATATTACAACCAGAATATTAAAATTAATAAAATCAAGATACAGAAAATTTTATCACCACAATTTGGGCATTTTCATTATGTGTTTAAAATTTCAAATGTCTTTTTCCCCCTTTCAAATAGATTTTATTTTTTAGGACCATTTAAGTTTACAGCAAAATTGAACGGAAAGTACAGATATGTCCCACATCCTCCCTTCCCTCACAGATGCACAGCTTTTCCCTCCAGCATGGCAGTCTTGTTACAATTAATGAATCAATATTTACATTTTACTATTACCCAAAGTCCATAATTTGCATTAGAATTTACTCTTCATGTTGTACATTCTAATGACAAATGTATAACGACATGTATCCACTATTATATTATTATACAGAATATAATGCAGTATGATACTATAATACAGTATATGTATAGTACACATTACAATATTTGTACTGTCTTAAAAATTGTTTGTGCTTCACCTATTCATCCCTCCCTCCTCTCAACCCCTGGAAATCACTGATTGTTTCACTGTTTCTATAGTTTTGTCTTCTCCAGAATATCATATAGTTGAAATCATACAGTATGTAGCATTTTCAGATTGGCTTCTTTCATTTAGCAACAGGTATTTGTTTCTTCCATGTTTTTTCATGTCTTGATAGTTCTTTTTTTAAATAACTGAATAAGATTTAATTGTCTAGATATAATGTTCATTCATCATTCAAGTTTTGGTAATTATGCTTCTATAAATATCTGTGCATAGGTTTTTGGGTGGGCATAAGGTTTTTAACACATTTGGGTAAGTACTAAGGGGCACAACTGCTGAATTTTATAAGACTATGTGTGGTTTTGTAAGAAACTGTCAAACTGTCTTCAAAAGTGGTTGCACCATTTTGTGTCACCAGCAATGAAAGAGAGTTCTTGTTGCTCCACGTGCTTACCAGCATTTGGTGTTGTCAGTGTTCTGAATCTGGACCATTGTAATTTGTGTATAATCATATCTTATTGATATTTTATTTTGAAATCTTCTAATATCATATTATATGGGGCATCTTTTCTTGTACTTATTTGGCATCTACATATATTTTTGATAAAGTATCTGTTCAGGTCTTTTGCCTGTGTTTTTTAATTAAGCTTTTTTACCTATTGTTGAGTTTTAATTTTTTAAATATATTAGATAGAAGTACTGTATCAGATATATCTTTTGCAAATAGTTTCTCCCAGTCTATAGCTTGTGTTATCCTTCTACTGACAGTACCTTTGGCAGAACAGAAGATTTAAATTATAATGAAGGCCAGCTTATCAATTGTTTCTTTCATGGGTCATGCCTATGGTGTTGTATCTAACAAGCCATCACCATGCCCAAGGTAGTGTAGATCTCTTTTCCTATGCTATTTCCCAGAAGTTTTACAGTTTTGCATTTTACATTTAGTCTTATGATCCATTTTGAGTTAATTTTAAGCAGTGTAAAGCCTGTTTGTAGATTCTTTTCATATGTATATCCTGTTGTTTGAGTGCTATTTACTGAAAAGACCATCTTTTCCTCATTGTATTACCTTTGCTCCTTGATTATATTTATGTGGGTCTATACCTGTGCTCTATAACCTGTTGCATTAATCTCTTTTTATCTTCTTTTATGAATACCATACTCTTTTGGTTACTGTAGTTTTATAGTAAGTCTTGAACATGGGTAGTGTCAGTCCTCTGGCTTTTCATTTTTTCTAATGTTGGTTATCCTGGGTCTTTTGCCTTTTCATGTAAACTTTAGCATCAGTTTGTTGATTTCCATGAAATAATTTGTTGGGATTTTTATTTTAATTGTGTTAAGTCTATATGTCAAATTAGAAATAACCAATGTCTTGACAATATTGAATCTTTCTATCCATAAACATGTAGTATCTATCAATTTCTTCAATTATTTGATTTTTTAAATCATAGTTTTATGGCTCTCCTTATATAAATCTTGTACATACTTTGTTAGATTTTTAGCCAAGTATTTTATTTTGGGGGATGCTAATATAAATGTTATGGTGTTTTAATTTCAAATTTCAGGTATCTATTGCTGATATATAGGAAAGTGATTACATTTTGTATATTAACCTTGTATCCAGCAAATGTTGAATGGTAAAGATCTTTGTTTGGTTACACAGCTAATGTGCAGTGCTGGCAGGATTTGAATCCAGGTTAGTCTAATATTCAGGTTCTCTAAACTATGATCTGTTTTCTTTCCTGAAATTTTCTTCACCCATTTATTCCCATTTGGGACCCTTGCTCAACATGCTGTGTGCAATGAAGGCTTACCTATGCCCTCACTGATACTAAAGATCTTTCCCAGCTGCCTTTCACCACACCCAAAAGAAAGTTAAGGGCAATTATTACTTATTTGTATTTTTTTGCTCTAAGTCTTAATTCATTTAAGGAGGAATCTAGTTAACCTATCCCTGTAATCTCAGAGCTTAGCACAAGCATTGACCCAAAGATAGCAGTGAGCAGATACTTCTTTAAATAAATTACTATATGTTGATATCTGCCCCACGTAAGCGGGGAGGGAAAGATCTGGAAGAAATTAGGTGTTCAGAATTAACATTCTATGCTTAGGCAGCCTGGGAGGTCTGCATGTTCATTGAGGCATCAGGGATTTTGTGGTTTCCTTCAAGGAAACCCCAAGCATGTAGAATTTTTTCTCTCCTCACATTATGCTTTGAGAAACTTGAGATGGATCTTGTCAGCATAATTCAAGAGTAATTTAAGTAGTAAACCAAAATCAAAAGCAGAGGCACACTTTCATTGATATACATGAGTGTCAAAGTATTTCTCATGCAAAAAGTATCCTAATTCATCTAATAACTAAAAAGATGGCTAAGCAGAGACAATGGTAAGAAAAAAAAGTGAAAATTAAATGCTCTTAGATTTACTAACTTGTTTCCTTTTTCATTTAAAGTAATATCAATTAAAAAGCAAACTAATTTTCTCTACTTCTTCCACAAAATCAAATAAAATTAAATTTAGATTATAACATATAAATAGAATATAACCCAAAATAAAGGTCAAGAACACCATTATTGGCTGGGCACAGTGGCTCATGCCTGTAATCCCAGCACTTTGGGAGGCCAAGGTGGGCAGGTCACCTGAGGTCAGGAGTTCAAGACCAGCCTAACCAACATGGAGAAACCCCGTCTCTACTAAAAAACACAAAATTAGCTGGGTATAGTGGTGCATACCTGTAATCCCAGCTACTCAGGGGGCTGAGGTAGGAGAATCACTTGAACCCAGGAGGCAGAGGTTGCAGTGAGCATATATCGCACCATTGGACTCCAGCCTGGGCAAGAAGAGCAAAACTCCGTCTCAAAAAACAAACAAACAACAACAAAAAAACACAATTATTTGCTTTGAAAAGTTTGTTTTCATTCTGATTACCAAACAAGAATGCATTCAAAGCCTTAGGGACAGCAAAACAGGCTTTATGGAGATTGTTAGAATTTCCAATTAGAAAGAATGTTTTCTCAAGCATCAATTATGAAGCCATGAAAGTCTCAACCTCCCTAACTAAAATAAGATCTCAAATCCATGAACAGTCCATTAGAGCAGCAATTCATGTTCCTCTTGAGAAAGCCAGACAGTAGTTCCTGCTAGGGGAGACAGAAGAGGTAATGGGCAAATTGGCAGAGTACTGTGCTCACTGTTCTAACATCAGAGCTCTCTTCACAAACCTCTGATGGGTCTAATGCTGGGACAGTTCACAGTAGGACACTACAACAAAGCCTGCCTTTAACATGAAAATTATTCCTAAAATGTCTCTGTTGATAGCTGGCAATGCACAAAATAAGGAGTTGGCTATTTGCAAGGAAGCAAGAATTAGCATAATCAGCAGCTGCAGCCTTACCCACAGACATAGAACCATAAAGAACCTCATGCCTTCTAAAACCAAGTTAGGCAAGAGGCCTGAATAGAATAATACTCACCACCTGCCAATGTCCCCCAAACCACAGCAAGGAAGAGCCATTTGCTACTGGTCTAAGCATACTCTATAGTTTTCTAATTAAAATAGAAACAAATCTTGTGTTAATAATATGACATTCTAGTGATTAGGGATGTTTCCCTTGCAGATAAGATTTTTTTAAAAAGATGGCTTTTATTCTCCATCATCCCAAATGTAACAGCAGATGGCTCAGTTAATCTGTGCCTGGCCTCCTGGCCTCCTGTGAGATAATAGACTTCTAATTTTTCAAACCACTCACTTTGTGATTTTTTATGCAACATAAAATAACAACAATAACACAGGCCTGGGATGGTGGGTCATGCCTATAATCTCAGCACTTTGAGAGGTCAAGGCAGGAGGATTGCCTGAGCCCAGGAGTTTAAGATCAACCTATGGAACATAGTGAGACCCCATGTCTACAAAATAAATAAATAAATAACATAATCCAGGCATGATATCTCATGCCTTTATTCTCAGCTACTCAGGAGGCTGAGGTGGAAGGATTGCTTGAGCCAGGGAGGTTGAAAATGCAGTGAGCCATGTTTGTGCCACTGCACTCCAGCCTGGGTGACAGAGCAAGACCTTTTCTCAAAAACACATGGCCAGGTGTGGTGGCTCACGCCTGTAATCTCAGCACTTTGGGAGGCTGAGGCAGGTGGATCATGAGGTCAGGAGATCAAGACCATTCTGGCTAACACGGTGAAACTGGGTCTCTACTGAAATACAAAAAATTAGCCTGTCATGTTTGCACATGGCTGTAATCCCAGCTACTCTGGAGGCTGAGGCAGGAGAATCACTTGAACCTGGGAGGCGGAGGTTGCAGTGAGCTGAGATTGTGTCATTGCACTCCAGCCTGGGCGACAGAGCGAGACTCTATCTCAAAACAAAACAACACGGAGACATGCAAATAAATAGATTATGTTTATAATAACATGTTTTACCTAGTTTAATGAATAACTGGTGCACTGTTGTATGGATGCACTGTTGGTTATTTCATTACAGTGTCATAAATCCTATGCATACAGGATACTAGCAGGTAAATTTATTTTTAAAAAGTTGGCCATAAAGCACTACTGAGTAAGGGAGTCCTAGAGAATTGGAAAATGCATGGCCAGACTAAAATAAAAGGATGTTACTTAGCTGCAGCCAAATGATTTTTTCTAATTTTTAAATTTATTCATTTATTCTTGTTACTTCACACTGGCATAGAGTATCCCAGATCTTCTCTGTTTTTTGAAGAAAAGCCAGCACTCTAAAATTCTATGTGGGAAGTAATTTTTACAAATATTGACAACAAATTGTCAGAATGACTGAGGTCAACCAGGTGTCTCTCCCCTTAGAATGCCTGAAGTTGGCCAGGAGTCTCTTCAGTTAGAGCGCCTGAGGATGGCCAGGTGTTTCTCTCCATAGAATGCCTGAGGTCAGCCCAGAGACTCTCCTTAGAATGCCTAAAGTAGGCCAGTTGTCACCCCATTAGAATGAATGAGGCCATCCGGCCATACAGGTGTCCCTCCCCTTGGAAAGCCTGAGGTCAGCCAAGTGTCTCTATAATTACAATGCCTTTGGTGGGCCAGGTGTCTCACCTGTTAGAATGCCTGAGGTTGGCCATGTGTCTTTCCCCTTAGAATTCCTGAGGTCGGCCAGGTTTCTCTCCTATTAGAATGCCTGAGGCCAGACAGGTGTCAATTCTGTTAGGATGATTGAGGTAGGTCAGGTGCCTCTCCCCTTAGGATGCCTGAGGTCGGCCAGATGTCTCTCCTGTTAAATATGCCTGCAGTTAGTCAATTGTGTCTCCCATTACAATGAATGAGGTCAGCGAGGTTTCTCTCCCATTACAATGAATAAATAAGGCCAGCCAGGTGTCTCTCCCTTTAGAATGCCTGTGGTTGTCTAGGTATATCTCCCATTAGAACGAATGAGGTTGGCCAGCTGTCTCTTCTGTTAGAATGCCTGAGGTCAGCCAGGTGTCTCTCCACTCAGAATGCCTGAGGTTGGCCTGGAGTCCTACCCCTTAGAATGCCTGAGGTGGACCAGGTGTCTTTCCCATTAGAATGCCTGAGGTCACCCATGTGTCTCTCCTATTAGAGTTCCTGAAGTCTGCCAGATGTCTCTCCCCTTAGAACATGTGATGTTGGCCAGACTTTTCCCTTAGAATGCTTGAGGTAAACACCTATTCCAAAATTGACCACATAGTTGGAAGTAAAACACTCCGCAGCAAAAGTAAAATAATAGAAATTATAACAAAC